>NC_000017.11:45685980-46310980 GCF_000001405.40 Homo sapiens | reverse complement strand
TTTGTATTTTTAGTAGAGACAGGGTTTCACCATGTTGGCCAGGCTGGTCTCGAACTTCTGAGCTCAAGTGATCCACCCACCTTGGCCTCCCAAAGTGCTGAGATTACAGCATGAGACACCATGCCCAGCTGTGAGCCTGTATCTTAATCAAAGTCCTGAGAATAACCTTGAAGAAGACTCCCTTGCAATGAGCAACAACAGAAGAAGCAAGGGACCTGGAATCTGGCAGACCTGGGTTTGAATTCTGGCTCTGTCACTTTCTGGTGAAGTGACTTGAGTAATGAACATGAGCCTTTCTGGGTAGCGTTTACAGCACAAAGCAATTTGAGGAATAAATGAAAGAGCACGTGTCTAGTGCCTAGCAATGCGCTGGACACAGTGCCGGTGCTCAGCCATCATGTCACACCAGCACTGACCGGTGAGCATAAACCCTGGGGATGCCCAGAGCTGGTACAGCCAGGAGCTCCAGAAGCGTGGGATTCTCAGAGGGAAGTGGAGCTCACTGCTCTACAGGTCCTATTCAAGTTAGAAAGTAAGACACAATGCGCACAAAGCCAAATTGTCATCATTCAGCTCCTATTACAGGGGAACTAAGAGCTGCATTGAAAATTATTTGCAAAGCTTGTAAGTGGTTCTGCCACTTATTAGCCATGTGAACCTTAGCAAATTACCTAGCGTCTCTGAGTTTCAACTTCCTCATCTACAAAATAGAAATGATAATAATAACCGCATCGCAAGAGTTGTTGGAAAAATGAAAATGAGGTATCATAGGAGGTAACATGTATGGAGCATTTACCATAGGCCAAGCACTGTTCTAAGAACTTCGGACATGTTATCTCACTTGTATAAGTACTTAGGTGCCTACAACATAAACAGCACCTGGTAAATTAAGTATTGAAAAAATGCTATGGGGCAGAGGATGAAATGCTAAGCTTCTGTGAGAAGAGAAGACAGCTTGTTACACAGGTGAAAAGAACAAGCTGCAGCTGAGAGAAGAAAAGTATAAGAGTTGCTAGGTGTGACAATCTCAAGACTTTTCAACCACTACAAATTTAAACAGCCACCCTAAATCACCCCAAAGGACAGACTCGAGTTGTTCTTTTTGTCTTTAATGTTTGCGCCTCTCCGAATCAGAGAAGAAGCTGCCAGGATTCCAGTACATACCAAAACATGATGACAATACCCTCAACTGTGCAAACTTTTGTGCATCTACCGCTATGTAAAGGAAGCTGATGTCAGTAGACTGGGGGGAACAGTAAGGCATGTTTGTGACCGAAGCTCAATTTGCCATCACAGTGTGGCCACACCTACCTCACTAATATTCTAATAGTGGGATAAATAATTCAATAGGGATAAAGCCTGGATTTTCCTCTTATTCTCTCTTAGTGCTTACATTCTTGGCATGATATCGATGTGCCATAGACAAGCCAATATGTGAGTGTACTCTATCTGAATAAAGTATAGCCTTTCTACATTGCAAAGTCATCCAGTTTCTAAAATTATTGTTAGAACCAATGAAGTGACTAAGAGAATTTTAAAAAATAAGCCATCAGTCTGGACCTGTGTATAGGAATGAAGGAGAAGCACTTTAAAGTCAGGGAAAAAATATAAACATACTTAACATTTAGGATTATCAACCATTGCTGCTTTTCCATAAACCATTTCATTCATGATTTCATCTGTAAGAGATATGATTATTGCCCCCATTCAGTGAGGGACTTTGATAGTTAGCCGCCTGGTCCTTCTTGCTTGGATGCCCTGCAAATAAATGTCCTCCTTTCCCCAATGCAAAACCTCGATATGGTTGTTTGACTTTACTGCGCTTGGGCCAGCAGAATCCAGTTAAGTCCACTAATAAGCTCTTGGCCTGTCTTTGAGATGGATTTCAGATTCAAAATAGACAGACCTTTTAACCCTGCTAACTTGGCCAGTCAGTATTTGTCAATAACATAGAGGCTTCATTCAAGAGATTTACTGGGTTGTAACTATTGGAACCCAGGGATGATTTCAGGATTTTGTGGGGCCTGAGCCTTATCTAGTAAAAACATTAAAAAAATTATGACTACAAAAATTTCCAGGGGCCCTCCCAGGACCTTGGAAGGGCCTGTGCAAGTGAGAAGCCTGGAAGGTTAGGCTCTATTCAATTCATCATCGATCAACCACAGCTGGGGCCTCTTTTTTTGTTTGTTTTTTATAAACTTGTGTAATGCAGGGAAATATATTGTTTCAACTTACAAACACCACAAAATGGTGTCATTTTGGTCATAAAATTACTGGCACCTTCCCTTGGCATCTTGCCTTTGGAAGGAAATGCAGTGGGCCTATATGTCACATATGCCAAATATGACTGCAGTGTAGCTTTGTTTACCAGGAAGATTTGACTCCAACGGAGCCCAGCCCCTAACATACACTTGGTGTGTTGAGACCCTTGTGCCAATCTTTGAAAGTAACTGTGACTTAGTTTGAAGGGTACAGCTCTATTCTGTTTATATGAAATGAGTGCTAGTTTCCAATATCAGCTAGCTCTGATTTTTTCATCACCATGAAGCAAATGCCTTTTTCTGTTGTTTAAGATGAACACAGAAACTCAAGATAAGCAAGTTAGTGTCTCTCAAGTCTTTCTTAACCCAGCCCCCATTCCTGCTTTGTCCTCTCCTTGTCACCCTGCCGTACAGATCCCCACATGGCTCTCATATGTTTTCCCATCAGCATCCGCTTCCTCCTTGAGGAATGAAAGTCCCCTGGGGACAAAGTCCTCATCTTGGTGTGTCTTTGAGATGGATTTTGTAGCCCCAGCACTTAGTACAGTACCTGGCACAAATGGACATGACACTCTGAATGTTTTTGAGTGAATTCATTAATTTTTATCAACTGTGATTCCAGTGTTTTCCTGGTGTTGCCTACATAATTGTAGTGAAGCTGGCTAGATGATGATGATGATTATTATTATTATATTATTATTATTATTTGAGACAGAGTCTCACTCTGTCCCTCAGGCTGGAGTGCAATGGTGCCATCTCGGCTCACTGCAACCTCCGCCTCCTGGTTTCAAGTGATTCTCCTGCCTCAGCCTCCTGAGTACCTAGGATTACAGTTGCCTGTCACCATGCCCACCTAATTTTTGTATTTTTAGTAGAGACAGGTTTCACCATGTTGGTCAGGCTGGTCTTGAACTCCTGACCTCAGGTGATCCACCCACCTCAGCAAAGTGCTGGAATTACAGGCATGAGCCACCGCTCCCGGCCACCAGATTTTTATGAGGGACTCCCAGTGGTATAAAGTGCTTAGTAAAGATGGTGAGTTTAAAACATTTGTATTGATGCTACCTAAACCTCTTGGTGGAGGGACCTAATGAGCCTGTTCTCTGGTGTGAGGGCAAAAGAAAAACAGACCTTTAGTGTACTTTTCCTAAGTTATGCATCAGCAAATTAATGAGGACAGAGGGGAGCATGTGCAGAAACTGCTGCTCTAGTCCAGACACATCCTGAATGCCTCCCTCTAACTTGAAATGAACTGTGTGAAACTAGATTTCTGAACCACAAGGCAGGTGGAAAGTCTTTTCTAAAGTCAGATGTAGAGGAGAATCTTCACCTTGAGTCCCCTTCAGGCCACTGAATATACCCACTCTGATTTGATGGGTATGTTATACAGAGAAATCATAGAATTTTTGCAATTATGGTAGAAGAGTAGTCAGGAAAGTATATGGAATTAAGATACAGCGATATATTTTCTTTACAAAAGTTTTTTTTTGCACAATAGCTTAACATAAACACCATCTTGGCCAGGCATGGTGGCTCACACCTGTAACCCCAGCACTTTGGGAGGCTGAGGTGGGCGGATCACCTGAGGTCACAGGAGTTCGAGACCAGCCTGGAGGGGAGGTTGGAGGGTAGTGGCACAATCTCGGCTCACTGCAACTTCCCCCTCCTGGGTTCAAGCCATTCTCGTGCCTCAGCCTCCCGATAGCTAGGATCACAGGTGCCCGCCACCATGACCTGCTAATTTTTGTATTTTTAGTAGAGATGAGGTTTTGCCATGTTGGCCAGGCTGGTCTCAAACTCCTGACCTCCAGTGATCCTCCCACCTTGGCCTCCCAAGGTGCTGGGATTACAGGCATGAGCCACCATTCTGGCCCTACAACTTTGGATTTGATTCCTGCTCATATGCAGAGTTTCTAACTGCTTAGATGTCTGCAACATTTAGCTGCAAGGAAGGAAGCTTAACACAAAGTCCTCCAGGGAGCAAAAAACTGCACCACCACGCCCAGCTAATTTTTTTGTATTTATAGTAGGGACAGGGTTTCACTATGTTGGCCAGGCTGGTGTTGAATTCCTGACCTCGGGTGATCCACCCACCTCGGCTCCCAAAGTTCTGGGATTACAGGTCTGAGCCACCCCGCCCAGCAACAAGGCTAATTTGAGGGTCACTTCTTTGATGCCTTTTCTTGCCCATGCTATAGGTCAGAACTAGGACAAGCAGAGGAGGTCATATATAAGCTACATAAGTCTCTTGGCCTCTTTGTACCTTAGCTTCCCCATTTGAGAAAAATGAATGGATCTTAAGACATGCTTTTCAGAGTTGATAATGGGCTTATACCCAGCTACCCAATAATTGTATGAGTTTTTGTACATAAATAGTTGTTTACATGTATTCATCTTCTATTTCACTTACAACTTATGTAAAAACTGCATTCCGTGCCAGGCCTGAAATGTTCCAAAGCTGAGTTCTGTAATTACATTGCAACTAAGATTTCTAAAAAAAAAAGACACAAGCCAAAGAAAAAAAAAATTATTTCAGAACATTTATCATTTGCCATGATTCTAATTTATATAGGATGGAACATAACCTCAATCCTTTCTCTATGCACTAAGGAAATCTGACTGTGGAAGATACTGGCTTATGATTTATACTTTAACACTGCACACGTGGTGCATTAGATACAAAACAGTGAATGTTCAGTAAATACCTGTGTTAAGTGATCTTTATTTCTCTAGAACAGGATTTCACAACTTCAGTGCCATCAACATTTTGGACTATATAACTCTTTGCCATGGGGGTTTGTCTTATACCTTGAAGGATGTTTAGCAGCATCTCTGGCCTTTGCCCACCAGATGCCAGGAGCACACTCACAGTTTTGTCAACCAAAACTGTCTCCGGACATTACCAAATGCCACCTGAGTGCAAAATCACACCACCTGAGAACCACTGCTCTCTGATGATTCACTAAGATCTGTGTAATAATTCTCACAATAATCCTTGCTAGAGACAAAAAGGATTTGCTGTATAATTTTAGTAGCTTTCTACTGGTAAAATTTTAATCATATTTCAAGAATAGCAAAGAGGTTTATAATTAAGTTTTATAAAAATTCCAAATGTAATCAAGTTATATTTGTAACTTACATAAACTTCAAAAATGGTAGTGGTTCAAATGTATGTCTTTCAATAGACTGTATTTTATTGCAGGATAAATCTCTAGGAAAACGAAAATATTGCCTTGATTAGTTATTAAATGTCAATTGGTATGAATAACAGCAAGAGTTTAGAATAATACTGAATACCTATTTTTCATCTCAACTCTAAACGTTTGGACTTGTATTTGAACATTCCAGAGCCCCTAACCCTGCCCATACCTCTCCTAGAGTCTCACCTTCATGGTTTTAATAAATATACAACATAATAGACTTTGGAATTAATTTTTCCTGAGAGCAGTAGACTTGATTAGATGCCCTTTTGTAGTGTCATCAAATCTTAGATTATGAGCTCAAAGATTTTATCTCTATATACACAATTTCTAATATTAAAAAAAATAGTCGGGCCGGGTGCGGTGGCTCAGGCCTGTAATCCAGCACTTTCGGAGGCCGAGGCTGGCAGATCCTGAGGTCAGGATATCGAGACCATCCTGGCTAACACGGTGAAACCCTGTCTCTACAAAAAAAAAAAAAAAATTAGCCGGGCCTAGTGGCACGTGCCTGTAGTCCTAGCTGCTCAGGAGGCTGAGGCAGGAGAATGGCATGAACCCAGGAGGCGGACCTTGCAGTGAGCCGAGATCGCACCACTGCACTCCAGCCTGGGCGACAGAGCGAGATTCCGTCTCAAACAAACAAACAAACAAACAAACAAGTCTCACATTTCTACACCTTCTTAGTTTAGGTCTGTTTTCCTAAGCCACTTCAATATCAGAAGAAATAAAAGACATCCTTTCACATCATTTGAAAGGAAGCTACCCCTTTACCTAATACATAACTTTGAACTAATTCAAATCATATTAATAGAATTAATTTCTATCATATTAATAGAAATTCATTTTTGGTTTTGTATTGCTTTAATATTTCATAAAAAAAAATTTCTTCAGTTATACAGTGATGGAGTTTGTCCCTCCCTCTTTACCTGGATGGTGTAACGTTGTCTGGCTGATATCTCCATCTCCAGTCTCTCCCTACCTAAACTATCCTGCACACAGTCATCATATAAACTCTCCAGAAGTGGCTTGCAAAGACCAGCATCTCCTGGGAAATTACTGAAGATGCAAATTCTTGGTCCCACTCTAGACCAACTGAATCAGTAACTACGAGGGTGGAGTCCAGAACTGAGTTCTAACGTGCCCTCTCAATGACTGTGATGCAGATCTACCTTACAGCGCTGCTGTGGTAACACGGTTCCCCATGTTGGCTCCTCAGCTTGGCATTCAAAGCTCTAGAAGATCTGGCTCCATTTTCCTACTCTCCCTTCTTGTACTCTACGGGTACTCATGGCATTCCTTGAATACTTTCCTGTGTTTTGCCCTCCCATTTTCCTTTTGCAAGTTTAGAGTATTTTCCCCAAGATGTCTGTCTGATGTTACACAATGGCCCTTCAAAGTCCTATTCAAATGGCATTGTTCTAGTAACATCCTCCTGGGTCCAAATTGAAGGCATTTTTTCCTCTTCTATGTTCGAGAAACAATTTATCCCTCCTAGTGCCCACATCCATTTCTTCTTCTTAATGTAGTTATTTTTTATCCCATTTCTTCTGAGCATAAACTCCCTGAAAGCATGGACTAGGTCTTGCTCATCTGCATTGCCCACCATGTTTAAAACTGACACATGGAAATAAAGCAAACTCAAATATTTGTAAAATAAATGAATAGCTGGGGGAGTGAGTAGAAGGAAAATAACTATTTTAAAGGAAATGTAGTTTTATTATTTCATGGTCTCTGTAGCACTTTGGCATCCACCTGAGGGTCTTTACACCCACTTTCCTTAAGCCTTCTATATTTGAAAGAATCTGTTTGCAAAAGAGCATCACTAATGAGCTTAATAAGGATTAATGACATACAGACCTCTATGGACAAAGGGTAAGAATCAAGCTTTCATAGCAATGAACATAGTATCTTCTTGTCTCTAAACAGACAGAAATACAGGGATCCCTTTCTGGTAACAGGGCTGGGGCGATCGTTATTTTGTAATTAGTGAAGAGTTAGGGGCATTTCTGATGTGCTTCTTAGTGTAAACATTTCTAGCTCTATCAGTTAACCATCATTTTAAACATCTGTTTTAATATAACAATTCCTGAAATGAAATCCTTAATACCAGTCTATTCTCTTGGTAGCTTAATATTCTTGATAATATTATTGATATAATTCAGCTATTTTTAATATTTAAATGTTAATTTAATTCCGATTAAATTACCAAAAAATTCTGGATTAATGATGTTCAAATGAATGCAGGTGGTCTCCATTTTCTTCTCCTTTAGGCAACCATCTGAAGTTAACTTTAGTTCCTTTCATCCTACTAAACCAACTTTTTGAAATTTTTTTTGGTGAAGGTCAGACAGTAAATATTTTAGGTTTTATGGGCCACATATGATCTCTCGCATATTTCTTTGTTTCTTTTCTTTTTCTTTCACAGTCCCTTTAAAAATGCAAAACCCATTCTTAACTTAATGGGCTATTTAAAAATAGACCATAAATTAGATTGGATCTATTGGTTGTAGACTGAATAGAAAAAGAATGATATGTGAACCCTTATAAAACAAGGTTCATATGGGTGTCAGTCACTGCTCAGATTTTCTTACCATGTGAAATGTTTTTGTCTGTATTTTGTCTATATAACTTAAAAACTGAAAATGCACAGGAGGTAGCTAGTGTTAGAGATGGGCTGAGACCCTATACAAACTTACAGAATTGCAGAATTTTATTGCTCAAAGAAATCTGAGAGATTATCTAATTTGAACCCCTTATTCATTTTACAGATAATATGACTAAAAACTCATAAATATAATTAACTAACTTACAAATACTGGAGGGATAGCAGGCCTTCAAATGAATCCTTGTGTAATTCAGTCAAGTTATTTTCTCTGAGAATTCTGGAAAATGAAGAAGTTATTTCTAGATTAAAATGCAAACTACAACTATTTGCTACACAGAACCATCTCCTGCATGTGGAGGAAAGCTGGGTCATGGTCACTTCAAGATGGTGGGATCTGCTCTGCTTTCATTCAAACCTTTTCTTATATTTTCCTTTTTGTGTCCATCTCTCTCCACCACCACCACAAACACACACACACACACACTCAAGCACACCCCTTGAAGAGTGGGTTTCTTCCCACCAAATTCTATTATTTCATGCCTCCTCTCTAGATCACAAAATCCCTTTTAGAATCCAACTCTGGGTGGCACCAAGATCAGCAGAACCTCCATTTCCTCCTCTCTTTTCCCAAACCTTATTATGAAAGCCCCACATGGAACCATGTCAGGACTGCAAGTGAAGCCATTCAACCTTTTTCCCCCCATCAAAAAAATTGGAGAACTATAATGTGCATAAAGTGCACATAACATAAATGTTGTTTATATTTAATTTAATTTAATTTTTGAGACAGGGTCTCACTCTGTTCCCAGACTGGTCTCAAACTCCTGGCTCAAGTGATCCTCCTGTGTCTGCTTCCCAAAGTGCTGTGACTGCAGACATGAGCCACCTCACCTGGCCAAAATATTCAGTTTAATAATTATGAAGCAGATACCCATGTAAACATCATTACAAAAGATCATTGCTAGCATGCCAGAAGCCCCAGTGTGCCCCTTTCCAATCATATCCCTCTCTCTAACCCTAATAGGTAACCACTATCCTGACCTTTGTAATAATTTTCTTGTTTTTAAAATGTAGTTCTGGCCTGGCGTGGTGGCTCATGCCTGTAATCCCAGCACTCTGGAAAGCCAAGGTGGGTGAATCACCCACGGTCATGAGTTTGAGACCAGCCTGGCCAACATGGTGAAACCCTGTCTCTACTAAAAATATAAAAATTAGCTGGGTGTGATGGAGGGCACCTGTAATTCCAGCTACCCAGGAGGCTGAGGCAGGAGAATCGCTTGAACCCGGGAGGTGGAGGTTGCAGTGAGCCAAGATCGCACCATTGCACTCCAGCCTGGGCAACAAGAACAAAATTCCATCTGAAAAAATAAATAAAGCAATTCTCCTGCCTCAGCTTCCCAAGTAGATGGGATTACAGGCACCCACCACCACGCCTGGCTACTTTTTGTATTTTTAGTAGAGATGGGGTTTCGCCCTATCGGCCAGGCTGGTCTCAAACTCCTGACCTCAGGTGATCCGCCTACCTCCCAAGGTGCTGGGATTAAAGGCGTGAGCCACCGCGCCTAGCATATGTTTATTTTTAATTTAGAACTCATCGTGGCTTGTCTATATACATTGAAATAATGATGTGACACACAAACTGTTGTGAAAAATGTCAGTTACTTTGAATGTAAGCATTTTTTCCAAAATCACTTATGTGTCTAAACCAATTCCTTCTATAAATCAGTAAGAAAATGATAAAACAATTCAACAGGAAAATGAACAAAGGCCAGAAAACTCAGAGAAGAAACACAAATGTTCAATAAACATATAAAGATACTAAATTAAATTCATGAGTAATCAGAAAAATTCACATTTAGATGGAATCCCTTTTATTCATCCATAACTTCAGCAAAATGTTGGAGAATACCCAGCGGTGAAAAGGTGTTGGGAAATGAATGCTGTCATATTCTGCTGACAATAGAGTAAGTTGGCACAAAATTTTTGAAGGCAATTAAAATTTTATATCTACATAGTCTTCACCCCAAGAATTCCATTTCCAGATATCTATGCTACAGGAATACTTGCACATGTTCACAAAGAAGCATGTACAGGGATTTCATTGCAGCAATGCATGTAACAAGAAAACTAAGCATAATCTAAACATTCATCAATGGGGGAATTATTAAATAAACCATGATGCATCCATACTATGGATTATGCAGGAGTTTAAATGAATGGGGTGACCCTCTAAGTACTGGGAAGGAAAGAAATCTAAGGCATATCATGAAGTGAAAGAATCAAGTTGCAAGATGTTACCCTTTATGCGAAGAAAAAATTTTAAAACCACAAAACAAATCTATTTTGCTTTATGTAAATATGTATGTAGGTAAATGAGGAAAAGTCTGGAAGCATGTATACTAAATGCAGAGTAGCATTACTTCAGGGATGAGGGAGTAGGGCACAAGGAGAGTTTTTGTTATATCTGTTATTGCATTTTTATATATTAAAAATGGAATCATGGGCTGCGGGTGGTGGCTCATGCCTGTAATATGAACACTTTAAGAGGCCAAGGTGGGAGGATCACTTGAGCCCAGGAGTTCAAGACCAGCCTAAGCAGCATAGGAAGACCCTGTCTCTACAAAAAATACAAAATTAGGTGGGTGTGGTGGCATGCACCTGTGGTCCCAGCTACTGGGGAGGCTGAGGTGAGAGGATCACTTGGGCCTGGGAGGTGAAGGCTGCAGTGAGCTGTGATTGTGCCACTGCACTGCAGCCCAGAGGACAAAGTAAGACCCTGTCTCTGAAAAAAAAAACAAAAAAGAGAACAAAAAGGAATATAACCATGTACTATTTGTATGATAAAAAATAAATTTAAATTGCCTCTTATTTTAAAGAGAGCCTACCAAATTTAATTTTAAAATGACCATACAATTGCAATCAACAGTGGTTGATTTGGGGCATGGAGGAGAAATATCTTTCCTCAGAGGTACCGACCTCAAAATTCTGGACCAAGAAGGATCTTACAATGCAGTTAGCTTTTTGTCATATTTGGAGAGAATATACTCACAGTTTCTCAGTCCAACTGTATGCTTTCCATACATTTCCATCAATGTAAGAAATATAGTTTCCTTGGAAATTTCTGTGAAGAAACACAGTTTATATCCTTGAATAGGTAGGAAAACAATGAACACGATAAGTAAAAGAATCATTGCAACCTTGTTGGGGATATTCAGAAACAGAAAATAACACCTGCTTTCTCATTTCCAGAGCTATCAGCTTCCCAGTTTGCACAATTCATCAAGAAATTATGCGGGGTCACTGGCACAAATGATGAGGCATCTCCTGGAAGCTTAACTTCTTATCCATCCCATCTCTTGGACAGATGATGCCAGTTAATTACTTTGAATGTAAGTATTTTATCTAAAAGCACTTATGTGTCTAAACAGACTTCTACAAATCAGTACCAAAATGGTAAATAATTCCACAGAAATATGGGCAAAAGCTTATCATTATCAACAAATGAGAAGAAAGAAACCCTATGCCAGGTAACACCAAAGCTTTGGCCCAGTGCCCTCTGTTGAAACATCCTAGGCTTTTTCTTTCCACTCCTATTACAACTGATCTGATTTGGCCCCTTCACACTTCACTCCTAGATTTTGCTAGACCTTTCTATTTTGTCTCCCTGAATTAAGCTTTTCCTTTTGGACACTTTACATATGGATTCTAAAACAATCCTCTGCATGTCTACACTTGCACATAATGCAAAAAACAAAATAAAATAATCTTCCTGTTTTGATCATGTAATCTCTCTTGCTTGGAAACTTTCAATGGCTTTCCATACCTCACTGTGTAACTTTCAAACTCCTATAGCTGATAATCAAGGTTTTACAGAATCGTATCTTCATTGCTCCCTCACCTAATTCTTTGTAGCCACATTGGTCTACTAAATTCCAACCATACCTGTAGCCATGCGTTTGCCTAGACTGTACTCCCATTTTTCTTCTATTTAACAAATTATAGCTACTCTTTAAGACCCAAGTAAAGTTTTAGCTTACCCATGTAGCATCTCCACACCTCAAGGATCACAGATTCTGGCAAATTCTAGCACCAATGGTCTGCATTATCTTTTAGTACTTAATTATATATACCTCCCTTTTTATGCCTATTCTCTTTCTTCCCTCCTATCATTTTTTTTTTTTTTTTTTTTTTGAGATGGAGTCTTGCTCTGTCGCCCAGGCTGGAGTGCAGTGGTGCAATCTCGGCTCACTGCAAGCTCTGCCTCCCAGGTTCACGCCATTCTCCTGCCTCAGCCTCCCGAGTAGCTGGGACTCCAGGCACCCACCACCATGCCTGACTAATTTTTTTCTGTATTTTTAGTAGAGATGGGGTTTCACCATGTTAGCCAGGATGGTCTTGATCTCCTGACCTCATGATCCGCCCGCCTCGGCCTCCCAAAGTGCTGGGATTACAGGCGTGAGCCACCACACCCAGCCTCTTCCCTCCTATCATTTTCGTGTTCTGGAGACAGTAGCATACTTGGCCCTGGGTTTGACATAAAACTAGTTCTACATATAGAAAGCTAGGGACAAAAATGAGTTCTGGACAAAACTAAAGGACTGAATAATCATGTGAACAGCCAACTCTCCTACATATGGTAAGCACTGATGAAGTGTTTCATATATTCACTCACCTAAATTTCACAACAATCCTATGAAATGCTAACTAGCATGATCCCCAGTTTAAAGGTGAGGAAATTGAGTCACAGGCAGAATAACTTGCTCTGGGTCACCAAGCTAATAAATAGATCTGGGTTCAAACCCAGGCAGCCTGGCTCCGGAATCAACTCTTAACGACTTAGAGCATCATCATTGAGATCGGGAGAGGGACAGGCTGCTGTAAAGAGGGTGAAGCGAAAATGGGAGGAGAGCAGCGGTTAAGCAATGATGTGATGGGGCTAAATAAAAATGGATACAAAAACGAGTAAAAGACCAGAGTAAAAGGAAAAGACTGGAGAAGGGGCCTAACATTAAAAGAGAATGAGGAGAAGGGAGAGTTGACAAGCAAAGGTGAAAGCAGAAAGTCAGTTGTCCATATGGCTTGGGGAGATAAAGAAGGCCCAGGAAGGCCTCCAGGAAAAGGCTGCCATGTCAGGCAGGACACAGAGGACAATTGAGGAAAAGTGATTCTTACAAGATGGTGAAGGTGCCATTGTGGGTGTTGGGCTCTGGCACAGGCACTTGGCGGAGCCTCTGCTCTGGGTTGAGATCAATACATGACAACATCTCATCTCCGCAGGTACAGAGCTCACATATGTTGGTGCTTGTGGAGGCCTTGTGTTCCTCTGGTGCAGTTAAAGCCTTATTTTGGGTGTAACTTTCAGACTGCACCAGTGAATCCTGAGCAGGTTCTAGTTCAGTAGGTGGACCTGTGACTTCAGTCAGGCTTCGATGCAGAGTCTGAACCCGGTCTGGACGAGGAGCTGTAGTCTTCTCCAGGGCTGTAGAATGTCCAGTCTCTGTAGTGGGTTCTGGAATGATGGCAAGTCCCAGGTCTGGAGGCTGAGTTGAGGTCTCCTCCGTGGTTGGAGATGGTTTAACCTCTGTAGTAGGTTTTGTAGTTATGGTAAGCTCCAGGTCCAGAGGTTGAACGGTGGCTTGAGTCAGGTGTGAATGCTGAGCCTGACCCTTGTCTGAAGGTGGAAGTGTCACCTCAGGGTGTCCTGGAGGAGGAGCTGTAGTCATCAGGGCTGTAGAAGGTTCAACCTCTGTCATGGATTTTGGAGTGATGGTAAACCCCAGGTCCAAAGGTTGAACTGTGGCTCGAGTCAGGTGTGAATGCTGAGTCTGAACCTGGTCTGGATGTGGAAGTGTCACCTCAGGATGCTTTGGAGAAACTATAGTCCTCTTCGGGGGTGTAGAATGTCCAACCTCCGTAGTAGGTTCTGGAGTGATGGTAAGTCCCAGGTCCAAAAGTTGAACTGTAACGCTGGGTGACACTGGATGCTGAGCTTGATCCTGACCTGGTGTTGGATTTGTTACCCCTTGATATACTCGAAGTTGGGGTACAACTTTCTTAGGAGGCTGAGTTGGGGTCTCCTTCATGGTTGGAGAAAGTTCAACCTCTGTCTTGGATTCTGGAGTGATGGTAAACCCCAGATCCAAAGGTTGAACTGTGGCTTGAGTCAGGTGTGAATGCTCTGGAGGTTGAGCTACAACTACATTAGGGAACTCTGGAGTCTGAGCTGGGGCCTCCTGATGGGTTAGGGAAGACTCACCCTCCTCAGCGGTCTGTGGATGCTCAGCTGCAGCCTCCTGCTGGGTTGGAGAGGGGTTCTCATTATTAATAGGTTCCGGAGATTGAAATGAAGTCTCCTGTTGAACTGCTAAAGGTCCAGCTTCTTCTGATGACTCTGGAAGCAGAGGTGGGCCCCCGTGCTGGATGGCGGGAGGTTCTACATCATTACCTGACCCTGAGAGCCGAGTTGTAGCCTCCTGGTGGACTAGAGAAGTTCCCACCTCTGCACTAGGCTCTGCTGCTATGGTGAGCTGCACGTCTGGAGGCTTCACAGAGACACTGGGTGAAGCTAAATGATGAGTTTGATGGTGACCTGGAGGTGAAACTGTGACTTCATGATGTTCTGGAGGCTGACCTGGGGTCTCCTGCTGGGTCGGAGAAGATTCGACCTCCCTAGGAGACTCAGAAGGCTGAACTGGCTGCTGCTGCTCACTGATGGAAAGTTCATGCTCCATAGGAGGAACTGGAGGCTCAATTGGGGCCTCCTGTTGGGTTGCAGAAGGTTCCACCTCCTCTGGAAACTGAATTGGGGTCTCCTGCTGGGCTTGGGAAGATTCTGTCTCATTGGTAGGCTCTGAAGTTATGGTAACCTCCACATCTGCAGGTTTAACTGTAATGTTGGGCAAGTGATAATAAGCTTGATCCTCACCTGGAGGTTGAACTGACACCTCATGATTCGGTAGAGTTAGACTCTCCATAGAGGACTCTGGAGGCAGAGCTGGGGCCTCCTGCTGCATTGAAGAAGGTTCTTCCTCAAGGAGCTGTGGAAGCTGTGCTGGGGCTTCTTGCTGGAGTGAAGAGGACTGGATGTCTTCAAGGGTCTCTGGATTTTGAGTTTCGGGCTCTAGATGGAATTGAGAAGGTCCAACTTGCTCAGAGGGCCCTGGAGGCTCATCTGACTTCACCCGGAGTTCTGGAGGCAGGCTACCGGGATACGGTGTATCTGTACTGGAATATTCATTCTGCAAAGTCTGTTTCTGACTCTGAGGTGTGGATAATTGGCGTGTAATTCCAATAATCTCAGCAAGGCTCCAACGCTGAGCTGGATCTTTCTTCAGCTTCTTGGGCGAAACAGGGAGCCTTTCCTGTGGACTCAGCTTGTCCTTTAAATCCTGCTGTGAAGCCAAGAACTGCTCTGGCTCCAGGGGCTGCTCTCCAGCTGAATCCCAGGTGTCCAGGAATGGAACCAAATTTTCAGTCGATTCCTGGGGTGGGGCTGGCATCTCTGAGGAAGCAGAGGGCCCCAGGTGATCAAAGTCCCACGGGTCTGCTGGGAGAGTAGGCGCATGGGGAGATTCCCGTGGGAAATGGGAGGAGTGGGAAGACCAGGACTCAGGCGGCCCCAGGGGATTAGAGGTGAGCTGGAGCGGGTCCTTGACCCACTCCAGAGGCTGAGCCTCCTTGACTAGTAGCCACAATAGTTGCCACATAAGGAGGGGCCATGGGCCCCAGAAACGCAGCCGGGACATGACACACACTAGTGCCGGGCACTGAGCAGAAGACATTCTGGCAGCTCCGAGACGCTCGTGCCCCTTCTAAGCGTGAGCCCCGCCCTGTCTTTATGACACCTTTATTTATGTCACAGATCTGCTCCATGTCACCAGGGCACTCTTATGTCACAATCCCGCCCAAGCACGCCTTCCCATCCTGCCCTGCCGGAACACCCCTCTCCTCCCCTTAGTGAGGAAGGATTTGGGCCTCAGACCCTGGTGGTCCCAGGACTCCAGCGCCTGCTGTGGTGGGGTAGGGTGGGGTAGGGTGGGGTGGGGGCGCGGCAGAGCTTCCCAAGGAAGTCACCGGACCTCGCCTCAGGATATTCAGAAGTGCTAGTTCAGTTCTGGCAGCCTTCCTCCTTTAAGGTGAAATCCGAGAACACTCTTCCTTCCAGGGAGAGCAACTGACCTGCAAAATGGGCGCCAGGATGCACATTACAGTCACTTATTCCAAAGTGTTGCCATTTTCGCTAAACTGTCGCATGTTTGATAATTAATTCACCACCCTATTAGGTAGGGGCTGCCAGGGAATAAGCGAGGACTCCAAATTTTCTGTAGGAGGGGTGTTGGGAGTTGGCAATTCGGTCTGGGAGAGAAGGTTTTAATCCGAGTGAAGAGCCCTTTGCACTAGCCTGGGAGGAGGCTGAACTGTCATCCTGCCTTGACTCAACACAGCCATTCCCCTAGAAGTTACAGCACTTCTAGGGTCACCTGTGTTCAGAGATCTACCCTGTGTGCACACATGGAGAAGAGGCTTAGGTTGTTAAAGTCAGCATGTTAAATCATTTCCTGAAATGCGACTGTAACTAGAACCCAGCTGACTTCCCCCACAGCCGTTCTTACCTATTTTATTACTGTCTGGCATAATTACCAGCATGTAAACTCCAAGAAGGTGCTTCATCTTATTTTAGTGCTTGGCATAGACATAGGGTGCATAGTGATGGCTTTAAAATTGAAGGGGGGCCGGGTGTGGTGGCTCACACCCATAATCCCAGAACTTTGGGAGGCCGAGGTGGGGGGATCACTGAGGTCAGAAGTTCGAGACCAGCCTGACCAACATGGTGAAACTCCGTCTCTACTAAAAATACAAAATTAGCCAGGTGTGGTGGTGCATACCTGCAATCCCAGCTACTCAGGAGGCCAAAGCAGGAGAATCACTTGAACCTGGGAGGCAGAGGTTGCAGTGAGCCGAGATCGCAACATTGCACTTCAGCCTGGGCAACAAGAGAGAAACTCCATCTCAAAAAAATAAAATAAAATAAAATGGAAGAGAGTCCAAGATTCACCTCATTTAGGGATGGAGCTATCGTTATAATCAGATTTCTGAAATGAGTGCTGACTTCCTCTCACATTTCACAGGAAGCTAGACTTCTTAAAGCTTGAAGTCTCCTTGGTGGGTTTTATTTAAATTGAATTAAAATAATTATTTTACAGGGAAAAATTTCAAAACACTTTGCAACTTTGGGGTAAAAGTTAAATAAAACACTGTAGCCCCAAGTTAAGTTCCCACTGAAATGATACTTTTGCTCCTTTTTTTAAAAAAAATTCCATAAATAGTAAATAATGACTGTTTTGAGATTAATTTAGAAACAATCTCTATTTAAGAGCTTTCATATGCAGTCATGCATTGCTTGCCACGTGAGGAGCTTGAGAAATGTGTCACTAGGTGATTTCACCATTGTGCTAATATCATAGCGTATACTTACACAAACCTAGGTGGTGTAGCCACCATACCTAGGGTACACGGTATGGCTTAGGACTCCTAGGCTACAAACCTGTACTGTATGTTACTGTACTGAATACTAAAGGCAACTGTCACAGAATGGCAGGTATTTGTGTATGTAAACATGGAAAATATATAGTTAAAATACTGTGTAAAAGATAAAAATGGGGCCTGGGCACAGTGGCTCATGCCTGTAATCCCAGCACTTTGGGACGCCAAGGTGGGTGGATCACTTGAGCTCAGGAGTTCAAGACCAGCCTGGCCAACATGATGAAACCCCATCTCTACTAAAAATACAAAAATTAGCTGAGTGTGGTGACGCGTGTCTATAATCCCAGCTACTCAGGAGGCTGAGGTAGGAGAATCACTTGAACCTGGGAGGTGGAGGTTGCAATGAGCTGGGATCATACCACTGCACTCCAGCCTGGACAACAGAGCGAGACTCCATCTCAAAAAAAAAAAAAAAAAAAAAAAAAAGATAAAAATGGTATACCTATATAGGGATAGCTCCATTATACGCTTACAGAACCACCATCATATATGTGGTCTACTGTTGACCCAAACTTCATTTTGCAGCACATGATTGTAAATGATTGACAGAAAGATCTTCGGCAAAATATTCCACCCAAGATACGTGGGAGATATTGAGATCCAAGCAATAAGCCATATTTGAAAGGCATTATAGTTTTCGAAAGCTGTAGCGCAATCATTCTTAAGGCCAGTTACCTTCTCCCCACATCTCTGGGATCCTGTTTGAAGGGAGTTCTAACAAGGCCTGTGTTCGAGCAGCCCAGCATCCCTTACTCCTGGAGCGGGGGGAGACTAACCCCTCTCCTGTGTCCACAACTGTAGTAATACAATCCTCGGTTCTGCTCTCCAAACTTCAAATAAGGGGTCAGAGCCAAGGGTTAAGACTTTAGGAAAAGCCCCGGAAATACCCTGCACTCAAAAAGCAGTTTCAGAGTTTCACATTTTCCTGAGAATGAAACAAATTATCCTCCAAATTCTGCTGCTTGTTTTGAATTATGGTTATACTGGCAATGTTATCCAACCCTTGAGTTGTTTTCCTTTTCTTTTTTTTTTTTTTCCTCGAGAGAGTGTCTTGCTCTGTCACCCAGGCTGGAATGCAGTGGCATGATCTCGGCTCACTGCAACCTCCGCCTCCTGGGTTCAAGTGGTTTTCATGCCTCAGTTTCCCAAGTAGCTGGGATTACAGGTGCCCACCACCACACCCAGCCAATTTTTGTATTTTTAGTAGAGACGGGGTTTCACCATGTTAGCCAAGCTGGTCTTGAACTCCTGACCTCAAGTGATCCTCCCTCCTCAGCCTCTCAAAGTGCTGGGATTGCAGGTGTGAGCCACTGGGCCTGGCCTGTCAAATTGCTCTATAATTTCATTTGGAGTGAATTCAGATTAGACCATTGATTTTATTGGCTTTTTTTTTTTTTTTTTTGCTTTTTGAGAAGCAGGGCCTTATTCTTTTTCCTAGGCTGGAGTGCAGCGGTGCAATCACACCCCATCGCAGCCTCCCCCTACCCAGATCAGTAAGTCCTTCCGCCTCAGGTTCCCAAGTATCTGGGACTACAGGCGCGTGCCATGCCACCATCTCTGGCTAATTTTGGGGTGTTTTTTGTTGTTATTGTTGTTGTCATTGTTTTTTTGTAGAGACAAGGTTTTGCCATGTTGCCCAGGCTGGTCTCAAACTCCCGGGCTCAAGCAAGTGATCCTCCTTCCTCGACTTCCCAAAGTGCTGGGATTATAGGCATGAGCCACCGTATGGGCCCTGGTTGTCTTTTTTTCATATTACACATTTTCATTTTCAAACATTTGAATTTTGCAAGCTTATTTTGAGTGAGAGGAGTGTTGTTTTCTTCTCTCCTGAAGCCCAGTGTAGCCCAGTCAACCCTTAACTTCCAGCAGGGAGCCTATCACTGCCTCACACACAGCATGTTAGCCTCCCTTACCCCCGAGAAACTCTTACTGTTAGTGTTCAGCCACCACTTCCTCCTTCTGCATCTGGAGTCTAGAAGGCCTGCAGTTTTAGTCCTGCTCACAGTTTTGTGTCTGTTCCATTGAGATTGTTGTAACTTATTTAAGCATGACTATGTCTTTTCAATTTCTCTTTTTTATATTTTACTCTCACTTGTATGTTCTTGAAGGGAGAGGGAGGATCAAAGTGTGCACCCGCTATACCATCTTGGTTCTCCCAAAATCCGTCCCACGATGTTATAAAAATATATGAACTAGGAAATGAAACTCAAGGTTTTCTTTCTAACCAAAGAAGAAGTTCAGTCTCTCTCTATAAATAGAGAAGGGCTGTTGAATAATTTGTCACATTGCTTCTCTTTTGACTTTATGAGACTAGATAGTCTATAGACAGAGAAGCAGATTCATTAAACCAGGGCCATTCAGGTTTATTTGGTAAAATATTTGTGATATATTTAAAAGCTTCCTGAGGTAGTCATGTAATGATTGGTGCATAGGGCTGGGTTACCCTGCAGAAAAAGAGGCACAGCAAACTTATTTCAGGTACAGATGGACCTTACCTTTAGGCAAATCCTTGAAATTTTGGCGTGGGGAATCAGGTTTTCCTGTGGGTTTTTTGTTTGTTTTTGGCTTTTCATAGACATCTATATGAAGTCTCTGCTTTAGAATCTATAAAACTATAGCTTCAGAGGCTGGGCGCAATGGCTCATGCCTATAATCCCAGCACTTTGGGAGGCTGAGGTGAAACGATCACTTGAGGTCAGGAGTTCGAGACCAGCCTGGCTAACAGGGCGAAACCCCGTCTGTACTAAAAATGCAAAAATTAGCCAGGCATGGTGGCAGGCACCTGTAATCCCAGCTGCCTGGGAGGCTGAGGGAGGAGAATCACTTGAACCCAGAAGGCGGAGGTTGCAGTGAGCCGAGATCATGCCACTGCACGACAGAGCGAGACTCCATCTCGAAACAAAAAACTGTAGCTTCAGAGATTCACTTAAATTATCATTTATAGGCCAAGAGAGTTGTGGCTCACAGCCTGTAATCCCAGCATTCTAAAAGGCTGAGGTGGGTGGATCACTTGAGGCCAGGATTTTGAGACCAGCCTGGGCAACATGGCAAAACCCTGTTTCTACAAAAAGGAATTTGCTGGGTGTTGTGATGCACACCTGTAGTCTCAGCTACTTGGCGAGGCTGAGGCCAGGGGACTGCTTGACCCCAGGAGGTCGACCCTGCAGTGAGCCATGATAGCACCACTGTACTCTAGCCGGGGCGATCAAGTGAGGCCCTGTCTCCAAAAAAAAGTTTTGTTTTGTTTTGTTTTAAGACAGGGTCTCACTTTGTCATCTACATTGCAGCACAGTGGTGCCATCACAGCTCACTGAAGTCTTCACCTCTCAGGCTTAAAGGAGCCTCCAACCTCAGCCTTCCAAGTAGTTGGCACTACAGGCATGCGCCACCACACCTGGCTCATTTTTGTATTTTTAGTAGAGATGGGGTTTCACCATGTGGCCAGGCTGCTCTTGAGCTCCTGGACGCAAGTGATCTTCCGCCCTCGGCCTCCCAAACTGCTGGGATTACAGGTGTGAGCCAGTGTGCTGGATGAATTTTTTCAAAGAAGGAAAAATAAAATTAATTCGGCCCTTCATTAAAAAAATTAAAAACTCTTTAAAGGAAACGTGGGCTAAGTTATTTTTCTGAGAGACTATAAGATTTAGGAAGAAAAATAATCATGATGAAACGTTTTGGGAATATTTTTGGTATTTAAAATTATTGTAGAAATTTATAAATGTGTCAGATTTTGGCTGGGCACAGTGGCTCACACTTGTAATCCAAGCACTTTGGGAGGCCAAGGTGGGCAGACCACCTGAGGTCAGGAGTTCGAGACCAGCCTAGCCAACATGGTGAAACCCTATCTCTAAAAGAATTTTTTAAAAAAATTTTAAGTCAGATTTTAAGAAATATTCTTATGGCTGGGTACAAGTGGCTCATAACTGTCATCCCAGCACTTTGGGAGGCAAAGGCAGGCAGATCACTTGAGCTCAGGAGGTAAGTTACCTGGGCAACACAGCAAGACTCCATCTCTACAAAAAAAAAAGTAGCTGGGCATGGTGGTGAGCACCTGTAGCTATTTGAAGGGGTTGAGGCAGGAGGATCACTTGAGCCTGGCAGGTCAAGGCTATAGCAAGCCGTGTTTATGTCACTGCAGTCCAGGCAGGGTGACAAAGTGAGACTCTTATCTCCAAATAAGAAAGAAACCCTCTTGGTCATAGATATGATTTCTTTACACCAAATTTGTTCGTGGATGCCAATCACAATGGGTTTGTCCCTAGGGTAATATAGTTTGCTTTGATCATTTCCAAGAGTAAGTTGTACTACAGGATAGCAGAAGAGATGCACTTAAAAAGTATGGCAAAATGCATATTGAGACAATAGTATGTTGGCCAGACACAGAGACTCACGCTTGTAATCCCAGCACTTTGGGAGGCTGAGATGGGTCACCTGAGGTCAGGAGTTCAAGGCTAGCCTGGCCAACATGGTGAAACCCTGTCTCTAACAAAAATACAAAAAATTAGCTGAGCTTGGTGGCACGTGCCTGTGGTCCTAGGTACTTGGGAGGCTGAGGTGGGAGGATCACTTGAGCCTGGGAGGTGCAGGGTACACTGAGCCGAGATTGTGCCACTGCACTCTAACCTGGGTGACAGAGTGAGACCCAGTCTCAAAAAAAAAAAAAAAGAAAAAACAAGATGCAGTAAAGAAGCCGACCAAAACCAAGATGGTGACGAAAGTGACCTCTGGTCGTCCTCACTGCTCATTAAAACTTTTTTTAAAAAATATGAAAAGAGGCTGGGCCCTGTGGCTCACACCTGTAATCTCAGGACTTTGGGAGGCCAAGGCAGGTGGATCGCCTGAAGTCAGGAGTTTGAGACCAGCCTGGCCAACGTGGCACAACCAAAAATGCAAAAATTAGCCAGATGTGGTGGCACACACCTGTAATCCCAGCTACTTGGGAAGCTGAGGCAAGAGAATTGCTTGAAGCCAGGAGACAGAGGTTGCAGTGAGCCGAGATCATGCCACTGTACTCCAGCCTGGGAGACAGAGCAAGGCTCCGTCAAAAAAAAAAAAAAAAAAAAAAAGCCGGGCCTGGTGGTGCACATCTGTAGTCCCAGCTACTCGGGAGGCTGAGGTGGGAGGATCATGTGAGCCTGGGAGGTCCAGGCTGCAGGGGGCCGTGATCCTGCCCCTGCCCTGCAGCCTGGGTTATACAGCGAGACAAAAGAAAAAAGTTAGTGGTAACAGGATAAACTACATAGCCATGTATTATTCCTTCACATTCATGAAGCAGGTCAATTTGAAGCTTGAGGACGACTTCCATTCCTCTAGGTGAATCTACCAAGAAATGCCTTGGTAGAGCTAGGAGTGCCAATGGTATCGGCAAAGCCAGCCTGCTTCCCTGTGATTCATGGTAATTCTCACTATGACTTTGACATGATGTTCCTACACTGTGCCTATCAACACTTGTAGACACACTGTATAAGCGTTTGTTACATTTACTTTTTCTTTTGTCATTACGTCTTTTATTACAGAGGCCACTGTGCACTCCACAATCACACACTTACACAGCTCCGCCTTGCCAAGCAGTGTAGACCCTGCCAAGCAGTGTAGACAGATTCTGGATAACTATCTTTGCATCCTTCCCCATACCATGTCCCCGATGTTGAACTGAAGCAGCTCCTTCCACGTTCCCTACCCGTTAACTAGCCAGGCCACTGCCCACATTGTCACAAACATTATATTAACTGAAAAAGTGGCCCATGCCATATTCCATTATGAGAAATTATTTTTAATTCGATTAAATTCCAATGTTTATTCAGAAAACCTGGTAGAGATTGAATTGCTCTATGTACCTTTCTTAGTTTTCTTCTTCTTAGCATATTTTGACCGTTTATCTTCTACACCTGGCTGACCTGCATGGTCCTTGTAGTGTAACTTCTACTTGGTGTTTGCGCTTTGCTTTGTTTTCAAATTTAAATTGTGAGATACATTTTTAAACCTATCTAAGAAATAGCCCTGATATTGAAATGGCTTCTGTGGAATAGGTTTGACAGGTGTAAGTCTTTGATTCTTTGGCTTTGGTTTTTGTGCCTGTTACAGTTTTGCACACATTCATTCAGAGGAAGACATTACCATCAGTGTGTGGTTTATTTTTTCAAATTCCAGTATGTTTTTAAAGACCCATATTTCACTAAGCAGTGTACTTGTTGAAACCCATGTGAGTGACTTTGTTTGCACATGTGATAGAGCATCAGATACTGGAGTTTGCCAGGGGTAGAATGGTTGGATTCAGGAATGTTTAGCTGACTCATAGCAGGAAGTTATCCTGTAAAAAAATGAAGCAAGGCAGGGAAGACAGATTTAAGTACCATGCAGCTCAAAACGACAATTACATTGTCATTTTCGTTGTGAATACTTCTAGGTTCTATATTGGCTGTGATCTTTGTACTAACTGCTATTATGGAGAATGTGTTGGCATCGCAGAAAAGGAGGCTAAGAAAATGGATGTGTACATCTGTAATGATTGTAAATGGGCACAAGAGGGCAGCAGTGAGGAATTGTACTGTATCTGCAGAACACCTGCAGTCACAGTGAGTTCTAATAAGAGCATCACATTTAATAATTTAGGAAGCCAAATTGCTCTGACTGGTTACTTATTTACTTTAAAATAAAAAGCAGATTTTTTCTACATTTGTTATACACTTACATTACAAATTCCTTTTCATTTTTTTTTCTCTTTTTCCCTTTTTACCTACCCTTCAAAATTTATCTTGCTTCATAGTGAATGTTTGAGACACATTGGGGAAAATGTGGTTTAATGGTAGATTTGATTCTTCAATATGTAACATAGAAATTAATGAGATTAAACTAGCTTGACTTGTTTGGACTTTATCAGTGTTTGAAATGGTGCTTTATTATAGGTTAGAAAAACACTAATTTGGGTATAAGCTTTGAGACTCTGTTATTACCTTATAGGATTTTGAACTCCCACATGGTACAGTACTAGTTGAAAGATTTGTGACTTGTTTTCAGCTTTAAAATCAATTGAATGTTTCATATTTATCTTTAAATTGGTTCTCCAAAATTACAGTGTTCTTATAAATTTTTTTACTGCTTGTTCTTAACATCAAAAATACTAAATTAATGTACTGGAATGTCGATCTTGAAAGTATTAAAACCACAATACTAAAACTATTTTATATCCCAGGGTTTAGCAAATTTTCAGGTGCATGCTTTATTATAAGTAACATCATCCCATCTGTTTTGAACTCACATTTCCATTTCGGATCTTGCAGATTTTTTATTGGCCATGATCGGTGTCAGAATTGGTACCATGGGTGCTGCATTGGCATCTTGCAGAGTGAGGCAGAGCTCATTGATGAGTATGTCTGTCCACAGTGCCAGTCAACAGAGGATGTCATGACAGTGCTCACACCACTAACAGAGAAGGATGATGAGGAGTTGAAGAGGGTGCTCCGTTCCTTACAGATGAGAGCCCCTCTGTGTGCAGCATTTGAAAATGAAATCAGCTGGCATAATTTTGGAAGCATTTCTAGGATTTCAAGTTTCCAATGTTAGGATTTCAAGTTTCCAATCTTAGAGTGATTATTTACTGACTCTCAGCTAGTCTAGTGAAGGGCTTGACAAACTTCAGTCCTTCACATACCAGTGTCATGAGCTTTACCATATCCCCACACCACCTCAGCTTATCTAACACTCAGATAATCTAACGTGACTCACTTCTTTATACATTTTATTTTTAAAGAAACTTCCTCTCACTCCCATGGATTGAGAAACAGTATGATTAGATTATAGTTATTATTTTCCTTATGAAAGACAGAAAGGTGGCTGGGTACGGGGGCTCACACCTGTAATCCCAGCACTTTGTGGGGGCTGAGGTGGGCAAATCATGAGGTCAGGAGTTTGAGACCAGACTGGCCAACATGGTGAAACCCCGTCTCTACTAAAAATACAAAAAACTAGTCGGGTGTGGTGGCGTGAGCCTGTAATCCCAGCTACTAGGGAGGCTGAGGCAGGAGAATCGCTTGAACACAGGAAGCAGAGGTTGCAGTGAGCCAAGATCGAGCCATGGCACTCCAGCTCGGGTGACAGTGTGAGACTCTGTCTCAAAAAAAAAAAAAAAAAGGAAAGAAAAGAAAACCAGGATAGGTATGGTTTGCAGGATTAGCAAGTGATACAGGTGTATTGAAGACACAGAAGGCCAGTGTGGTTGCTCACACCTATAATCCCAGCACTTTGGGAGGCCAAGGCAGGAGGATCACTTGAGTCAATTAGTTAGAGACCAATCTGGGCAACAAAGTGAGACCCCATCTCTACAAAAAATAAAAATAAAAAATTAGCTGGGCATGTTGGCACACACTTGTTTATCCAGCTACTTGGGAGGCTGAGGTGAGAGGATCACTTGAGCACAGGAGGCTACAGTGAGCTATGATCGTGCCACTCCACTCCAGCCTGGATGACAGAGCGAGACCCTGTCTCAAAACAATGGGGGGAAATAAAAGGATATAGTGCATTGGATTGAAACTTTCTTCTATTTTTATCATAATCACAAGAATTGAAGAAACTAAAAAGGGAATCGTAGTCTCAATGTGTGGTTGAATGTTATCTAACATCACATCTCTGCCACCTCATCATTAATCAGCTGTGGTAATGATTCCACACTTTGAACCCATCCCACCTGTTACAGAAGCAGTTGCAATGCCAGCATCACTCAGTGACAGCTCATCATGTAGGGCCCAGAATACTGATTTTGTGACTTCTAAGCTTGTGTTCCACCCCCCACACTGTGGGGAAAAGAAAGAGAGATCAGATTGTTGCTGTGTCTGTGTAGAAAGAAGTAGACATAGGAGACTCCATTTTGTTCTGTACTAAGAAAAGTTCTTCTGCCTTGAGATGCTGTTAATTTATAACCTTACCCCCAACCCCGTGCTCTCTGAGACATGTGCTGTGTCAACTCAGGGTTAAATGAATTAAGGGCTGTGCAAGATGTGCTTTGTTAAACAGATGCTTGAAGGCAGCATGCTCCTTAAGAGTCATCACCACTCCCTAATGTCAAGTGCCCAGGGACACAAACACTGCGGAAGGCCGCAGGGACCTCTGCCTAGGAAAGCCAGGTATTGTCCAAGGTTTCTCCCCATGTGATAGTCTGAAATATGGCCTCGTGGGAAGGGAAAGACCTGACCGTCCCCCAGCCTGACACCCTTAAAGGGTCTGTGCTGAGGAGGATTAGTATAAGAGGAAGGAATGCCTCTTTGCAGTTGAGACAAGAGGAAGGCATCTGTCTCCTGCCCGTCCCTGGGCAATGGAATGTCTCGGTATAAAACCCGATTGTATGTTCCATCTACTGAGATAGGGAAAAACCGCCTTAGGGCTGGAGGTGGGACACGCGGGCAGCCATACTGCTTTGTAAGGCATTGAGATGTTTATGTGTATGTGTATCTAAAGCACAGCACTTAATTCTTTACCTTGTCTATGATGCAGAGACCTTTGTTCATGTGTTTATCTGCTGACCTTCTCTCCACTATTATCCTATGACCCTGACACATCCCCCTCTCCGAGAAACACCCAAGAATGATCAATAAATATGAAGGGAACTCAGAGGCCGGCAGCATCCTCCATATGCTGAACGCAGGTACCCTGGGCCCCCTTATTTCTTTGTCTGTACTTTGTCTCTGTGTCTTTTTCTTTTCCAAGTCTCTCGTTCCACTTAACGAGAAACACCCACAGGTGTGGAGGGGCAACCCACCCCTTCACCACACCAAGGTCTTCCGACCAAGCTTTGAGTACCATTATTGCAGAGGAAGCTCATCTTAGGTAACTTATTACTAGAGCAGAAATCACCTAATATAAAGTATTTCATGTATCGCATTTAAAACTGACTTTTGGGTTCATTGATGTAGTGACTCAACTGGGAATCTTAAATGGAATTAGTGTTTTCACTGACAATAAGAATGCCTACTTTTTCATTATAGGCCCATAAGATGGCCCAGCCTTTCCTTGAACCAGTAGACCCTAATGATGCACCAGATTATTATGGTGTTATTAAGGAACCTGTGGGTACACATGAGTTGAATTTGAAGTTTTTTCAGAAGTCTCAGTGTATATTTTATTAACCATAAAATTAATATCTTAGAATACTTTTAGCAAGGCTGGTGGGGGTATAAATTGGTATGGTCACTTTGGAGGGTAAATTGATAGTATCTATTACAGTTGAATTGTGCATACTCGGTTATTTTATTTTATTTTTTTGAGATGGAGTCTCACCCTGTTGCCAGGCTGGAGTGCAGTGGTGTGATCTCACCTCAATACAACCTCTGCCTCCCAGGTTCAAGCGATTCTCCTGCCTCAGCCTCCCGCGTAGTTGGGACTACAGGCACGTGCCATCACACCCGACTAATTTTGGTAGTTTTAGTAGAGATGAGGTTTCACTGTGTTGGCCAGGATGGTCTCAAACTCCTGACCTCAGGTGATCCGCTCGCTTCGGCCTCCCAAAATGCTGGGATAACAGGCATGAGCCACCGCGCCCAGCCCCCACAGTGATCTTCCTTTGAGGAAAAGCCACGGGGTGCTTTCTCTCTTCTGTAGCAAGGAAGATGGTTTCTAAGAGGGTATTTTAAAAGCAGTTTACCTAAAATAAAAGTGAAAGGCCAGGCAAGGTGACTTATGCCTGTAATCCCAGTACTTTGGGAAGCCGAGTGGGGAGAATAGCTTGAAGCCAGGAGTTCAAGACCAGCCTGGGCCACAGTATGAGACCTTGTCTCTACTACCAAAAAAAAAAAAAAAAATTAACCAGGCTTGGTGATGAGTGCCTATAGTCCCAGCTACTTGGGAGGCTGAGGCAGGAGAATCACTTGAGTACAGGAGTTTGAGGCTGCAGTGAACTATGATCGAGCCACTCCACCCCAGCCTGGGTGACACAGCAAGAACTTGCCTGTTTAAAAAAAAAAAACAAACAAAAAACTGAGGCCAGGTGCGGTGGATCACGCCTGTAATCCCAGCACTTTGGGAGGCCGAGTGGGGCGGATCACGAAGTCAGGAGATCGAGACCATCCTGGCTAACACGGTGAAACCCCGTCTCTACTAAAAATAACAAAAAATTAGGCGGGCGTGGTGGCAGACGCCTGTAGTCCCAGCTACTCGGGAGGCTGAGGCAGGAGAATGGCATGAACCCGGGAGACAGAGCTTGCAGTGAGCCGAGATTGCGCCACTGCACTCCAGCCTGGGAGACAGAGCGAGACTCCGTCTCAAAAAAAAACAAAAACAAAAACAAAAAAACTGAAGGACAAGCCCAGCTAAAGTATCCAATTTTTATTCTCAGCAAAGGAATTAAAAAATAAATGAATATATATATAGGCAAGGAAGCAAGAAAAGTAGGCAGCAGGTTATAGACCAAAAACAAGAAACTACAAAATCTGTAAAACTAGGCTAGGCGTGATGGCTCATGCCTGTAATCCCAGCACTTTGGGAGGCCGAGGCGGGTGGATCACCTGAGGTCAGGAGTTTGAGACCAGCCTGGCCAACATGGCAAAACCCCATCTCTACTAAAAATACAAAAATTAGCCAGGTGTGGTGATGCACACCTGTAATCCCAGCTACTCAGGTGGCTGAGGCACGAGAATTGCTTGAACTCAGGAGGCAGAGGTTGCAGTGTGCCAAGATCACACCACTGCACTCCAGCCTGGGTGACAGTGAGACTCTCACAAAAGAAGAAGAAAAAATTCCCAACCTTACCAACATAACAAGACCATGTCTCTACAAAAATTTTAAAAATTAACCAGGCATAGTGGCGTGCACCTGTAGTCCTAGCTACTCAGGAGGCTATGACAGGAAGATCACTTGTGCCCAGGAGTTCAAGGCTGCAGTGAGCTGTGATCACTTGTGCCCAGGAGTTCAAGGCTGCAGTGAGCTGTGATTACACCACCGCTCTCCAGCCTGAATCACAGATTGAGACCCTGTCTCAAAAAAAAAAGACAAGAATAAAAGAAAAATTTTCTGAGCTGATGCGAGTCACGGGACTTTAAATTCTAGCAGAATAAATTCATTCACTCAGCAAATGACTATTGAGAACCTGATGTGTGCCAGATACAGGGAATTTAGCAGTGAATAAATTAAAGCCCCTGCACTCTATGAGGGGTGGGGGGAGCAAGGGGTCAGTTGATAAACATTATAAGCCAGGTGGACAAATGGAAAAAGACTCACTCCTACATACATCACTATAAAATTTCCAAACATTAAGAATAAAAGAAACTTTTAGATAAAACAGACAATCTATAAAACAAGAATTAGATTGGTGTCAGATTTTTCCGCTACAACATTTAGTGCTAGAAGATTATGGAAGAATAAATCTAAAAGTTTAAGAAAAAATGATTTTCAACCTAGAAGTCTATGTGCAGCCAAACAGTCAAGTAAAGTCAGAATAAATACATTTTCAGTCATGTAAGGACTCAGGGTACCCTTTCTTGGCAGGTATTTTTTAAAAGCGTGTGCTATTGGCCAGACACGAAATGGCTTATGCCTGTAATCCTAGCACTTTGGAAGGCAAAGACGGATGGAACATTTGAGGTCAGCATTTCGAGACCATCCTGGCCAACATGGCAAAACCTCGTCCCTACTAAAAATACAATACTTAGGCGGGCATAGTGGCGCATGCCTGTAGTCCCAGCCACACAGGAGGCTGAGGCATGAGAATCACTTGAAACAGGGAGGCAGAGGCTGCAATGAGCCAAGATCACACCACTGCACTCCAGCCTGGGTGTCAGAGTGAGACTCTGCTCAGGAAAAAAAAAAAAAAAAAAAAGTGTGCTATCAAAAATAAGGAAACAAATTTTTTTCTTTTTAATAATATATATTTTTAATTAGGGACAGGGTCTTGCTATATGACCCAAGCTAGTCTTGAACTGAGCTCAAGCGATCCTCCCGCCAACCTTGGCCTCCCAGAGTGCTGGGATTACAGCCGTGAGCCACTGCACTGGGCTAGAAATTTTTCTGTTGTTTTGTGTTTTTGAGACAGAGTCTCACTCTGTTGCCCAGGCTGGAGTGCAGTGGTGCAATCTCACCTCACTGCAACCTCCGCTTCCCGCGTTCAAGCGATTCTCCTGCCTCAGCCTCCCAAGTAGCTGGGATTACAGGCGCCTGCCACCACACCTGGCTAATTTTTGTGTTTTTAGTAGGGATGGGGTTTTGCCATGTTGGCCAAGCTGGTCTCAAGGCAAGTGATCCACCTGCCCTGGCCTCCCAAAGTGCTGGGATTACAGATGTGAGCCACCGCGCCTGGCCAGACATTTTTATTTATTTGGGTTCAGAAAACAAGAGGTTCAGGGAAAGCAATGAGAATTACTCTGACTCAAGGTGACATTTGTACAGCAGGCTGTGCGGTAAGCAATCCAAATCCTAGCAGGAGAATGGAGCACTCCCCAGAGGGTCAGTAGGGCAAGACAATGACTCATGCATTAGATAATTTGTTTAAGACAGAAAAACATAAGGCTATGATTAAGCCAAAGAATGTCAGGGATAAAAATGAAAGGCAATTAGAAACGCCACTAAAAACAAAAAGTTGTGTAGGAGGGCCTGTTGGCTGGGAATGGTGGTTCATGCCTGTAATCCCAACACATTGAGAGGCTGAGGCAGGAGGATGCTTGAGCCCAGGAATTCTAGACCAGCCCGGGCAACATGAGGAAACCCCATCTTTACAAAATACAAAAATTAGCCAGGCATGGTGATGTGCACCCATGATCCCAGCTACTCCAGAGGCTGAGGTGGGAGGATTAAGCCCAGGAGACAGATACTGCAGTGAGCCATGTTCATGCAACTACACTCCAGCCTGGACGACACAACAAGACCCTATCTCAAAAAAAAAAAAAAAAAAAGAAAGAAAGAAAAAAAAGGCCAGGTGCGGTGGCTCATGCCTGTAATCCCAGCACTTTGGAGGGCCAAGGTGGATGGATCACCTGAGGTCGGGAGTTCAAGACCAGCCTGGACAACATGGCAAAACCTCGTCTCTATTAAAAATACAAAAATTAGCCAGGCATTGTGGTAGGCACCTGTAATCCTCGCTACTTGGGAGGCTGAGGCAAGTGAATTGCTCAAACCTGAGACGTGGAGGTTGCAGTGAGCCAAGATTGTGCCACTGCACTCCAGCCTAGGCGACAGAGCGAGACTCTGTCTCAAAAAAAAAAAAAAAAAGAAAAAAAAGAATGCCTTATTAGCAAAGGACTAGGTGGTATAGAGAAAAATATTTACATTGTCGTAATAATGTAAATAATGACATTGGGCCAGGAACAGTGGCTTATGCCTATAATCCCAACACTTTGGGAGGCCAAGGCATGTGGATCACCTGAGATCAGGAGTTCGAGACCAGCCTGACCAACATGGTGAAAGCCCATCTGTACTAAAAATACAAAAATTAGCTAGGCGTGGTGGCAGGCACCTGTAATCCCAGCTACTCAGGAGGCTGAGGCAGGAGAATCACTTGAACCCAGGAGGCAGAGGTTGCAGTGAGCCAAAACCATGCCATTGCACTCCAGCCTGGGCCACAAGAGCAAAATTCCGTGTCAAAAAAAATAAAAATAAAAATAATGACATTGGTTTTCAACTTTTAGAATCAGCCTACAGACAAAGCATGGAATGATATAATTTTTAAATTATAGGGAAATAAAACTTGGACTCAGCCAGGTGCGGTGGCCCACACCTGTAATCTCAGCACTTTGGGAGGCCGAGGCGGGTGTATCACGAGGTCAGGAGTTTGAGACCAGCCTGGCCAAGATGGTGAAACCTCATCTCTACTAAAAATACAAAAATTAGCCGGTCGCAGTGGTGAGCGCCTGTAATCCCAGCTACTCAGGAGGCTGAGGTGGAAAATCGCTTGAACCCAGGAGGTGGAGGTTGCAGTGAGCTGAGATCACACCACTGCACTCTAGCCTGGGTGACAGAGCAAGACTCCATCTTAAAACAACAACAAAAAAAAAACAAAATAAAACAAAACAGAACAAAACAAAACAAAAAAGACTAGGACTCAAAAATGGAGGTGGGAAAATGGTTAAGTGAGCTTGGCTCTCATTTGCCATCACAGGGCTTAAATGAAAGTTGATAAAACAAGAAAGAGCAGTATAAGAAAGCTACCCAGGCTGGGCATGGTGGCTTATGCCTGTAATCCCAGCACTTGGGAAGGCCAAGGCGGGTGGATCATCTGAGGTCAGGAGTTCGAGACCAGCTGGCCAACATGGTGAAACCCCATCTCCACTAATAATACAAAAATTAGCCAGGCATGGTGGTGCACGCCTGTAAGTCCCAGCTACTCTGGAGGCTGAGGCAGAAGAATCACTTGAACGTGGGAGGCGGAGGTTGCAGTGAGTGGAGACCACACCACTACACTTCAGCCTGGGCGACAAGAACGAGACTCCATCTCAAAAGAAAAAAAATCTACCCAGACCAGGCATGGTGGCTCATGTCCGTAATCCTAGCACTTTTGGGAGGCTGAGGTGGGCGGTTAGGTCAGGAGTTCCAGACCAGCCTGGCCAATATGGTAAAACCTTGTCTCTACTAAAAATACAAAAATTAGCTAGGCGTAAGGGTGGGCACCTGTAATCCCAGCTACTCGGGAGGCTGAGGCAGGAAAATCATTTGAACCCAGGAGGAGGAGGTTGCAGTGAGCTGAGATCCCACCACTGCACTCCAACCTGGGCAACAGCAAGACTCTGTCTCAAAAAAAAAAAAAGAAAGAAAGAAAGAAAAGAAAAGAAAAGAAATCTACCCAGAGAACTGAAAGGTCAAGGGGATTGATCATAGGGAGCCTGGATTTCAGAGGGAGTTAAGGTAGGACAGAGGAGCACAACTTCTCATTATAAGCCCCTCTATGCTTTTTGATTTGTACATGGTGGTTATTCCTCTGGTTCAATTTCTAAAATTGCTTTTTTAAATTGGAAAGGCCTTTGGTGGTAACTGTGAGGTAGAAGCCAAGGGGTGTGAATCCTACCCTGCTGCCAACTTGCTGGCAGAGCCCAGAGGATGACTGCTGGCAACTGCTGATGAAGGAGAGGAAGTTGCTTGGAGGTCCTGGGGCCTGTGGCAAGACAAAGGGAATTTGGTAAAGGAGCAAAGGAGACCTAGGCTGGGCCCGCATAGTGTAGGGGCCACTTAGGATGTCTTCTTGCCACCTGGTTATTTTATGTAGCTTTTTAATATACTGAAGTTGACATAATTTTCAATAAAGCACATGGGAGCTGAATGGAGACGTTTGCTCAATTCTGCTTAAATAAACAAATTAGGCTGTGTGCAGTGGCTCACACCTGTGATCTCAACACTTTGAGAAGCCAAGGCAGGCAGCTCACTTGAGCCCAGGAGTTTGAGACCAGCCTGGGCAACATGGGGAAACCCCATCTCTACAAAAAATACAAAAAATTAGCTGAGCATGGTGGCACGTGCCTGTAGTCCCAGCTACCCAGGAGGCTGAGGTAGGAGGATCACCTGAGCCCTGGAGGTTGAGGCTGCAGTGAGCCATGATTGTGCCACTGCACTCCAGACTGGGCTACAGAGTGAGACCCTGTCTCAAAACAAACAAATCAAAAAAAAAAAAAAAAAGAAAAAAAGAAAAAAATTACAATGCAAAGAATTGTATAAAGACAACTTGCTGTTGCATTTTTAGGGAATTTCTATTGCTTTCCAGATTTAAGGTAGAATGAAACATAACTAGCCAGTTATTGAAACTTGATTTTATTATGGGTTTCCAGAATTTCCTTTGCCATATTTTCCCATTGTAATTTATGATCTCCAGCATTGTTTGCACATTGTTTTCATTACTGCACTTTGTTATAATTCATCATTTATACCATCCATATTCTTTCTTTTCTTACGGATTGTGATATCTTTAGTCTAAATTTTTAACTGGAATCAGAACTGGATGTTGGGGTCACTGTTTTATTGTACCTTGTGATTACGTAATCCAAAATTGCCCCCCAAAAAGTCAGGTTAGCTAATATAATTTTTTAATGTTAACGATGTATAGTGGTAAAAAATTTATTCTAGCAGCCACGTGAAACAATGTATTTAAAAATTGTAAACTATTGGAATACTGTATTTATCTGCTATTGCAATATAAATTTATCTGCTATTGCAATATAAAGTCCTTTGACTTAGTCCTGGTAACTGTACAGTAATTTGGTTTACTGACAAAAGTTGTGAGGCCAGCCTTGGTGGCTCACACTTGTAATCCCAGCACTTTGGGAGGCCGAGGCGGGCGGATCACCTGAGGTCAGGAGTTTGCGACCAGCCTGGCCAACATGGTGAAACCTCGTCTCTACAAAAAGTACAAAAATTAGCCGGGTGTGGTGGCAGGCACCTGTAATCCCAGCTACTCGGGAGGCTGAGGCAGGAGAATCGCTTGAATCTGGGAGGCAGAGGTTGCAGTGAGCCAAGATCGCGCCTTTGCACTACAGCCTGGGGACAAAAGCGAGACTTCGTCTCAAAAAAAAAAAAAATTGTGAATAAAACTGTGTGAAACTGGGAGACTTTCTGGACTTTAATAGAAAAATATGATTTTAAAATTGCTTTTTCTTTTGTTTTAGCATAATTTTTCCCTTTATATTCCCCTCATCCGTGTAAATAAACACACACATACACACACACACGCACCTTTCACCACAATGGTAATGCTTCTGTAAATGTCTCTATTTGTCCAGTTGCCTGAAAATGTTGTAATCTTTATTAGACAAATATATATACATACATATTTTAAATATTGGCTTTTTCCAGTGAGCTATTATGCTTAGTGTACAGTGAAAAGTTTTATTATTATAGGTTAAAAATTTCTTAATCGTTCTTTTCTATTCGCTTGCCAAGGGTGAATGAAAGAACATGGCTGCTTCTTCCAGATTTATTTACTTTGGCATCCGCATAAAGCATCATTTTCAAAAATGAAAGGTGCTCAATTGTTCCCTTTTTCTATACTCTGTAGGTCTCACAACAACAAACTGCAGTCTACAGCTTCCTAAAGTTCAGCATGTTAACCTAACATAAAACACAGCAAGAATCTTGTTGCCTGAACTATTTTAAATTAAGGAGCCAGATCTTTTTAGTGAGGCTATCCTGACAAGACTTGACCTAAACTTTGTTTTTATTGGTCATAACAGTCCAATTATATTATTGGCCAATTTTGTCCAATGGACAAGAAAAAAGCAAAGTTGCCAGGTGCGGTGGCTCACGCCTGTAATCCCAGCACTTTGGGAGGCCAAGGCGGGCGGATCATCTGAGGTCGGGAGTTCGAGACCAGCCTGACCAATATGGAGAAACCCCGTCTCTACCAAAAATACAAAATTAGCTGTGCATGGTGGCCTATGCCTGTAATCCCAGCTACTTGGGAGGCTGAGGCAGGAGAATCGCTGGAACCCGGGAGGCAGAGGTTGTATTGAGCCGAGATTGAGCCATTGCACTCCAGCCTGGGTGACAAGAACAAAACTCCGTTTCAAAAACAAAAAAAGGAAGAAAAGAAAAAGAAAAAAGAAAAGTCAACGACACCATTATCTTGTCAAGATCAAATGGTTTTATTATTGTGGCAGAAGCGAGAAAATTTTGTTTATTAAAAAAAAAAAAGAAAAAGAAAGCAAGAAACAATGATACTGTGGGGTCAAGTATAACTCCATGGAAATGCCACGTCTGCTCTTCAGTGAAGAAGCTGGTTTAGAGTCTCAAAGAAAACTTTTGACTGTATTTATTTATTGTTGCAAAAAAGATGCTTTTTTATTGCTGCCCTCATTTGTCAACTAATTATTTTTTCTTATAAAATCCAGCCACGGTTACATATAATCCATCCATATCTTATCAATGATTCCTGTACGTAAAAGTACAAGACAACCTCTAGATGTCTTTTCTTTCTATGAAAGGAGCTGCTATGTACACATGTGCACACACACACAACTGCGAATCAACAATGAGTTTATTGTTCATGGTAGATTAAAATCAAGCTTGCATAAAGGTTGGGCTAAGTGGTCCTGGACTACAGACTCTGGTGACTTGAATATAACAGTACAATTTGTCAATTACTCCACACCAGGTTGAAATGAGTAAAATCTATTTGAAGGTATCTTCTTTGTAAACATTTGTCAGATTCTAATTTTTCTTTTTGTATTAAAATTCAACTATGGATGTATGTGAAACAAAATAAATGGAGATAGTTTTTCTCCCACAGACAGAGGTGTCTTTGAATGTGTGCTAATGATTATCTGTAAGCCTCTGTGGGGAGGGAGGGCTGCAAGGTCATGAAAGGCAAAAGAATCTAATTGTACCTGGAATTCTCCTGGACAGCAGTGGCCCCTCGTTTTATCATTCCCAGTCAATTGTCATCACGTCAGAGAAGAATCTTCAGGGGTGCTAATCCTGTCGCATCAGTTGATCATACTAACGAAAAAGGTAATGCGACAAGATACACATTGCCTTCATCTGTACATTCTGTGATACTGGGCAAATTACCAATTACAGACAGCTACTTATATTGTATGAAGGACATTTTTTGTTAGATGATCTCATCCTCTGTGTTATTTGTTGATTGGGTTTGTTTTTTGCTTGTTGGTTTGTTTGTTTCTTCCATGTAAGGAAAAGTAGTGTAAGCAGTAGGAAGAAAATGAGGAAGATGTATTTTGCATGTTCTTCCTTTCAATGTTCTTACACATTGTATTACTGCATTGTGGTAATAGCTTCTATAAAATCTGCCATAGCTGGATTATGCAGCTTTGCAAAAATTCTACTAGATTTTATTCTAACTCATATTAGCTTTGTCCTATCAACTTCTGGAATTTATCTAATTATTGCTTTTAAAAGTTTCCTTCCTTTCAACGTTTCCCTGCTATGCAAAACCTTTCCCAGACCTTGGTTTCTTAAAAGAAAGATGTTGCTACAGTTCCCAATTCTTTCTTATTACAGGCTCAGGTGTACAGGTTATTCTGGCTTAATTTTATCTAATGAAGCCCATTCCTTTTTGTACATGAAGATGTCACTTAAACCTATGTTTACAAACTAAAGAGACTAATCACTCAATATGAAAACATGAAAACATTTTTGCTTAAAATATTAAGATGGAAATACTTAAATATGGATTATTTTGTCCTTTTACTTTTTAAAAAAAGTTACATATTGTATGCACTGTGCTGATGCAAGAATTCTACATTTTAATGAATTATAAAATTATTCTGCATCTCATCACGTCACAGTATTTCTGCACTATTTATTCATATATATAGAAATATATATGGGCTTAATCATTTAAAATTTGTTGCAGCAAGAACTTTCCTACCTGTAGGCAATAGATTGCTATGTTTTCAACAAATTGTGGCAAATTCTAAACAGCAATTCTTTTGTATGTAATAGGACATTTCATACTAGAAAAATAAAGTAATGTTTTTGACATTGGATTTGGTGCAGTTTCTAATGAAGCAACGGTTGGTTGGTGGTAATATGTCTTCTGTAGCTGTTAGCATTGCCAAATTAAAAAGGGTAAATTTTATGGAAATCCTGAGACCAGGAAGATATTAATTTCATGTGTATTTAATGGTATAAAGTGTTTTACAGTTTCTATCACCATACAAATACATAAAGACATTTTATAGTTTTATCAACTATAGGGCTTTAGTCTTTCAAAAGTAATTTTTGAAAAACACACATTCCTGGCCAGGTGTGGTGGCCCACGCCTGTAACCCCAGCACTTTGGGAGGCCGAGGCAGGGGGGATCACCTGAGGTCAGGAATTTGAGACCAACCTGGCCAACATGGTGAAACCCCATCTCTACTAAAAGTACAAAAATTAGCCAGGCATGGTGGCAGGCACCTGAAATCCCAGCTACTAGGGAGGCTGAGGCAGGAGAATCACTTGAACCTGGGAGGCGGAGGTTGCAGTGAGCCGTGATCACGCCATTGCACTCCAGCCTGGGGGACAAGAGTGAGACTTCATCTCAAAAAAAATAAAAAAGAAAGAAAAACATACATTTTTTAGAACATAATGAGTTCTGAAAGCTGCTTTTCTGTGAGTAATCTTTGAAAGCTTCTGCTATTAAGATCTATATAACACAGCTATTTTGCTTTCAATAATCCAGGCAGTAAACTGTACATTTGTGATACTCTTAGGATGTTTCTACCACAGGCCTTGGGCTTGTAAATATATTTAATTTGCATCAGTAGATTTCCTTGGCTAAAAGTATTTTCAATAACTGTTATGCTTCACCTGCCAAGTTCACAATCCTTGAAACCATTTCATGAAAAGTATTTTCCTATTGGTAAAGCTTTTATTCTCCTATCCAAATTCTACAGGAGGTTTAAATAAAATTGTGGCTGGGCATGGTGGCTCACGCCTATAATCCCAGCACTCTGGGAGGCTGAAGCGGGCAGATCACAAGGTCAGGAGTTAGAGACCTGCCTGACCAACATGGTGAAACCCTGTTTCTACTAAAAATACAACAATTTAGCTGGACAAGTGGCACACACCTGTAGTCCCAGCTACTCAGGAGGCTGAGGTGGGAGGATGGCTTGAACTGGGGAGGCAGAGGTTGTAGTGAGCTGAGATTGTGCCACTGCACTCCAGCCTGAGCGACACAGCAAGACTCTGTCTCAAAAAAAAAGTGAACTTTTGGAGATATTTTCTGAAGTAAAATAATTACCTTTTTATATTCCAAATGGCCTAGAGTGTTATTTAGAGACACTAAGATTTGCTGTTGTTTGTAATCTACCTTCCTGGGATCTGCAAATAAAAGTTATTTCCCTATTTCTGCTAATTCCTTTAGGCAAACTCTCTACTTCTTTATGTTAAAGAGCCAACCTGGTGGACTTTCAGATCTCTGCACACTTAGTTAGACAAAGTTACATGGTTATTACAGCTTTCACTCTTCCTGATTGAAACTATCATGATACGGCTGGGCGTGGTGGCTCACACGTATAATCCCAGCACTTTGGGAGGCCAAGGCAGGTGGATCACCTGAGGTTGGGAGTTTGAAACCAGCCTGACAAACATGGAGAAACCCCATCTCTACTAAAAATACAAAAAAAAAAAAAAAAAAAAATTAGCTAGGTAAAGTGGCGCATGCCTGTAATCCCAGCTACTTGGGAGGCTAGAGCAGGAGAATCACTTGAACCCAGGAGGGAGAGGTTGCGGTGAGCTGACATCATGCCATTACACTCCAGCCTAGGCAACAAGAGCGAAACTCCTTCTCAAAAAAAAAAAAAAAAAAGAAACTATTACCATAGGTCTCAGATTTCTTGCCCTTAATGTGAGAATGGGGATATTCCATGGATAAAATAATGAAGTACTTGAGGAGGTGGAGGGAAGAGCCAACCGAGAAGTATTTTTAATAATTTGAAACATTCTAAGGTATTTCTAGATACTTGGAGTGAGATACTAAAAGACTTTTCTTAGAAGATTATACCACTTGATCCAATTTGAACCAAATTCAACTAAAGAAATTAGCCATATAGATATACTTTTTGTTGTTGTTTCAGACAGAGTCTCGCTCTGTTGCCCAGGCTGGAGGGCAGTGGCATGATCTCGGCTCACTGCAACCTCTGCCTACTAGGTTCAAGCGATCCTCCTGCCCCCCAATAGCTGGGATTACAGGCATGCACCACCATGCCCAGCTAATTTTTGTATTTTTAGTAGAGACAGAGTTTCGCTATGTTGGCCAGGCTGGTCTCAAACTCCTGACCTTGTGATCCACCCGCCTTGGTCTCCCAAAGTGCTGGGATTACAGGTGTGAGTCACAGCTCCCGGCCTAGCCTTTTGACATTTAAAAATTCAACTTTGATTTGACTGGCCTGAGTTATGCCTGAGTTAATTTTTTTTATCTTAAAGAAAACTAGCTCAGAAGCTCTTCATTAGCTATAATTCTATCATGCAATAATGCATCTGACTCCCAAAAAGCAATTCTAGTAAAATTTATAATAAATTTGGACAAAACTCATTTTTGGAAAATACTCTAGAAATCTCTCAGTAGTGCTTTACCATAGAACACTCAGAACCTCTCAACTCTTTATTACCTGTCTGCCCCATAATTGGAACAAATAATAGTATCAGGTATTGTAATGTTAGGCTGTTGCCTCTTGGCTCCTGTGATTCCCTAGCGTCCCGTCCTGGATGTCCTTTATGTGTACAGTGCTACTACTGGGTGCCATGGACAGCGTCAGGACACATTCTGACCTTCCTGAGTGCATCACCGTGAGGCCAAATAGGCTGCTCTCTCTCCAGTGAAATTCCTTCCCCTGTCTCTCTTTAGGCAGTCATCTTCATCTATGCATTAGTGGTGTCTCTGTTCACCGTACTTCTTATAAACTGAAGTACAGCCTTATCTTCTGAAAAAATACTCTCATGTCTTTGTGGACTCAGGTATAAAATCAATATTTAATTTAGCTAGTGATTAAACCTTTTTAAAACCAACTGAAAAATGTTTAGAATTCACTTGCTTGTGAGCTGTCATTGGTTAATATTGGTTCCAAGGTTTGGGGAATGAATTTGAGAAAGGCTTTTTCTCAAACCTTTAGGGCTCAAAGGCTAAAACAAAACAAAACAAAAATAAACAGGTGCATCCAAGGTCTAATTTCAAAGCAAGATTTATTGCTTTACAAGCAAACATTATACTTGGTCTTAATAGAAAAATGATATCAGATACACTCAGAATACAGTTCACATTGGGATAGCTGCCAGTTCAGCACAAAACATACATTATTAGGAGCAGGGAGGCATGAAAATAAACTATATCTTACTCTTTGGTACATCAGGAACACTTTTGCCTGAAGTAAGCCCTTTGGCACTTTTTTAAAATTTATTTTTTTAATCCACCCATCCGCACACTGGCCCTTTTGTACACTTTGTTTGTTTTTGAGACGGAGTTTTGCTCTTGTTGCCCAGGCTGGCGCGATCTCGGCTCACCACAACCTCTGCCTCCTGGGTTCAAGTGATTCTCCTGCCTCAGCCTCCCTCAGCTGGGATTACAGGCATGTGCCACCACACCCGGCTAATTTTTGTATTTTTAGTAGAGACAGGGTTTTTCCATGTTGGTCAGCCTGGTCTCGAACTCCGGACCTCAGGTGATCCACCCGCCTCGGCCTCTCAAAGTGCTGGGATTACAGGTGTGAGCCACCGCGCCCGGCTTGGTACTTTTTAAGTGTAAAATTTTAATCCTTGTCCTGGGCTTTGACCCTTGTGTTTGATCTAAATGACGTTTCATAGGTAAATGTCTTTTGACTAGTGCGCTTACTGTTATGTGAAGAATTTAATCTTCACATATAAGTTTTGAATATAAATCAGGTTTGAATATAAAATCAGGTTTGATACATGATATAAAAGTTGTGTATTTAAATTCAGGAAAATGTTTTGTGGACTATTTCTACTAAAGAATGTATTAAATTAAAATATTTAAAAACATGAAGCAGTGATCTGTTAACTAGACAGGTCAGTTATCTGAGCTGTGTAAATCACTGTCTGGCACAACAGTTGAATCACCTTGACACTGAGCTCAGGAGCAGCCCATTTAAGAAGCATCTTGTAAATAACAAAGTGACACCTTCGAGATTACAGTTGTAACTATGCAGGTCATTCATAGAGTAGCTTTGGGCTCTCTTCTAAAGGAGGACCCATTACATGAAGATAGACCTTTCATGTCTTGTTGCCGATGTCTCTTGTGATCCAGAAATGCCAGGATGGTTGTTTCAAATGCATTGGGTATGAATTGCACCTTGAATTTGCCCTTCCCTTTTTGGGTTAAACCTTTTCACATAGCTGCTGCTGCTCCTCAGCAGTCCATCCCCTGGACAGAGATGGCCTCTCAGGACCTGGAGCAGAGCTGTAGGAAGCTGCCCTCTCTTATGGTAGATGTGGCCCATCACAATATACCTGCTGCCTGGACAAAATAACCAGAACATTAATTCATAGCGTCTTTTAAATGCCATGAAACAGAAAATATAAGGCCTTTAAGAAATACCTAAGCTGCAATCTACTATCTTGCTGCACAAGTTGAAACTGATATTTAGTCTACAGGCAAGGTGGAAACAGTCTAGCGACCTTTAGAAGATAACCAACCCAACCAGGCCAGTGCAGTGGCTCACGCCTTTAATCCTAGCACTTTGGGAGGCCGAGGCGGGCAGATTACTTGAGGTCAGGAGTTTGAGACCAGCCTAGCCAACATGGTGAAACCCCATCTGTACTAAAAATACAAAAAGTAGCACGGGGTGTGGGGAAGGGAAAGCAATACGTAACCAGCCCACATTACAGAACAAAGGTCCTTATCACATTGTATCAGGATTTCCCAGAGCACATGCCTAGAAAGATGTGGGAGTGGGGCTGGGCGCAGTGGCTCAGCCTGTAATCCCAGCTACTTGGGAGGCTGAGGGCAGGAGAATGGCTTGAACCTGGGGGACGGAGGTTGCAGTGAGCTGAGATGGCGCCATTGCACTCCAGCCTGGGCAACAGAGCGAGACTCTGTCTAAAAAAAAAAAAAAAAAAAAAAAAAAGATGTGGGAGTGGGTATTCCCCGCTACCAACCCTCCACACACTCCCCCAAAAAAGCAGCTTTTCTAAACTCAGTTCTGTACAGTCCCTTCTGGCAATGGTGTTTGGTGGTCGCTCACTCCATTTGTCAACATCTATTTATTGACAGCCCGCTTTGTGCCAACAGCTGCCGTTCTCACCCGTGGGGGTGGGGCTGACGGTGCTTAAATCACAGTGGCGGAAATAATACCTGTCGTCTAAATCCTAATCATGTTACAATACTGTCCCCCATCCGTCCCAAAAAAAGACTGGACGACCCACAGCCCGGGCTGTGGCACCCACGTTACAAACGGTGGTATAAAGTACATATGCAGCGTCATTCAGCTCAGTTTCAATACCAGGTTTAAACTCTGGACACGGTTTATTGCAGCTGGAGGAGTCCAGGACTAACATGTGGACTCGGAAGAAGAAGACGTCGGGGGTGAGTGAGGTACAGGCGGTTCATCTTGTACAGCCCGTCCCGATCCACCAGCAGGGTCACCAGCCAGATGCCCGCGCCCAGCACGTCCACGTCATGCACTATCCCGTTCATCGCTGCTTCCAAAAAACAGTTTGGGAACCCCAGTTCCTCTCCCAGTCCCTGGGCGTTGGTTTTTAGCAACAGCGAAACGGCCCGCATGGGTCGGGCGCCCTGGGATCTCGCGTGCAGGATTCTCCGGGACTCGGAAAGGCTCGCGGGGCGGCGGCGCGGCGGCCGGGCTCACCGATTTCGCGCTTGCAGAACGCCTCTCGCCCGTCCATGCCCGCCCGGCAAGCGCAAGCGCAGAGCTCGGCGCCGGGCTCCGCGTCCCTGCGCGGCTGACTGAGGCCGAATCTGAAGCTGAGGCGCGGCGGCGGCGCGGGCGGCGAGCCGGGGGCCGGCACAACGGCGCGCGGCCGGTTGGGGTGGGCAGGGCCGGCGGGGCCCTCGGCGGCGCGCGCGCGCGGCCGGGCGGCGGGGAAGCGTAGGGCCCGTGAGCGCGCGCGTCTCGGGGCTTCCTCCGTCGCGGGCCCGCGGCGCGGCGACGCGCGGTTCTCGGCTTGCGCCAGGCGCGGGCCTGTGGGAGCGTGTGCGGCCTCACGGAAGGTGGCCCGGTTGTCGGCCGGCGGCTGAGGCCTGGGCGCCCCCTCCCCAGATCCCCGCTCCGCTCCCAGGGCTCCGCACTACACCGATCTTACTTTTTCTCTCCACCGGAGCTTCGGGGGATGATCCGACGATTAAACAGAGGAGCCAGAAAGCTCTAGCTGTCATTTTTGCAGACAGGGTTCCCAGGCTCTAAAAGTGAGCCTGGGCTTTTGCTTGCTTTCTCTCCTCTAACCCCTTCTCCACACCCGCGTCCCCGTTCATGCTAATGAGGGGCAGCCTTTGGGGAAACGGGAATCACTCGCTGAGCAGACCATTGGAACAAAACCGAGCCGCAGGGATTTCTCCCTCTTCCTTCCTAAGGGGGACGAGCACATGGCCTCGCAAAGTTGTCCCCGAGAATGTCTGTCCTGTGATCTGCGGGCGAGGATAGCATCACAGCCTAAACTTTAAACTCGTGTGCGTTTGCGCGCTGCGGTGGGGGCAGCAGAGGGTGGGGTGACAAGTGCGGAGAATAAGGGTGTTTCGGGACTGAGGGACTGAGTGGGGGAGAAAGAGTGATGGCCGCTTTTTTCTAGATTAGGTCAACAACAAATAGGAAAATAGTGCTTAAGACAGCGTGGGTTTGTGGAAGGGAGGAGATTCCAGATGACAGAGAATGTATCCTGGAATGTGTATGTTAGGCAATTTCTAGAGACACCAAGTCACTGCTTCCTAAGTTTAGTAAAACTGTTTCATTATATATGACAGCTCACTGTAACCTCTGCCTCCCGGGTTCAAGCGATTCTCGTGCCTCAGCCTCCCAAGTAGCTGGGATTACAGGCATACGCCACCATGCCAGGCTAATTTTTGTATATTTAGCAGAGACGGGGTTTCACCGTGTTGGCCAGGCTGGTCTCAAACGCCCGACCTCAAGCCATCCACCCGCCTTGGCCTTCCAAAGTGCTGGAATTACAGGCATCAGCCACGACGGCCGGCACAGAGGTCTAATTATTAATCAGAAGGTTGCCTGTTGAGGCCGGGCATGGTGGCTCGTGCTTGTAATCCCAGGACTTTGGGAGCCTGAGACAGGAGGATCTCTTGAGCTCAGGAGTTCAAGACCAGCCTGAGCAACATGGAGAGACCCTGTCTCTACAAAAAATACAAAAATTAGCCGGGCATGGTAGCTCACGCCTTGGTCCCAGCCACATGGGAAGCTGAGGTGGGAGGATCGCTTGAGCCTAGGAGGTGGAGGTTGCAGTGAGCCGAGATCGTGCCACTGCACTCCAGCCTGGGTGACGGAGACCCTGTCTCAAAACCGAAAAAAAAAGAAAGAAGAAGAAGAAGGAAGAGGAGGAGGAAGAGGAGGAGGAGAGGAAGAGGAAGAAGAGTAGGAAGAGGAGGAGGAGGAAGGAGGAGGAGAAGGAAGAGAAAAGAAGAAGGAGAAGAAGGAGAAGGAGGAGAAGAAGAAGAAGAAGAGGAGAAAAAAAGAAGAAGAGGAAGAAGAAGAAGAAGAAGAAGAAGAAGAAGAAGAAGAAGAAGAAGAAGAAGAAGAAGAAGAAGAAGAAAGGAAATTTGTCCGTTGAGCATTAAATCAAAGAAGAGAAATTTGCCAAATTGCAGCTGAAGGAGGTGGGTTAATCTACCCTCATTCAGGTGTTGGAGGAATGAATTATCTTCTCCCTCCAAAAGAGCAAACCTCTACAGCCACTGCAAAGCTTGGGTACACCAGAGTCAGGTTCTCCAGACTAGACAGGCCCAGATAAACACTAGTCATATAAACACTAGTAAGTTCATGCCCTCGGGGCCCTGTTCATAGATGTCCTCAGATCCCCTTCTTTCACGTGCTCTTTATTTAAGTCAAGTGGAATAAAATTCACTAGGCTTAAGATTTCTCAGTTACAACCACATCTCTGACATACATTCAAATCACCCACATCCTGCTGGGGGTGTTCCCAAAACTCTTCTGTTGCAGGAATGTTGTGAATGCCCTGAAACCCACACCCTGAAATGTAGAGACAGAGAGCAAGCTGGATGGTTCCCAGGGGCTCCCAGAGCCTCCTGGGGTGGCAACAGCTGGAAGAACTCACCAGAGTCCAGTGCTGGGTCTTGGGCAGTGTCTGGCTTGCAGCCTTAGAAATCACACTAATGGTGGAAGGTACAAAGAGTTCAAAGAGACTGATCTATGTAGCCAGAATGCCAGTTTATTAATTTACAGTGAGAAATCAACTCAGAAATGCAACTCACGTCAGCCTGGGTAGCATTCTCTTTCTATAAACAAGCCACACAGGAAGCCAAGTTATCATCAGGTTGCTTGGTAATATAAACCAGAGCCCAGGGAGTTTGTCACCTGATTGGAATGTTTAACAGTATTGGTTTCTCACAGCCTAATGTGTTCATCTTTACAATAGGTGTGTATACCTGTCGGGAGGAAGAACCCAAGAGACCAACTGGCAACTTCCTTGATAATTTCTGGTATTTTGAGTGTATGTTTCTGCTTAGCAAATATTTATTGAGCATCTACTGTGTGTTGTATAATAAAGAATTTGTAGGCCAGGCTCAGTGGCTCACACATGTAATTCCAGCACTTTGGGAGACTGAGGGAAGCGGATCACTTGAGCTCAAGAATTCAAGACCAGCCTGGTCTCTACAAAAAAAAAAAAAAAAAGTCAGCTGAGGTGGTAATTCTAGAGAATTTGAATTATCCAGAATGACTCACAGAACTCAGGATAGCATTTTACTTACAATGAATTGTATTATTATTTTGTCGGTTCATTATTTTATGTTTATTTTATCTTATTTTAATAGAGATGGTGGGAGCCAGATGCAGTGGCCCACACCAGTAATCCCAGCACTTTGGGAGGCTGAGGCGGGCAGATCACTTGAGGTCAGGAGTCCAAGACCAGCCTGGCCAACCTGGTGAAACCCTGTCTCTCTCTCTTTTTTTTTTTTTTTTTTTTGAGACAGAGTCTCACTCTTGTTGCCCAGTCTGGAGTGCAGTGGCACAATCTCGGCTCACTGCAACCTCCACCTCCCAGGTTCAAGCGATTCTCCTGCCTCAGCCTCCCAGGTAGCTGGGATTACAGGCATGTGCCACCACGACCTGCTAATACTGTATTTTTGGCAGAGACGGGGTTTCTCCATGTTGGTCAGGCTGGTCTCAAACTCCCGACCTTAGGTGATCTGCCCGGCTCAGCCTCTCAAAGTGCTGGGATTACAGGCATGAGCCACCGTGCTCAGCCTTTTTTTTTTTTTTTTTTTTTTGAGACAGAGTCTGGCTTTGTCACCCAGGCTGGAGTGCAGTGGTGTGATCTCAGCTCACTGCAACCTCCACCTCCTGGGTTCAATCGATTCTCCTGTCTCAGCCTCTCAAGTAGCTGGGATTATAGGCACACACCACCATGCCTGGCTAATTTTTGTATTTTTAGTAGAGACGGGGTTTCACCATGTTGGGCAGACTGGTCTCAAACTCCTGGGCCAAGTAATCTGCCCACCTCAGCCTCCCAAAGTTCTGGGATTACAGGCGTGAGCCACTGCACCGGGCTCCATTTTATCTTCTGTCTCTACAATTATTTATTTGTTTGTTTGTTTGTTTATTGAGACAGGGTCTCACTGTTGCTTAGGCTGGAGTGCAGTGGCAAAACTCTATCAAGGCTCACTGTGGCCTTGACCTCGCGGGACTCAGGTGATCCTCCCTCCTTCGCCTCCAGAGTAGCTGGGACTACAGGTACCCACCACCAAACCCAGCTAACTTTTATATTTTCTGTAGAGATGGGGTTTCACCATGTTGGCCAGGCTGGTCTCCAACTCCTGGGCTCAAGCTAACTAACCTCCTTGGCCTCACAAAGTGCTTGGATGACAGGCATAAACTACCACACCCGGATTTCCTTGTTACTCTAGGAGACATTCTGGAACTTGTACATCAGCTGCTGATTTCATTTTCAGTGCCATCAATTCTGCTTTTTGCTCTGTCCAATGAGGATCTTCCTTCCTTTCTTTTTTCTTTTCTTTTCTTTTTTTTTTTTTTCCAAGACCGAGTTTTGCTCTTGTTGCCCAGGCTGGAGTGCAATGGCTTGATCTCGGCTCACCGCAACCTCCGCCTCCCGGTTCAAGTGATTCTCCTGCCTCAGCCTCCCAAGTAGCTGGGATTACAAGTTACGGGAATTCTCACAAAAGTACAAGGAGAAATAGTCCTTATGAAGAAGGAAATTATAAAAAGGGAATAGACTGAAATGAACAAACAACAGGATGAACAAAAAAGGAAGCTGACTAATAATTCCTGAGCTTTTAAATCCTTACTGGGGCCAGGCGCAGTGGCTCACGCCCTTAATCCCAGGACTTTGGGAAGCTGAAGCGAGCAGATAGCTTGAGCCCAGGAGTTTGAAACCAGCCTAAGCAACATGGCAAAATCCCATCTCTATTAATTAAAAAAGAAGAAGAAGAAGAAGAAGAAGAGGGGAAGGGAGAAAGGAAGGAAGATCGGCCGGGCGCAGTGGCTCACGCCTATAATGCCAGGACTTTGGGAGGCCAAGGCAGGTGGATCACCTGAGGTCAGGAGTTTGAGAGGCCCGGTGCAGTGGCTCATGCCTGTAATGCTAGCACTTTGGGAGGCCAAGGTGGGTGGATCACTTGAGGCCAGGAGTTCAAGACCAGCCTGTGCAATATGATGAAACCCCGTCTCTACTGAAAATATAAAAATTAACCAGGTATGATGGTGCTCGCCTGTAGTCCCAGCTGCTCAGGAGGCTGAGACAGGAGAATTGCTTAAACTCGGGAGACGGAGTTTACAGTGAGCTCAGGTGGCATCACTGCACTCCAGCCTGGGCAACAGAGCAAGAACCTGTCTCAAAAAATAATAATAATAATAATTGTCTTTAGGATTCTTTGTCAACATTATTTGAGGTATGCTCTGCACATTTTTAAGGGGAAAATATTTTTACTTTTATTATTAAACATTTAAAAAGTTATGGAGAATAATGTAATGAATACCTGCATAAGTATAACCCGGTTTTATCAGATCTTAATATTTTCCCATACTTGTTTCTTTTTCTTCTTCTTCTTCTTCTTTTTTTTTTTTTTAGTGGTTAAAATATTACAAATATAGCCAGGCACCATGGCTCGGGCCTGTAATCCCAGCACTCTGGGAGGCCGAGGCGGGCAGATCACCTGAGGTCAGGCGTTTGAGACCAGCCTGACCAACATGGAGAAACCCCATCTCTATTAAAAATACAAAAAATTAGCTGGGTGTGGTGGTGCGTGCCTGTAATCCCAGCTACTCGGGAGGCTGAGGCAGGAGAATCACTTGAACGCAGGAGGTGGATGTTGCAGCGAGCTGAGATCGTGCCATTGCACTCCAGCCTGGGCAACAGAGCAAGACTCCATCTCAAGAAAAAAAAAATTACAAATATAGTTTGTAGTAACCATCCTCCAAATAGCCAGTCCCCAGTGGCCCCCACTTTCTGGTATTCACATACCATGTAGTCTCCCCTACCCTGTAGCAGGGTTGGTCTGGGAGACTGATAGCCTATGGAAGAAGTGATAATATACACTTCCAAGATTAGGTTACAGAAAGACCGAACTCTTTTTCTAAAAAAAAATTTTTATTTCCATAGGATATTGGGGAACAGCTGGTGTTTGGTTACGTAAGTAAGTTCTTTAGTGGTGATTTGTGAAATTTGTGTGCACCCATCACCCAAGCAATATAGACTGCACCCAATTAATAGTCTTTTATCCCTCACCCCCTTCCCATCCTTTCCCCCTGATTCCCCAAAGTCCACTGTGTCATTCTTATGCCTTTGCATCCTCCTAGCTTAGCTCCCATTTATGAGTGAGAACGTACGATGTTTGGTTTTCCATTCCTGAGTTACTTCGCTGAGAATAATAGTCTCCATAGACGGGGCACGGTGGCTCATGCCTGTAATCCCAGCACTATGCGAGGCCGAGGTGGGTGGATCACCTGAGGTCGGGAGTTTGAGACCAGCCTGACCAACAGGGAGAAACCCCGTCTCTACTAAAAATACAAAATTAGCCAGGCATGGTGGCGCATGCCTGTAATCCCAGCTACTTGGGAGGCTGAGGCAGGAGAATCGCTTGAACCCGGGAGGCGGAGGTTGCGGTGAGCCAAGATCCCGCCATTGCACTCCAGCCTGGAGAACAAGAGTGAAACTACGTCTCAAAAAAAAAAAAAAAAAAAAGAGAATAGAGAGCCATGCAGTCCAAGCGGGATTGTGAGCTGTGGTGTGAGAGGGTGAAGGCGGCGCTGGAGGCGTGGGTCAGGGAGACAGGCATCGCCTGGTGCAGGTGAACGGGCAGAGGAAGTATGGCGGGCCACCCCCAGGCTGGGTGGGCAGCCCGCCGCCGGCTGGGTCAGAGGTGTTCATCGGGCGGCTGCCTCAGGAAGTGTATGAGCACCAGCTATCCTGCTGTTCCAGCGCGTGGGCCGCCTCTACGAGTTCCGCCTGATGATGACCTTCAGCGGCCTGAACCGCGGCTTCGCATATGCCCGCTGCAGCTCGCGGCGCGGCGCGCAGGCCGCCATCGCCCGCTGCACAACCACCCGCTGCGGCCGTCCTGCCCGCTGCTCGTGTGCCGCAGCACCGGGAAGTGTGAGCTGAGCGTTGACTGCCTGCCGCCGAATCTGACCCGCACCGCGCTGCTGCCCGCGCTGCTGCCCGCGCTGCAGCCGCTGGGTCCCGGCCTGCAGGAGGCGCGGCTGCTGCCCAGCCCCGGACCTGCGCCCGGGCAGATCGCTCTGCTCAAATTCAGCTCGCACTGGACCGCTGCCATGGCCAAAAAGGCCCTGGAGGAAGGGCAGCCACACCTCTGTGGAGAGCAGGTGGCTGTGGAGTGGCTCAAGCCAGAACTGAAGCAGCGACTTCGCCAGCAGCTTGTGGGTCCCTCCTTGCGGTCCCCACAGCCAGAGGGCAGCCAGTTGGCCTTGGCAAGGGACAAGTTAGGGTCCCAAGGGGCTCGGGCTACCCTGCAGTTGCTGTGCCAACGAATGAAGCTGGGCAGCCCTGTGTTCCTCACCAAGTGTTTGGGCATAGGACCTGCTGGCTGGCACCGCTTCTGGTACCAGGTGGTGATTCCTGGGCATCCGGTGCCCTTCAGCGGCCTCATCTGGGTTGTGCTGACCCTAGATGGCCGGGATGGGCATGAGGTGGCCAAGGATGCTGTGTCTGTAGGGCTGCTGCAGGCACTCAGTGAGTCTGGGGCCAACCTCCTGTGGTCTGCTGGGGCTGAGGCAGGTAGCATGGTTAAACAGTGACTCCATTCTCTCTCCACAGGCAGCCCGAATGGGCATGCAGAGCCTGTATCAGGCCCCAACCCAGCAAACCTGGGTGGCCACTATCTGACCCCCAAAGGTGGGGAGGGGCATGGGCCCAGGCCCATCAGCCTCCCTGCTGGGACAGGGACCTATGGCACCTGGGGGCAGCTTAGGTTTGGCTTAAGTTGTGGTGAGGGGCCTTGCCCTCCCCCTCCCAGCCCAGGGTCCAACCTGACCCAGTTATCTTCCATGGCCATTCCTTATCCCACCCCCACCCGATCATACCTTCCCCCCTCTGCCACAGCTTAGCATGAATCTTCTTTATTGTCCTGATTTGTCCTCTTTGTTGGTTTTTATTTGTGGGGAAGGGCAGCTGAGCCAAAGGGGTCAGAAATTCTGCCCTTTGCCTCCACCACATGGCATTCTGGTTTTGGTTTCTGTATAGTTTTGGGTCTTTCTATGCTGGTTGTATTTATGTTAAACCCCTGGTTAGTAAAAAAAAAAAAAAAAAAAAAAAAAAAAAAAAAATAGGCCGGGTGCGGTGGCTCATGCCTGTAATCCCAGCACTTTGGGAGGCTGAGGTGGGCGGATCACGAGGTCAGGAGATCGAGACCATCCAGGCTAACATGGTGAAACCCGGTCTCTACTAAAAATACAAAAAAAAAATTAGCCGGGCGTGGTGGCAGGCGCCTGTAGTCTCAGCTACTTGGGAGGCTGAGGCAGGAGAATGGTGTGAACCCAGGAGGCAGAGCTTGCAGTGAGCCAAGATTGCACAACTGCACTCCAGCCTGGGTGACCAAGTGAGACTCTATCTCAAAAAAAAAAAAAAAAAAAAAAAAAGAATAATAGTCTCCAATCCTGTCCAGGTTGCTGCAAATGCCATTAATTCATTCCTTTTTATGACTGAGTAGTATTCCACTGTATATCTATACCACAGTTTCTTTAGCCACTCATTGATTGATGGGCATTTGGACTGGTTCCACATTTTTACAATTGTGAATAGTGCTACTATAAACATGTGTGTGCAAGAATCTTTTTCGGCCAGGCGTGGTGGCTCACGCCTGTAATCCCAGCACTTTGGGAGGCCAAGGCAGGTGGATCACAAGGTCAAGAGATCAAGACCATCCTGGCCAACATGGTAAAACCCCATCTCTATTAAAAATACAGAAAGTAGCTGGGCATAGTGGCACACGCCTGTAATCCCAGCTACTTGGGAGGCTGAGGCAGGAGAATCACTTGAACCCAGGAGGCAGAGGTTGCAGTGAGCTGGGATCGTGCCGCTGCACTCCAGCCTGGCGACAGAGCGAGACTCCATCTCAAAAAAAAAAGAATCTCTTTCATATAATGACTTAGAAAGACTGAACTCTTACCTGGGCTGTGTGTGTTCTCTCTCTTTTTTAGTCATTCACTCTAGCTATGTGGGGAGGACATTCAAGCAGTCTATGGAGAAGTCCAGGTAGTAAGCCAATGAAGTCTTCAACCAATATTCAGTAAGGAACTACAGCCTGCCAACAACCAATGAGTGACCTTGAATGCATATTTTCTCCCAATTGAGTCTTCAGATAAGAGTGCAGCCCCAGGCCACTGCTTGACTGAAACATCCCAAGAGAACTGAGCAGAACCACCCAGCTAAGTCCCTCCCAGATTCCTGGCCCACAGAAAGTGTGATATAATAAATGTTTTTTGTTTTAAGCTGCTAAATGTTGGGGATCATTTTTTTTTTTTTTGACATGGGCCTCACTCTGTCGCCTAGGCTGGAGTGCAGTGGTATGATCATGGCTCATTGCAGCCTCAACCTCCAAGGCTCAAGGGATCCTCCCATCTCAGCCTCCCAAGTAGCTGGGATCACAGGTGTGTACCACCACACCTGACTTTGGTGTTTTTTTTTTTTTTTTAAGTAGAAACAAAGTCTTGCTTTGTTGTCCAGGCTGGTCTGGAACTCCTGGGTTCAAGTAATCCTCCCTCTTCAGGCTCCCAAAGTGCTGGTATTACAGGCATGAGCCACTATGCCTGGCCCAATTGTTAAATCTTTTTTAAATTTTATTATTTTTTTCTTTTTTGTTCAAAGTGTTACTTTTTTTTTTTTTTTTTTTTTGAGACAGAGTCTAACTCTGTTGCCTGGGCTAGAGTGCAGTGGCACGATCTTGGCTCACTGCAACCTCCGCCTCCCAGGTTTAGTTCAAGCAATTCTCCTGCCTCAGCCTCCCGAGTAACTGGGATTACAATCACGTGCCACCACACCCAGCTAATTTTTTGTATTTTTAGTAGAGACAGGGTTTTGCCATGTTGGCCAGTCTGGTCTTGAACTCCTGACCTCAGGTGATCCACCCTCCTCGGCCTCCCAAAGTGCTGGGATTACAGGTGTGAGCCACCATGCCCAGCCTAGTGTTAAATCTTTATAACAACATAAGTACGAGGTTGAGACTTATTACCCTGTTTTACAGATGAGTAACTGAGGCACAGAAAGGTTGAGTTACTTGGCCAAGGTTATACAGCTAATAATTACAGGATGCCAAAACCGCTAGCTTCTGCCAGTGCTCTTAATATAAGGTTGAAAGAAAAAAGAAGAGAAAAGAGCCAATTAACATAAAACATAGCTGTTAGAAGCCTCCTTCTACAAATGGCGATGAAGTCTAAGTTGATAATCATAGCCGCCTTCTTCACCACTTCTTCCAATCCCCTTTCGAAGGGTTCTGTGCCTCATAGGGACACTCAATACTTTATTCCATAAGACCTGACTTCTTGGTGGTCTTGTTTTTATTGGGTTGCTCTACTTTTCCATTAACCAGGTCTTAGGGTCAAGAGCCTGCTAAGATGTGTCCCCAGTGAATTTTTGGCTTTCAGACATAGCCTCCTTCCTCCATTAAGTAACAGAGCCATTTTCCTCTTGCTAATCATATGTAAAGAGGCTAGTTCGGTGATGGTTTTAGTCAGCTCAGTATTACATACTGGGTGGCTTAAACAATAGACATTGATTACTCACAGTTCTGGAGGCTGGGAAGTCCCATATCAGGGTGATAGCACAATTGGGTGCTGGCAAGGGCTCTTTTCCTAGCTTGCAGATGGCTGCCTTCTTGCCATATCTTCACTTGGTGGACAAAGAGAAGAAAGGCTCTCTGGTCTCTTCTTTTTTTTTTCTTTTTGTTTTGAGACAGAGACTCTCCAGATGCTCTCTCTGTCCAGGTTGGAGGCTGGAGTGCAATGACATGATCTGGGCTCACTGCAACCTCCACCTCCTGGGTTCAAGCGATTCTCCCACCTCAGCCTCCCAAGTAGCTGGGATTACAGACTTGCGCCACCACGCCCAGCTAATTTTTGTATTTTTAGTAGAGATGGCTTTTCACCATATTGCCCAGGCTGGTCTCAAACGCCTGATCTCAAGTGATCCACCCACCTTGGCCTCCCAAAGTGCTGCGATTTCAGGGGTGAGCCACTAGCCAGACCACCTGGTCTTTTCTTTTAAGACACTCATCCCATCATGGGGCACTGTCAGCCTAATTACGTCCCAAAGGCCCCACCTTCTAATACCATCACATGGAGGTGAGGGCTTCAACATAAGAATTTGGGGGCCGAGGCCGGGTGTGGTGGCTCACCCCTGTAATCCCAGCACTTTGGGAGGCTGAGGCAGGCAGATCACGAGGTCAGGAGATCGAGACCATCCTGGCTAACACGGTGAAACCCCGTGTCCACTAAAAATACAAAAAATTAGCCAGGCGTGGTGGCGGGCGCCTGTAGTCCCAGCTATTCGGGAGGCTGAGGCAGGAGAATGGCGTGAACCCAGGAAGCAGAGCTCGCAGTGAGCCAAGATCATGCCACTGCACTCCAGCCTGGGTGACAGAGCGAGACTCCGTCTCAAAAAAAAAAAACAAAAAACAATTTGGGGGCCGGGCGCGGTGGCTCATGCTGGTAATCCCAGCACTTTGGGAGGCTGAAGTCAGCAGATTACCTGAGGTCGGGAGTTTGAGACCAGCCTGACCAACATGGAGAAACCCCATCTCTACTAAAAATACAAAATTAGCCGGGTGTGGTGGCGTATGCCTGTAATCCCAGCTAACTCGGTAGGCTGAGGCAGGAGAATCACTTGAACCTGAAAGGTGGAGGTTGCAGTGAGCAGAGATCGCGCCACTGCACTCTAGCCTGGGCAACAAGAGCAAAACTCCATCTCAAAAAAAAAAAAAAAAAAAGAATTTGGGGAGGATGCAAACACTTAGCCCATAATAGTAGCCGCCTTCCATCCTTATTGATTCAGCAGCATGAGGAACTTTAAATGGCCAGCTTCGGCTGGGCAAGGTGGCTCATGCTTGTAATCCAAGCACATTGAGAGGCCGAGGAAGGAAGATCACTTGAGCCCAGGAGTTCCAGAGCACTCTTGGGCAGCATACTTGCCCATAGTGTAAAAATTAGCTGGGCAGGGCTGGGCTTGATGGCTCACACCTATAATCCCAGCACTTTGGGAGGCCGAGGTGGGTGGATCACCTGAAGTCGGGAGTTTGAGACCAGCCTGGCCAACATGGTGAAACCCCACCTCTACTAAAAATACAAAAATTAGCTGGGCATAGTGGTGTGCGCCTATAATCCCAGCTACTTGGGAGGCTAAGGCAGGAGAATCGCTTGAACCCAGGAGGCAGAGGTTGCAGTGAGCTGAGATCACACCACTGCACTCCAGCCTGGGTGACAGAGACTCTGTCAGAAAACAAAACAAAACAAAAAAAACAGGCGCGGTGGCTTATGTCTGCAATCCCAGTGCTTTGGGAGGCTGAGGCAGGCGGATCACAAGGTCAGGAGTTGAGACCAGCCTGGCCAACATGGTGAAACCCCGCCTCTACTAAAAAAAAAAAAATTGCCAGGCGCGGTGGCACATGCCTGTAATCCCAGCTACTCCGGAGGCTGAGACAGGAGAATCGCTTCAACCCAGGAGGTGGAGGTTGCAGTGAGCCAAGACCGCGCCACTGCACTCTAGCCTGGGCAACAAAATGAGACTGCGTCTCAAAAAAAAAAAAAATTAGCTGGGCAAGGTGGCATGCGACTGTAGTACCAGCTACTCAGGAGGCTAAGGTAGGAGGATCTCTTGAGCCTGGGAGCCTGGGAAACAAGAGTGAGATTCTGTCTCTAAATAAATAAATAAATAGATAGATAAATAAATAAATAAATACAATAAATGGCCAGCCTCGGCTTCCAGTTGAATAAAACCATAATAGTATTTCCTGATCTACACATTTCTTCCTTTGGCACTAGGACCTCTGGACCCACTGAGTCCCGGGTCCCTGGCAAGGAAAGCAAAAATTCTTCATGTGAATTATTAGGGGCCACAGTGGGAGGAGCCACTCCCATCTCCTCTCCTCGGTTCCTGGACTCATTCTAGCATGGTCTAAGTCTAGGAACGGCAGTGCTAGCAGAAGTCCCGCAGGCAAGGGAGGCAAATCCACACCCAGAACACGGGTCTGTCGTTGTGAGGATGAGGCACTGTCCTTACACCCCAGTCTGGTCCTACAAAAAAGGATGGCCTCTCAGGGTGCGACCTTCACCTTGGAGCAGCGCCCTCTGCTGGCCGCCTCTAAGATCTGTGGCCACTTGCATCCCCCTTCTAATCTTCCCCTACCTCTGTTGGTTCAAATCCTCTCTCAGTTTATTAATCCTTGGAAAGAATTACATAGCGGTTATTCACAGCTTGTAAATTACAATAGAAAGGTTCCTTTCAAATGGTAGAGTTGCACTAAAGAGGAAATTGGGTTTATAAGAAAATGCACCTCTCCCTCTCCCTCTCCCCCTCCCCTCCCCCTCCCTCTCCCTCTCCCCACGGTCTCCCTCTCCCTCTCTTTCCACGGTCTCCCTCTGATGCTGGACTGTACTGCCGCCATCTCGGCTCACTGCAACCTCCCTGCCTGATTCTCCTGCCTCAGCCTACCAAGTGCCTGCGATTGCAGGCACGCGCCGCCACGCCTGACTGGTTTTCGTATTTTTTTGGTGGAGACGGGGTTTCGCTGCGTTGGCCGGGCTGGTCTCCAGCTCCTAACCGCGAGTGATCCGCCAGCCTCGGCCTCCCGAGGTGCCGGGATTGCAGACGGAGTCTCGTTCACTCAGTGCTCAGTGGTGCCCAGGCTGGAGTGCAGTGGCGTGATCTCGGCTGGCTACAACCTCCACCTCCCAGCCGCCTGCCTTGGCCTCCCAAAGTGCCGAGATTGCAGCCTCTGCCCGGCCGCCACCCCGTCTGGGAAGTGAGGAGCGTCTCTGCCTGGCTGCCCAGTCTGGAAAGGGAGGAGCGTCTCTGCCCGGCCGCCATCCCATCTAGGAAGTGAGGAGCGTCTCTGCCCGGCCGCCCATCGTCTGAGATGTGGGGAGCGCCTCTGCCCCGCCGCCCCGTCTGGGATGTGAGGAGCGCCTCTGCCCGGCCGTGACCCCATCTGGGAGGTGAGGAGCGTCTCTGCCCGGCCGCCCCATCTGAGAAGTGAGGAGACCCTCCGCCCGGCAACCGCCCTGTCTGAGAAGTGAGGAGCCCCTCCGCCCGGCAACCGCCCTGTCTGAGAAGTGAGGAGCCCCTCCGCCCGGCAGTCGCCCCGTCTGGGAATTGAGGAGCGTCTCCGCCCGGCAGCCACCCCGTCCGGGAGGGAGGTGGGGGGGTCAGCCCCCCGCCCGGCCAGCCGCCCCGTCCGGGAGGTGTACCCAACAGCTCATTGAGAACGGGCCATGATGACAATGGCGGTTTTGTGGAGTAGAAAGGGGGGAAAGGTGGGGAAAGGACTGAGAAGTCGGATGGTTGCCGTGTCTGTGTAGAGGCGGGTAGACATGGGAGACTTTTCATTTTGTTCTATACTAAGAAAAATTCTTCTGCCTTGGGATCCTGTTGATCTGTGACCTTACCCCCAACCCTGTGCTCTCTGAAACATGTGCTGTGTCCACTCAGGGTTAAATGGATTAAGGGCGGTGCAAGATGTGCTTTGTTAAACAGATGCTTGAAGGCAGCATGCTCCTTAAGAGTCATCACCACTCCCTAATCTCAAGTACCCAGGGACACAAAGACTGCGGAAGGCGCAGGGTCCTCTGCCTAGGAAAACCAGAGACCTTTGTTCACTTGTTTATCTGCCGACCTTCCCTCCACTATTGTCCTATGACCCTGCCAAATCCCCCTCTGCGAGAAACACCCAAGAATGATCAATTAAAAAAAAAAAAAAAGAAAGAAAATGGAGGCATGGTGGCACGCGCCTGTATTTCCAGCTACTTGGGAGGCTGAGGTGGGAGAATCACTTAAGCCCAGGAAGTGGAGGTTGCAGTGAACTGAGATTATGCCACTGCACTCCAACGTGGGTGACAGCGAGATCCTGTCTGAAAAAAAAAATCAATGAATCAAAGAATGGTGACCCCAGTAAATACCTGATACTTTATTTATTTGGCTCAATGAAAATAAAAAAGAGAATTTTATGCAAAAATTTCAGACAACTGAATTTTGCCAAATGATTCCATTTACTAAGGATTCCATCTTTGGTTCTAATGTAGTATATATTCCCTGTGGAGGAAATGGATTTCTCCAAATAACTGGATCCATAGTCATGTAATGCTAGTGGGGACAATCACCCCAGCTTAGATACCATCAAATGAATTCCAACATATGTGGGCTCTCCCATTATTTGTCTTCTCACCTGCCAGCCTGCCTCTCTTGGCAATGCTAGGATTCCAGAATCAGGCCCTAAGCTCAGCAAGGGCCTCCATGAGGGCCATATTACACCCTAAGATTCCCAGATGTCTATTTGGAACCACCTCTGACTTACTCCCTTATTTTGCCCCTGAAACTGCATGGGGACAAAGAAGAAATCATAAAAACAGGGATAATGGATATGGCCCTAAGTATTTTAATGTGGCCTATCAATAGTGTCGTCATACCATCCCTGTTTACCAAGCCTTTATGGCAATTTCTTCACCTTGATACTGTTGACATTTTCGGCTGGTCATCATTTTTTATGGGGGAATTGTCCTGTGTGTTTTAAGACGTTAAGCAGGACAGGTGAGGTGGCTCACACCTGTAATCCCAGCACTTTGGGAGGCTGAGGTGGGCTGATCACCTAAGGTTGGGAGTTTGAGACCAGCCTGACCAACATGGAGAAACCCCATCTCTACTAAAAATACAAAATTAGCCAGGCGTGATGGTGCATGCCCATAATCCCAGCTACTCGGGAGGCTGAGGCAGGAGAATCGCTTGAACCCGGGAGACAGAGGTTGCAGTGAGGCGAGATCGTGCCATTTCACTCCAGCCTGGGCAACAAGAGCAAAACTGTGTCTCAAAAAAAAAAAAAAAAAGATGTTAAGCAGCGTCCTTGACCTCTGCCCAGATATTGCCAAATGTCACTTGGGGAGCAAAATTGGCCCAGTTGAGAACCACGGGACTAAGGTAAGCAGAATTATCAGGATAAAACAGACAATTCACCTCTATCATACCAGAGTTTTTTGTTTGTTTTTTGAGACAGGGTCTTGCTCTGTCACCCAGGCAGGAGTGTGGTAGTGTGATCATAGCTCACTGCAGCCTCAAACTCCTGGGCTCTCAGGAGGCTGAGAAGCAGTGAGTCACAATTGTGCCACTACAATCCAGCCTTGGCAACAGAGGGAGAACCTTTCTCAAACAAACAAGAGGAAGAAGAGGAAGAGGAAGGAGAGGAAGAGGAAGAGGAAGAGAAGGAAGAGGAAGAGGAGAAAGGGGAAGGGAAGAGAAGGACAAGGAGAAGGAGAAGAAGAAGACTCTGGGGCTCAAGCCATCCTCCTGCCTGAGCCTCCCAAAGTACTGGGATTACAGGTGTGAGTCACTGAGCGTATTAGTCAGGGTTCTCTAGAGGGACAGAATTAATGGAATATATACAGGAGTTTATTAAGTATTAACTCACAGGATCACAAGGTCCCACAATAGGCCGTCTGCAGGCTGAGGAGCAAGGAGAGCCAGTCTGAGTTCCAAAACTGAAGAACTTGGAGTCCGATGTTGGAGGGTAAGAAGCATCCAGCACGGGAGGAAGATGTTGGCTGGGAGGCTAAGCCAGTCTCTCACATTTTTCTGCCTGCTTATATTCTAGCCTTGCTGGCAGCTGATTAGCTTGTGCCCACCCAGATTAAGGGTGGGTCTGCCTTTCTCAGCCCGCTGACTCAAATGTTAATCTCCTTTGGGAACACCCTCACGGACACACCCAAGATCAATATTTTGTATCCTTCAATCCAATCAAGTTGGCACTCAGTATTAACCATCACACTGAGCCTGGCCAAAGCTGGACTACTTGTAAGCTTTTGTCTGGAACCGTGATTTGGGAGCCAGTGGCCCGAGGACGATGAAAACTATCAGAGGTGGCTGGGCACAGTGGTTCATGCCTATAATCCCAGCACTTTGGGAGGCGGAGGTGGATGGATCACTTGAGGTCAGGAGTTTGAGACCAACCTGGCCAACATGGCAAAACCAGTCTCTACTAAATATACAAAAACTGGCCAGGCATGGTGGCTCACGCCTGTAATCCCAGCACTTTGGGAGGCCGAGGCAAGTGGATCGCCTGGGGTCAGGAGTTTGAGACGAACATGGTGAAACCCCATCTCTATTAAAAATATAAAGAACTAGTCGGGCATGGTGGCAGGCTCCTGTAGTCCCAGTTACTCGGGAGGCTGAGGCAGGAGAATTGCTTGAACCCGGGAGGTGGAGGTTGCAGTGAGCCGAGATCATGCCACTGCACTCCAGCCTGGGCGACAGAGCGAGACTCCATCTCAAAAACAAACAATCAGAGGCGCTGACTGCAGTGACAGCCATCTGGCTCTGACAGTTCCTGTGCTTCCAGCTTCTTGCTATTTCAGGGGCTCTGGTCTTGATTCTTGCAGGTTCCCAAACCTGGTCCTACAGCTCCCCACCTCCTGTCTCTTTAGTGGTTTAGTGGGCGCCCCCTCCCCTGTATCTTTCTAGTGAGTTTTAATGTGCTTTGCTTAGGTAGGGCTGGTTTGTTTCCATTGTTGGCAACAAGAAGGAATTGGTCAAGGAGTCTAAGAAGTTGTCTGGAGAACCAAGAAAAAGATTTCCTGGAAGCATAGAAAGAGTGTGTTTCCGGAAGAAAGATTTATCAAGAATTTCAAACATCAGGGCCAAGTCAAGCAGGACAAGGACTAAAAGGTGCTCCTTAAATTTGCCTATGAAGAGGCCACTGCTGGGGAGGAGTGTGTCAGGCGGCAGTGGAGGGAGGACAGCAAGTGTAAAGGAGACTCTGCAACCTCCACCTCCCAGCTTCAAGCACTTCTTGTGCCTCAGCCTCCTGAGTAGCTGAGATTACAGGTGTGTGCCACCACATCTGGCTAATTTGTGTATTTTTAGTAGAGATGGGGTTTCCACACAACTGGAATACTACTGAGCAATAAAAAGGAGTGAACAGTTGTCCCTCGGTGTCTGCAGGGGATTGGCTCCAGGACCCCCTGCCGACACCAAAGTCCACAGATGCTGAAGTCTTTTCTATGAAATGACATAATGTTTGTATATAGCCTCAGGTATACTTTAAATACCTAATACAGTGTAAATGGTATGTAAATAATTATACTGTATTTTAAATTTTCTACTGTTTTTATTGTCTTATAGTTATTTTATATATTTCATTTTTTTCAAGTATTCTCCATCCATGTTCAGTTGAATCCATGGATGAGGAACCTGCAGATATGGAGGGCCAGCTGTAGTGATGGGTGCAGCAACATGGATGGCAGCATAATTTCAAAAAATAATATGATAAGTGAGGCCAGGTGAGGTGGCTCACACGTGTAATCCTAGCACTTTGGGAAGCCAAGGCGGGCGGATCACTTGAGGTCAGGACTTCCAAACCAGCCTGGCCAACATGGTGAAACCTCGTCTCTACTAAAAATACAAAAATTAGCCAGGCGTGGTGGCATGTGCCTGTAATCCCAGCTACTCAGGAGGCTGAGGCAGGAGAATCACTTGAACCTGGGAGGTGGAGGTTGCAGTGAGTCTAGGTCATGCCGCTGCACTGCAGCCTGGGCAACAGTGAGACTCCATCTCAAAAAAGAAAAAATTATGCTAAGTGAAAGAAGTCAAATACAAGAGGCTACATGCTATATGATTTCATTTATAAGATATTCTGGAAAAGGCAAAACTATAGGAAATCAGATTAGTAGCTAACAGGGGCTGACGGTGGGAGGAGGTGATTGACTACAAAGGGACACGAGGGACCTTTTTGAGGCGACAGAAATGCTTTATATTGGGAATGTGGTGGTGGTTATGTAACTATACATTTGTCAAAACTCATCAAATTGTACACTTAAAAAGGGTGAATGTTAGTATATGAAAATTATATCTCAATAAACCTGACTTAAGAAAATAATAAAACAAACCTAAAAACGCAACAGGGTGAAAATAAGTCTAAGAAAAAAATAACTTACAGTTTTTCCAGTTCAACGGTCATCATGAGAATGTTCTTAAGTGTTGTAAGTGGGACTTGCGTTGTTCCCACGTCTCTGAAGAAGAAAGCCGAAACATTCATGATATGAACCCCAGTAAAAAATTCTGTACTTAAAAAGATAATTCAAGGACATGTGATTACTTCAATTTTGGCTTCCCTATAAAACAAGCCAGTTCAACAGTTTATTTGCCGCAAAATTCCAGAGAGCTCTTATTAAAGAAATTAAAGTTGATTTGCATCATCAAATTAATGATATTCAAGAGTAGGTCTTACACTGTTTTTTTTTTTTACCATTATCTTACTTCTCATTTTCATATTGCATTCACCCATCTTGATTATTTACTCTTTTCTTCCTTTTTAGAATAATGAACACCTTTTCCCCTTTGCTTTCTTGGTTAAGTAATATTCCTCCATGTGTCTACATGTTCCAAATCTATATGGGTTCTTCAACACTGTTCTCTTTCCCCTGCTGGCTATCTTGACCATTACACATCCTTTCCTTTGCCAATAATGTTTTTCAATAACTCAGTTAAAATTTAAATTATGACATTTTAGCCTAAATGCAAAATACTTAATCTTTGATGAAAAATTTAAAAAGAGTATAAATCATCTCATGACTCCCAAGAGTACTATAGTACTTACAGATATTTTAATGCCAGTAATTTAAAGAGATACGGATCTTCAACAGTTGTCAGAGGATTGCGATTGAGAATTCTGAAAAATGCAATGGAATTAAAATAACCTGCATTTTCAATGTGTGAAACTGCATAAGAAGTTTACATTCATTTTTTGGTATGGAACTTGTGGGTAAAAAAAAAAGTCATTTTCTGTTTTTACCTAATAAATCAACATTAGACTCCGTAAAGCATTATTCCTTTGGGAACTACCTAGATCTCTAGGAGATAAAGTAGAGGAGAGAAAGAGGGGGAAAAATAGGGAAAAAAAAGTGGATAGCAAAGAAACAATATGCCACAGAACTTTTCAGGTCGAAAACCCTAGAAGTGACTATGTTGGTAGGAAGCCCTGATTCTGTAGGAAACACTATTTCTAGTGTCCTCCATAATTCAAGTTGCTCATCTTTTTGTTTTGTTTTGTTTTGTTTTGTTTTGAGACAGAGTCTTGCTCTGTAGCCCAGGCTGGAGAGCAATGGCTCCATCTCATCTCACTGCAAACTCCGCCTCCCAGGTTCAAGCGATTCTCCTGCCTCAGCCTCCTGAGTAGCTGGGATTACAGGTGCCTGCCACCACACCTAGCTAATTTTTGTATTTTTAGTAGAGACAGGGTTTCGCGATGTTGGCCAGGCTGGTCTCGAACTCCTGATCTCAGGTTATCCACCTGCCTCGGCCTCCCAAAGTGTTGGGATTATAGGTGTGAGCCACTGAATCTGACCGCTTGCCTTTTATCTTTATAAAGTTATTAAAATTTATGGTTTAATTTGCAAAGTTAAGAAAAAAAAATAGGACCAATTCTTTTGCTTTATAGCCAAAGAAAAAGGGATAAATCTAAGAGGAGGAACTGGTCAAAACCATACTCCCATCACATACTCCCACTTGTCTTCTTGTATGACATCATAGCCTTTGTTACATTGCATGTAATCACCTGTCTACTTGTCAGTCTCCTGGACTATCAGCTCCCTGAGGGCAGAGACCACATCTTATTGTCATTGTCATCCCTGTGCCTGGCATGATGTCTGAAATTTACCAGACATTTAATAAATGTTTATTGAATAAACAAATGACATTTTATTTGTATGTCAATAAAATGAATAAATTCTTTTTGATGCAAATTTTTATTCCAAAATGCTGGAATCAATTTTCTTTTTAATTCTTTAAAGTGAACAAGGAAAAGAAAAGAAACAGGAAGAAATAAAAGAAAATCTGCCTTTAGGTTAACCCAAGAATCATCACCATACTTTTGCAGAAATTATAAAAATAATAATTATTACAGTGAGTATCTATTGGGCTGCTAGGTATTTGTGATCAGCATTTCACATTTAATCCTCACAATGCCTTATGGGCTAGATATTATTATTGCCCTATTTTATAAATGAGGAAACTGAGGCACAGAGAGGTTACATAACGTCCTACATCACCAAGCTATTAAGAAGCAAAGCTGTAATTTGAAGTCATGTGTTTTAATCTGTATGAAGAAAAAGGGTTTACTTTAACCTTATGGTTTTTTAATTTTTATTTTATTTCTCTTTCTTTCTTTCTTTTTCTTTCCTTCTTTCTTTCTATTTCCCTCCCTCCCTCCTTCTTTCCCTTTCTTCCTCCCTTCCCTCCCTCCCTCTCTTCCTTCCTTCCTGCCTCCCTCCCTCCCTCCCTTTTCTTTTCTTTTCTTTTTTTTTTTTTTTGACAGGAAATGGCACTTTAATAGTTGGGGCCAGGGTGACAGGACCAAGATGGGGCTAGCCTGTGTCAGTCAGGAAGCCTCCCTCTCCTGCTGGGATAGGGCCTTGCAGCAGCTCCTCCTCCCCGCTGAGGTCCTAGGCCTGCCACAGGCTAGCATGCCAGTGAGGTCAGTGGCAGGAGCCACCCAGAAGCCCTGCAGATGACAGAGCTGAGAACAGGGACTTCACTTCCATGTGTTGCCATTTCCTCACTGGAAAGTCCTTGGGAGGTGGCTGGGCTCAGCCTGAGCTCAGGGCTCTTCGGTGGGTGTTGGGACAGGGGCAGGGCGGGCACTTGCAGGTGGCACAGGCTTCATCAAGGCAGGACATGGGCTTCATCAAGGCAGGAGCCAGAGCACCCGAGCCCTGGCAGGGGAGGTATGGCCCAGGATGGGGCAGGGCCGTGTGCTCCTGGAACGGACATCCTTCTCTGCCAGAGACCTGCTCCCCAAGCCCTGTCCCTCCCAATCCCCAGGCAGCCCACTCTGCCCTCCATAGATGAATCTAATCCCATATATTACAATAAACTGCATTTGCCTCTCCCCATTGCCCCACCCTCCCCTACCCTGAGCCAGCGGCCCCCACTTCCTCATCCCCTGGCGGTGGCAGGTGCCCCTCCTCAAGCAGTGCCACATCCTGTCAGCAGCCAGCTGTCCTGGCACTGGCCTGAGGGCCGGGGGACGCAGAGGGCGGGGCTGCGCGGCTACTCCAGGTAGATATTTTCTGTGGGGCAGGTGTACTCCACAAACTGCTTGTGAAACTGCTGGAATGCTCTCCCCACGGACTCTGCCAGGGCTTTGGTGGAGTCTTCAGACACAAAGACGTGGCAGGCAAACCGGTGGTCGGCGAGGTGCTTGGTGATGAACCCAAAGTACTTGTTGTTCTTTGGATGATATCCGCGGAAAGAGATGTTTTTTAACTGGAAAAAGTGGCTACATTTATTCCCCTTGGCCTCCTGGGAGTCATCGGCCTTGATACCTATCTTCACACCCCGCACGCTGATCTCCAGGACACAGCTGGAGGGCGGGTTAAAGTGCACGGTTAGCCGGCGGGTGGTGGCAATCTTTTGCATAGCGGCAGAGAGGACGACATCGCCCTTGTGATAGGGAACCTGGACTGAGCCCAGGAACTTCACCCGGAACTGGTCCACCCAGTCACTGTTTTTAGCCAGGGCTGCCATGTGCTCGGGCTCCTTGGTGACCTCGATGGCGTAATAGGCAGTAAAGATGCCCCGGGCACCAGTGCGCATGTTGTAGGCCTCGTACCAGTAGTCTTCAGCCTGGAGCTCCACTAGCAGAGGGTCATCCACTTCCAGCTCAGGTTCGTCTTCGTGTCGAGGCACAAACCTGAATATGGTCCGGTGGGTCTGCTCCTGCTCCTCCCGGTTGATGATGCAGGAGAACAGCCCGAAGGACTCGGCACTGGAGGAGCGGGAGCGGCCACTCATGAAGATGTTCAGGAACTTCTTGGAGAAATGGACGTCGGGTTCGTCAGGCGTGGAGTCCTTGGAGAGGCAGGCAGGAGGCTGGGGCCGGGAGGCCTCCTCATATTCCTCTCCGATGGCTGACTCATAGGGCGAGGAGACGGAGGCACAGTTGTCGTAGACGATGGCCGAGTCACTCTCGTCACTGTAGTCTCTGAAGCACGGCCGCAGGCTCACCAGCTCCAGCAGCGTGGGCTGTTGGTGGAGGTGCCTCGATCTGTGGTGGGGGCGGGGCTGCTCTGGGGGGGCAGCTCATCGCTCAGGCAAATGGGTTCATGCGGTGGTGTCTGCTCCCCTGTCTTCAGGGGTGAGGATGATCGAGACACCCGATCCTGCCAACTGTACTTTTTGCCCAGAGAATTATTATTCAGTGTGTCCTGAGACAACTGCACCTGCGGAAAGAGGTTGAGCGTGGTGGGCCGCTTGGGCCGGTACGTGTCCCCGCTGCCCGGGCCCTGGCTCTGGCCTTGGCTCTGGCCCTGGCCGCGGGACGCCGGCTCCTGGCCGGACTCGGCCTTGGGCGGCCCCGCTCCCGGCCGCCGGGCCGCGCGCTCCTCGTCGTCGTCCTCCTCGGCCCCGGGAGTGTCCCCCGTCGCGTCGATCAGGTCCATCTGCAGCATCTCGGCCTGCAACCGGCTCCCCGCGCCGCCGCCGCCCGCAGAGCCCTCCCTTTTCTTTTCTTTTTTCTTTTCTTTTCTTCTTTCTTTCTTTATTCTCTTCATGTCCCTTCCTCCCTCCTTCTTTCCCTTTCTTCCATCCTTCCCTCCCTCCTTCCTTCCTCCCTCCTTTTCTTTTCTTTTTTCTTTCTTTCTTTTTTCTTTCTTTCCTTCATTTCCCTCCCTCCCTCCTTCTTTCCCTTTCTTCGTTCCTTCCTCCCTCCTTTTCTTCTTTCTTTCTTTCCTTCCTTCTTCTTTCTTTTCTTCCTCTCCCTCCCTTTCCCTTCTTCCCTCCTTCTTTTCCTTCCTTCCCTCCCCTTCCTTCTTTCTCTCTCTTTTTCTCTCTCTTTTCTTTCACTCTTTTCGCCTTCCTTCCTTTTTTCCTTCCTTCCCTCCCTCCCTCCTCTTTCTCTCTCTCGCAAAAAAAGAGTAAGCAGACATAATATCAATATATTCATTTACCTCAAGGACTGAGAATAATGAATTTAGTTCATGCAACTATGATTCTTCTTGTCATTTATTCAAGAAACTTTGAGATTCATTCCCATTATAGCTAAACACTCTTGACACTGGGAATATAAAGATAAATAACTCACAGTCCCCACCCTCAAAGGTTTATAATAGAGTAGGAGAAGGGAAACAGTAAACAAAAGTTTGAAGTGTGATATAGTGAAATATATATATTTGGTCTTTGACCTCATTTCCTCGTATACACTTAGAATCTCCAAAGTGATATCTTCTTGTATGCAAACAAATTGACTGGTAGCTTCAGGATGGGGGCTGGCGGCAAAAGACCAAAGCAGGATTAGAGGGTTGGGACTTTTCTTCCCCACCCCCCAACCTCCCAGGAGGTGAGAGGAGCTGAAGATTAAGTTCAGGGACAGAAAAAGCTGCCCTTGAAAATTCAAGGCCTTGAAAATGCAGAATTAAGTTTGAATATGAAAGGGAATAATAGACCCAGTGCTTTGGGAGGCTGAAGCAGGAGGATCCTTTGAAACCAGGAGTTGAAGACCAGCCTGGGCAAGGTAGGGATGCCCTGTCTCTACAAAAAAAATAGAAAAATTAGCTGGGCATGGTGGCATATGCCTTTAATCCCAGCTACTTGAGAGGCTAAGGTGGGAGAATCATCTGAGCCCAGGGAGGTTGAGGCTGCAGTGAGCCATGATTGCACCATTGCACTCCAGCCTGGGTGACAGACCCAGCACTTTGGGAAGCCAAGGCAGGTAGAACGCAAGGTCAGGAGTTCAAGACCAGCCTGGCCAAGATGGTGAAACCCCATCTCTACTAAAAATACAAAAACTAGCCAGGCGTGGTGGCAGGCACCTGTAATCCCAGCTACTTGGGAGGCTGAGGCAGAGAATTGCTTGAACCCGGGAGGCAGAGGTTGCAGTGAGCCAAGATCATGCTGCTGCACTCCAGCCTGGGCGACAGAGTGAGACTTTGTCTGAAAAAAAAAAAAAAAAAAAAAAAAAAGAATAGATTTCCTGTGACCAATTTCGATATTATTTATTTTTAGCCAAACTTATTGATCCAGAATGACCAGTTTAGATAAATCGTGGTCCTGGGATGGAACACAAAAAAGTGGAATTTTATTAGAAAAGGAGAAGGAGAGTGGCTATTGAACATTGATGTTGTGTTCAATATAGTGAGGGTTTTTTATTTTGTTTTTTGAGACAGGGTCTCAGGGTCTTGCTCTGTCTCCCAGGCTGGAGTGCAGTGCAGTGGCATGATCATAACACTGTAGCCTTGAACTCTTCAGGCTCAAGTGACCTTCCCACCTCAGCCTCCTGAGTAGCCAGGACTACAGGCACGCACTGCCACACCTGGCTCATTTTTCAATTTTTTGTAGAGATGCGATCTCATTATGTTGACCCGGCTTGTCTCAAACTCCTGGGCTCAAGCAATCCTCCGACCTTAGCCTCCCAATGCATTGGGATTACAGGCACAAGCCACTACACCTGGCCTGAACTTTCTTATTCTAAGGATTTGCAGAGTTTCTGTTTAAGCCATTATCTTCAAATAATGGTTTTAATTTCTTTTTAATCTTTATGTAAAATACCTTATTTCTTTCTTTCTTTTTTTTTTTTTAGATGGAATTTCACTCTTGTTGCCCAAGCTGGAGTGCAATGGCACGATCTTGGCTCACCACAACCTCCACCTCCCAGGTTCAAGCGATTCTCCTGCCTCAGCCTTCCGAGTAGCTGGGATTACAGGTATGTGCCACCACGACCTGCTAATATTGTATTTTTAGTGGAGATGGGGTTTCTCCATGTTGGTCAGGCTGGTCGCAAACTCCCAACCTCAGGTGATCCATCCATCTTGGCCTCCCAAAGTGCTGGGATTACAGGCATGAGCCATCGTGCCCAGCCCTATTATTCTTTTTTAAAATTTTTTTAAAATTGAGATGGGATTTTGCCATGTTACCTAGGCTGGTATCAAACTCCTGGGCTCAAGCAATCCTGCCACCTCTTTCTCCCGAAGTGTGGGATTACAGGTGTGAGCCAGCGTGCTCGGCTCTTTATTTTATTTTATTTTATTTTATTTTATTTTATTTTATTTTATTTTTTGAGAGAGAGTCTTGCTCTGTCACCCAGGCTGGAGTGCAGTGGTGTGATCTCGGCTCACTGCAACCTCCACCTCCCAGGTTCAAGTGATTCTCCTGCCTCCCTCTCAAATACCTGGGATTACAGGTGCCCACCACCACGCCTGGCTAATTTTTGTAGTTTTAGTAGAGATGTGGTTTCATCATGTTGGCCAGGCTGGTCTTGAACTGCTGACCTCAAGTTATCTGCCTACCTTTGCCTCCCAACGTGCTGGGAGGGCGTGAGCCACGGTGCCCAGCCTTTTATTTTTTATTTTTATTTTTAATCTGTCTTGATTTTGCTTCCTTCCTAAACAGTTTTGGCTTCGTGATCACGTAAACCAAGAGTCACAAACTGAAATGCCATCAAGGGGCCAAGCAGGTAACAAAATTCAAGTCATACAGGCTCAATGTCTTAGTCACCCCAGGCTACAACAGAATATCATAGACTGGGTAGCCTAATAATACAGATCATTTTCTCATGGTTCTAGAGGCTAGAAAGTCCAAGATCGAGATTCCCAAAGGGTTAAGTTTCTGGTGTTGATGCAGGGCAGGTAAGCCACAAAACTGGGGCTTAGACTGAGAGGGTTCTTGGCTTCACCCAGGAAATAATTCAAGGGCAAACCGAAGGTGTTAGAGGCCAACTTTTTTTTTTTTCGGGACAGGGTCTCACTCTGTCACCCAGGCTGGAGTGCAGTGGCTCACTGCAGACTCTGCCTCCTGGGTTCAAGTGATTCTCCCGCCTCAACCTCCTGAGTAGCTGGGAGTGCAGGTGTGCGCCAAAACACCCAACTAATTTTTTTGTATTTTTAGTAGAGATGGGGTTTCACCATGTTGACCAGGCTGGTCTCAAACTCCTGGCCTCAAATGATCCACCCGCCTCAGCCTCCTAGAGTGCTGGGATTACAGGCATTACCCACTGCACCTGGCCTAGATGCCAACTTTTATTGAAGCAGTGGCCTATAGCAACAGCAGAGGGACTGCTCCTTGCAGAGCAGGGCTACCCTGTAGGTAGTGTGACCAGAGTAGCAGCTCAGGGCAGTTCTGCAGTCATATTTACATTGACCTTTAATTACATGCAAATTAAGGGGCAGACTATACAGACGTTTCTAGAAAAAGGCTGATAACTTCTGGGTTGTCAAGTTGTTGCCATTGAAAGGGGTGGTAGGCTGAGCACAGTGGCTCAGGCCTGTAATTCCAGCACTTTGGGAGGCCAAGGCAGGTGGATCATGAGGTCAAAAGTTCAAGACCAGCCTGGCCAAGATGGTGAAACACTGTCTCTACTAAAAATACAAAAATCAGTTTGGCGCGGTGGCAGGCGCCTGTAATCCCAGCTACTCGGGAGGCTAAGGCAGGAGAATCGCTTGAACCCGGGAGGTGGAGCTTGCAGTGAGCCAAGACTGTGCCACTGCACTCCAGCCTGGGCGACAGAGTGAGACTCCGTCTCAAAAAAAAGGCGGTGGGGTGGTAACTCTGGGTTCTGCCATGGAAATGGTAAGCTGACATGGTGCACTGGTTGAGCGTGTCTTATGGAAAGCTGCTTTCACCCTGTCCCTGTTTCAGCTAGTCATCAATTTGGTCTGGTGTCCAAGCCCCATCTCTGGAGTCCAGTTCCACCTCCTACCTCAGCGTGGGCTTTATTACCTGGCTTGCCTTCTTGAAGTGGCCTCATGTGGCAGAGAGAAAGCTAGGGAGCTCTCTGGGTTCTCGTCTCATAAAGACACTAATTCTATTAGATCAGTGCCCAGCTTTATGACCTCATTTGACCTTAATTACTTCCCATAAATCCTTTTTTTTTTTTTTGAGACAGAGTCTTACTCTGTCACCCTGGCTGGAGTGCAGTGGCATGCTCTCGACTCACTGCAACCTCTGCCTCCCAGGTTCAAGCAATTCTCCTTCCTCAGCCTCCTGAGTAGCTAGGACTACAGGTGCGCACCACCATGCCTGTCTAATTTACGTTTATTTTTTTTTTTGAGATGGAGTCTTGCTCTGTCGCCCAGGCTGGAGCGCAGTGGTGTGATCTCGGCTCACTGCAACCTCTGTCTCCCGGGTTCAAGCGATTCTCCTGCCTCAGCCTCCCAAGTAGCTGGGACTACAGGCGTGTGCCACGACACCTAGCTAATTTTCTTTTTTTTTTTTTTGTATTTTTAGTAGAGATGGGTTTCACTGTGTTAGCCGGGATGGTCTTGATCTCCTGACCTCGTGATCTGCCCGCCTCGGCCTCCTAAAGTGGTGAGATTACAGGTGTGAGCCACTGCACCCCGCCAAGTTTTTATATTTTTAGTAGAGATGTTTTTAGTAGAGATGGGGGTTTCACCATCTTGGCCAGGCTGGTCTTGAACACCTGACCTCAAATGATCCACCCGCCTTGGCCTCCCAAAGTGCTGTGATTATAGGCTTGAGCCATCGCATCCAGCCCCACAGGTAATACTTAATGATGAAAGACTATAAGTTTTTCTCCTAAGATCAGGAAGAAGACAAGGATATTCACTCTTGCCACCTCTATTCAACATTATACTTAAATTTCTAGCCAGGAAATTAGCAAGAAAAAGAAATAAAAGCCACACAAATTAGAAAGGAAGAAATAAAACCATATGTATTTGCATATGACATGATCTTGTATGTAGGAAATTCTAAGGAATCCACAAAACCGTCAGAACAAGTAAACAAATTCAGCAAAGTTGCAGGTGTAAGAGTGATATAAAAAAAATTGGCCTGGCGCAGTGGCTCATGCCTATAATCCCAGCACTTTGGGAGGCCTAGGTGAGCAGATCATGAGGTCAGGAGTTCGAGACTAACCTGACCGGTGGGGGGGGGGTCAGCCCCCCCGCCCGGCCAGCCGCCCCGTCCGGGAGGTGAGGGGCGCCTCTGCCCGGCCGCCCCTACTGGGAAGTGAGGAGCCCCTCTGCCCGGCCACCACCCCGTCTGGGAGGTGTGCCCAACAGCTCATTGAGAATGGGCCAGGATGACAATGGCGGCTTTGTGGAATAGAAAGGCAGGAAAGGTGGGGAAAAGATTGAGAAATCGGATGGTTGCCGTGTCTGTGTAGAAAGAAGTAGACATGGGAGACTTTTCATTTTGTTCTGCACTAAGAAAAATTCCTCTGCCTTGGGATCCTGTTGATCTGTGACCTTACCCCCAACCCTGTGCTCTCTGAAACATGTGCTGTGTCCACTCAGGGTTAAATGGATTAAGGGCGGTGCAAGATGTGCTTTGTTAAACAGATGCTTGAAGGCAGCATGCTCGTTAAGAGTCATCACCAATCCCTAATCTCAAGTAATCAGGGACACAAACACTGCGGAAGGCCGCAGGGTCCTCTGCCTAGGAAAACCAGAGACCTTTGTTCACTTGTTTATCTGCTGACCTTCCCTCCACTATTGTCCCATGACCCTGCCAAATCCCCCTCTGTGAGAAACACCCAAGAATTATCAATAAAAAAATAAATTTAAAAAAAAATAAAAATTAAAAAATAAATAAATAAAATGATAAAAAAAAAAAAAAAAAAGAACATCTTGAGACTAACCTGACCAACATGGTGAAAACCCATCTCTACTAAAAATACAAAAATTAGCTGGGGGTTGCGGCACGCACCTGTAATCACAGCTGTTCGGGAGACTGAGGCAAGAGAATTGCTTGAACCCAGGAGGCAGAGGTTGCAGTGAGCCGAGATCACACCACTGCACTCCAGCCTGGGTAACAGAGCGAGACTGTCTCAAAAAAAAAAAAAAAAAGTAAATAAATAAATAAATTGTATTTCTATACAGTAACAATTAGCAAGCTGAAAATGAAACTAAGAAAATTCATTTACAATATCGTTTACAAACACACACTTAGGAATAAATTTGACCAAAGTGCTAGACCTTGTTCTTATTTATTTATCTTTTGGTTCCTAAAGTATCCACACCAAACACAAAATAAAGCAAAATCTTTTTTTTTTTTTTTTTTTTGAGACGGAGTCTCACTCTTTTGCCCAGGCTGGACTGCAGTGGCGCTATCTTGGCTCACTGCAAGCTCTGCCACCCGGGTTCACACCATTCTCCTGCCTCAGCCTCCCAAGTAGCTGGGACTACAGGTGCCTGCCACCGCGCCTGGCTAATTTTTTGTATTTTTAGTAGAGACGGGGTTTCACCGTGTTGGCCAGGATGGTCTCGATCTCCTGACCTCGTGATCTGCCCGCCTTGGCCTCCCAAAGTGCTGGGATTACAGGCATGAGCCACCGTGCCCAGCCACAAAGTCTTAATAGTAATAAATTAATTTTGCAAAGTTGGAGGATACAAGATCAACGTACAAAAATCAGTTGTTTATTTATTTATTTTTTAAGAGACAAGACTGCACTATGTTGCCGAGGCTAGAATGCAGTGATCATTTACAGGCACAATTATAATGCACTATAGCCTCAAACATGGCCACAAGCAATCCTCCTGACTCAGCCTCCCAAGTAGCTGGGACTACAGGTGGTGCACCACTACACCTGGCTCAGTTGAATTTCTATACACTAGAAATGAACAATCCAAAAATGAAATTAATAAAACAATTCCATTTGTAATGGCACCAAAAAAAACTTAGGAATGAATTTAACCAAGGAAGTGCAAACTACAAAACATTATTGAAAGAAATTAAACTTAAATACATGAAAAGACATTGTGTGTTCATGGATTGAAACACTTACTACTCTTCACATAGCAATGCCTCCCAAATTGATCTACAGACTCAACACAATCTCTATCAAAATCCCAACTACCTTTTTTGCAAAAATGGACAAGCTGATTCTAAAATTCACATTAAATTGTAAGGAACTTCAAATAGACAAAACAATCTTGAAAAATAAGAACAAAATTGGAAGACTCACGCTTCTTGATTCAAAATCTAATTCACAGTACCAGTAGTTGAGCCCCTGGGCACTGGCATAAGGACTGACATATAGATCAATGGAATAGAATTGAAAGTCCAGAAATGAGTGCTCACATTACGGTCAACTGATTTTTTTTCTTTTTTGAGACAGGGTCTCACTCTGTCACCCAGGCTGGAGTGCAGTGATCAAGGCTCACTGCAGCCTCCGTCTCCCGATCCCCCTGCCTCAGCCTCCTAAGTCACTGGGACCACAGGCATGTGCCACCACGCCCAGCTAATCTTTTTTTTTTTGAGACAGAGTTTCATTCTTGTTGCCCAGGCTGGAGTGCAATGGCGCAATCTCGGCTCACCACAACCTCCGCCTTCTGGGTTCAAGCAATTCTTCTGCCTCAGCCTCCCTAGTAGCTGGGATTTACAGGCATGAGTCACCACTCCAGACTAATTTTGTATTTTTAGCAGAAATGGGGTTTCTCCATGTTGGTCAGGCTGGTCTTGAACTTCTGACCTCAGGTGATCCACCTGCATTGGCCTCCCAAAGTGCTGGGATTACAGGCGTGAGCCACCATGTCTGGCCTGCCCAGCTAATCTTTTTAATAATTATTTTTAGAAATGGAGTGTGCCTATATTGCCCAGGCGGGTTTTGAACTTCTGGGCTCAAATGGTCTTCTTGCCTTGGCCTCCCAAAATACTGGGATTACAGGTGTGAACCATGGTGCCCAGCCAAGGTCAACTGATTTTTAACAAATATGCCAAGACAATTCAATGAGAGAAAGTGTAGAAAAAAAAGTCTTTTCAAACAATGGTCCTGGGACAACTGGATACCCACACACAATAGAATGAAGTTGAAACCTCACCTCATATTATCTATAAAAATTAACTCAAAATATAACAAAGCCTTTGTTTATAAAACATTTGTTAGACTGAAAAGTAGAAAACTCTTTTTTTTGTTTTTAGATGGAGTCTTGCTCTGTTGCTCTGTTGCCAGGCTGGAGTGCAGTGGCATGATCTCAGCTCACTGCAACCTCCACCTCCTGGGTTCAAGCCATTCTCCTGCCTCAGCCTCTGGAGTAGCTGGGACTACAGGTGCGCGCCACCACGCCCAACTAATTTTTTTTTTTTTTTTTGAGACCGAGTTTTGCTCTTGTTGCCCAGGCTGGAGTGCAATGGCACGATCTTGGCTCACCGCAACCTCTGCCTCCTGCGTTCAAGCGATTCTCCTGCCTCAGCTCCCAAGTAGCTGAGATTACAGGCATGCGCCACCATGCCCTGCTAATTTTTTTGTATTTTTAGTAGAGACGGGGTTTCTGCATGTTGATCAGGCTGGCCTCGAACTCCCGACCACAGGTGATCCACCCACCTTGGCCTCCCAAAGTGCTGGGATTACAGGCATGAGCAACCATGCCCGGCCCAGTTTTTATTTTTTTAATAGAGACAGTGTTTCACCATGTTGGCCTTAGAGGAAAACATAGACATACATCTTTATGACCTTTGGATTAGCAAGTTTTCTTAGATATGACACAAGTGTTTAACACAGAGCTCCCATATGACCCAGTAATTCCATTCCGAGGTATATATGCCAAGAGAAATGAAAACAGAAAAACTTAAAACACACACACATATGGCGAAACCCTATCTCTACTAAAAATACAAAAATTTTGCTGGTGTGGTGGCTCATGCATGTAATCCCAGCACTTTGGCGGGCTGAAGAAGGTGGATCATTTGAGGTCAGGAGTTTGAGATCAGCCTGGACAACATGGTGAAACCCCATCTCTACTAAAAATACAAAAATTAGCTGGGTGTGGTGGCACACGCTTGTAATCCCAGCTACTTGGGAGGCTGAGGCAGGAGAATCTCTTGAACCCAGGAGGTGGAGCTTGCAGTGAGCCGAGATCACACCACTGCACTCCGTCCTGGGCAACAGAGACTCTATCTCAAAAAAAAAAAAAAAAAAAAAAAAAAGAAACAAAGAAAGAAAAATTAGCCGGGCATGGTGACAGGTGCCTGTAATCCCAGCTACTTGGGAGATTGAGGTGGGAGGATCAGTTGAACCTGGGAAGCAGAGGTTGCAGCCAGCTGGGATTGTGCCACTGCACTCCAGCCTGGGCAACAGAGTGAGACTCCGTCTCAAAAAATAAAAATAAAAATAATACACACACACATATACACATACACCTCTTTATTTCTTCAGCGAGACCTGAAGATATATATCCATAACATAAGAACAGGATGCTATAAAAAATGAACAATAAGAAAGCAAGAAAAACTATCATAAATTAGAAATATGATAGCCAAGGCTGGGTGCAGTGGCTCACACCTGTAATCTCAGCACCTTGGGAGGCTGAGGCATGTGGATCACTTGAGGCCAGGAGTTTGAGACCAACCTGGCCAATATGGTGAAACCCCGTCTCTACTGAAAATACAAAAATAAGCTGGGCATGCTGGACCACGCCTGCAATCCCAGCTACTCAGGAGGCTGAGGCAGGAGAATCACTTGAACCCAGGAGGCAGAGGTTGCAGTGAGCTGAGATCAAGCCACCGCATTCCAACCTGGGTGACAGAGTGAGAACCTGTCTCAAAAAAAAAATAAATAAATAAAAGCCAAAATTAAAAATTCAATACAAAATTTGAAGGTTGAAGAAATCTCCTAGAATGTAGTATTTAAATTCTTTTTCTTTTGAGACAAGGTCTTGCTCTGTCTCCCAAGCTGCTGTGCCGTGGCGCCATTCTAGCTTACTGCAAGCCTCAAACTCCTGGCCTCAAGCAAGTCTCATATCTCAACCTCTCAAAGTGCTGGATTATAGGCATGAGCCACTGCAGCTGGCCAGAATGTAGAATTTAAAAGGTGTTGAAAAATATAAAAAATAAGAAAATTGGAGGATTGAGGCTGGTTGAAGGCAGAGGCAGGAGAATAGCTTGAGCCCAGGAGCTTGAGTATAGCCTGGGAAACACAGAAAGCCCATCTCTATATTTAAAAAAAAAATTCTTTTTTTTTTTTTTTTTAAGAGAGAGTCTTGCTCTGTCACCCAGGCTGGAGTGCAGTGGTGCGATCTTGGCTCACTGCAACCTCCACCTTCCGGGCTCAAGCAATTCTTATGCCTCAGCCTCCCATGTAGCTGAGATTATAGGTGTGTGCCACCACACCCGGCTAATTTTTGTATTTTTAGTAGAGACAGGGTGGGAGAGTGTTGGGGGAGATGGGGCATGGCAGGGAGGGGATGGCGGGTTTTACCATGTTGGCCAGGCTGGTCTTGAGCTCCTGGCTTCAGGTGATCCTCCCACCTCAGCCTCTAAAAGTGGGATTACAGACGTAAACCACCGCGCCCAGCATTTTTTTTTTTTTTTTTAGACAGTGTTGCTGTGTTGCCCAGGCTGGAGTGCAGTAGCACAATCTCGGCTCACTGCAACGTCTGCCTCCTGGGCTCCAGCGATTGTCGTGCCTCAGCCTCCCAAGTAGCTGGGATTACAGGTGCACACCATCATGCCTGGCTAACTGTATTTTTAGTAGAGATGGGGTTTCACCATGTTGGCCAGGCTGCTCTCAAACTCCTGGCCTCAAGCAATCCACCTGCCTCAGCCTCCCACAGTGCTGGGATTACAGGCCTGAGCCACTGCACCAAGCCCCAGCTCCAGATTGTGAGTTTCAGAGCCAGGCTAGATAGGATTCAGACTCAGAACTGTGAGATTTCTGCCGCTCAGGCTGTTAACCAGTGACTCATGGTTTTTTTTTTTTTTTAGGCAGAGTTTTACTCTTGTTGCCCAGGCTGGAGTGCGATGGCTCGATCCCAGCTCATTGCAACCTCCGCCTCCCAGGTTCAAGTGATTCTCCTGCCTCAGCCTCCCAAGTAGCTGGGATTACAGGTGCCCGCCACCATGCCCAGCTAATTTTTGAATTTTTAGTAGAGACGGGGTTTCACCATGTTGGCCAGGCTGGTCTTGAGCTCCTGACTTCGTGATCTGCCCACCTCGGCCTCCCAAAGTGCTGGAATTACAAGCGTGAGCCACCGCGCCCTGCCTGACTTGTGGTCTTTTGAGATTATTTCTGATGTCCCATAGACATTTCAAAAGCAAAATGTCAAAAGCTACACTTGCCTCTCAAACCTTCATTCTCTCTGTGTGATAGGCACCCTCCTTCCCATCTTCCTTCGCTTCCATGGGTCACTCAAAGCTGAAGACCTGCAAGCCATCTCAGGATCCTGTCCTGTATCCCATCAACACTCATCACACCCTCTCAATTCTGGCTCCTAAATACCCCTTGGATTTGGCCTCTCTTCCCCGTTCCCCACTGGCATTGTTTTATTTCAGGTCTTTATGATTTCTTGCCTGGGTTTCTGCAGCAGCCTCCTAACTGCTCTCCCTGACTCCAGTCTTGCCCTCTCTGTTTCATTTTTCATATTGCACACAGGGTGATTTTTCTAAAATATAAATGTGACCACATCTCTTGCAGGCTTAAAACCTCTCAAAGGTTCTTCACCCCCTCAAGGCTGCAGCACACACCTCCCAGCACAGCTCTGCAAGTTGACCCCGCCCTTCTTCTCCATCGGTGGTTCTCAGAGTGTAGCCCTCCGAGCAGCAGCACTCTGACCCGCTCCATCAAGATCTCTAGGCTTGGAGCTTGCGAGACTATGTAAACAAGGCCAGTTTTTTGTTCGTTTGTTTGTTTTTTGGAGACAGAGTCTCGCTGTGTCACTCAGGCTGGAGTGCAGTGGCTTGATCTTGGCTTACTCCATCTCCACCTCCCAGGTTGAAGTGATTCTCCCGCCTCAACCTCCTGAGCAGCTGGGACTATAGGTGTGCACCACCACACCCAGCTAATTTTTGCATTTTTAGTAGAAATGGGGTTTCAGGCCGGGCGCGGTGGCTCACGCCTGTAATCCCAGCACTTTGGGAGGCCAAGGCGGACGGATCACGAGGTCAGGAGATCGAGACCATCCTGGCTAACATGGTGAAACCCCGTCTCTACTAAAAATACAAAAAAATTAGCCGGGCATGGTAGCGGGTGCCTGTAGTCCCAGCTACTCGGGAGGCTGAGGTAGGAGAATGGCGTGAACCCAGGAGGCGGAGCTTGCGGTGAGCCGAGATCACGCCACTGCACTCCAGCCTGGACGACAGCGAGACTCTGTCTCAAAAAAAAAAAAAAAAAAAAAAGAAAAAGAAAAAAAAAGAAATGGGGTTTCACCACATTGGCCAGGCTAGTTTCGAACTCCTGACCTCAAGCGATCCGCCCGCCTCGACCTCCCAAAGTGCTTGGATTACCGGTGTGAGTCACTGTGCCCAGTCAACAAGGCCAGTTTTTATGCACATTTAAGTTTGAGAACCACATTGCAGTTAATCTCATCTGGTTTCCTTTCTTGAACTCCATGCTTTAGCCTCATTGAACCATCAGTTTCTGGAAAGTGGTATATTATCCCTCACCTTCTATAATTTGCACATGCTATTCTCTGCCCTTATCCCATGGCAATGGCTTTGTCTGCTTTTATCCATATTCCCCACCTTTGTGGAAACTGGAAGGCAGGGTCACCACCTTATTCATCTTTACATCTTTAGGGTCTTGGACCTGACATACAGTAGGTGCTCAATAACTATTTTATTTCTCTCTCTCTTTTTTTTTAGAGATGGGGTCTCACTCTGTCACCTAGGCTGGAGTGCAGTGGCTCAATCATGGCTCACCTCCCCCCTCAACCTCCTGGGCTCAAGCAATCCTCCTGCCTCAGCCTCCCAAGTAGCTGAGACTACAGGCACTCACCACCATGGCCAGCTAATTTTTAATTTTTTTGTAGAGATGGGGGTCTTGTTATGTTGCCCTGGCTGGTCTCCAAATATTGGCCTTAAGTGATCCTTCCACCTCAGCCTCCCAAAAGCGCCACTGCACTACAGCCTGGGCGACAGAGTAAGATTCCATCTCAAAAAATAAAAATAAAGATAATACACACACACATATATACACATACACCTCTTTATTTCTTCAGCGAGACCTGAAGATATATATCCATAATATAAGAACAGGATGCTATAAAAAATGAACAATAAGAAAACAAGAAAAACTATTATAAATTAGAAATATGATAACCAAGGCTGGGTACGGTGGCTCACGCCTGTAATAGATTACAGGCGTGAGCCAGTGAGCCTGGCCATTCAATAACTATTTTCTTAATGAACATTGAGGGTGAGATGAGCAGAAACGTAACTGCTAAAAGCAGGCAACATTCAGCTACCAGGATTTATGAGGGAGAACACAGTAAACTGTGCTATTACTTAGGAATACCTAGAGTCAATGTACATTTATTTTCATTTTACTCTAGCCCCACTGGTGATCTCTGCCCAGTAATCTAACTAAATTGATGACAGTGGGAATGAAAGGAAATCATAGATATGTATTATTGTAAAGGAAAAGAAATGCAAATGAATGGGTACAGGGACAGTCTGTACAATTGAAGATCTCATCTCTTCATATATATATATATATATATATATATATATATATTTTTTTTTTTTTTTCAAGACAGGATTTTAGCACCTACTATTTGCAAGACTCCCCCTATGTTAACCTTTACAGCAACTCTCGGAGGGATGTTTTATTATTGAGAGAACTGAGAGACAGAGGTCATTAAATATTTGTCCAAGATCCTACAGCCGCAACATGGTAAATCCACTGCTATTGGAACTTCCTGTTAAGTGAGTTCCATGGCCCCAAACTGCATTCCCACCCATGTTGCTCACAGATTGGTCACAATGTGGCTCACAGTCATAGGCACAGGTGAATGGATCAACCATTATTTTCGATAATGATTCTGGGGTATCATCTTTGACTCAAAAACGCAAACTGTTATTATTATCTATGCAGTCTACAGCCCTCTGCTCTACCAGCTGAGCTATCGAAGAGTGCACAAGCTGTTATTATATCACAAGATTTTTTTTTTCAGACAGGGTCTTATTCTGCGGCCCAGGCTGAAGTGAAGTGGCTCGATGGTAGCTCACTGCAGCCTTGAACTCCTGGGGTCAAGCGATCCTCCTACCTCAGCCTCCCAAGTAGCTGAAACTACAGGCAGGCACCACTATGCCTGGCTGACTTTTGTATTTTTTGTAGAGACGGGGTTTCGCCATGTTGCCAGGCTAATCTGCAACTCCTGGGCTCAAGCAGTCTGCCCACTTCACCCTCCCAAAGTGCTGGGATTTCAGGCTAGAGCCACCATGCCCAGCCCACAAGATCTAAACGCTACTGTTGAAGCAAAAAGACTTGAAGACAGAATTTGCCCTCCTAATATAAGCCCATGGTAACCTGAACCTCCTTCACCCTAACTCTCATCACAGTGTATTGTGATTGCTTATTGAAGATGAAATTTGATTTTCCTTTTTGATGTTACTTCTCCAGCACAGTACCTGGTATGTGGAAGGCACTCAAACTAGGGCCAACCTGGTGCCAGCTAACCTGGGACTAGTGCAAGCTCCTGAAATTCACCTGGTCAAGGGACACATGTTCACAGGATCTCCTGGGGTTGTGTCACCAAAAAAAAAAAAAAAAAAATTTCACCTGGTGTCTCTAGTCACCATGATTTTCTCTAAAATGCCACACAGAATTCTATGTATGGAATTTTTTTCTTTTCTTTTTTCTTTTTCTTTTTTTTTTTTTTTTGAGACAGTCTGTCGCCAGTCTGGAGTGCAGTGGCGTGATCTCGGCTCACTGCAGTCTCCTCCTCCCGGGTTCAAGCGGTTCTCCTGCCTCAGCCTCCCAAGTAGCTAGGACTACAGGTCCGTGCCACCACGCCCAGCTAATTTTTGTATTTTTAGTGGAGATGGGGTTTCACCATGTTGGCAAGGATGGTCTAGATCTCTTGACCTTGTGATCTGCCCGCCTCAGCTTCCCAAAGTGCTGGGATTACAGGCGTGAGCCACCGCGCCCGGCCAAAATTTTTTAAAAATAAGGAAAGTTCAAGTTTACTTTAGATACCATAGTTCAGGATTTAAACTCCTGTCCTTACTTTGGAATGTCATTTTAGATACTTATGTGATTGACTGAGGAAAAAGACATTGTAACTGATCTTATCCCCTTTAAAAAAAAAAACCAGCTAACAATTATTCATTTAGTCTTCTGTACATTGTGTGAAATAAAATATAGAAGACTAGGGGACAGTTTCTGCCCTCAAGGAGCTTATGTGGTTTTTTTCGTGCGTTTTTTTGTTGTTGTTGTTTTGTTTTTTTTGTTGTTGTTGTTTTGACAGGTTCTTACACTGTCACCCAGGCTGAAATGCAGTGGTGAGATCTCGGCTGACTGCAACCTCTGCCTCCCAGGCTCAAGCGACCCTCACCTCAGTCTCCTGAGTAGCTGGGACTACAGGCATGCACCATCATACCCAGCTAATTTTTGTGTGTGTGTTTTTGTAGAGACGAGGTCTCGCCATGTTGCCCAGGCTGGTCTCGAACTCCTGGCTTCAAGTGATTCACCTGCCTCAGCCTCTCAAAGTGCTGCGATTACAGTCATGAGCCACCTCACCCCGCCAGTCAGGCTCTTAAAAAATCCATCACACAGGCCGGGCGCCATGGCTCATGCCTGTAATCCCAGCACTTGGGAGGCCAAGTCGGGCGGATCACGAGGTCAGGAGATTGAGACCATCCTGGCTAACACGGTGAAACCCCGTATCTACTAAAAATAACAAAAAATTAGTCGGGCATGCTGGCGGACGCCTGTAGTCCCAGCTACTCAGGAGGCTGAGGCAGGAGAATGGCGTGAACCCGGAAGGCGGAGCTTGCAGTGAGCTGAGATAGTGCCACTGCACTCCAGCCTGGGAGACAGAGCGAGACTGTGTCTCATAAAAAAGAAAAAAGAAAAAAAAATCCATCATATGTATTCACTAATTTAATCTTCACAACAACTCTAAAGGGTAGGAACTATTTTTTTTTTTGCCCCATTTTACAGATATGAAATGAGAGGCTGTGTTGAAGGTGTTTTCTGGGGTTGATTTAAATAGAATTAATAAACTCAGAAAAAAGATTCTTAATCGATAAAGGTGTTGTTTTTTTTTTTTTTTTTTTTTTTTTTGAGTCGGAGTCTCACTCTGTCATCCAGGCTGGAGTGCAGTGGCGTGATATCGGCTCACTGGAACCTCTGACTCCCTGGTTCAAGCAATTCTCCTGCCTCAGCCTCCCGAGTAGCTGGGATTACAGGCATGCGCCACCATGCCCGTGGTTTCACCATGTTGGCCAGGATGGTCTTGATCTCCTGACCTTGTGATCCGCCCACCTTGGCCTCCCAAAATGCTGGGATTACAGGCGTGAGCCACCGTGCCCGGCCTTGGCTTTCATTCTTATTGTCCCATGGTTACCAGAGCCTAAAGAGGTAAAGAGGTAAGACCTATGAGGCTCTCACAGTTTGTTTGTTGTTTTTTTTTTTTTTTTTTTTTTTTTGAAACAGGGTCTCACTGTGTCGCCCAGGCTGGAGTGCAGTGGCGCGATCTTGGCTCACTGCAGCCTCCGCCTCCCGGTTCAAGCAATTCTCCCACCTCAGCCTTTCCAGTAGCTGGGATTACAGAGGCGCGCCACCACGCTTGGCTAATTTTTTTTTTGCATTTCTATTAGAGATCGGGTTTCACCATGCTGCGCAGGCTGGTCTCGAACTCCTGACCTCAGGTGATCCACCCGCCTTGGCCTCCCAAAGTGCTGGGATTACAGGTGTGAGCCACCGTGCCCGGCCTCTCTCATAGTTTTATTATTCTATTTTCCACAGACCCTTCCTCCCTTAATTTTCATGCCTCTTTAATATTGTTTCTTTTACCTCACTGACCTTCTTTTTCGTCCTCCTACCTTTTACTGTGGGTGTCTTATTACCCTTCTTTGGGAGTTTATCCTTTAGCATGTCATAGATCACTATCTTTAGGCAGAGGACCCTGCATCTTCTCTAGTCCTGATTGTCTACCCTCTCTCAAGTTCCATAACTTCAGTTGCCTCTGGGACACCTTCACTGGGTTTTACAAAACCCTGTTACCGGGAGCTGAACATATTAAAAGCTAAGATTCCTCCCCAAATCTGCATGTTGCGCCAATTTTCCTGCCCAATTATCTTGTCTGTCCCCTGGTTTTGCGACCTTATTTAAACATTTAAATCCTTTTCTTTAAATTGGAATCTTGATGAATGGTGCAAAAATCAATGGATACAAATGATATGCCGAGATATGTAAGTCTTCCGCCCACTGGTTCCCTAGGCACTCAGTTCCTCTCCCAGGAGGTAACCACTGTTGCCAGCTCTTAGAGTGATTTTTGATTCCTTCTTCTACCGGCTCTATCTCAAGTCCTTCCCTGTCTGTGAGATGTGTGCCCTTTCCTTTCCAGGCCCTAGTGAACTGATATCTGGTTGAGTTTATATATAAACATTTTTATGTGTATATTTTATATACATATATAACATCTCTCCCTATGGCCTTCCGGCCTGGAGTTTTCATCACGTCGCTTCCTGGATGAAAGAACCTCGAGGGGTGAGGGGCAGGGGTTGGGGGTGATGGAGAAGAGAACCTAAAGGGGACTTAGGTAGGGCGTTCAGAGTGGCCAACTGGCGTGACGCTCTGTCAGGATTCCTATTCCTATTCCTCCCACCTCAGGCCCCCTTCTAGTCCTCTCAGCCAAAAGCCTCTCGTTTCCAAGGGCCGAGACAGAGACAGAGACAACGAGATACACAGAGACAGAGACGCCAAGGCACCAGCATCCCTCTCCCCCTTCTGTCCCGCCCCATCGCTCTGACGGACACCATTGCTCAGCCAATGGCGCTCACGATGTGCCCCTGAAGGGCCAATGGGCGCCAGAGGAGGGCGGAAGATTCCCCGCCCCCACTTCTAGGCTTGGTTGAACCGTGCAGGTAGGTCCGGGGCTGGGGGAGCTGCCTTTGGCACTGGTGCCCCTGGGGGTGGGGGCACGAGTGGGCCAGGGTGATGGTGAGGTAGAGGAGGTGTCCCTGACCCGACGAGCTCGAGGGAGCGGCCCGGCTGGGAGGCGGGGGGCCGCGGGGCCCGGGGAGCGGGCGCCGCCGAGGGCCCTGGAAGCGGCGGGGCTGGGGGAGAGGGGACGCGTGTGTGGGGCACGGGGACCCCCGCCCAGCGCCCACTCGTAGGCCTGGGACGCCGGCTGCCGGCCGACTGGCCTGAGGGCCTGGCTGCCCGGGGGGCGGGCCGGGGCCGCGGCCGGGGGCGCGGAGCGGACCTCGGGGCGCCAGGCCGAGCCGAGGTGGGACGGACCGACGCGGAGAGGAAGGGAAGCCGCATCCCGCGGGGCGCCCCTCCTGAAGCGAGCCGGGCAACGGCCGCGGGCGCCCCTGCCCTGAGCCCACCCCGCGCTCTGCCCTCCCTAACAATGGGAATGGGGCAGAAGGAGGCGCCCCACTGCGGGGAGGTGAGGGGTGGGTTTGGGACTGGGGTCCGCGGTGGGGGGAGGTGCGATCTCGGGCTCTCGCCTCTCCGCTCCCTCTGGCTCTGGAGTTGGGGGCCCCTGTGGGGCTCTGAAGTCCGCCTGAGACTTGGGTCAAGAGTCAAACTGTCGCCCCCCGCTCCTCCCCCAAAATCCGGTGAGCGGTAAGGAAAGTGATGCCAAGTCTTCGAAGCCTCAGTGACAAACGCATAGCAAGAACACATCCACTCCAGAGGTGTTTATTTTTTATTTTTATTTAAAAAGGGGTACTTTTCGACATTTATTTTTAAGAAGTGGGTGCTGTTATTTTTGTCCCTACGCAGGCAAGCCTCCATTTTAAGCGAAGCAGTAACTGGTTAAGCTGGAATTGTATACAGGCCCAGGACTTGAACGAGGATCCTACCAGAGGTCATTTAGTCCATCCTCCTGCCTCCAGGCAAATTTACCTTCCTCCCACCCTCAAAATTAAGTTGCTCGGTCTGCTTTTAACGATCTCTGGGGAAGAAGGGTCTTTTATTTGTTTCTAGTACTTCAGTCAAGAATAGGTTTTACTTTTCATGTGGAATTGACTCTGAAACTTAAGCATAATCTTGGGACAGTCGGGATGATTAGAGAAGTTTTACTTTACTAAATATAATTAAATGTGGCAAGGGTCTTTCTTTAGACGGTTAGTTAACAAATCACGTTTAGTGTTTATGAAGTACCCTGGAAAATTACTTTATTCTCTCTGGGATTTTGGCTAATTGTTTGATAAGCAATTTTACATTATCTAAAATACGTGTTACATATTTATTTCTCTTTTTATGTAAAGTATGTTTCTACACACATATATATGGAGACACACATTTGCCCTTTTCTAAAGGGGACTGTATTTTCTATACTTTTTTAGTGCGATGAGGCAAATAGTACTTCAAAATCCCTGCCCAGGTAGCTTAAACTATTTGCATTGTCTTGATTATTTTTTAGTCTAAATGAAAATCCTCTCTTTCAGATACCTTCTCGAAACAAAAGATTTTCCTACCTGCTTATACTTGGTAACCGAGGGAATTACTAAGACTTCTTGCTCATTTCTGAGTATTGTCTTTATATCCTGACACTATGAATGCTACTTGGATGCCTCTTAAGGTAAGATGTGTTATTTTTTCATTACCAGCCTCATTTTATTCATTTTTCTTTAGAATTGGGAATATTGTAGTTTTTGAATTTGCTATTCTTCACTTCCTTTACCTGCCATTTCTCTTGCCTCTTGTGTTTGCTTCCTAGGATTGATTGGCTATATTTTACTTTGTATCTCTACTGTTCTTTGATTATCGGTGTGAATGTTTTAATGAAGTTCTCAAATTAACTTCCATTATAATGAAAGGCAGTGATCTTTTTAACTTTAAATTATGGCAACTTACATAGTTGTAAAATTATGTTCCGGTCTTAGGATGGGTTGGCAATTCAAACATCTAGGTCCACTTTTCAAACAGGTACTTTAGAGTCATAGGTACTAGGGTGTGTCCCACTCTTGCAAATCAGTAGCTGATTCATGTGTTACAAAAGATGTGTCATTAACCATTTGTTTACTCTGAAACTTCATATAGTATATTAGGGCATTCTAAGACCTGCTGGTTTACACGTATGACTCTTTCAGAGTCCTCCTGCTGCACCCCAGTCCTTTGTGTGACATTTCATACTATTTTTCTCAGCAGGTAGCACTTACACCAAGTTTTATTTCACAGGGTAAACCTCATTTGGACAGTGTGGACAGATGACCTTTAGATGAAAAAGCTCCCATTGATGTGGTTCTCCAGTCTCTTTGGCTCCTCTAATCTCTTGTACATAGATGGCCAAAGAACTCTCCATTAGGACTAAGCAAAGGGCAGAGCTTAAGACTTAAGTAGGTGGCTTCTTTGATTTTCTTGTGACTAAAAATACATTAAAAAAAAAATTAAATAAAAACAAACAGAAAAGACGTAAGGAGGGGATGGGAGGAAGGACAGAGAAGGATAAGGAGTCTTGGAAACCCTCCACCAGCTTCGCCTTTCTTCAGAGTAGGATACTAGCTTAGTTAAGATTGTTGGGTGCTAATCTGCTCTGTGGACTTCCAGATTGATGCAGAGGAGAAATCAGACAATAGTGCAGTGTGTGTAACCTAAATATCTGGACTTGTGGGAAATCTTAGGTCATGTAGGCTGAGTTCTCATCTTCATTTATGTTTCAGCTGCTATTGCTGGATAAGAGTGCTTATATTAATATACAGGAAGCCAAAGTGACACAGTTTTTCCAGCATTCTCCCTGTAGAGTTGGAGGGGTTGCATGGGGAATGCAACCAGAAGTTCTGAACCCGTTAAGAATCAGAGGACCTGTGTAAGAGTGTTTCGACTTAGCAAGTGTTGAGCACCAGTGTTGGTGGCCTCTGTCCTCTTTAGGAAGCAGGCAAGGGGATTGAGATCAATACATTGGATTTCATTTTATAGTTTCCTAGGTTTTAACGAATGTATTTGGTACACAAAGCCCTACTTTTAAAGATATTTCCAGTGTTTAAGGTTTTACCTCTAAATCTCTCTGAACCTGGGTTGTAATACAGTAACCTCAGAAGTTCTACTAGAGGTCTCTGGCATGGCAGGAATAGAGAAAGGAAATCAGCTCCATATCGTGAGTTACCACCTGTTACTACTTAAGAATGCAGTTAGGTGGTTGCCTTAATATTATGTTCCTTACCAATCCTTTGCTCAGTGGGAAACATCTTCTAAGTGTAAACCAATTTTGGGGGGTAATGTTTTCTTCCTATTTTTATTACTTAGAAACCTTAAAAATTACAGTGTTCGTCTGGTCAGAAAAAAAGGTCCTTTTTGCGGGGAGGATAGCATTGAGTTTGTGGGCTGGAAAATAAAAGTGGGGAGAGGGAACTTTATTCTCTTTTTCATTGGTGAATATCCTTAAAACATTTCTAAGATGTAGTTTCAGATTGGAGCTACTTAATTTAAGTAAAAAGAAATGATAGGTTAATTAAAGTGCATATTTTGGAGCCCAAATGTTTATTTTATATAGATCTTATATTTTGTTTCCAATTATCTTATTGTAGAATGAACTCTGTCGTTCTGTCAGGCATTGCGTAAATGTTAGACTGAGTATGTGCTTGTTTCCATGCGTATAGAAAATAGCGTCACACTCACTCAGTCTTCACAAATGAAAATGCCAGAGGAGGCAAGTAACAAGGAAGAATAACTCCAAGCCAAAACTCCTCAATTTAAGGCACTCTCGTTAATTAGAAGTTCTCATGGAAATTATTATTTATCCCTTTTTCTCTGTGTTAGGGGTCTGTACCTTTTTAAAGCCTGAATATTTCTAGCCACGACTAAGCAATGTCAGTGATGTTACTAGGGTCTAGTTGTCAGGGTTAGGGCTAAGGAGTGGGTGAGATGGGAGAGGAATAGGGAAAGGAAGGAGAATTGAGTGAGTCGGAGAAAAGAGTGAAATGAAGATGAGGAGGAGAGAAAAGATACAGGGTCTTTAGTGTGTAGCATGGAGCCATCATCAGTTGTTTCAGGTAGTTCTTAGGGCTGCTGGATGCCTTGTGTGCTAGACTGAACTATGGTGAAATGAAGTAAAAACTGTTCTTGACAAGCAAAACGAGAGAATTAAAACATAATTTAATATGATATAGAAAGATCTGCAAGGCAGACAGTTAAGTGATGAAAGCAAGATGCAGAACAGTATGTATGATTTGATACCCTTTGTGTTTTTTGGAAAAAAAAAAACAGGAGAAAAAGATAATTTGCATTGGTGTATGTATGCAAAAAAAAAAAAAAAAGATCTTTAGGGCTGGGCATGGTGGCTCACACGTGTAATCCCAGCACTTTGGGAGTCCAAGGTGGGTGGATTACCTGAGGTCAGGAGTCTGAGACCAGCCTGGCCAATATGGTGAAACCCCGTCTCTACTGAAAATATAAAAACTAGCTGGGGCATGGTGGCACACACCTGTAATCCCAGCTACTTGGGAGGCTGAGGCAGGAGAATTGCTTGAGCCCGGGAGACGGAGCTTGCAGTGAGCTGAGATCACGCCGCTGTCCTCCAGCCTGGCTGACCAAGCGAGACTCTGTCTCAAACAACAGCAACAACACAAACCTTTAGAAGAATAAATAAGAAAATGGTGGCACTGGTTACCTGTTAGGTCTAGGAATTGTTCAGGTAGAGGACAGAGTAGGAAGGAGACTTCTCATTGCATTATATCTTTTTACACTTTCTGATGTTTGTATCAGATTTTAAAAATTAAATAGAAAATTGAAAATTTTAGCTGGGCGCAGTGGCTCACGCCTGTAATCCCAGCACTTTGGGAGGCCGAGGCGGGCGGATCATGAGGTCAGGAGATCGAGACCATCCTGGCTAACACGGTGAAACCCCGTCTCTACTAAAAATACAAAAAAATAGCTGGGCGTGGTGGCAGGCGCCTGTAGTTGCAGCTACTTGGGAGGCTGAGGCAGGAGAATGGCGTGAACCCGGGAGGCGGAGTTTACAGTGAGCCGAGATCGTGCCACTGCACTCCAGTCTGGGCGACAGAGGGAGACTCCGTCTCAAAAAAAAAAAAAAATTTTAAAGAACAGCATCTCAATCCTTCCTTTTCTTCTCTTTCTGTGTCTGGAAGTCAGAGAAATGGCAAGGGTTCTAACTGAGAGAATAGTTTTTTTGTTTTTGTTTTTGTTTTTTTGAGACGGAGCCTCACTCTGTCACCTAGGCTAGAGTGCAGTGGCGCAATCTCGGCTCACTGCAAACTGTGCCTCCTGGGTTCATGTCATTCTCCTGCCTCAGCCTCCCGAGTAGCTGGGACCACAGGCGCCCGCCACCACGCCCGGCTAATTTTTTGTATTTTTAGTAGAGACGGAGTTTCACCGTGTTAGCCAGGATGGTCTCGATCTCCTGACCTCATGATCCGCCCAACTCGGCCTCCCAAAGTGCTGGGATTACAGGCGTGGGCCACCGTGCCCAGCCGAGAGAATAGTTCTTGAACAGTGGTTGAGGGGATACACACGCAAAAGGGCCCATAATCTAGGACATGTGTTCTCTTGGGATCTTCAAGAATTTTGAATTTATAGATGTATATTTCTAGTATTGAACTGCAAAGTCAGGCATTAAAAAATTTAACTTGGCCAGACGCGATGGCTCACGCCTGTAATCCTAGCACTTTAGGAGGCTGAACAGGCAGATCGCTGGAGCACACGAGTTTGAGAACAGCCTGGGCAACATGGCAAAACCCCATCTCTACTAAAAATACAAAAGAAAATTAGCCAGGCATGGTGGTGTGCACCTGTAGTTGCAGCTACTTGAGAGGCCTAGGTGGGAGGATGGCTCGAGCCTGGGAGGTGGAGGTTGCAGTGAACTGTGATTGCGCCCCTGCAGTCCAGCCTGGGTGATAGAGCCAGACCTTGTCTCTTGTCTCATTAAAGAAAAAAAAAAAATTAACTTGTTCTTAAAGTTTTAGTAAAAACAGGTTTTCATTGTATATCCCCTTAAGTTAGCAATTAGATATAATCTCAGCATTCTTCTTCCTTTTTTTTTTTTTATGAGACAAGAGTCTCGCTTTGTTGTCCAGGTGATCTTGGCTCACTGCAACCTCCACTTCCTGGGTTCAAGTGATTCTCCTGCCTCAGCCTCCCAAGTAGCTGGGATTACAGGCACCTGTCACCATGGCCAGCTAATTTTTTTTTTATTTTTAGTAGAGATGGGGTTTCACCAGCTTGGCCAGGCTGGTCTTAAACTCCTGACCTCAGGTGATCCACCCGCCTCGGCCTCCCAAAGTGCTGGGATTACAGGCATGAGCCACCGTGCCCGGCCTAATCTCAGCACTCTTAACCGTGTGACTTTGGGCGATTTTCTTAATCTCTCTGAGATTCAGGTTCCTCCTTCATACTGGAAATAATAACACTTACTTCAGAGGACTTTTGTATTATATCTGTAAAGGACATAGGGCAGTGTTTGGTTCAGTGGACTACTACTGTTCTTATTGTAATTACTAATTTTTTTTTTTTTTGAGATGGAGTCTTGCTGTGTCGCCCAGGCTGGAGTTCAGTGGCACGATCTCGGCTCACTGCAACCTGTGTCTCCTGAGTTCAAGCAATTCTCCTGCCTCAGCCTCTCAAGTAGCTGGGATTACAGGCGCATGCCAGCATGCCCGGCTTATTTTTCTATTTTTAGTAGAGACGGGGTTTCACTATGTTGGCCAGGCTGGTCTCAAACTCCTGGCCTCAAGTGATCCACCCGCCTTGGCCTCCCAAAGTGCTGGGATTACAGGCGTGAGCCACCACGCCAGCTCTTATTGTAATTACTGTTAATAATAGCTCCTCATACACTAGTGGTGAGAGAGAGGGCTCTGGCTATGTGATACTGGGTAAGCTCATTAACCTCTTAGAACCTTGGTGTCCACACTGTAAAAAGGGTATAATGATAGTACCTAGATCCTAGAGTGGACTTTATAAGGATTAAATGAGTTTATTCACGCAGAGTGTTTAGAACAGCACCTGGTAGGTACTTAGTAAACCTGAGCTGCGAATTTTCTTATGACATCTGTTTGCTAAGGCTGCTGCCACAGAGTGACATATGCTGAGTGGCTTAAATAACAGAAATTTATTGTCTCCCTGTTCTGGAGGCTAGAAATCTAAGGGCAGAGGCATGCTTTCTCTGAAGCAACTGGGACAGGATCTGTTTCAAGCCTCTCTTCTAGCTTCTGGTGGCAGCATAACTCCAGTCCTTATGTAGAGTTCTCCCTGTGTGTATTTCTTTTGTTTTTTTAGACAGAGTCTTGCTCTGTTGCCCAGGCTGGAGTGCAGTGGCATAATATCGGTTCACTGCAACCTCTGCCTCTCAGGTTCAGGTGATTCTCCTTCCTTAGCCTCCTAAGTAGCTGGGATTACAGTCACGTGTCACCATGCCCAGGTAATTTTTTGTATTTTTTGTAGAAACAGGGTTTCACCATGTTGCCCAGGCCGGTCTTGAACTCCTGACCTCAGGTGATCTGCCTGCCTTGGCCTCCCAAAGTGCTGGGATTACAGGCATGAGCCACAGCACCCAGCCTAAATTTTGTATTTTTTGTAGAGACAGGGCTGCACCTTGTTGCCCAGGCTGGTCTCAAACTCCTGACCTTAAGTGATCTGCCCACCTCAGCCTCCCAAAGTGCTGGGATTACAGGCGTGAGCCACGGCGCCCAGCCTCCCTGTGTGTATTTCTTTGTGTCCACAATTTCCCCTTTTTTATAAGGACAAGTCATATTGGGATTAGAGTCCTCTCTGATGACCTCATTTTAACTTTATGACCTCTTTGAAGATCCTATCTCTTTTTTTTTTTTTAGAGTCTCTCTTTGTTGCCCAGGCTGGAGTACAGTGGGGTGATCTCAGCTTACTGCAACCTCCTCCTCCTAGGTTCAAGTGATTCTTCTGCCTTAGCCTTCCAAGTAGCTGGAGTTACAGGTGCTCGCCACCGTGCCTAGCTAATTTTTACATTTTTGGTAGAGATGGGGTTTCACCACATTGGCCAGGCTGGTCTCGAACTCCTGACCTCAAGTGGTCCACCCACCTCGGCCTCTTAAAGTGCTGAGATTGCAGGCGTGAGCCACTGCACCTGGTCTGAAGATCCCGTCTCTAAGATCACATTCTGAGGTACTGAATGTTAGGAGTACTACATATCTCTTTTTTTTTTTTTTTTTTTTTGAGACAGGGTCTCCCTTTGTCATTCAGGCTGGAGTGCAGTGGCACTTGGATCACTGCAACCTCCAGCCCCCTAACCCCTGGACTCAAGTAATCCTCCCACCTCAGCTTCCTGAGTAGCTGGGACTACAGGTGCACACTACCACATCTGGCTATTTTTAAATATTTTTAGTAGAGATGGGGTCTTGCCATGTTGCCCAGGCTGATATTGAACTCCTGAGCTCAAGCGATCCTGTGGCCTTGGCCTCCCAAAGTGCTAGGATTACAGGAATGCGCCACTGTGCCCAGGCCCCTGGAGTACTACATATCTCTTTTGGGGAACACAATTCAGCCCAGAACAGGTGTATATCATTTATCATGGGTACTAGACCCTCGACACCTACACATAGGAAATGAAAATTTTGGTGCAAATTGATAGCATGACTTAAAGAAGTAGATTATTTATTTAGCTTCTCATGTATTTATCTTTAACAAGATTTTTGTTTTATCTTTGAAACTTTTTTTTTTTTTTTTTTGAGACGGAGTCTTGCTCTTTTGCCCAGGCTGGAGTGCAGTGGCGTGATCTCGGCTCACTGCAACCTCCGTCTCCTGGGTTCAAGCAATTCTCCTGCCTCAGTTTCCCCAGTAGCTGGGATTACAGGTGCCCGCCACCACATCTGGCTAATTTTTGTAGTTTTAGTAGAGATGGGTTTCACCATGTTGGCCAGGCTGGTCTCGAACTCCTGATCTCAGGTGATCCACCTGCCTCGGCCTCCCAAAGTGTGTGAGTCACCAAGTCTGGCCCATACTCTTGGTTTTCTTTGCAGACTTTTTTCCTCTTTTGCTCCTAAAAACATTAGTATTTGCCTTCCCTTGACCCTTCTTCCTCTCACCCTGTGCAGTTTATGAGGAATGCCTTAGATAAACTTGTGCCTCACTTGCCGTCTATATGCCGATGATTTGCAAATGTGTGTTTTTCCAGCTCTGACTAGTTTTCTGATCTCCAATCCCATATACACAGTTGCTTCCTGGACATCTCTACTTGGATGTCCTATGGGCATTTTATTTTATTTTTTTATTATTATTATTACTATTGAGACGGAGTCTCGCTCTATCCCCCAGGCTGGAGTGCAGTGGCACGGTCTCGGCTCACGGCAGCCTCTGCCTCCCAGGTTCCAGCGACTCTCTTGCCTCAGCCTCCGGGTAGCTGGGATTACAGGTGTGCGCCACCACGTCCGGCCAGTTTTTGTATTTTTAGTAGAGATGGGGTTTCACCATGTTGGCCAGGCTGGGCTTGAACTCCTGACCTCAGGTGATCCACCTGCCTCAGCCTCCCAAAGTGCTGGGATTACAGGCGTGAGCCACTGCATCTGGCCATCTTATGGGCATTTTAAAATGATCTTATCCACTTCCCCAGTCCAACCTCTTCCTATCTTCGTATCTTAGTGAGCGGTAGTGTCACCCAGCCAGTCACTCAAATCAGGGATTTGAGAGGCCTCTGGGTTCCTTCTTGTGCCATTCTAGTCACCACATTCTTGAGATCCTAGCTCATAATATTTTCCTAGTCATCCTACTTCTCCTTTTTGAGTCCAGACCTTCATCGCCCTTTTGGCTGCGTGACCTTCTGTTGTCTTGTAATCATTCTCCTTGACTGCTTTCTCTCTTCCAAGTCGCTGCCAACATGATCCTTGTAAAATGCATGTTCAAGCGTATGATCATATCCCTCCCTCTTCCACCATGGCTCAACTAGCTTTGAAGGTAGAGTTGAAATGTTTTGCCAGATCATCTCTCCACTTCTTCCTGAGCATCCTGTACGCAGTAGTACAGATAGCTTGTGCCCAGTTCCTTCTGTGAACCCTGTTGTTCTTTGCCTCTGGGTCTTCACACAAGCAGTTACCTCTGCTTAAGATGGACTCTACCCTGTTCTGGAAACTTACTCCCCCTAGTCTTTAATAACAGTAGTGGCTGGTCCAAGTATATTGGTGTTTACTATTAATTGATCACAGCCAGTTACAGATTTCTTTGTTCCTTCTCCACTCCCACTGCTTCACTTGATTAGCCTTAAAACAAAATAACAGTAGTGATAATAGTAATAACAGTAGCTGACACTGAGTGCTTCCTCTGGACCCAGGTATTATCACTTTATGATCAGAGTTCATAAAGAAATACAAATGACCAAGAAGCATATGAGAAACATTTTTATTCTGATAAATAATCAAAGGAATGCAGATTAAATGACATACTATTTTTTACCTATCAGATTTGCAGTTGACTGTGCTGTCAAAGGTGGTAAGGGGACAATCTCTGAAACTGTTAGTGTGTGTGCATGTGAGTGTGCATATGCAGACCTAGCACTTCTATTGTACTGATTGCTAGTTTGCTCCACTTTGAACCCAGCTAGTGTCTAGGTTCTTTGAGAGTGAGGACTTGCTCTTGTCTTTTATCCTCACTGCTTGCTGTTTTTGTTTCTTTTTTTTTTGAGACGGAATTTCGCTCTTTGTTGCCCAGGCTGGAGCGCAACGGCGCGATCTCGGCTCACTGCAACCTCTGCCTCCCAGGTTGAAGTGATTCTCCTGCCTCAGCCTCCCAAATAGCTGGGATTACAGGTGCCTGCCACCACGCCCAGCTAATTTTTGTATTTTTAGTAGAGACAGGGTGTCACCATGTTGGTCAGGCTGGTTGCGAACTCCTGACCTCAGGTGATCCACCCCCCTCAGCCTCCCAAAGTGCTGGCATTACAGGCGTGAGCCACCATACCCGGCCATCACTGCTTGCTCTTGATGGCACTTAGTAAATGAGTGTTAAAGACTGTATTGCTGGACTTGGGACATGCATCTTTAGGAGGGTATCAGTGGAAAAGCTGAGAGTCACATGCATTTGCCAGTCTTGGCCTTACTCTTTGGATCTATTGGTCCCAGTCTGATAAGTGCAAGCAACTTTGGAATAAGGATTGCCAAGAATTAAGATTTTTAATACTCTTTCTTTGAATGCTAAAGGGCAAAAGTGTTTTTGTTGTTTTTGCTTTTGGAAAAAGAGAACTAGTTTGCTGACCACCCAGTGTCATTTGGTAATTTAGAGTGTTTTCACATAGTTAAAGTATAGGGAAATGAATATTTAGGTCTGTGATGTTTATATGTGCCAGGTAGTATATTTGGCAGGGAATTGATTTTTAGAATTGTTTGTGACATTAGTTCTTGCATATTAGTTTTTTTTTTTTTAAATGGAGTCTCACTCTGTTGCCCAGGCTGGAGTGCAGTGGCGCAGTCTCGGCTCACTGCAACCTCCACCTCCTGGGTTCAAGCAATCCTCGTTCCTCAGCCTCCTGAGTATCTCGGACTACAGGCACGTGCCACCACACCCGGCTGATTGTTATATTTTTAGTAGAGACAGGGTTTCACCATGTTGGCCAGGCTGGTCTTGAACTCCTGACCTCAGGTGATCCACCCACCTCGGCCTCCACAAAGTACTGGGATTACAGGTGTGAGCCACTGCACCCCGCCTAGTTCCTGCACATTAGAAAACGTTTGGGCCGGGCACGGTGGCTCACGCCTGTAATCCCAGCACTTTGGGAGGCCGAGGCGGGCCCATCATGAGGTCAGGAGATCAAGACCATCCTGGCTAACATGGTGAAACCCCGTCTCTACTAAAAAAAAAAAAAAAAAAAAAATTAGCCGGGCGTGGTGTTGGGTGCCTGTAGTCCCAGCTACTCGGGAGGCTGTGGCAGGAGAATGGTGTGAACCCAGCAGGCGGAGCTTGCAGTGAGCTGAGATCACGCCACTACTCTCCAGCCTGGGCCACAGAGCGAGACTCCGTCTCAAAAAACAACAACAACAACAACAACAACAAAAAACAAATAAAACGCTTGTCCCCCTTGCCTTCTCCATCACAGCTCTGTTAAGTATGAGTTTAGATACACAGTATTTTCTTTTTTATTACCGTGTATAATTTGTATTTGTAGCAGCAGCCCAGAAGACAGGCAAGCGTATGGTTCTAGCTCACTTTTTTTTACTGGGCACTTGATGGTGGTGGTAATTTATCTGTCAGCAGGGGGAGCTGCAGTTGCTGATATTTAAATGATTCCATCTCAGCTGGTTTTCCACAGAAAGTTTGTCGGCCAAGAGAAAGAAAAGTTTTGCTGGCAAAGAACATGATCAGAGTTCATAAGGAAGAAATACAAATGACCAAGAAGCATATGAGAAACATTTTTATCCTGATAAGTAATCAAAGGAATGCAGATTAAATGACATACTCTTTTTTTAACCTATCAGATTTACAGTTGACTGTGCTGTCGAAGGTGGTGAGGGGACAATCTCTGAAACTGCTAGTGGAGTGTGCATTGGGCCTAGTTTTTTTGAAAGATATTTTGGCAACATATATTGGCAAAATTAAAAACGTTCTTTAATTCAGTAATTGCACATCTAGGAATTTATCCTAAAGGGGAAAAATTAAGATACATAGAAAGATTTGTGAACAAAGATGTTCATTGTAACATTATTCATATTAGTGAGAATTGAGAATAAACCTAAATGAGCAGCAAGATTTATAGGAAAATAAATCATGGTATATTTAAGGATGGACATTTACAACCATGGAATAGTATTTGAAAGAATTTTTCTGGCCGGGTGCGGTGGCTCATGCCCGTAATTCCAGCACTTCAGGAGGCCGAGGTGGGCGGATTATGAGGTCAGGAGATCGAGACCATCCTGGCCAACATGGTGAAACCCCATCTCTACTAAAAATACAAAAATTAGCTGGGCGTGGTGGCACGTGCCTGAAATCCCAGCTACTCAGGAGGCTGAGGCAGGAGAATTGCTTGGACCAGGGAGTTGGAGGTTGCAGTGAGCTGAGATGGTGCCACTGCACTCCAGCCTGTTGACAGAGCAAGTCTCTGTCTAAAAAAAAAAAAAGAATTTTTAATGTCTTAGGATGTTGAGTAAATGATAAATGAAAAATTCAGGGTGCAGAGCTATATAAGGAGCATTCTAAGTGTATAAAGATAAGGAATGTATATATGTTCTAGTATAATATGTATGTATATATTACACACACATACATACTGAGGTAAAAGAATGGAAGGAAGTCTATACCAACCAGCCTCCTTGAGTCTGTCTGTCCGGGGTCTGTCCAACCAATTGTTCTGTCTAAATTGGCACCAAGTGATGTTTTCAGGTGAAACATTGTTATCTGTTAAGATGTTAACCTCAGAAATTTAGGGCCTCACGTCTGATAGCACTTCTATCCTGTAGGACCTGAATGGACCTAATATACCTACATTTATCCGAGCACTTGAATCTATTTTTAACTTGTAGATTGTGGTAACACAATCCACAAGTTTCTTTTATCTGTTATATAAAGAAATACTTTTCAAGCATAAAAGGTGAATAAATTAGTATTTACCATATTGATACGTTTTCTGATTTTGATCACATTGCCCCTTTGCTTTCATGTTTCTCAACTGAAGATGCTTGACTTTTTAATTTAATCTCCAGTGAAACCTCCTTCCAGGATCTTTGTCAGCATTGCTTTCCCTTTCTGGATTTATGATAACTACTCAGAACTGCATTTTAGTTATAACTACACTGTGATTTGGTAGAAGGATAAGAAAATATGTTCTATTTACAGCAAGCTTGTCCGACCCATGGCCCACAGGCTGCATGCGGCCCAGGACAGCTTTGAATGTGGCCCAACACAAATCTGTAAACTTTCTTAAAACATTATGAGATTTTTTTTAAGATTTTCTTTTTTAGCTCATCAGCTATTGTTACTTTAGTGTATTTTATGTGTGGCCCAAGACAGCTCTTCTTCCAGTGTGGCTCAGGGAAGCCAAACGATTGGGTACCCTTGATTTACAGTTTTTTCCTAATAGGATTTGGTCCTCCCTCCCTCCCTTTTTTTTTTTTTTTTTTTGCATAGAACATCACATTGTCTTTAGGGAATATTCTATAATTATTCAAAAATTCCTTTTTTGACTTGAAGGCATGAGTCTTTTAAGTATAGCTTAGATTTTTTTTCCTGTAAATGCCTTACTTTTCATTTGTCCATGCTGTAACATACCTGCCATTTCCTCGCATGTAATTTTTTAACACTCATATCTCAGTGGGCTCTTAGAGGTAATCCAAGGTAAGAACCACCTTTTTAGTTAGGTCTGATGGTTAGAAAGCTTGAGTTGAAGCGTGCCCTTCTGGAATTGCCACTTTGGGCCCAATTTTGTCTACACGGGAACTGCTTAGAGCAAGTCTGGTTTGTCTTCTGCTAGATAACCCTTCACATATTTAGACAGCTTTTATACTTGCCAAAGCATTCTCTAAGCTGAATATAAATCTTAGTTTTTGCAAATGTTTCTCATTTAATATATTTAGAAACCCTTTCCATCACTCCGTTCCCTTATTTTTCCAACTCGTGTGGTATTTCATTATTAGGAATCTCATCATCCCATCTGCAAAATGGGGAATTCTCTGTATATTTTTTGTACAATATATTAAAATGTTAAATATAGCATTTCTAAAAAAATTTTCAATCTTCTGTTTTTACTTCTTCATTTGGGGAAGTACCTCAGCATCTACCTATAATTTTCTGTGTCTCAGTTATGTCCAGTCTACAGTAAATGTTCTCATCCTGTGGCCACTCAGGTCTTTTTTTTTTTTTTTTTTTTTTTTTTTTTTGAGACAGAGTCTCACTCTGTTGCCCAGGCTGGAGTGCAGTGGTGCGATCTCGGCTCACTACAACCTCCGCCTCCCGGGTTCAAGCGTTTCTCCTGCCTCAGCCTCCCGAGTAGCTATGACTACAGGTGCTCACCACCACACCCAGCTAATTTTTGTATTTTTAGTAGAGTTGGGGTTTCACCATGTTGGCTAGGATGGTCTCGATCTCCTGACCTCATGATCCACCCGCCTCAGCCTCCCAAAGTGCTGGGATTACAGGCATGAGCCACCGTCACCCAGCCACACATATTTATTTTCTCAGAGAATTTGGGTGAACTGGTGTGGTGTGATGTCCACTTTTAGAATCCATGTTGTCTTTTCCTCAGAAGGTTATTCATGCTGATATGTCTTCTGAGCCCATCTTTATTAGAGATTTGCTAGTTTGGGCAGTTTGAAGTTGCAGCCTACTTGAGTAGATGGAAGTTACTTTGATGACAGCATTTTTTTGTTCGTTTTGGTTCAGCACATACTTATTGAGTACCTAATATGTCAGAAGTTGAGCAAGGAAAATATTGATAAAGGAAAAGTGGATTCTATCCTCCTGGCATTTAGAGAAGGTCACTCATATGACCGTCAGCTAATATGTTCTGTCCTGCAGTTTAATAATTTATACTTAAATGCCTTTAAAACACAGAGAAGGGGCTGGTCGTGGTGGCTCACACCTGAAATCCCAGCACTTTGGGAGGCCGAGTTGGGTGAATCACTTGAGGTCAGGAGTTTGAGAACAGCCTGGGTAACATAGTGAAACCCTGTCTCTACTAAAAATACAAAAATCAGCCAAATGTGGTGGCACATGCCTGTAATCCCAGCTACTTGGGAGGCTGAGGTGGGAGAATGGCTTGAACCCGGGAGACAGAGGTTGCAGTGAGTCGAGATGGTGCCACTGCACTCCAGCCTGGGCAACAGAGTGAGACTCTGTCTCAAAAAAACAACAACAAAAAACCCATGGAGACTATTTTGGGTCTTCATGACTACCTGACATCTGACATATCAGTTTGAGGAATTTAGTATATTTAATGATGCATTTGATTCACTATTAGAGATTTGTATGCTTATTAAGAGTAATTTAGATAGCTTTTCCCCTCTACCTTCCCCAGTAAATATCGAAGCAAATAAGAATTATATAATATCAGCTGTCTTGCTTTTTATCAATCCCACTTATCAAGTGACCCATCCAGTTTTATTTGGCATCGAGCTTTTTATGTATTTAAACTGTCTCTTAGGTGACTTTGCATTTTCTTTTTTTTTTGAGATGGAGTTTTGCTCTTGTCACTCAGGCTGGAGTGCAATCGGCGCAATCTTGGCTCACTGCAACCTCCGACTCCCGGGTTCAAGCAATTCTCCTGCCTCAGCCTCCCAAGCAGCTGAGACTGCAGGCATGCGCCATCACGCCTGGCTAATTTCTGTAGTTTTTGGTTTTTTTTTAGTTGAGATAGGATTTCACCATGTTGGCCAGGCTGGTCTCGAACTCCTGACCTCAAATGATCCGCCCCACTCGGCCTCCCAAAGTGCTGGGATTACAGGCGTGAGCCACTGCGCCCGGGCTGCATCATTTTGTTGTAAGGTTTTTTTTTTTTTTTTGAGACGGAGTCTTGCTGTGTCGCCCAGGCTGGAGTGCAGTTGCAGGATCTCGGCTTCCTGCAACCTCCGCCTCCAGGTTCCTGCACCCTCTGTCTCCGGTGGGCTGAGCTGAGGTGGGACAGACTGACGCGGAGAGGAAGGGAAGCCACCTGGCCTGAAGATCCTGTCTCTAAGATCAGGTTCTGAGGTGCTGAATGTTAGGAGTACTACATATCTTTTTTTTTTTTTTTTTTTTTGAGACAGGGTCTCCCTCTGTCATCCAGGCTAGAGTGCAGTGGCACTTGGATCACTGCAACCTCCAGCCCCCTAAACCCCAGGCTCAAGCAATCCTCCCATCTCAGCTTCCCGGGTAGCTGGGACTACAGGTGTGCACTGCCACACCTGGCTATTTTTTTATATTTTTAGTAGAGCCGGGGTCTTGCCATGTTGCCCAGGCTGATATTGAATTCCTGAGCTCAAGCGATGCTGTGGCCTTGACCTTCCAAAGTGCTGGGATTACAGGCATGTGCCACTGTGCCCAGCCCCTTGGAGTACTATATATCTCTTTTGGGGAACAAAAGTCAGCCCAGAACAGGTGTATGTCATTTATCATGGGTACAAGACCCTCAACACCTACACATAGGAAATGAAAATTTTGGTGCAAATTGATAGCATGACTTGAAGAAGTAGATTATTTCTTTAGCATCTCGTGTATTTATCTTTAACAAGATTTTTGTTTTATCTTTGAAACTTTTTTTTTTTTTGAGACGGATTTTTGCCTTTCACCCAGGTTGGAGTGCAGTGGTGTGATCTTGGCTCACTGTAACCTCCGCCTCCTAGGTTCAAGTGATTCTCCTGCCTCAGCTTCCCCAGTAGCTGGTATTACAGGCGCCTACCATCACACCTGGCTAATTTTTGTCTTTTTAGTAGAGACGGGGTTTCACCATGTTGGCCAGGCTGGTCTCAAACTCTTGACATCAGGTGATCCACCCGCCTCAGCCTCCCAAAGTGCTGGGATTAAAGGCATGAGCCACTGTACCTGGCCTTTTTGTATTTTTTGTAGAGATGGGGTTTTACCATGTTGCCCAGGCTGGTCTCAAACTCCTGAGCTCAAGCAGTCCCCGCACCTTGGCCTCCCAAAGTGTTGGGATTACAGGCCTGATCCCCTGTGCTCAACCTGATGAGATCTTTTCATGTGCTTATTGGCCATTCATATATCTTCTTTGGAGAAATGTCTATTTAAATTCTCTGCACATTTTAATTTTATTTTTATACACTATTGTTTTTTAGGCTAGGTCTTGCTCTGTCACTCTGGCTAGAGTGCAGTGGCCAATCGCAGTTTTCTTTTCTTTTTTTTTTTTTTTGGAGATGGAGTCTTGCTCTGTCACCCAGGCTGGAGTTCAGTGGCACTATCTTGGCTCACTGCAATCTCTGCCTCCTGGGTTCAAGTGATTCTCTGCCTCAGCCTCCCAAGTAGCTGGGATTAGAGGCACCCACCACCACGCCCAGCTAATTTTTGTATTTTTAGTAGAGATGGGGTTTCACCATCTTGGCCAGGTTGGTCTTGAACTCCTGACCTCATGATCCACCCGCCTTGGACTCCCAAAGTGCTAGGATTACAGGCGTGAGCCACCGCACCCGGCCCAATCATAGTTTCTGGAACTTCAAACTCCTGGACTCAAGGGTTCCTTCTGCCTCAAGCTCCTGAGTAGCTAGGACTACAGGTGTGTGCCACCATGCCTGGCTAATTGTTTTTTTTTATTATTATTAATTTATTTTGTAGAGACAGGGTCTTGCTATATTGCTCTGGCAGGTCTCAGAATCCTTGCCTCAAGGGATCCTCTCCTTCTGGTGTGAGCCACCATGCTCAGCCTTTGCCCATTTTAAAATTGGATTCTCTTTTTATTGTTGAGTTGTAAGAGTTCTTTAAATATACTAGATACAAATCCCTTGTGAGATACATGATTTGCAAATATTTTCTCCCATCTATGGGTTGTGTTTTCAATTTCTTGATGGTGTCCTTTAATGTACAAAATGTTATAATTCTGATGAAGCCAAATTTACTTGTTTTTTCCTTTGTTGCATGTGGTTTTGATGTCAGGCCACCAAATGAAATGAAGATTAGCTTTGTTTTCTTCTAGGAATTTTATTGTTTTAGCTGTTACATTTAGGTCTATAATCCGTGTTTAAATTTAATTAGAATTAATTTTTGTGTATGGTGTGAGATATAGTGGTCCAGCTTCATTCTACTGCATGTGAATATTCAGTTGTCCCAGCATGGTTTGTTGAAAAGACCATTGTTTGTTTCTTGTAGAGATGGGGGTCTTGCTTTGTTGCCCTGGCTAGTCTCAAACTCCTGGCCTCAAGCAATCCTCCTGTCTCAGCCTCCCCAAATGCTGGGATTATAGGTGTCAGCTACAGCACTTGGCTTAAAAAGACCATTCTTTCCTCCACTGAATTGTCTTGGCATTTTTGTCATAAAATCAATTGACTGTCAGTGTAAAGGTTTATTTCTGAACCCACACTTATATTCCATTGATCTGTATGTTTATCCTTATGCCACTACCACACTGTCTTGATTTCCATAGCTTTGAATTATGTTTTCAAATCAGGAAGTGTGAGTCCCCCAACTTTGTTTTTCCTATTCAAATTTCTTTTGGGTATGCTGGGATCACATTGATTCTGTAGATCAATTTAGGGAATATTGCCATTTTAACAGAGTTGTATCTTCTGATCCATTCTCATCCATGAACATGGGATATCTTTCCTTTTTTTTTTTTTTTTTTTTTTGGGGGACACAGTCTTGTTCTGTCATCCAGGCTGCAGTGAAGTACAGTAATGCAATCATGGCTCACTGCAGCTGTAACCTACTAGGCTCAAGTGATCTTCCCTCCTCAGCCCCCCAAGCAGCTAGGATTACAGGTGCATGCCACCACATCTAGCTCATTTTTGTATTTTTGTAGAGATGAGTTCTTGCCATGTTGCCTAGTCTGATCCTGAACTTCTGCGCTCAAGCAGCCCACCCACTTCAGTCTACCAAAGTGCTGGGATTACAGGTGTGAGCCATCACACCTGGCCTTTCCATTTAGTTAGGATTTCTGTAACTTCTTTTGTAATTTTTATATATCTCAGAGTATAAGATTGTCACTGCTTTTGTTAAATTTATTTCTAAGTCTTTTTTTTTTTTTTTTTTGAGACAGTGTCTCATTCTGTCACCTAGGCTAAAGTACAGTGGTGTGATCTCGGCTCATTGCAACCTCCGCCTCCTGGGTTCAAGTGATTCCACTGCCTCAGCCTCCTGAGTAGCTGGGATTACAGGCACCTGCCACCACACCCAACTAATTTTTATATTTTAGTAGAGACGGGGTTTCACCACGTTGGCTAGGCTAGTCTTGAACTCCTGACCTCAAGTGATCCGCCTGCCTCGGCCTCCCAAAGTGCTGGGATTACAGGTGTGAGCCATCGTGCTTGGCTTTCTAAGTCTTTTTTTTTTGGCGGGGGGATGCTATTGTAAGTGGAATTTTTAAAAACTTTTCATGTTCAGATTGCTTATTGCTTGTGTATAGAAATACGATTACTACTTGTATATTGAGCTTGTATCCTGTAACTGTGTTGGATGTGTTTATTGGCTCTAATAGTTTATTTGTGGGATTTTCTTAGGATTTTCTATATACAAGATTATATCATCTGCAAATAAAGGTAGTTTTCCTTCTTTTTTTTAAGCCTGAGTGATTTTTATTTCTTTTTCTTGCCTATTTGCCCTGGCCATAACCTTCAGTGCAGTGTTAAACAGAGTGGTAAGAGTGGATATCCTTGTTTTGTTCTTGACCTGAGGGAGAAAGCATTCAGGCTTTCTCCATTAAGTATGATTTTAGCTATGGGGTTTTTGTAGGTATTCTTTTTTTCCCCCATAGGTATTTTTTATTAGATTGAAGATGTTTTCTTCAATTTCTACTTTGTTGAGTGTTTTTATCATGAAAGCATGTTGGATTTTGTTAAGTGCTTTTTCTGCATCTATTCAAATGATCATGTGGTTTGTATCCTTTATTAATATGGTGTATTACATTAATTGATTTTCAGAAGTTAAGCCAACCTTGAATCCCTGGGATTAAGTCATACTTAGCAATGGTGTATAAGCCTTTTAATATGTTGCTGGATTCATTTTGCTTTGTTGAGGACTTTTACATCTGTATTCATAAGATATATTGGTCTGTAGTTGTCTTGTGATATCTATGTCTGGTTTTGGCATCAGAGTAATAATGGCTTTATTGAATGAGTTGAGATGTGTTCTTGGCTTCATCTTGGACTAATTTTGGTTGAACTTTGAACATTCATTTAGCAATTGTAAATTCTAATTGCCTAATTACTGAATGAAGATAATAATTAAAGATATAACTGTTTGTTTTTTTGAGATAGAGTCTTGCTCTGTTACCCAGGCTGGAGTGCAGTGGTGTGATCTCCGCTCACTGCAACCTCCACTTCCCAGGTTCAAATGATTCTTATGCCTCAGCCTCCCAAGTAGCTAGGATTACAGGCCCCTGCCACCACACTCAGCTAATTTTTGTTTTTAGTAGAGACTAAAGATACAAAAATTTTATCATGTTGGCCAGGCTGGTCTCGAACTCCTGACCTCAAGTGATCCTCCCAACTCAGCCTCCTCAAGTGCTGGGATTACAGGTGTGAGCCACCACACCCGGCCTTTTTGTTTATGTTTGTTTTAGAGATAGGGTCTTCCTATGTTGCCTAGGCTGGAGTACAGTGGCCTATGGTTTCAAGCACTCCTCCTGTCTCAGCCTCCCAAGTAGCTGGGACTAGAGGCACATGGCACACCCAGCTTGGTTGCCTTCCCCTGCTCCCCTACCCGTGAGACAGGGTCTTGCTATTTGTCCAGACTAGTCTAGAACTCCTAGGCTCAAGTAGTCTCTCCACCTCAGCCTCCCAAGTAGCTAGGATTACAGGCACATGCCACCACACTTGGTAGTCAACTATTTAAAAAACATCTATTATTTAACATTCAGGGTAGAGGTTCCAAGTATAGAACTTTAGATCCTTACTGCCTGCTTGGTTCCCTGGATTTTTTCTCCTAGTTTTATTTGGGGTACTTACTTTGTTATTTCATTTTGGTTATGCCATAAATAACACCCAATTTTAGCATTCCTGGGATGATTTAGGCAAGCTTCAGAAAAGAGTCCAGAAGAAAATGGAATTGGAAGCATAAAGCCACTAAAATTTTTTCATTGTTCTCTGATCATTTTTTAGCTTTGGATTTTTTGATCATTTAACGTATCAATGAGTAGAAAGGATTTTTCTTGACTACCACATAGCTTATAAAGTGACCGAGTATTCTTTCCTTAGAGATTCTACAGTGTTTAACATCCACTGGTACTCAGTATGTTTATGAATGAATATGTATTAATGGTAGGGCTTTTATAGGGTCTTATTTTACTGAAAATTGAAGATAATCATTCACATTTGGATTACAAGTGTTTGTGTTATGTTATAAACATTTAATGCCGTAGCCCAAATATTAACAAGCATGGTCATATTTTGGTATTGCCACGGTAGGTATTCTGGGAAGTGTGAGTAGTTGTTTTTTCCTACCCTCTGTGCTGAAGGATTTCTTTCTTTTTTTTTGAGACGGAGTCTGCTCTGTCGTTCAGGCTGGAGTGCAGTGGCGCGATCTCAGCTCACTGACACTGCAACCTCTACCTCCCGCTGGGTTCAAGCAATTCTCCTGCTTCAGCCTCCCGAGTAGCTGGGACTACAGGCGCATGCCACCACGCCTGGCTAATTTTTTGTATTTTAGTAGAGACGGGTTTTCACCATGTTGCCCAGGCTGGTCTCGAACTCCTGAGTTCTAGCAAACCACTGGCCTCGGCCTCCCAAAGTGCTAGTATTAGAGATGTGAGCCACCACGTCTGGCCTGAAGGACTTCTTATACCAAAGAAGATACAGTTTCATTTAACTATTTTATTTTATTTTTTCTGATGCTGGTTAAAGTTGGTTCATTTGGGACACATTTCATTAGATAAAATTGTGTTTAAATGTGATAGTGAGAATTTGGAATATGGTGGAAAATATTGAATATTATATTCTATAATTTTTGTCAGTCTAATTCAGAAACAAAAAAGATTGCAGTTGAGAAAATCATACATGATTTCTTTGTAAATGAGTTACAGAGATAAGACAGGACCTTTAGCATTTCCTGAATTCCAGTCATGTTCTCGGTAACTTATGGTCTCTTTTATAATATTGTACCCATGACAATTTATACGTTAGATTTCAGGTTTTATCTTCTGCCTGGAAGGATTACATTCAGGGGTTTTAGCCATGCATATTTATCTATAAATGGTCTAAACCAGTACCTCTTTATCTTTCCTTAAAGTACTTTTCAGGGTCTAGGGCTGTTTGGAGCTGTTTGTTACAAGCAGGACATATCTCTCTGAGGACTCCTTTTCTATCTTGAAACAGTGAGAATTCTGCCTTTTGCTCTGTATACATTGAATATCCCTTATCCGAAATGCTTGGGACCAGAAGTTTTTTGGATTTCAGATTTTTCAGATTTTGGGATGTTTGCATGTACATAATGTACTATCTTGGAGATGGGATCCAAATCTAAACATGAAATTCTATGTTTCATGTACACATTATGCACATAGCCTGAAGATAATTTCTTTTTTTTACCTTTTTCTTTAAGAGATGATGTCTCATACTGTTGCCCAGGCTGGAGTGCAGTAATGTGATCCTAGCTCACAGCAGCCTAGAACTCCTGGGCTCAAGTCATTCTCCTGCCTCAGCCTCCCAGGTAGCTGGTACTAACTGGTACAGATGCACGGTGCCAAGCCCAGCTAATTTTTTTGTTTGTTTGAGATGGGGTCTGATTCTGTTACTCAGGTTGGAGTGCAGTAGCGCCATCTCTGCTCACTGTAGCCTCCACCTTCCAGGCTCAAGTGATTCTCCCACCTTGGCTTCCTGTGTAGCTGGGACTACAGGTGCATGCCACCATGCCTGGCTAATTTTTTGTGTTTTTGGTAGAGATAGGTTTTGCTACATTGCCCAGGCCGGTCTTGAACTCCAGAGCTCAAGTGATTCACCTGCCATGGCTTTCCAGTGTTGGGATTACAGGCCTGAGCCACTGTACCTGGACTTAATTTTTTTTTTTTTTTCAGAGATAGGGTCTCACTATGTTGCCCAGGCTGGTTTTGAACTCCAGGGCTCAAATGATCCTCCCATCTTGGTCTCCCAAAGTGTTAGGATTACAGGCATGAGCTACCACAACCGACCAGTTTTATACAAAATTTAAAATAATTTTGTTCTTGAAATAAACAGTGTTTCTGATGGTTCAGAGAACCATCAGAAGCAAAGGTGTCACGTGTGGAATTTTCCATTTGAGGTGTCATGTTGGCACTCAAAAAGTTTCAGATTTTGGAGGGTTTTGAATTTTCAGATTAGGGATGGTCAACCTGTAATATATTTGTGTTTATTTTAACAAAAGTATATCTGATTTTACTATAATCCTTGATTAAATTGATACTCCAAAAAAGTTGCTCCTGCATATATTCAGTGGCTTTGGTTACTCCCCGTTTGTAGCTGTATGTTCCTGAGTGTACATAGAAACAAGTTCAAGAATCCAAGAATTAGTGGGTTAAAAATAATGTTCTAGGCTGGGCGTGGTGGCTCACGCCTGTAATCCCAGTACTTTGGGAGGCTGAGATGGGCGGATCACCTGAGGTCAGGATTTTGAGACCAGCCTGACCAACATGGCGAAACTCCGTCTCTACTAAAAATACAAAGATTAGCCGGGCATGGTGGTACGCGCCTGTAGTCCCACCTACTTGGGCAGCTGAGGTAGGAGAATCGCTTGAACCCAGGAGGTGGAGGTTGCGGTGAGCCCAGATTTTGCCATGCACTCCAGCCTGGCAGCCTGGGCAGCAGAGTGAGACTGTGTCTCAAAAAAAAAAAAAGTAATTCCCTTTCCAAGAATGGTATGCTGCTTCATTGGAGGAAACAGGTCTGCCATCTTCCAAAGTCCCTAGGTTTGCCATGCCATCAGAACAAGATTTTACAAGTTGCATCATAACTTAGAATCAGCAACTGACGTAAAAAGAAAAATATATATATATATATATTTTGAGACAGAGTTTCGCTCTGTCGCCCAGGCTGGAGTGCACTGGCGTGATCTCCGCTCGCTGCAAGCTCCGCCTCCCAGGTTCATGCCATTCTGCTGCCTCAGCCTCCCGAGTAGCTGGGACTACGGGTGCCCCCCACCATGCCCAGCTAATTTTTTGTATTTTTAGTAGAGACGGAGTTTCACCACGTTGGCCAGGATGGTCTCGATCTCCGGATCTCGTGATCTGCCCACCTTGGCCTCCCAAAGTGCTGGGATTACAGGCATGAGCTACCGCACCCAGCCTGTAAAGATATTTTTTAAGGTGTGTTTTGCCTTGTACACCTGCTGCCTCCTTTTCTCTTTGAACATTTTCCCTTCTGACTCACTTTTGTCAGGCCCTCCACAACTTGGCTGCTCACAGCTGCCTTGAAGTTCTGCATATTTACCTTTATGTTTCCTTTGGAAAAGAACTCAGGTAGTTTCTTGGTACATTTTGGCCAAATTCTGACACTCAGCTTTATTATCTGATAAAAAGTTTGGGTCCTGCGTAGATTGCTTAATCTGCAAAATCAGTATATTAGAATACTCCTTCTATGTTTGGTCATTGAACGTTCACACATTCTAGTTATTTGAGAATTTTAAAATATTCTAAAGTTAAAAACATTAGAATTAACTAAAATTCACCAAAATAATCAGGGTGTGTGTGTGTGTGTGTGTGTGTGTGTAAACTCATTGAGGAACTTTATTAAAATGTTCGTATAAAATCCTGCTTAAACTGCTTGCACTAGAAATGAGTGCTGGTAGCTGCTATTAAATCCACCACTGTGGAGAAGACCAACAATCTTGGGTGTTAGATTTTAACAATAGCTGATGGCCTGAGAGAACCTGACTTGTTTCTTTCAGTGATATAATTGTATTCAGCTGAGCTTTAATGTTGTCTTCTGAATTATCCTAAAGTAAATTATTTCTAGACTTACTAGTACATTTAGGTTTAACCTACAACAGTATTGTTCTCATTACTAACACAGTTAAATTAGGAGGCTGCCTAATAATTAGTTTTTCTTTTGTATGAATTATTGGGTCAGTTCTGTGGTGAGATGGCAAAATAATATCTTTATGTAAATCCTGCAGTTTGTATCAGTAGTATGAGGAGGAAAATATCTTGTTAGGTTGGATTGAAATGAAGGAATGCTATGCATTCTTGTAATACTTTGCCATTTATGAAATGCTTTTGTTTAATCTTACTGAAAGTTTGTTTCTACTGGATTCAGTCAGTACATAAAAATACTGTATGATATTTTGAATCAGCTAAGGCCTCCATTTAATGAAAAAAAATCTTGATTTCTGAGCTTTGTAGTCATTGTAATCAGTATGAGGATTTTCTTCTACTTGCATTTGGCTAAATCTTTATACTTGTGACACTGTGAAATAGGTAGTATGGTTTAGGTTTAATGCCTTTAGCATGTTTGCACATCCAGTTCACCAATTGAGTAGCACTGGTGAATTAGAAGTGGGAAAAGTGAGAATTGAAGACTGAGAGACCCTGATTCCAGCTTTGACGCTTTGGCAATCTCTTAACTGGCTTCTTTCTGTTGGCCTCATTTTCACACTAATAAAATGTGGCGGCTGAACATATTCCTTCTACATCCTAAATTTTTTGACTTAAATTTCTTAACTTTGGTTTAGTTGACTCTGGCTATTTAATATTTAGCTGGTTAAATATTAATGTGAGAACATGCCTCAGTTTCAGCTTAAAGATGTTTCTTTTATAATTTTAATATGGGTTTTTACATAGGTTTATGTGTTCATTTCTGTGATATCTAGAATAAATTCTTGAGCTTAATAGGTACTCACTAGATTTTTGTTGAATTAAATGTATTTGAAGTATTTAATGTGGCATTAGATTTATGATTGTAAATAATCATTCTCAGAATATGTTTTTAGGGAGCTAAAAGTATTTTTATATATAGTGTTATCTAAGTTCATGAATGAAAACATTGTTTGCTAGAGTCTAGACAGGGATTTTGTTTTTGAAACAGAGTCCCGCTCTGTCACTCAGGTTGGAGTGCAGTGGTGCGATCTTGGCTCACTGCATCCTCCACCTTGTGGGTTCAAGCGATTCTCCTGCCTCAGCCTCCCAAGTAGCTAGGACTATAGGCATGTGCCACAATGCCAGGCTAATTTTTGTATTTTTAGTTGAGACAGGGTTTCACCATGTTGCCCAGGCTGGTCTCAGACTCCAGGCCTCAGGTGATCCACTTGCTTCGGTCTCCCAAAGTGCTAGAATTACAGGTGTGAGTCACCACATCCAGGCTTTTTTTTTTTTTTTTTTTTTTTTTTTAATTAAAGTAGGTCCAAGTCCTAAGTAGATAGGTGTTTGAAGTTTGAATTAGGAAAGAGGTGCTGATTTTTGCTTCACTCAGATTTTAACCTTTAAAGTTTAGAACTGTGGAAAATAGCTTCATTCACTAATAATAATAGTTAAACTTAAGAGGTAGGTGGTATTACTATCTCCATTTTACAGAGCAGAATACGTACTTTGCCCAAAGTAACACAAAGAATAAGTGAGGGAGGCAGGATTAGAATCGGGCTACCTAGGTCCTGTGTGCTTAAGTACTACACTCTACCTTTTTCATTTATTCAGTCAGTTCTTATGATGTGTCTCTTTTGTGCCAGGCCCTGGGCTAGGTCCTAGGTAAGTAACCAAAAAAATGGGCCCCTGTGCTTTTGAAACTAAATGGCCTAGGCTTTAGAACTTGTCCTGAGTTAATATATAATAATTGCTTTTTCTTAAGTGCAAAAAAAGTTATTCATTGTCCTTTTGAGATTAGTTTGGACATACGAGGTACTGAATTTGTGAGATTATTCTGTTTAGGAATTTCTGGCTTGTTTAGAAGGTCTGTGGCAGGGAAGGTAGAGAGTGCCTTTTTGGAATACGTTTATTATCTATAGATGAGTTACAGATCTTAAATTAGAACAACCACAGTTCCTGCCTGCAAGGGCTTTCAGGCTGGCTTGAGGTGGCAAGACTGGTATATGAAAACAAACTCAGAGGAATTACAGACAGCATTTAACCAAGGGTAATGTAGTGCCAACTCTGTACATTATTGGTTCTTTTTTTGAGACACAGTCTCCTTCTGTCGCGTAGGCTGGAGTGCAGTGGTGTGATCTTGGCTCACTGCAACCTCTGCCTTCCGGGCTCAAGTGATTCTCATGCCTCAGCCTCCCGAGTAGCTGGAACTACAGGCGTGCACCACCATGCTTGGCTACTTTTTGTATTTTTAGTAGAGGCGGGGTTTCACCATGTTGGCCAGGCTGGTCTCGAATTCCTGGCCTCAGGTGATCTGCCTGCCTTGGCCTTCCAGAGTGCTGGGATTACAGGCATGAGCCACCACGCCCAGCCTACATTATTGTCAAGTGAAGTGAGTAGACGATAACAGTGGTGTGGTGGAATATAAGAGGATAACATGAGTTGTAGGTGGATTGGAGAGAGGAATTAACAAGGAATGGTGGTAATGAGGGATGGTCCTCTTTTTCTAGGTAGAGAGAACACAGACAAAGATGGATGGATACAGAGCTGTGTGTAAGAGGGAACACCTTTTCCTTTTTTCTTTCTTTCCTTCCTCCCTTCCTTTCTTTTTCTTTTTTTGGAGACGGGGTGTTGCTCTGTTGCCCAGGCTGGTTTGCAGTGGCGTGATCATGGTTCACTGCAGCCTTGACCTCCTGGGCTCAAGTGATCCTCCTGCCTGAGCCTCTGAGTAGCTTGGACTACAGGTGTATGCCACCACCCCCGGCTAAATTTTTTTATTATTTATTTTTTGAAGAGATGAAGTTTTGCTGTTTTCCCTGGGCTGTTCTCAAACTCCTGGGCTCAAGCAATACTCTCACATTGGCCTCTCAAAGTGCTGGGATTATAGGTGTGAGCCACCATGCCTGGCCATGGAATGTCTTTTCTGAGGAAGAAATAATAAGATTAGTTATATAAAATACTGTAATCATAAAGTAAGATACAAATACTAAAAAACATTAGAACTCAATCATTGTTTTTTGACTTCATTTATTATATAAGGAACCTAACTCAAATTGGCTTAAGCAATTAATAAATGTTTATTGTTACATTGTTGTAATGTGGCTGGAAATCCAGAAGTCATACAAATTGTCAGGATTGGTTGATACAGTGGCTTAATGCTATCACCAAGGACCAACTCTCTATTCCCTTTGATGTTGGTGGCATCTTCAGGCTTGCTGCAAAGGTGACTGTAGCAGTTTGAGGTGTCACTGTCTGAGGAAGAGGGACTGTTTTTTCCTCCATCATTTTTAGGATTGAAGAACCTTTTCTCACAGTTCTCTTTTGGAGGCTGTCCAGGGGGCTTCTACTCACATCTCATGGCCATTCCTAACCAATCATTGGCAAAGAGAATGGGTTAAAACTAATCAGAATAGAGTGGATATTGGAGAGTCAACATGACTATTCCAAGAGTGATTTGAAATATGTTGGTGTTTTTATTTTTTTATCACTTTTCATTTTGAGATGGTCTCGCTCTGTTGCCCAGGTTGGACTACAATGGCATGATCATGACTCACTGCAGCCTTGACCTCCCAGGCTCAAGCAATCCCCTCAGCTTCTGGAGTAGCTGGGACTGTAAGCACATGCTACCACACTTGGCTAATTTAAAATTTTGTTTGTAGAGATAGGGTCTCACTCTGTTGCCCAGGCTGGTCTCTAACTCCGGAGCTCAAGTGATCCTCCCACCTCACCCTCCCAAAGTGCTGGGATTACAGGAGTGAGCTGCTGCACCAGGCCTTTTTCTTTAAATCTTTTTTTGTTTGTTTGTTTTATTTTGTATGTAGGTGTTTTCAATCAGCCTTTTGGACATCCACTATTTTTTGGGGGGAAATTTAAGAAAATTTGTTTCTCTTCATAAGATTTTTGTGTGGTGGCTCATGCCTGTAATGCCAGCACTCGAGTCCAGGAGTTCGAGACCAGCCTGGGCAACATAGGGAGACTCTGTATCTACCAAAACAAAAAGGAGTGAAAAAAATAACAGCTGGGCATGGTGGCATATGCCTGTAGTGCCAGCTACTCAAGAGGCTGAGGTAGGATCGCCTGAGCCTGGGAGGCTGCAGTGAGTTTGATTGCACCACTGCACTCTAGCCTGGGCAACCGAGCAGGACCCTGTCAAAAAAATAAAAGTACAAGTGGATGCCTAATAAGAAAGATGTCTGATTTTAGATAAGAATATACAACAGGTTGACTGATTTAAGTGCCATAAACCCTGTGAACTCTTGACTCTTGCACTAAGCAATGAGAGAAAGGGGAAACTGGAATTTATAGTTCCCCCAAATACATGGTTTTAAAAATGAGCATTTTCCAGTTTTCTCCTAATCCATTAGAAAAATATATTTCATATAATCTTGCTTATTTGGTTGCCTAATTAAATCTGACAGTTCAGTCTTAAAAATTTGGAGCAGCAGTAAGATTATTTTGTTATGGTGTGTCTGAATTTAATATTTAAGTATACGCTGCAAAGGGCTTTGCCTTATTTGGTATTTTTCATTCTGCTAATTTAGATTTCAGGAGCCTCAGATTGGGGCTCTAGTTCGCCATCTGTTGGTCCAATACCCTTCTACTGTATTTTGTGGAATTACTATTTATGTGTGTATGTGTGTACAATAAAAAAGTCAAAGTTTTTCCCCAGGGTTGTAAATTAAAAATCCAAGACTAAAGACCTCTTTTGGATGTGTATACAAATATTAGTTTATTCTTTGTGTAATTTGACCCTATGACTCCAAACTGCCTGCCTTTGGTATTTGAGAACTATGACTATGCTTGAGAGTGTGATTTTAGGAGTACAAATGGAAATTCGCAGAAACCTAGGTGCAGATGTTGCAGGGGCAGGTGAGTTAGTGTAACTTTGTGGGAAGACTAAAACCGTTCTGTAACGACTGTGAGGGTGTTTTTTGATAAGCAGAAGTGACGTATAATGCCGGATATTGGTTCTGGTAAGCCACAAAAAAGTGTGAAGCATTTTGCGTCTTCCTTTTTGGTAGTAGAGCATACATACCCTTCTTATCTGCCGAATTTGATGATTTAATGATTTGAACGATTTTTTCTTCAGTCATTTAAGCCAGTTTTGATGAATCCTAGATTAGTCTTTTAAATCTCAAGATACTCCACTCATCTTTTGGCAACTTTAAAGGGTGGTAGAATTACACTTTGTGTGACACTTTGTATTACATTATGTTTATGAATTCTTTAAGTCTAGGAAAGGTTCCATTATTTTAAAGGTCCTATTTTGGGGACAATATAAAGTTCTGTACTGATAAACTGGTCATGAGAAATGATAAGGTGCCACCACTTTAAACCAACTCTGGTAACGAGGTGGGAAGTTGGCTTTTTGTTGTGAGACTTGTGTTTCTTTATGGAGTTCTTTGTTAAACTTTTAGCATGGCAGTGAACTTCCTTTTGGTGGCGGCAGGAAGCATAAATACTCATTGTGTAATGCCATTTGCCTGTTTTGGCGGATCTGCCAAGCCATGACACCCAAAACAAGACGCGTGTTTCTTCACGAAAACTACAGTTCCCAGCGGGCCCGGCGCCGGCGGGGCCATCACTTCCCCTCTGGCTCCCGGCTGTCCCTTCCCGGGCTGGCCCGGCGCGGGCCCTGGCTGGGGCCTGCGCAGTGACTACGTGCACCCTCCCCACCCCGCCCAACTCTGGTGGCTGCGGAGCGCGGTGCTGGGGCTAGTGCCCAGCCGTGCTGCAGTATACGGAGGCTGGCTGCTAGGGACAAAGGGCGGGCGGCGGAAGCCGCTTCACTGGTCAGGGAGCTTTCTGCAGGGTTAGCCTTGGAATAGTGTGGTGCCGACGGCCTTACCCTCTTTACTACACAGTGCAAACAGTTCCTCGCTCACGTCCTCTCGCTCCGCGGCGCCGGCCCGCCCTGCCCCTCAACTGGCGAGCCGCACCGCCGGCCCCAGCACGGAGGGCATGTGACGGCGTCAGTGCCTCAGGTTAGACTCACCTCGGCCGCAGCGAGGGCTGGCTTCCCCCTGCCGCAGTGCTGCGTGCCGTCGCCGCACGTCCGGGGCAGCTGGGGCCGGGCGCCGCGGCCTCCGCAGATGGAGGTACAAAAACATCGGCCACGGCGAGGAGCCATGACTGAGGCGGCGGCGGCCGCGCCTCCTGGCGGCCCGCGGGGGCGGCGCGGCGGGCGCCCCCTGGCGGCGCGCCGGGGTGGAGCGGCCCTTCGCCGCCGCAGCCGCAGCCGGCGGAGGCGCTGCTGTCCCTCCTCCCCGTGTCCCCGGCGCTCGCCCGCTTGCTCGCTCGCTCCATTCTCCCTCCGCTTCAGATTAAAGGGGGGGAGGGAAAAGGAGCTCGGCCGCCATTTTCCCAGTGCCGCCGCCACCGCCGCCACCGCTCGCCGAGCCGGCGGGAGAACCGAGCACCGTAGCGAAGCCGACTCGTCTCGCCGCGGCGGCGCGGGGGGCGGCTGAAGCGCGCTCCCCGGCTGGAAAGAGGCGGCCGGGGGTGGCGGCCTGGGTGCGGGTTCGGGCTGCAGACGGCGGTGCTTGTTTGTGCGGGGCGGGGGGGCGGTTTCACTCTCTGCCCCCGCCCGCCCGCCCTCCCGGCCGGGCTGCGGTCTCCAGCCGTGCTCGGGCCCCGTCGGTGCGGAGCAAGGCCGGGAAAGGGCCCGAAAGAGAAGAAAAAGCAGCCGCTCCCCGCCGCCGCCTTCCCCTCCCCCTCTGCCTCGCCCCCCCGCCCGGAAAGTCAGGGCGGCTCCGGGCGTCGGGGGGAGGAGAGCGGCGGGCCCGGGCCGGAGCCGCCGTCGCGCGCCCCCGCCCGCCGCTGGCCCTCGGCGCCCAGGCCGGGGGGCTGTTTGCAAACTGCGCCCATTTTGTGGGGCTGAATCCGCCCGGGCTACGCTCCTCCATCACGTGGTAGGTGCTGCTGCTGCTCCTCTCCTCCTCCTCCTGCTGCCCTTTCTCCTTCTCCTCGCTCTCCCTGTGGCTCCCATTTCTCTCTCTCTTTGTTAGTTGTAACTAGAAAGGCAGGGCAGGGTAGAAAAATCCCCCGGAACTTTAAATGGCCTCTCCGGGCTTCCCTGCTGCGGGTCCGGGCTGGGAGTCGCCCCAAGGGCGGGGGTGTGCGGGGGCCCTTCCCCAGGAGCTGCCGCCTCGTTCGCCAGCTTTTCCTTTGGCGTTCTATTTAAAAAGGCGGCCTGAAGAACATGATTTATTCCCGTAAAAGAACCCCCCAAACAAACTCTGGCTCTCGCCTTGAACTTCTCTTGACTGCAAAAGGCCTTTCTCTGCTCGAAACACACATCTTGGCGCGTTGCACGGTTTGTATCACAACTCTGATTGTTTCATTTATTATTTTTGTTGCCTGTAAATTCAGGTCACTTACGTTTTCAGATGTAGTCTCCCTCAGGCGGACTTTTTTTTTTTTTAAACTAAAGAGGAAGAGGGATTTATTTGCTTTTAAGTGAGTTGGAATCTTAACTGCCTTTTTGGGGGCCTGTTTTCCGGCTGACGGTCTTTTGATTCTTAGCAAATAGTTTGTTTTCCATACGATAAACAGCGCTACTCCCGTGTCTTACTTAAAAATCCTCGTTTTCCAATGTTGGAATCCCAATGTGGATTTATAGAGAAACGTGCTACTTAACTATTGCTTACTGATTGCTTTAGGGGAGAAGGGGTGACATGATGGCGCCACTTTAAATTGCTCTCTTTCCTTTTCCTCGGTCCCCCCCACCCCCCTTTATCCTGGAGGTCACTGGAGCATTTTCTGTGACTTATTAATAAAACTGTACTTGAGGGTGTTAGAAGCACAACTCGTAGGGGCTGGAGTTTAGTGCTCCTAGGGTCGGCAGACCGACTGCCGCGGTCCCCAAAGTTCCGAGAAATCTCTCTTCCTCCAGCCTCGCCTCCCTCCCCTCCATTCACAATCCTGGTGTTGCCATCTCCTTTGTCACGTGGCTAGCAATCATTGTGTTTTTTTGTTTGTTTTGGGGTGTGTGTTTATATTTTTAAATTGCAGCTCAGAGGAACCTTTCCTTTTCGCTTTGGAGAGATCAAAACGTTTTACTTGTTTTAGTTTTAGAGTCGGAGAACATTTTAAAATAAACGATAAAATTACATAATCTTTGCCTTGCATAATCATGATATAGTTATAGATTGCTACTGAACTTCATTTTGAAAGTCCTTTCAAGTATGGAAACTAGTACGTTAGAATATGTTTTCCATTTGTCAGGATGGTCTGTAATTTCTGTTTTCTCTGCTTTTTGGGTCAGTTAAAGGACCACTATTTACAAAGGCTTAAGTGGGTGTGTTTTCCCTTTCCCCTTTCCTATAGGCTCTACTTGGTTCCTTTTCTAGCATGCTGTCTGACCAATTTAGAAAATTTCAATTGTCTACAGGCGTTGTCAGTTAAAACTATTTTTTTAACCTATCAACAGTGAATACTTTTGAGTAGTAATTGTTTTGTGCCTAATGCTAAGTGTATTTATTAGCATTTCGGTGTTGATCTAGAAAATTTTTACTTTTAATCCTGTAGTTTTAGAAGTATGTTATTCCTTTATCTGTTTCTTTATATCAGTTTTTCCCATAATTGGGTAAACTCCTATTTTATAAAATACGAAGTACATTTCTGGTTTTTTCTACATAGGTTACTAGACATTTTTTCAATTTGAAAAAACATTTTGAATTAAGAAACTTTTTTTTTAAAGTAAATACGAAATGTGGTTCTTGAGTATGCATTGATCCTGATTTACCATGTACATTGTCAATGGTTTGGACCATTTTCTTTGCTAACAGTTACATCATGTCATGTGATATGTGCAGTGTGATGTGTAGTTCTAAAAATAAGGCAAGGTAAAAATGCTCATCCCTTGGGAATTTAAAAAATGTATTATAAATGTGGAATAACTACCTTCAGTCATGAAATTCTGAATTGGATTTCCACTAGGTTTATGCAACAAAGTGTGCCGTTCCTTCGACCTTTAGCATATTTGGTGTATTTGTTAGTACCTCATAATTTGAGGTGATTGACTTTTTATTTTTTGAACTACTTGGAGGGAAACATTAAATGTTACAAAGGTTCTTAATGTCTATATTATGGTGAAGATGGTTGTCACTGATGGCCACCTCATTTGAGTATATACCAGTGTCTGTGATTGTGACCAGTTAAAAGAATGATCAGTTAAGAATTATTAGAGCCTTTATGGTAGGGTGGGATTTTCGGTCTTTCCATCTATATGAGTCCACTGAAGTGAAGTATTTTAGAAGTTTTCTTGCATCTTTTCTGAAAGCCACGTTCAGAACATTCGTATTTGACTTTGGTGCTTTACCAACGTGAGATGTTAAATTTTTGTCTGATTTTCTTTCTTCCTGCCTACACATGTTATTTCTCTGGTTAAACCTGCAGAGCACTCTTTGTTACGTGAGTGTTTCCTGTTGAGGAAAATTCTGGAAGTTAGAAAATGAGTAGGCCTTAGTTCACTTGTGAACTCATATCAAGGTGAGAAGAAAGTGAAGTAACTATACTAAACTTTTTTCTTCACTGTCACTAAGGCTACTCTTCCATCTCTAGTAATGCTACATTGTAACCAGTGTCTCTGCGTCTTCTGTAGAGGATTGAGTTGACCACAGGTTTTAATTGCATTTTAAAGTGAATAAGAAGTTTTAGGTTTGTTCTGTTCGTTATGACCTGATTTGTGTACTCTGTAAACATAGGGGTGTTGTGGTTGTTTGAGAAGGTATTTTAGTATTGAGAGGTTCTGATTAGGCCCCTTTGCGAGTAAAGCTTAGTTACCTTGTTATATCAGGCAAGCAATTTTTTTTTTTTTTTTTTTTGAGGCAGGGTCTCGTTCTGTCGCCCATGCTGGAGTGCAGTGGTGCTATCTCAGCTCATTGCAGTCTCCGCCTCCCAGGTTCAAGCGATTCTCGTGCCTCAGCCGCCTGGGTAGCAGGGACTACAGGCATGTGCCATTGGGACTACAGGCGTGTGCCACCATGCCCAGCTAAGTTTTGTATTTTTAGTAGAGACGGGGGTTTCACCATGTTGGCCAGGCTGGTCTCGAACTCCTGACCTCAAGTGATCCACCTGCCTCGGCCTCCCAGAAGTGCCGGAATTACAGGCATGAACCACTACGCTTAGCCTAGACAAGCAATTTTTAAAATGTGCTATAAAACACCAAACTAATCCACACTGGATTTTCTAAACATAGTAAACGCCATGTTTAAAGAGTAATGCGTATTCCTTTTATGTTTTTTCAGCTTGTGGGGAGATGGGTAGGGGCTATTTTTTTCTTCTTGGTGAGTCCATTAAGACACAGAAATAAGCGACTTTCTTGCTAGATAGATGTATATAGTTTTATTGTCCCTCTCCACCCCCCAACAAAGGACCTCTCCGTTCCATTCCTTGAGTTTAGAGGGGAGGGACTAGGGTAAACTGAATAAGTGGTTGTCTGTTGATTGCCCCAGAGTAAATCTTATTGAGTGGTTTAGAGATTTTGTTTCTTTTTCATTTTAGAGACGAGGTCTCGGGGTCTCGCTGTGATTCCCAGGTTGGCGTGCACAGATGTAATCATTGTGCGCTACAGTTTAGAGTGCCTGAACTCCGGGGCTCAAGTGATCTTCCTGCCTTAGCCTCCTGAGTAGGTTGAGCAACGGGAGCATATAACCTTGCTTGTCTTTTTTTTTTTTTTTTTTTTTTTTTTTTTTTTTTTGAGACAATCTTTGCTCTGTTGCCCAGGCTGGAGTGCAGTGGCGCGATCTTGGCTCACTGCAACCTCCACCCCTAGGGTTCTAGCGATTCTCCTACCTCAGCCTCCTGCGTAGCTGGCATTACAGGTGCCCACCACCACGCCTGGCTAATTTTTTTCTATTTTTAGTATAGATGGGGTTTTGCCATGTTGGCCAGGCTGGTGTTGAACTCCGGACCTCAGGTGATCCACCCACCTCAGCCTCCCAAAGTGCTAGGATTATAAGCGTGAGCCACCGGGCCTGGCCCCTTGCTTGTCTTATTTAGAGTTTTAAAGCAGCTTTCGTTGTACTCTTTCTTCATTTTAAATGTTCCTGCCTTGAGTGATTTGATTAGTCTATGTCTTGGGAAGCGTATTTTACCTTAGTGCCTCTTTACTTACTTACCTTAAGAAAGGAGTACAGGGCAGGTTCTTAAGTAAAATGGCCCCAGACACCTGGCTTGCCTACTGTGTCAGTGCAAAGAACACTTGGATCATGTCTTTTTCCTAAAATTGGACTTCATAACTGTTTCTTGGAAGTCTGTTTTAAGACTTTTTTAGTTCTCATGTTGCTTCTGAAGATGTATGTTTAAATTACAGTTTCTATGCTGATAAGTTGCGTATATACCTCTGGGCATACTAAAAGTTGTGCAGAACAATAGTTTATATGACAAGATAAGTTTCCCTCATCAGTACTTCCCATTCCCTGAAATGTGAGATCAAAACTCAGTTGAACCACACTATGGCTGTAGAAGACAGTATGAATTAGAAAAGACAAATATCCACTGTACTAGAGTTCACCAGCGTTTGAAGGCTATCAGAAGATATAGGAGGTAAGTGATATCCTTGGGTGTCACTTGCAGATTGAGGGGAGGATTGTGGGTCATAGGAGATGACTAGTATGGCAGGGGGTAACTATTATTATTTGTTTCTTTTTTAAGCCATGTGCCTTTTAGGATGTAGAACAAAATACATAGGAGAAAATAAGCCAAAAGGTGTGATTTACCAAAATACTTGGACTCCAAAAAGAGCTGCAATATATATTTTTTTTTATTAAGCATTTTCTTGTCTTTGGTAGAATAAAGGTAAAGCTAAAATAGAGTGCGGAAACTGACTTGACCAAAGTAGAAAACACAGCTCATGTTTATGAATCAAAAACAAATGAGTTTGGGCAGTCTGAAAGAAAAAAATCAAACATTTTATATGAAGATTTTAAACCTTTATGCAAAGAGTCCCTTTAAGGTGGAAGAGACCTTTTAAATAGAGTAGACCTTCCCCATTTAGTAGCACAATGCGGCAAAATAGTTGTTTAATAAATGTTACTTTCTGCAAGCCTTGCTTTTCCAAGATTTTAAGCTGCTTCCACAGTGTTAACATTTGAAAGCCCTCTACCAGGAAATTATTTAGCTGTGTATTTTATTGTTGCTGACTGTGAACTTACCCTTTTTTTTCCTGGCTGTAATTTTTTTAGAATTAAAGTTTCTTTCCAAGATTTTGAGGGTCAGGAAATGCAAAGTGGAGGTAGATTGAGTGCAGTTTTATCTAAATGTTATTTTAAAAACTCTGGTTCTTGTAACCTGAACCAGGAATCCAAAATGAGATCTTACTCTGAATTTTAATTACAGCAGATTCTGCTCTTATTTGGAAAAAGTTGCTTGAGTGACATCAAACTTAATGGAGTCCCTCACCTTTTAATTCCTTTTTAAAAAGGGGAGAGCTTAAGGTTAGACTTGGTTAAATTCAGTTGGAAGGTAAGTATTAGGGAATAAAAAAGAGGAATAACAATTTTGTTGTTAGGATGTTAAACCAAAAATTGCTAAGAACTCATATCTAGACTTTCCTCTTGCTGCTTGTTATTTGGCCTTTGTGACTGTTTGTTAGCACCTCCACCAGAGGGTGTGAAGGGAAAGAGGCTCAAAGCTAAGTACTGTAGCTAGTTTCTGGTTTCTAGTATAGGAGAGACACTTCATAGAAATACCAGCCTGGGCTGGGTGTGGTGGCTCATGCCTGTAATCCCAGCACCTTGGGAGGCCGAGGCGGATCACCTGAGGTCAGGAGTTTGAGACCAGCCTGGCTTAACATGGTGAAACCCTGTCTCTACTAAAAAAAAAAACAGCAAAAATTAGCTGGACATGGTGGCGCATGCCTGTAGTCCCAGCTACTCAAGAGGCTGAGGCAGGAGAATTGCTTGAACCTGGAGGCGGAGGTTGTAGTGAGCCGAGATCGCACCACTGCACTCCAGCCTGGGCGACAGAGAGAGACTTCGTCTCAAAAAAAAGAAAAAAGAAATACCAGTCTGATAAGTTGAACTGTCAGGAAAGTTTCATTAAACTCTCCATATGTTACCATGGAGAACTGAAGCTCTTTGAAGACCTTAAGCATGTCTCCAAAAAATTGGACTGTATTTTTTTGCACTTAGTGATTTACTCCTTACCCCTTGCCTCCCAAGAGAATGAAAAATGGATATTAGTATTGACTTAACATTTTATTGGCATTGGAAAAATGTACTTTTAAAAGTCATTAATTGACTTTTCTCTAAAGGTATAAGGTAGGTTTCAGTGGGAACTCAGGAATTTGGCCATGGACCCTCCCAGAATAACCTGTTTCCTTTAGAATTCTTTTTTTTTTTTTTTGAGACACAGTCTCGCTCTGTGCCCCAGGCTGGAGGTGCAGTGGCGGGATCTCAGCTCACTGCAAGCTCTGCCTCCTGGGTTCATGCCATTCTCCTGCCTCAGCCTCCCGAGTAGCTGGAACTACAGGTGCCCGCCATCATGCTCAGCTAATTTTTTTTTTTTTTTGCATTTTAGTAGAGACGGGGTTTCACTGTGTTAGCCAGGATGGTCTCGATCTCCTGACCTTGTGATCCACCCGTCTCGGCCTCCCAAAGTGCTGGTATTACAGGCATGAGCCACCGCGCCCGGCCTCCTTTAGAATTCTTAAAATCTTCCAGAAGTCGCTGATTTTAGGATTGTTCAGGAGCACTTACACCAACCATTAGGGCTTGTTGGAAAGAGATATGATAAAAAGTATGATTTTTTTTTCCTCTGTCTTTTGTCAGCTAAAGAGTGGTAGGAAATTTGAATTCAGTGCTAGCATAGAAGTAGGATTAACACCATTAATAGTTTGATATATAGACATCCTTCAGAAAAAAAAGTTTTCTTGAGATGGTATCTTGCTATGTTGTCTAGGCTGGTCTTGAATTCCTGGGCTCAAGCAGTCCTCCCACCTTGACTTCTAGAGTAGCTGGTATTACAGGCATGAGCCATGGGGCCTAGCCTATCCGTGTGTGTGTGTGTGTGTGTGTGTGTGTGTGTGTGTGTGTGTATATATGTGTGTGTATATATATGTGTATATATATATGTTTAATGGGATCATACTTGTTATATGGCTTGATCTTTTTAATTAGGGTTTTTTTTTTGTATTCCAGTTCTTCAGTGAAAGCATTGTGTATACATCTTTGAGTACCTATGAGAATATTTCTGTTGAATAGATTTCTAGAAGTGCAGTTGCTGGGTAAAAGTTTGAGCAATTACATTTGTGATTTTGATGGCTATTACCTTTATAATGCTGTGTAACCACATTTAATAATAGCTTAAAAAGTGTAGTTAAAAAGTTTCCTAGTCTGGGTACAGGTGCTTGGTCAAGTAAATAACTGGAACTTGTAGTGGGTGAAGCCTATCCTAGGTTCAGTTGATGCCTCTTCTTGTTAGGTGGTTGATCACTTCAGACATCCCCATTAACGTCCTAATGGATCTTCATCTGATGGGTTTAGCATAGAATGCTCAGGTTGCTTAACGTGTGTTGGTCTGCTGTCTGCCAGGCATTGTGCTGCTTGTAGGGGACAGAGATAAAACAAGCTATAACCCTCCTTTTTTAAGAAGTACATAGTTGGCCAGGCGTGGCGGCTCATGCCTGTAATCTCAGCACTTTGGGAGGCCGAGGCTGGCGAATCACGAGGTCAGGCCAGGCCAACATGGTGGAACCCTGTCTCTACTAAAAAAGACAAAAAATTAGCTAGATGTGGTGGCGGGTGCCTGTAATCCCAGCTACTCAGGAGGCTGAGGCAGGAGAAACGCTTGAACTCAGGAGGTGGAGGTTGCAGTGAGCCAATATTGTGCCGCTGCACTCCAGCCCGGGTGACAATGAGAGGCTCTGTTTCAAAAAAAAAAAAAAAAAAAAGTACATACTCTGGGGAAGAAAGAGACAAGACAAAATTGTGAGTTTATATTGTACCATGAGCAATAGCCAGGGTGTCATGGGGGTGCAGGTAAGAGCCTAGAGGGAGGGACCCCACCTCAACCTGGGAGTAATGGGGAATACTTGAAAGAGCATGTAACCTTGAGCTGAACCGTGAAAGAGTAGCATGAGTAAAGGTGCAGGGGCATAGAAGAGCCAGGAAACATATGTTTCAGGTGGCTGCAGTGAGGACAGGCTGGAGATGAGGTCTAATGTAAAAAGGGGACAGATAATGGTGTGTGGGGAATTTGGACTCATCCTTACTCTAGAGTCAGTGAAAGATTTTAAATGGTTAGATTTAGGTTTACCCCCTCCTTTCCTTTTTTCTTCCCTTTCTAATAATCATTTTGGTAGTGGACGCTAGATTAGAGGCTTGCTGAGACAGGAAGAAGGAAGAATAGTTGGGAGATTATTACTGCCTGAATTACTATAGTACATAATGAGGTTCTGCACTAGGGCATTGGCACCAAGGATGGAATGAATGTGCCTGTCATTCTGTGTGTTGCCAACCCTCACCCTCTGTGCACCACCTCACCTTTCAAAATTCAGTCAGTATGTCATCTTTTCTAGAAGCCTTCCTTGACCCCTTCAGGTGAAATACAGTACTTTATCAAGCTAGGCTACCTTCACACCTAATTTATATTTTACTATCTTGTATCTGGCATTTAGTAGATGTTTAAATTAAATATTTATGGTAAAAAGTAAGTTGGTGATTTGAGGTCATGATTAACTCAAATAGACAATGTTGAGGAGCAGGAGGAAGTTTTGGATTTGGTGTTGGGGCAGGGAATGGGTTTTGAATATGGGATGCTTGAAGTAGTTGTATAGGCAATGCTGAATTCTACTCATTTCTTTCTTTTTGTTTTTTTGGAGACAGTCTCATTCTGTCGCCTACGCTGGAGTGCAGTGGTGCCATCTCAGCTCACTGCAGCCGCTGCCTCCCAGATTCAGGTGATTCTTGTACCTCAGCCTTCTGAATAGCTGGGATTACAGGCAAAGACGGGGTTTCGCTGTGTTGGCCAGGCTGGTCTCAAACTCCTGACCTCAAGTGATCTTCCTGCCTTGGCCTCCCAAAGTGCTGGAATTACAGGCGTGAGCCACCTCTCCCGGCCCTACTCCTTCCCTTCCTTCCCTCCCTCCTTCCTTCTTTCCCTCCTTTTCTTCTCTCACCTCCTCTCCCCTCTCCCCTGTCTCCTCTCTCCTCTCTCCTCTCTCCTCCCCTCTCCTCTTTTCCTTCTTTTGAGACAGAATCTTGCTCTGTAACCCAGGCTGGAGTGCAGTGGCGTGATAACAGCTCACTGCGACCTCCACCCGCCAGGCTCAAGTGACCCTCCCACTATGCCCAGCTAATTATTATTTTTTTAGAGACTGGGTCTCAGTGTGTTGTCTAGGCTAGTCTCAAACTCCTCCTGGGCTCAGGCGATCCTCCTGCCTTGGCCTCCCAAGGTGCTGGGCTTATAAGTGTGAGCTACCATGGTAGGCCATCATTTAAAAAAAAAAAATTAGTGTTTTTGTTTGGGTGGCTTTTTTAGATGGGGGCTATGTTGCCTAGGCTGGCCTTGAACTCCTTGCCTGAAGCCATCCTCCTGCCTCCTGAGTAACTGGAAATACAGGCGCCTGCCACTGCACCCAGCTCCTACTCATTCTTTAGGTTTCAGCCTGGATGTTCTTTTTTCTGAAAAGCATTTTCTGACTCCGCCTACTTCTCAGCCTGTATGAGGATTGCCTCCATCCCCCAAATCACACAGTAGTGTCTCTCTTTACTGCTGCTTGTCATCCTTGTATGTACTTACTGTGGTGCTTTGAATACTCTAGGCATTTTAATATTTATTGGAGATACTCAGTAGGTAGTTGGTGTTCTTTGACTGACTTTCCTCTAAAGACTAAAATTCAGAATTTACTGTCAGGCAGTTAAGACCGTTTCAGTTTAAGCCTTAAACTATCTAGTGTAGTAGTTAAAAGCATCGGCTTTAGCATTATGGATCCTGCCCCTGCAACTTCATAGTTGTGTGATCATGGGCAAATTACTTAACTTCTTTGAGCATCTATAAAATGAGGACAGTAGTACTTACCTTACATTGTTATTGTGAAGATTAAGAGAATATATGTAAGATACTTAGCATAGTGATTGACATAGTAAAACGCTAATTAATGTTAGTGAACAACATTTGTAATAACCTATCCTGCACTCAGGAATGATTCCTTTAGTAATATAAAGCTTTTTCAGTTAAGAAGCCCTGTTGGCCAAGGAAATTGATAATGGTCTTGTGGGTGACACACATTATCTCTTTGTTTTATAGTAAAAATTTTGTCTCTCCTTCCCCATTGTATTCCACAACAAATCTACTTTTGTTCATATGTAAAATAAATACTTTGCAGTGCATTCCATAATGTAGCTTGCAGTACTTCATCACAAATCACTGTTCTTTTCCTCTCTTTCTCTTGAGAAGCTGTACATATACCACCTGATTCATGCAAGTTGTTTTGTGGATCATGCCCCACGTCTTTCCCATTATTTTGATTGTGTCAATTTTTTGATTCGTGTTTCCTCCTTTTTCTCTTCTTAGTAAAATCTTACACTTGAGGGCAACCCCCACGAGGCCTTTTTGACTTCTCTAGTCCAGTCATTTAGGGCTTACAGCACTTACTATGTACCAAGCTCTCGATAAAGTTAGCACGCTAAAGAAGGGTGCTGTTAAGGAATTTTGCTTGTCTTGGAAATAGAATTAGTTAACAATTAGGGAAAATTCAGATAATTTGAACTGAATGACAGTGACTTTAAGTGCATTATACAATTCAAGCAGGAAGAAAGTGATATGAATTGGAAGAGTCTAAGAAGTTTTTGTGGAGATGCTATGTATTGAAAAATTAGTAAGTTTGGGGACAAAAAAAAAAAGTAGAAGAAGGACCTTCCAGGTAGAGGTAGCAACATAGGCAAAGATACGGAGTTGGGAATCTGTGGGGAGTTCTGGGTCCGTATCAATTGATGTGCTTGCCCTGACGTTAAGTTTCATCTTGAAGAATTTGAACTCATTAAAAAGGTGTGAGGGGCTGGGTGTGGTGGCTCATGCCTGTAATTCCAGCACTTTGGGAGGCCGAGGCGGGTCGATCACCTGAGGTCAGGAGTTCGAAACCAGCCTGGCCAACGTGGTGAAACCCCATCTCTACTAAAATTACAAAAAAATTAGCTGGCTGTGGTGGCAGGCACCGGTAATCCCAGCTGCTCGGGAGGTTGTGGTAGGAGAATCGTTTGAACCTGGGAGGCGGAGGTTGCAGTGAGCGGAGATCGCGCCATCGCACTCCAGCCTGGGGGACAAGAGCGAGACTTTGTCTCAAAAAAAAAAAAAGTGTGAGGAACTTGTTCAGAGTAGGAAAGTGAGATGATAAAAAGGTAAAGGATAGTTTGGGGCACTGAGGCACTAGTCAGGAAGCTGTTGTGATAATCTAGACAGGAGCTGATGAGGACCTGGGCTAGACTGATAGTGTTAGAAGTATAGAGAGGACATACCAAACCTGAAAAGCTTCGTGAGAAAAGAAGGATTTCGTCACAAAGGAGATGAAATTATGAAGGAAAAGAGAGCTTTCTTTCCATTCTTTATAAGCCATCATGTTTTTGTTTGTCATATATTTGGCCTTTTTGTTAGACTGGCCCCTTCACATTTCTGGATTTAAGCTTTGGTAGAGACTTTGACTATTATTTTCTGGTTGAAGTTCTCATTGCATCCTATCTGGATTATTGTGGTAGCTTTTTTATTGGTCTTTGCCATCTATAGATGCCTTTTTACTTACTTTCAATCCATCCTACCCAACTGATCTCTCTAAAGCACAGTCTGATGTTTCACTCCCATTTAAAAAGTGTTTAATGATACTCTGCTGTCATTATTTTATATATACATATACATATATATGTGTGTGTATATATATATGTATATACTTTTTATTTTTCAGAGACTCGATCTCGCTATGTTGACCAGGCTGGTCTCAAACTCCTGGCCTCAAGCAATCCTTTTGCCTTGGCCTCCCAGAGTGCTGGGATTACATGTCTGAGCCGCTGCACCTGGCCTCTGCTGTCTTTGTTTGTTTGTTTTTGTTTTTGAGACAGAGCCTCTCTTTGTCGCCCTGGCTGAAATGCAGTGGCTCAATCTTAGCTCATTGCAGCCTCTGCCTCCTGGGTTCAAGTGATTCTCATGCCTCAGCCTCCCTAGTAGCTGGGACTACAGGCACCTGCCATCATGCCCGGCTAAATTTTTTATTTTTATTTTTATTATTTATTTCTTTTTTTGAGATGGAGTCTCACTTTTGTCACCCAGGCTGGAGTGCAATGGTGCGATCTCGGCTCACTGCAACCTCTGCCGCTCAGGTTTCAGCGATTCTCCTACCACAGCTTCCCGAGCAGCTGGGATTACAGGTGCCCGCCACCACACCCAGCTGATTTTTTTGTATTTTTATTAGAGGCGGGTTTTCACCACGTTGGCCAGGCTGGTTTCAAACTCCTGACCTCAGGTGATCCACCCGCCTCAGCCTCCCAAAGTGCGGGGATTGCAGGCGTGAGCCACTGTGCCTGGCCCCTCTACTGTCTTTAAGTCTGAATTAAGGCTATTAAAGGCTGTCCGTTAAGGATCTGGCTTCAAACTGCCTTTCCACCTTCATTCTACTATTTCCTCTATTAAAATATGCTTTGTGTTTTAAGCAAATTGTTAATTTTTTTTTTTTTTTAAGATGGAGTCTCGCTCTTGTTACCCAAGCTGGAGTGCAGTGGCCCGATCTCAGCTCACTGCAACCTCTGCCTCCTGGGTTCAAGCAATTATCCTGTCTCAGTCTTCCAAGTAGCTGGGAGTACAGGTGCGCGCCTCCACACCCGGCTAATTTTTGGTAATTTTAGTAGAGATGGGGTTTCGCCATGTTGGCCAGGCTGGTCTCCTGATCTCAGGTGATCTACCCGCCTCAGCCTCCCAAAGTCCTGGGATTATAGGCATGAGTCACTGCGCCCGGCCCAAATTGTTCATTTCTTTTAACCTTCAGAATGTCGCCTTTTCCCACACAGCGTTGCCTTTTCTTATGCCATTTCCTCTCACTAGAATGCCACATTACCATTCTCTTGTCCTAGCCTTTTGCATAATGACATTTTAGCTAATTTTCAAGTCTCAGCTAAAATTGCGGCAACTTCATGGACACTTCCCTAATCATCCTTCCTGCTGTTTCTTTCCGTCCTTTGTGTAGAGAAATGAGGTAATGGTGAAGGAAGAGGTTAGTAGAAGCCACATTATGGGCAAACTTTTCTTCCCCATCTGATTTTTGCTTTTGCTTTCAGTGCAAGTGTGGTTGTAATACTTGTTGGCCACCTGGATGACCTATTCCTTCCCCTTTGTTCTCTGCAGCTAAATATTTTTGCAAGGTGGATGCTTCCAGGTTATTCTTGTGTATCTGGAGTCTTGTCTTGGAAATTGACTGGGAATAAATGAGGTTTTCATTTGTGGGTGTGGAGTTAGTTCTGACTTACAGTATTTGAAGCAGCTGGATACGTTTTGCTTTTGAAAGAGTATATATATGTGTGTGTATAATCTTTAGGATATGGTTCTCTGTTGGGAGGTGTGATGTTGAACCCCCCAGCTCCCATATTTGACATGTCTGGAGACATTTTTGATTGTCATAATTTTCAGAAGGGCACTACTAGCATCTAGTGGGTGGAAAACAGAGATGTTGCTAAACATGCTACTGCCAGGATAGCCCCCTGTGATAGATTACTCATCGTGAGATGTCAGTTAGTGGTTAGGTTGAGAAACTCTATCCTAGAAGTATATTTTTGCTTCCCAAGTGCCACTTGTGTTAGGTAGAAGTTTGTCCTTGGACCGATGGTGCAATTTAGAATAATAGAATTAACATAGGAAGGGACCCTAGAGGTCACATATTTGAACTTTATCCCAACTTGTATTTCTCACAATGATGTTTCTGCTTGATATTAATAGATGTAATGGAAAAAGGTGCTTGTTAAAAAAGTTTGGTAAAGGTAAACATTTGCATATTCAGTATGATGCAATACGTTGTGAGTCTCCATCTGGGAAGTTTTTCCGAAATGTATTTGCTTGCTGAGTGCATTTAACATCTTCCAGACCCTAAAATACTTCTTTGAAACTGAGAGAGAAACTATTGATTATCTAGCCCAACCTTTTATAGCTAAATGACCTTGAATAGGTAGCCTTTTCTTTTATCTGTACAAGCTTACTGCAGAATCTCAATTTGTGTGAGTGACAGCAGGTGTAGCAGCTCCATCTGTATTTGTCAGATTATAGTTTACTAACTGAATGAACTAAAAATTGGGATATTTGGGGCTTGAATTTTTATTCTGAATGTACAGTCTGACTTTATCCCCACCGGTAAATTAGAAATTATAATCTCAGCCCTAATTCTACTGCCCAGGTTGTTATGAGGATTAATCAGTTAATTATAGCTTTTAAGGCTTTGTATTCTTTGGAGAAAGATGATTTATCAGATAGGCTGTTGTGCTGTTTGTGTAGAACTGCTTCCTTTTTTTGTTTTTCGTTTTTTTTTCCTTTAGCCCTGAGCTTCTCTAAGAACTGCTTAAATTTGACAGTCTTTCCCTGCTTTACATTGTCAAAGATTGAAGCTTTTTGAATTTTGTAGGGGTCAAGTGGGATAGGAATCATTGTTTTGCTCTGTATATTAAATTTAAGAATGTTACTATGGGCCGGGCGTGGTGGCTCATGCCTGTAATCCCAGCACTTTGGGAGGCCAAGGTGGGCAGATCACGAGGTCAGGAGATGGAGACCATCCTGGCTAACATGGTGAAACCCTGTCTCTACTAAAAATACAAAAAACTAGCTGGGCGTGGTGGCGGACGCCTGTAGTTCCAGCTACTGGGGAGGCTGAGGCAGGAGAATGGCGTGAACCCGGGAGGTGGAGCTTGCAGTGAGCTTAGATCACGCCACTGCTCTCCAGCCTGGGTGACAGAGCGAGACTCCATCTCTTAAAAAAAAAAAAAGAATGTTACTGTGATTTTGTTTTACTTAGTTATTGGCTCTTTAAGAATTTCCATTGTTTTCTTTTTGTTTCTCTCCATTTTATTATAGAAGTAATACATGTTTATGGTGGAGACTTTACATAAGCCAAGAAACAAAAGACAAAAGAATCTTAACCAATGACTTTTTAAAGCAAAATTGAGATGATACTGTGTTTTGTTTTGTAACTTTTTTTCATTTAATAATGAAGCAAGCACTTTTCTATGTTAGTAAATATAGCTCTGCCACACTTAGGGTTGCACAGTATTCCATTGTATGGATATTTAATAATTTAACCGAGTTTTTGGCATTCAGTTTTCTTTTTATTATAAACAACATCATGAAATATTAAAAGTAAGTCTAGACATAACAGGGAAAAGATTAAAGTACTAAACTTAGGTGGTGGTTTATGGCAATTGTAGCTAATTGCAAACTAGGTGCATTAAAAAGCCATGGAAATTCATTCCTTCTATGTTTCCTTTTTGTTTCCAGTGTAATAAAAGTGCAAATAATACTGGGTGGTTGCTCCAGGTACGTGGCCAAGTAATTGAAAGTATCTTATTTCATCATCATAGCATCCTTGTCGGGAAGGCTCTGTTACTTGTAGATGAGGAGACTTAAAGAACAGAATAGTTAAGTAACCTACAGGAGGTGGAGCCAGGATGGGAACTGAGATTTGCTCACTTGAGTCAGTGCTCCTCTTACTTATGAATATCTTTGGGAGTAATGTTGAATCTTAGCATAGTATTTCGAGTCAATAAAGGTATGTCAAGTCAATAAATGGTATTTCTTTGGTATAGAAATCTCAAGATTTAGGAATTAGGAATGGGAATTTTTTCGGAAAAAGTGGTCACTTTTTCCTGTTCTCTGCACTCTCTCTCCTCCCCCACCCCCTTACTTAGATGATTGTTTTAGTAACTACACTATGCTGTGTATCCTATGGGGATATTGAGACCAAGGATAAAGTGCAAATCAAATAAACTATTGTCTTTGAAGTGTATATGTTAATGTCAAGTTCATAGACATCATTTCAGAGAAGTCTTGGAGTAGATGGGATTTTTTTTTTTTTTTTTAAGATGGAGTCTTGCTCTTGTTGCCCCGGCTGGAGTGCAGTGGTGCAATCTTGGCTAATTGCAACCTCTGCTGCCTGGGTTCAGGTGATTCTCATGTCTCAGCCTCCCAGGTAGCTGGGATTACAGGCGCTCGCCGCCACACTCAGCTGATTTTTGTATTTTTAGTAGAGACAGGGTTTCACCATGTTGACCAGGCTGGTCTTGAACTCCTGACCTCAGGTGATACGCCTGCCTCGGCCTCCCAAAATGCTGGGATTACAGGCGTGAGCCACTGTGCCCAGCTGGAGTAGATGGGATTTAAGCCGGCATTTTTTCTTAAAGTTGTAAGCTTTAAAGAATTGAATAATCTCAGAATAACTTTGAGAAGTTTACTACTTAAGCACCTTCTGTGATGTGATGTTAATTATGACCCTCTTTTTCATTTGTGCTGGAGTGAGCCTGGGTTTTCCTAAGTTTTATGTAAGTCATAAAGCATATTTGTGCCCTTGCTTGGGTCCTCAGAGGGAAGCTGTTTCCTGCCCTTGCTAAGTCTTACTGTAGTGCTGTCAGGCAGTAGGGTACAATTACTCTTCACATGTTGTATTAATCATCTGGCACTGATAATATGCCTCCTTGCATTGCTCATATCAACTACATATTGACATTCAAAAGGGGAGGAGATTGAATTGATGGGAATTATCTGGTAGTGATTTTCGTTTGTCCATGGGAAAAACCCTTTGCATATTATAAAAGTGACTCAAAATATTTTTAACAACTATATTGGTCCAGCTGTCAACTGGTCTATAACACAATGTTTAATAACAGGAATTAGTACTGTCAACTGGTCTGTAACACAATGTTTAATAATATATTAGTAATTAGTATTATATTTAAAGTTAGAAATGGGAAAAGACAACATAGAATAATTTGTGCCACACAGAATGCCATATGCCAGAAAGCCCACAGGAGAAAACTACATAAGCCCTGAAAATCTAGTTCATAAAGAGTGTTGGTTAAAATACAACCCTGGAACAAGAAACTTTTGGTGTTAATAATTATATGAGGCCAGGCACAGTGGATCACACCTGTAATCCTAGCACTTTGGGATGCTGAGGCAAGCGGATCACCTGAGGTCAGGAGTTTGAGACCAGCTTGGCCAACGTGGTGAAACTCCATCTCCATTAAAAATACAAAAATTATCTGGGCATGGTGACACATGCCTGAAGTCCCAGCTACTCGGGAGGCTGAAGCAGGAGAATCACTCCAACACAGGAGGCGGAGGTTGCAGTGAGCCGAGATCACGCCACTGCACTCCAGCCTGGGCGACAGAGCGAGACTACATCTCAGAAACACACACACACACACACACACACACACACACACACACACACACACACACACAGCAATAAGACAGATTCGACCCATATGTATATTGGTGCTTTTATGAATAATGTTTTCTCAGTCATTTATTTGAGTATTTTTATGTTAATGATTCAAATTGTCATACTATAAAGAAGCTTACTGTGGTCCTGTAGGGCCTACCATCCTGTGTTGGTATTGCTCCAAAGATAAGCATTTTTGATTAAATTGGAGATTGCCCTCATTTGGGGCAGGGAGGGGGGTGCTTAGTCCAGTGATTTCACAAGCATTTTGGTCTCAGGACCCTTTTTTAACTCTTAAAATTTGTTGAGAACAGCAAATAAATTGTTTTTCTTATAAACTTTGAGAAATTTAAAAAATATTTAATAAGTAATTCAGGCTGGGCATGGCGGCTTATGCCTATAATCCCAGGAGTTTGGAAGGCTGAAGCTGGGAGTTTGATAGCAGCCTGGGCAACAAAATGAAATTCCATCTCTACAAAAATTCAAAAAATTAGCCGGGCATGGTGGCACACACCTATAGTCCCAGCTACTAGGAGGCTGATGCAGGAGGATCACTTGAGCCCAGGAGGTTGAGGCTTCAGTGAGCCATGATTGTGCCGCTGCACTCTAGCTTGGGTGACAGAGCTAGACCCTGTTTCAAAATAACAGCAACAAATAAATGATTTGTCTTGCACTTAAACTTTTTACCCATGCATGATTTCCTGACATTCACTGGACATTTTATCGTTCACTGGGTTATGCAGATCTTCCAAATGTTACACATTACATTATATGCAATCAAAAATTCACGTTCATTAATATCGTCACAAGTCTGTTAAATCAGAAATGGCTTTTAAAATATTCAGAAAGTCCGAATGTGGCAGCTTAGGCCTGTAATCCCAGCACTTTGGAAGGCCGAGGTGGGCGGATCATGAGGTCAGGAGATTGTGACCATCCTGGCCAACATGGTGAAACCCTGTCTCTACTAAAAATACAAAAATTAGCCAGGCGTGGTGGCACGTGCCTGTAGTCCCAGCTACACGGGAGGCTGAGGCAGGAGAATCACTTGAACCCAGGAGGCAGAGGTTACAGTGAGCTGAGATCATACCACTGCACTCCAGCGTGGCGACAGAGCAAGACTCTGTTAAACACACACACACACATCCACACCCACCAAATAAAATATTGGGAAAATGTTTAAGTTCATGATTGTTGATACAAGTTTTCAAAAACACTAATCTTTGCCTAAAAAATTCAGATTTTATTATTGGCAGCAAATATCGTCAGTGGTCTTCCTTGAAGTGACAGGTTCACTTTGTTCATTTGCAAGGAAATGTCTGCTAGTGAAGCAGGTTTCAAATAATGTTTGTCAGTAGTTCTGCCAAGTAAAAATCGTGTTCCATGAACAAAGCTCTAGTTCATTTTGCAACTCAGTTGTACTGTGCTTTTTCCTGAGAATTCATAAAGCAGCAGAGTGCTTTATGCATACTTTCCCTTTCATCACAAAGAATATTTTTAAAAAATGCACTAAAGGCTCAAGATAATTCATAATTTTTGCTGTTCATCAAGGACATCTTAAGTGGAACTCCCTTAAAAAAAGAAAAACTGAGTGGAGAGTATAATGACTATTAGTATAGTTTGGTGCCTCTTCCTTGATTTGTGCTAATAATGTACCAGCAGTTTTGTTCACCTTTGTTTTTGTACTCTGATTGCAAATGTCAACACAGTGTAAAAGGCAGATAATATTCTAGTATTGCTATGAAAATACCTTTGATTTCACGAACCTCCAAAATAGCCTGTGAGATCCCCAGAAGTCCAGAGACCACACTTTAAAGAACAACTGGCTTAGTTCTTTACGTATGTTTCCTTTGGCTCCCAGACCACATAGATCAAGGGGGATCAAACAGAGGCAAATGACTGAGATTTTTAGCTTGGTTACTAAATAAAAGCAGTGTCATTACTTAAGGTAATGAAACAGGATGCGGAATAGTGTGCTGGAAGGAGAAAGTGAATTCTGAGCTTCAGGGGGCTTGAGGAACATAGAGGTTATAGGAATCTTGATTAGTGCAGCTCAGAAGTTTTTCTTATGGTTAAGAAACCTCACCATACTAGTGGTTGTTGAGAGAGAAGAGGGCAGAAGGGACCTTGTGCAGCACCAGCATTTAAGGGTCCAGGAGGAAGAGAAGAGGATGATAGTACAAGGACATCAGGAAAGAATTAGAAGAAGGTCGGTATTGTCCAGTGCTTCAGAGAAGTCAGATAGAATGGGGACTGAGGTTTGACCATTGGATTTGATAATAAGATTACTGGTCACCTTTGCCAGAGCAGTAGGGGGTGAAATCCAGATTATGGAAGAGTGAAGAGTGCAGAGACAGTTATTTATACTATTCTTAGAGAAGTTTTGGGGTAAAGGGAAAGAGAGATATTTGGGCAATTAAGTATGAGAGAGAGGCTGTACTGAGGGCAGAAGATACTTGAGTAAATTCCTAGGCTGAGAGGAAGAAGCCAGTAGAGAAGATATTGATGACCACTTTGATCTGAAAGAAAAGAAAACTGATGAAACAAGTTGGTATTACAGATGTGGTACAGTTAGCTTTGTAGTATAATCTATACTTCTAGAGAAGTGAGAAGCTGATGAAAACTGGATTCCCTGGCCAGAAAAATGCACAGACCTGTGATATTTGGCATACTTTTTTTAGTGAACACGGGAATTCCTTACTAATTTTTTTCTGTTTAATTATTGCTTAGTTTGATGTGTCTTGCTTTAAATCCATTTATTTCAACAAGCTTAAAGAGATTTTTTTTTAATGGAGATGATTTAATTTTAACAATCTGTGATTTTCTCTGAATCGAACTTGTGTTTTGGCACCTTTCAATCTGTGGTAACAAATGACAAGAAGGGTGCAATTCTTCCTTCCCTTGTGCAGGGATTTTGCCTCCCCCTTTCTCCCAGATGAAAGATATTTGGGTCTCTAGAATAACTGTGGTACAGTTAGCTCCAGAGTGTTTTCTTTCTGGAGGCAGTTTAGACAACAGCCTCAAGTAGTGCTTTTGTTAAAAATATACATGTTTTTAAAAGTGCTTGTATTTCTAATATTCTTTTCTCCTTTCTCTTCTAGTCTGTTCTCTGGGGAGGCAGTAAGGGGCCGTGGAGCTGGCCTCGGCCTCGGCATCGGGAGAGGCTGGACTTCCTGTCTCTCTGTGCTGAATGGCTGCGATGGCGCCCGCTCTCACTGACGCAGCAGCTGAAGCACACCATATCCGGTTCAAACTGGCTCCCCCATCCTCTACCTTGTCCCCTGGCAGTGCCGAAAATAACGGCAACGCCAACATCCTTATTGCTGCCAACGGAACCAAAAGAAAAGCCATTGCTGCAGAGGATCCCAGCCTAGATTTCCGAAATAATCCTACCAAGGAAGACTTGGGAAAGCTGCAACCACTGGTGGCATCTTATCTCTGCTCTGATGTAACATCTGTTCCCTCAAAGGAGTCTTTGAAGTTGCAAGGGGTCTTCAGCAAGCAGACAGTCCTTAAATCTCATCCTCTCTTATCTCAGTCCTATGAACTCCGAGCTGAGCTGTTGGGGAGACAGCCAGTTTTGGAGTTTTCCTTAGAAAATCTTAGAACCATGAATACGAGTGGTCAGACAGCTCTGCCACAAGCACCTGTAAATGGGTTGGCTAAGAAATTGACTAAAAGTTCAACACATTCTGATCATGACAATTCCACTTCCCTCAATGGGGGAAAACGGGCTCTCACTTCATCTGCTCTTCATGGGGGTGAAATGGGAGGATCTGAATCTGGGGACTTGAAGGGGGGTATGACCAATTGCACTCTTCCACATAGAAGCCTTGATGTAGAACACACAACTTTGTATAGCAATAATAGCACTGCAAACAAATCCTCTGTCAATTCCATGGAACAGCCGGCACTTCAAGGAAGCAGTAGATTATCACCTGGTACAGACTCCAGCTCTAACTTGGGGGGTGTCAAATTGGAGGGTAAAAAGTCTCCCCTGTCTTCCATTCTTTTCAGTGCTTTAGATTCTGACACAAGGATAACAGCTTTACTGCGGCGACAGGCTGACATTGAGAGCCGTGCCCGCAGATTACAAAAGCGCTTACAGGTTGTGCAAGCCAAGCAGGTTGAGAGGCATATACAACATCAGCTGGGTGGATTTTTGGAGAAGACTTTGAGCAAACTGCCAAACTTGGAATCCTTGAGACCACGGAGCCAGTTGATGCTGACTCGAAAGGCTGAAGCTGCCTTGAGAAAAGCTGCCAGTGAGACCACCACTTCAGAGGGACTTAGCAACTTTCTGAAAAGCAATTCAATTTCAGAAGAATTGGAGAGATTTACAGCTAGTGGCATAGCCAACTTGAGGTGCAGTGAACAGGCATTTGATTCAGATGTCACTGACAGTAGTTCAGGAGGGGAGTCTGATATTGAAGAGGAAGAACTGACCAGAGCTGATCCCGAGCAGCGTCATGTACCCCTGTGAGTAGACCTCATGCATGATAGCATTCTTGAGAAATGTTGGCACAAGGAAGAATGAATGAATCGCCATTATGGAGAGAATGTGATTCTTTGTACATAGGTGTCTAGGTTCTGTTTGTTTTTTCCCTGATGTTGGGTAGATGAGTGCATATACATGCTAGTGAAGAAGGGGAAGATACTTTTGCTGTAGGGTTGTATTGTTGTAGTCTAAATGGTGGTAATTTCCTTTTGAAGTCTAAGAAAAATAACTAGGAGACATCTTATGTGTAAAATTGTACTAGTACCTCTTTAAGAGTGAATTTAGATTTCTTTTGAAACTATATATAGGACATGATAAGTTAATGGCCTGATTGTTGAGATTTTGTTGTTTCCAGTAAGCAGGGACAAATGCTGAGTTGACCTAGTTACCTTTGTAGGAAATTACAGTTGCTTTTGATTGAACTTTCAGCAGAGAGCACACCCAGTCTTCAATTTTAACACTTGAGATTTTCTTACATTTTAAGGACTGACAATTAGAAAATGCTTCAGAATATTTAATACATCGCCTCCAAGCACAGTCTAGTTTCACAACCTGACTCTCTTCCTATTAAAAAAAAAAAAAAGCCCATTTTAAGCAGATTTGTTAAGCTGAGTTAAATGTATTGATGTATTTGGAATAAATTCTTACTGGGTTGTTTTTTTTGTTGTTTTTTGTTTTGTTTTGTTTTGAGACAGTTCCGCTCTGTCGCCCAGGCTGGAGTGCAGGAGTGCAGTAGTGCGATCTCAGCTCACTGAAGCCTCTGGCTCCTGGGTTCAGGTGATTCTCGGGCCTCAGCCTCCCTAAGTAGCTGGGATTACAGGTACCCGCCACCAAGTCAGGCTAATTTTTTTCTTTTTTCTTTTCTTAAGTAGAGACTGAGTTTCACCGTGTCGACCAGGCTGGCCTCAAACTCCTGACCTCGTGATCCGCCCACCTCATCTTACTGGTTTTTCTAAATCTGTTGGTTTGAGAAAATTTTACATAAGCTTTTTATGGGTGGCACTCCAAATTGGCATGGTGGAGACAGAGACGTTTCATTCCTGTCACTCCCAATTCAGCATCTATGTACTTAATTAAATAAAGCAGTACTATATTATAACATACTTAAAGATACATGTTAAATAAGTGCATTTATCTCCTTAGGAATATCAGATTTGAGAGAGAGCATGAGGAGTTGGAAAAGAGGGGCAGGATAATTGACTAGCAGATCTTTCATTTTCTCTTTGCTAGAGGCTGGCTTACTAGAGAAGGCTGAAAAAGATGAATATGTGGGAAGAATTGGTGTTTCCTTGACTGTATTAAAAGGTGATGAAGATTTTCACTGGAGTGTTTGGTTGTTGAGACAGCTATGATTTTTAAAAGTAAATTTTCTGGTTTCCCAATTTTGTTTATATTATCTGCATGGATATTGTATCTGAAATGAAACTTTTTTTTTCTATTTTGAAGGAAGAAATGGATAATTTTTGCTGAATTTCTTCCTTGTAGACCTAGTTCTATTATCATTTGTTAGTTCACTGTGCTCAAGTCCACTTCTGTATTTAGATTTAAAGCAAATGCTTCAGAGGCTTGCTTCTTCCGTAACCCATCTTTCTTTAAATGGATTAGTAGCTTAATTCAGCTTGCTAATATTCATGGCATTATCCCCACTAACTTTGCTGTTTAAATCACCGCTTTAAAAATATCTTGGTTAACGTTAAATATTTTGTGCTTAGAGGTATAATAAACACTGTAGTTAAAGGATTTTAAATTGCATGCACTTATTTTGAGTAACAGAAAAGCACCTAGACACTATAAGCGTATTGTTTTCAGGATACGTTGCATTGAAAACATTTCTGAGTTTTGGTACTGTTGTAGGTAAGCGTTACAAACCAATGAAATAAAAGTACCTGAGAATTTTTCTTATTCTGTAGGATAGTTTAATGACTTGGAAAAACCTTAAGGCCATTCATTCACTACTTAGTTCTGAGCATTCTTCTCACATAATGGTTTATGGTTTGGAAGGGTGTGAAGTGTATAAGAACAGCCAAAGGATGGCTTTTAGGAAACATTTTGGGATCAGTTGAATCCTCTTGCAATTAAATCAACTGATACTTTAAAAAGTTGAATTTTCATGCGTTAGATCATATTTGGGTACTGAAAGTACTCTGAAGTACATGCTCTTTTTGCACATTGTAATTGTATTTAGGGCCGGGCACGGTGGCTCACTCCTGTAATCCCACCCAGCACTTTGGGAGGCTGAGGCGGGCGGATCACTTGAGGTTGAGAGTTCGAGACCAGTTTGACCAACATGGAGAAACCCCGTCTCTACTAAAAATACAAAATTAGTTGGGCGTGGTGGCACACGCCTCTACATCCAGCTGCTCTGGAGGCTGAGGCAGGAGAATCGCTTGAACGTGAGAGGCGGAGGTTGCGGTGAGCTGAGATCGCACCATTGCCCTCCAGCCTAGGCAACGAGCGAAACTCCGTCTCAAAAAAAAAAAAAAATTGTATTTAAACTAAAACCACCAGTAAAGCATAAATACTTTAAAGTTCTTGTTGAGCAAGATCACCGGGTTGACTCTTAAGGCTGGTATTTATTTAGCCAAGTGTTTGTTGATCTTCTGAGTGTTTTAAAGGTTTTCAGCAGTTGACCAGACAATGAGAATGGAGGCATTGCTTTAATTTAAAAAGAAGAAGAAAAAGTTGTTCTTTGATGCTGAGAAATGAATCCTAGAATGTAGTTAGTTAATTCTTCAGGAACTTGACCCAGCTGGTGAATTTTGGCTCCCCCCACCCTTCCAGTAGCTGGTCTGTATTTTACTCTTTTGCCCAAGATAGAGTGGTGGGCTAGGTTTCGTCTAGGCAGCCCTGATGAAAATATTTAGTAGAGGAGACTGTTGGAATGAGCTGTTTTTAAATGATGTTGCTTAAATTACAAGTGGATAGTTCTGTGGAAATTATAATCCCTTTCTTCACTAAGAATTCAATTGTTTTTTTCTTTCCCACCTCCCAGAGGAGAAACAGTGATCCATTCTGTGTCGTTGGTACATGCTAGCTATAGAATGATTAATTTTTCTATGTTGTTGAATGTTTAGCAAATTGTATGTTTATCATTGTATTATGCTTGACAGTAAACTATATTGCTAAATGAGACTTTAGAGAGAGTTTTTTAAATTAATTTTTATGGTTGACTGATTTTATGTCTGGTTTAAAAACTCTTACCCTTTTTGTTTTAAACTCTTCTTGGAAAATTTTCATGAAATATTTCACATATCTTCCTTTCTTGGTACAGTGGAAATATAACTGCTTTGAAAATTCTGCAGTACGTTGTGTTTGATATGATGTCACTAAACAATGATATTTCATCACTGTGGAAGGTACAGGAATTTAAATTTTATCTCCTTGATTATGGGATTAAGAAGGAAGCTGCATGCTTCCGTAAATATCTTAATGTTTAATTCTTAATTGTAGATGTAGAAATAAAAGCATTTAATTATCATATGTATGTAATGTACTTGCTGAGTTGTGCTTGCTCTTCTTTCTTTTATATTCTTTGTTTTTCCCTCTTAGAGTTGTTTTTTTTTCCCTGCAATTTTGTTTAATTCCTGGACCCATTCCACATTTTGCTAAATTTGCTTTTCATTTTCTGGGTCCTGTGCTTATAAACTTCTATATAGTAACTACTTGTTAAAATAATATTTTTTTTCCAGAAATTCTCTTAATTGTGCTCTTAAATCAGCAGTGTTCTGGGTACCTGGACCACATTATGTAGGTCTCTCTCTCCTAAGTTTTTTTTTTTTTCCTTTCTTTTTTTCTCTCTGTCCCCGAAATTTTTTTTTTCTTTTTTTTCTCCCAACCGTTACTCTAGGCTTATCTTGAAGTTCAGTATAAAAATAACCTCATAAAACATTTCATTGTGATTACTGAAATATTGTTGAGGATATTCTCTGTATTCTGCAATGCCTTCTTTATAAAGACCTCAGGGAGAAAGATGTGCAGCCAAGAATAATTGTATGTTTGTCTAAGCTTTTAGTCTGTTTTTATTACCTGGGTGCTGTAATTGTTCACTAGGTTTCTTTTTTCCTATTGACATCTGGAAATTTAGAGCTAAGCTTGTACCTTTTTAATAGCTTCATTTTGTTTCCCTATTTTCATGTTTTTATTTCTGGTTGAATTTATGCTAACCTGTGTTTTGTCTAATAGTCTCCTGAAGTCTGTTTCAGATCAGGGTTGGGTAAAAATAGACTATGGATGCAGTTCAGTGACACTAAAGCGCTTATTTGAATTTTGGATGGTCTTGATTGCAGTGAGTTTTCTCACCCTCAGGAATTTTTTTTTTTTTTGGAGACCGAATGTTGCTCTTGTTGCCCAGGCTGGAGTGCAGTGGCGCGATCTTGGCTCACTGCAACCTCTGGCTCCCGGGTTCAAGTGATTCTGCTGCCTCAGCCTTCTGAGTAGCTGGAATTACAGGTGCCTGTCACCACGCCCGGCTAATTTTTGTACTTTTAGTAGAGGCAGGGTTTTGCCATGTTGCTCAGGCTGGTCTCGAACTCCTGACCTCAGGTGATCTACCCGCCTTGGCCTCCCACAGTGCTGGGATTACAGGTGTAAGTCACTGTGCCCAGCCCTTTTTTTTTTTTTTTGAGACAGAGTCTCACTCTGTCGCCCAGGCTAGAGTTACAGTGGCATGATCTCGGCTCACTGCAATCTCCACCTCCCAGGCTCAAGCAATTCTTCTGCCTCAGCCTCCTGAGTAAGCTGGGATTACAGGCGCCCACCACCATGCCTGGCTAATTTTTGTATTTTTAGTAGAGACGGGGTTTCACCATGTGGCCCAGGCTGGTCTCAGAACTCCCGACCTCAGGTAATCCACCCACCTTGGCCTACCGAAGTGCTGGGATTACAGGCGAGAGCCACTGTGCCTAGCCCCTCCTGGGGAATTTTATCCTCTTGGAGTTTATGAAGACCTCATGGTAAAATGAATTACTAGTGTGTTTATAGGTTTTGCTTTTTAGATACTTTGGAATGTTCTATATTGTTGCTTTTGGTCTGGCTTGGTGGCTCATGTCTGTAATCCCAGCACTTTGGGAGGCCAAGGTGGGTGGATCACTTGAGGTCAGGAGTTGGAGACCAGCCTGGCCAACATGGTGAAACCCCGTCTCTACCAAAAATTCAAAAATTAGCCAGGCGTGGTGGTGCACGCCTTTAATCCCAGCTACTTGGGAGGTTGAAGCACGAGAATCACTTGAACCCAGGAGGCAGGAGTTGCAGTGAGCTGAAATCTCAGCTCTGCACTCCATCCTGGGTGGCAGAGTGAAACTGTGTCTCAAAAAAAAAATAAAAATACCTGTAATCCCAGCACTTTGGGAGGCTGAGGTGGGTGGATCACGAGTTCAGGAGATTGAGACCATCCTGGCTAACACGGTGAAACGCCGTCTCTACTAAAAATTCAAAAAATTAGCCGGGCGTGGTGGCGGTCCCCTGTAGTCCCAGCTACTCGGGAGGCTGAGGCAGGAGAATGGCCAGAACCCAGGAGGTGGAGCTTGCAGTGAGCCGAGATCGCACCACTGCACTCCAGCCTGGGCGACAGAGCGAGACTCCATTTCAAATAAATAAGTAAAAATAAAAATAAAAAAAAGTAACTCTTACTTGAATTTATTAAGAATACACAGATGATGTTGCCAAAGTGGCAATCAAATTGCTTTGTCATTTTTTACTTTTTATGTATGTTTGTATGTATGTATATATTTGAGAGAGAGTCTTGTTCTGTCACTCAGGCTGGAGTGCAGTGGCGTGATGTCAGCTCATTGCAGTCTCTGCTTCCCAGGTTCAAGTGATCTTCCTGCCTCAGCCTCAGGAGTAACTGGGACTACAGGCATGCACCAAACACCCGGCTATCATTTTTCTACTCTTTATCATTTCATAAAGTGGTGGGTTGGGAGGAACATCAGCCAGGATACCCAAGTCTTCTCAGCTAAACCCTTCTTCTGCTAAAAACTAGCTATAGGACTAATGTAACCATTTTTCTAATTAAAGTGAGGGAGCTGACCCTACGTGACCTTTAGGTCTCAAACTACTTTGAAATGTGACTGTTTATCTTTAAATAACATGAATGAAACTATTCTCATCACCATTTTTTTGCATTGGGGGAAGCTGAGGCAAAGAACCCAGCAAAGCACTGGTATAAGTTGAAACAAAACAGGTTTCTTGACTTGTGACTTAAAGCTTTGGTTCTTCTAATGCCTTCATTCATTTCTTTGGTTGATTTACTTTTCATAGTCCATTAAAGTGATTATCTTATTTCTTGATGTATGGGATAGAAATGTGGGAATAATTTCATTGTATTCTTACAGAATTTACTTCAGAGCTGAGTAAACTTTCATTTGTTGAACACCTTTGATTTAATGCCCCTTGGCTTTTCTCCTAATCTGCACATGACGTCAAGTGGCAGAAGTAGGAACTTGTGTTTTTTTCTTCTATTCTCTTCTCATTTTTTTCCTGAGAAGAAACGTAGGTAGTGAAAATCATTCTTAGTGCTTGTTGTGGGATTCTGAAGAAAGGAACTTAGGCATCAGGAATTTGGGTGTTACCCATTTACCGTAGATATAGTTGCTATAGTGTTTTCTGCCACCTTGTGATTGTTGTTTTTGTTCTCTGAAGTGAACGTACTCTTTTATGGTAGTGTTAAAGTCATATAATAAGTACTTATGGAGTAAGTAAATGTGTAAGACACAAGAGATAACAGATGAATAAGCTAAGTTTGTATCCTCAAGAAGTTTAAAGAGTGAAGGGAGTGAAGAACTTAGTAAGACAAAGATGAATGTTTAGAACAGTGCCTGGCACTTAGTGATGTTAGAAATGAACCTTGAAGGTTGGCAAAGATTTTGATAGACAGTTTTCTTTTGATTGTGACCTACTGAGAGGTCAGTATAGGCAGAAAGCACAGGGCACACAGAGAAGACAAGTTGAAAGGTATAGGGCTTTGGTGGCACCATGGGAATGGGATATGTTGAAGACATAGTATTATAGGTACAGATGGTAAATGTAATGTGAGAAGAAAAAGAGATAATTCCAGAAATGATGTAGAGGTAAATTGAATGGGACTTAATAACTGTGATGTGTGGGGGCAATGACGGGAGGGATCATCATAGGTGATTGAAGTTTTAAGCCTGGCTGACTACAGCAATAGATGGTTACCAGAAGCATTTCAGTACTCAGTTTGCAAAATAATCTTAAGAGCTCATGAGAGTCCAGGTTCTTTACTAGAGTCTTAAAAATGAAGGTTTCTGTATTCCTTACAAGTTCCAGCAAGTGTTAAAAATGAGGAAATGGCTGGGTGCAGTAGCTTGAGCCTGTAATCCCAGCTCTCAGGAAGTTGAGACAGGAAGATGGGTTGAGCCTAGGAGTTCAAGGCTTGGGTAAGCTATGATTGTGCCACTAAACTCCAGCATGGGCGACAAAGTGAGACCCTGTGTCTGAAAAAATAAAAAACAGTGAGGAAATAAGCTTCCAAATAATCTTCTATAAATGGGGGAGGAGTTGCTCTGTAGAGACCTGAAAACCTTCATTGGAGGAGTTTGGATTTGATTAATTCATTCATTAACTCTACATTGAATGCCTGCTACATGCTGGGATGCTAGGGATCCAGTGGTTAAGAAAGATACAATCCTTGTCTTGCCCTCATGGGGAATATAGATTAGAGAGAGATTAATATTTAAGCGGGTAATTACATAGATGATATATTTATGATTGTTGTGGGTGCTACAGGAACAAAGTTCAGAGTGATCTGAGGGTGCATATTGGATATATCTAGGCAGCATGTGATGGGGATGTGATGGTGAGTCTTCTGAAGGAAGTGACATGTAAGCTGAGACCTGAAGGATAAGAAGGAATTGGTGGGTGAGAAGGGGCTTTGCTGCTCATTGAGGAAACAAGACATGCTAAGGTCCTGGAAATGGAAGGTGCTTGACTCTCAAAGAACAGAGCAAAGTATAGTGTATTTTACAAGTAGTGAGAAATGAGACCAGAGAGGTAGCTAGTTGCCAGATCATACAGATGGCCTTGTTGATTATATAAAGTTAAAATTTTTATTGTGAAGCCATTGACATGGCTTACATGATTTGTATTTTTCAGACCCCGCTTGTGTGGAGAAGGGGAATAGAGGTGAATTTAGGCTAACCAGTTAGCTGAATGGTGGACTCAGCCTTTGGCAGGAAAGATTTAAGAGAATTGGTTATTGGAAGTAGGGGTGATGAGGGCTTGTGGCTGATTGCATGTGGTGAGCAAAAGGGAAGAGGTGCCATGGGTGATTCCCAGATTTTTGTTTGGCAGGGGTAACTACATTGGATGGATATGTCAAGATGGAGAAGGAGCAGATGAGGTAGGCATTCATTAATTTTTATTTAAATATTTTCCTTTGTTGGGTATACCTGGAGTGTCCTTTGTAGAGCCCCCGATTAGGCTCTGTCAGTGTGATAAAACAAATAGTTTTAACTAGAAAAGGGAAAGCATGGGTCCACATTCTGTTATAAATGGATGGTACTTTAATTCATTTCCCCACCTCCCTAAACATGGACCAAAGTGGACTAGATTATTTTGCAAGCTGGGTAGAAATTCATGCCTAAGGTCATGCCCTTTCATGTTTACCAGTGAATTATCTTTCTCCAATTTTCTATTGTGCATCTGGGAAAATTATGCTTACATATCCAATGTAAAGAAAACATTGAGTTTATATAGATTTGAAACCAAGGGGGTTTAGTATATAGTAAACATAAGAATAAATCTTACCAGTTTTGATTCTCATTAGTTAAGGCTTTGTGGCAACTGTGTCCTGTTTGATTTTATATTTCTATAAGTGTGAAGAAAGGTTTCTTGTACCATGGTAGACAAAATTGCTTTGAAATTATTTTAAGCCTGATGAAAGTTGTAGGGTCTGCTCTGCAAGCAGAATATACTGAAAATTTGCTATTAAATTGTGAATGTTGTGGTTTGCTCTAGCAGCCTATTTAGTAGCATTGTAGTAATCATGTAGATTATATTCAGAACTCAGGTAAGAGGAATTGTAGAGAAAATTGTTTTGGGGGCGGGGGAAATGGGGAGATTGGGGAATGGCAACTAGAGAGAGGTGTCATAGTTCATTTAAAATCATGTTCTTATAAGTTGTTTTACTTAGGCCTAAAAGAATAGAGGGCATGTGCCAGGGAATTGAATACCCTTGTATATGTAGTGCCATTTCCTTGCTCTCCCTTTAATTGCTATTTCCGGTTTGTTTCTCAGGTACTTACAAGAGATGTATCCTGGGAAGAAACAGGGTGGCAGAGTTTAGGGCCTTTGGGACTGAATTAGTCTTAAACCTGAGAACCCAGGAGGATTTTGACCGAACTGATTTGGGTGAGCTAGGAAACAAGGTTTTTTTTTTTTTGAGACAGAGTCTCGCTCTGTCGCCCAGGCTGGAGTGCAGTGGCATGACCTGGGCTCACTGCAAGCTCCAACTTCCAGGTTCACGCCATTCTCCTGCCTCAGCCTCCCAAGTAGCTGGGACTGCAGGCGTCTGCCACCACACCCGGCTAATTTTTTGTATTTTTTTTTTTTTTTTTTTTTTTTTTTAGTAGAGGTGGGGTTTCATCATGTTAGCCAGGATGGTCTCGATCTGCTGACCTCGTGATCAGCCCACCTCGGCCTCCCAAAGTGCTGGGATTACAGGTGTGAGCCACTGTGCCCTGCTGGGAACAACGTTTTTAACCAACTTTGCCTAAGCAGACAACAGAGTTGAGACATTCTGGTAGAGAAATAATAGCCCACATTTGTTGAATTGTTTTTAGCTCTTTAGTTATAAAGAGCTTTTTACAAATTAATTTATGTAATCCTCCAACAGTACAATGAGATAGATAATTTTAATTTTACAGACTCAAACTGCAGAATGGAAAGTTTAAGTAACTTAATGTCAAACAGCTAATAAGAGATCAAGATAATAATCTAGGCTCTTTACCTATCTCCTGGGCATAAGCACTAGCTTTTTTAGTGTAAACAGAATCAAATTGTTCATTAGATTTGGTTGATGAAAAGAGGTCTACCAACCATCATGTAAAATAATGGCATTTATGTTTATATTCAGAAGACTATTATACATTAATTTGGTAATACGTATTTTTTGAGGAAAGGTATAATGGCCATATGTATCTTAACCAGATACATCCTTAAGCCTACAATATGAGTAAAAGAAAATTACTCATTTTCTTTTGTGGAGTAGAAGTTGGATGGGTTATATGGGCGTGATGCCTCTCTCCTGTAATTCCAGCACTTGGGGAGGCCAAGGCGGGCAGATCTCTTGAGCCCAGGAGTTCTAGAGCAGCCTGGGTAACATGGCGAAACCCCTTCTCTACAAAAAAAAGTAGCCAGGCGTGGTGGCATGCGCCTATAGTCCCAGCTTACACGGGAGGCTGAGGTAGGAGGATTGCTTTGAGCCTGGGAGGTAGAGGTTGCAGTGAGTCGAGATTGCACCACCGCACTCCAGCGTGAGCAGCAGAGTGAGACCTTGTCTTAAAAAAAGTTGGATGGGTAGAGGAGGGACATTTTGCTAGGGCAGACTAACATCTAGGAAGTGGTTGAAGTTATTTTTTTTAAAAAAGGAAGAAAAGAAAGGAATTAGTATTTATTGATCACACCTTTCTGTATGTTAGGTGGTTTAGGTTTGTTGTCTTTAAATCTTCCATATGATGATGATACCCTGTTTTACAGTTGAGACCCAAGACTATAGATATGTTAAATAATTTGCTTGTGGTCATACATGTTCTATCTTCTGAATAGAAGATAACTCCTGGAACTGATAGAGAGAGGGCAGAAAAAAGATTCTATTTTGAGAAATGGAGCAACCTGAAGGCACATAGCTTTGCTGTTTGCTGTAACTCCTTTAGACAGCTCTCTGACCACACAGTACGTGGGTGGACACCAGCATTGACCAGGAGGGATGGTGGGAAGTTTAAATAGTTTTCCTTTACTGTAATAAACACTCTAGAGAAGTGAACTATTAAAGGTTTTTCCCCATCAAATGGCTAAATTAAACATTTTTGACATTCGAAAGGGATGATTTATATCTTATGTGGAAAAGCCCCAAACAACTATTTCCCCAGTTGCTGGAAAAGGAGCTCTTTTGAGTTATGAAGGTATTTTATGTTCTTTCTCCATTATTCTTAACTTGTGCTTACAGGTGAATTGTAAGCATGTGCTTTGTGTTTAGTATTTTCCTCAAGAAAACTCTTGCTGGTAAATCTAGTTACCATAGAACTTGAAAGGATATTGAAAGAATAGTTGAGGACTATCCTGATTGGTTTTCATCTACTTAGTCTGTATTTGTGTCATTTCAGTGTCTGAGTAGGTGGTTTGTGATTAACATTTCACATGTTATTTTTATTGATTTGGCAAGTACCAGAAAACTTGAAGGATGAACTAGAGGTTATTTTTCTTAGCATTTGTGGTATTAGTACTAAAAGGGGAGTAAGAGAGTAGAAAGAATTCTGGACAACTGTTAAGAATTGTTACATTTTGTCTACCTAGGCTCGAGTTCCTCACTTTTAAAATTAGGACTGTACTTTTTGGAAGAATATTGCTTGTTGTTTTGTGGTGGGACCAGGCTGTGATGGGAAAGGCTGTTGTCATAGGCATAGGCAGGCCTTTTGCTTTGCTGAGGTATAGTGAGCAGCCCGGTGACCCTCCATGTAGCCTGCATTGCATGCAGTTTCCACAGGGTCCATAGAGTTAGTGCAAAGCTCCAGCAGGCCTACTCACCTGCTTTTCTCATGAGGCAACCTGGGACCAGTGTGTCCCTGTAGTAACTGTAATTTTTTGTTGTGTTCACTTATTGCAGTGAAAAAAAAATCTGAGCGTAAGGTTCTGAGTGGACCTGGAAAGGGGTGGGTGTTGTAGTGAGAGACTGAAGACAAAGGCCTGTAACAGATGGGTATCTTTTTAGCTTAATCAAGCTATTGCTGGAGTGTTATGCTTCAGAAATAAGTCTCTTGGCCGGGTGTGGTGGCTTATGCCTGTAATCCCAGCACTTTGTGAGGCCAAGGCAGGCAGATCGCTTGAGGTCAGGAGTTTGAGACCAGCCTTGCCAACATGGTGAAACCTCGTCTCTACTAAAAATACAAAAATGAACCGGGTGTGGTGGCGGGCACCTGTAATCCCAGCTACTCGGGACGCTGAGGCAGGAGAATCACTTGAACCCAGGTGGTGGAGGTTACAGTGAGCTGAGATTGCTCCACTGCACTCCAGCCTGGGCGATAGAGCGAGACTCAGTCTCAAAAACAAACAAAACAAAAAATACAAAAATTGGCTGGGCATGGTGACACATGCCCGTAATCCCAGCTACTTGGAAGGCTGAGGTGCAAGAATCACTTGAACCTGGGAGGCAGATGTTGCAGTGAGCCGAGATCGATCGTGCCACCGCACTCCAGCTGGGCGACTGAGCGAGACTGTCTCAAAAAAAAAAAAAAAAGTCTCTAATGGAAAACAAAAATTTATCCCAATTCCCCCAACCCCTCCTCCCAAAAAGCAAAACAATAAAGAAGTTTTGTTATTCTTGCTTTTTTAAAAAGGAAAATAAAATGCTTTCATTATTTCCCAGAAACAGTTGATTTAAAAACTATTGCAGATTATAAAGTTCATTTATGTAGAACAAATAAGGTACTTAGTGCTTTTTGCACCGTCAAATGTCAAAGGCAGAATTTCAGTTACTGCTTTTTAGGTGCATAAAATTAGCATAGTTGAATACTTCATTGATTCATTTAGTTGCCTTTCATAGAATTTTACTCCAATAACAAAAAGATCTGGGGTTTTTCTAAAATTTTCTTCAGGTCTTGAGAGTTTTTAGCTGAATTGCTACAACTATTCTTTCTCTAGATTTCCAACTGGGCGAAAATGTTTTTCTTTTTAAATTGGCACTCTCCCAGCATATTTTTCCAGCAAGTATTCTTTGGGCACACCCTGTGCGTAGTGAATTTTTCAAGATCCTTATTCAAAAGGCTGGGAGGACAGGCCAGTCTTTTCTTTGTAAGATGAAAACAGAATGAAGCTTGCTTAAGACTCATTTTGCTTCTGCCCAACTGTATATGAAATTGATCTCATGCAAATACACTCAAGCATTACCAGAAGTAATTTGACTTGATAGTGTAAGTAGAAAAGCTAATTTAGTATTTGCAGGCGGTTTGCTTAGTGCAACAGGTGACCTCTCAATTGAGAATTCTTAATTTGTTCTCAATGATAACTTGATAGTAAGCAGGTCTCAGGTCCAAGAGTTGAGAAATGTGAGGTGACTTTGAAATTTTCAAGGTAATTGTACATTCAAGACATTGACATGATATGTATATATTTGGTTTTACATTTTATTAGGTGCTGAGGTTGTCATTTCCATAATGTCCAAAGCAATGTTAGATTATTTAAGCTTCCATGGTTTACTGATGGTATTACTAGATGAGATAAATGCCTTTAATTTCATCCTTGAATGGTAAGATTGGCTGACTAATTTAGGGAAGGATAAGGTACAGAATTGCTCTTGGGTGTTTCCTAGCAGGCTGGCCTTCCAAGAGCAATAGCTTAATGTTTGTTCCTTTAATAAGTAGTACTTAAACAGTGATCAGGGGAGTTACCATAATTGGTAATCTGAATGGAAACTAAAATGTGTCATCATTGAGGATAGTCAGAAGTGTCCTTGTGGCAGTCCTAGAAAAGGGGTTCCAGAATTTTCCGAGCAGAGAAAAATATAAACATTTTCAAGGTTCTAATTATTTGGAGACTAGCCTTTCAGGATCATTTATCACCAAGATTAACCTTGCCACCAAAGGGCAAGGAAACACTTCTCTGGTGGTTAGATCAGGAATGATGAAAACACTTAAGAAGAATTGAAAACTTGGTTCCTGTCTTCAATGAGTAATTTATGTGACTGATTTTTTTTTTTTTTTTTGGAGATAGAGTCTCACTCTGTCACCCAGGCTGGCGTACAGTGGTGTGATCTCAGCTCAGTGCAACCTCCACCTCCCTGGTTCAAGCGATTCTCCTGCCTCAGCCTCCTGAGTAGCTGGGATTTCAGGTGTGAGCCACTGCTCCCAGCCTTCCCCTCCACTTTCAAGTAAAAGAGGAAGCATTAGAATTAGACATTGTGGGCCGAGTTCCTTGGGAGGATCCCTTGAGCCCGGGAGTTCTAGACCAGAATAGGCATCATAGCGAGACCCCGTCTCTGTTTCGTTTTAGTATTTTAAATAAAAATTAAAAAACAAGAATTAGGCATTGTGTACTAAGTATTAGATACATGGTACAGGCATTAAATGCTGAAATCTTAGGAGGAGGGAGTGGTTAGAGGGAAGGATTGACTGCTGTAGGCTGAGGTGATAGGAAGACCTGAGAAGAGATGGATCTAGGGTTAGGAGTTTACATTCCAGTGCAGGAGTTCTCCATATAAACACTATCAGATACTGACTTTCTGGATGATCTGGAGTATTCTTTGTTAATGTTTTTTTGAGACAGAATCTCGGTCTGTCGCCCAGGCTGGAGTACAGTGGTGCCATCTCGGCTCACTGCAACCTCTGCCTCCTGGGTTCAAGGGATTCTCTTGCCTCAGCCTTCCAAGTGGCTGGGATTACAGGCATGAACTACCATGCCCGGCTAATTTTGTATTTCTAGTAGAGATGGGGTTTCACCATGTTGGTCAGGCTGGTCTTGAACTTTTGACCTCAGGTGATCCGCCCACCTTGGCCTCCCAAAAGTGTTGGGATTACAAGTGTGAGCCACTGTGCCCGCCTATCTGCATATTTTTAAACTACTTAGGAGGAGAAGTTTTTTTCTGATATTTACAAGGTATTTCCCCCAGCTTTTGTCATTTGAGTAATAGCTATCACAAGAAAGGATTGTTCTTAGAGTATGTTTTCTTTTGAGAGATAGGGTTTCACTCTATCACCCAGGTTGGGGTGCAGTGGCGTGATCATAGCTTACTACAGCCGAAGACTCCTGGGCTTAAGTAATCCTCCTGTGTCAGCCTCCCAAAGTGTTGGTATTATAGGTGTGAGCCACTGCACTTAGCCTGTAATATCTTTTAAATAGTTTTTTTTTTTAATAGACTGTAGGAACTAGAGTGTTATGCTCCTCTTCTGTGTTTATGTGGTTTTTCCAAAAATGAATGTTTTTTAGGCAGGTTTTCTTAACAGAGGCACCATTAACCTTTTGGGACTAATAATTATTTGTCATGGGAAGCTATTCTGTGCACTGTAAGAATGCCTGATGGCGTCTCTGGCCTCTACCCCCTAAATGCCAGTAGGACCTTCCCTCACCCTAGTTGAGACAACAAAATTTTTCCAGACTTTATTATATGTGCCCTTTTGGGGGTTGGGGTAAGGTCAAAATAATCCCCAAGGCTGGGAGCAGCGGTTCACACCTGTAATCTCAGCACTTTGGGAGGCCGAGGTGGGCGAATCATTTGAGGCCGGGAGTTCGAGACCAGCCTGGCCAACATGGCGAAATCCTGTCTCTACTAAAAATAGAAAAATTAGCTGGGCATGGTCGCACACGCCTGTAGTCCCAGCTACTTGGGAAGTTGAGGCAGGAGAATCGCTTGAACCCGGGAGGTGGAGGTTGCTGTGAGCCGAGATGGCAACACTACAGCCTGGGCAATAGAGCAAGACTCCATCTCAAAAAAAAAAAAAAAAAAAAAAAAATCCCTGGCTGAGAACTATTGGATTAGGGCCTCCTGTACCTATCTTTGAGGGGGAAAGGATGCTACCATCAACTTTTCTGAATGCCAGGAATGCCTTTTAGTATAGTTATTTCACTTACTATTTTATAGCATATTTTAATTGTATAGTAAGCATTGTGTCTGTTTTATGGTAAGGAAACTAAAATTGAGAGATTAGGCTGCTCGTGGTGGCTTATACCTTGTAATCCCAGTACTTTAGGAGGCCAGGACTTTGAGGCCAGTGTGGTCAACATAGCAAGACCCCATCTCCATTAAAATAATCATAAAATAATAAAAGGGAAAGATTAAACCTGGAGATGGCATCATATAAACCATGTATAATATGGGTTACTTATGCTCTGATTGTTTACTCCTTCCCCCCACCACACCCTCTCATTTCTTTGTCCCAGCTCTAAGAAAAGCATACAATATCCTTTTCCTGTATTCTGGTACTGTTTAAGGCTTTGCAGTGAAGATGGTTTGGTGAGTCAGACCACTTTTAAAGAGGAAATTCTACCCTTCCCTTCATTCTCTCTCTTTTTATAATTGTGGTGAGAGCCCGGGCACGGTGGCTTAGGCCTGTAATCCCAGTGCTTTGGGATGCTGAGGCAGGGGGATCACTTGAGCTCAAGGAGTTCGAGACCAGCCTGGGCAACGTGGTGACGCCCATCTGTACAATAAACCACAAGAAATGAGCTAGATGTTGTGGTTCACACCTGTAGTCCCAGCTACTCGGGAAGCTGAGATGGGAGGATCACTTGAGCCTGGGAGGTCGAGGCTGCAGTGAGCATTGCAAGTAGAAATTCTTAAAGTGCAACCCTGAGGGGGGAATATCCTCCCTCATTTGTCAAGGGACAAATCAGAATGTTAGCATTTCCCCACTTCCCTCATTGCCAGTAACGTATAATTTAAGCATGTGGATATGCCAGTCAGCTTTCCACAGCTTAACTGGGGTGGAGAGAGGTGTGCGAACCAGTGCTTTGTTCTTTCTTGTCTTTTTCCCCTTACTTTTGTACTCCCACTCCTGCCAAACTAGACATCGTTTTATCCTGGTGTGTTCATTAACCTCTACTCCAAAAATTAAGTGTGGTTAAGGGAGTGAGGTCGATTTCAAAATGCTGCATCTGATTTAGAGGGGGGTATAGTTGAGTGAAGAACTAGGCACTGAAGCAGCAGCTCATGAGGAGAGTGTTTTCTCTTTATTTAAAGCCCTTACATATCGAGGCATCTGGTGTTCATGAAATAGTCTGTTGTGCTGTTCAACTTTTTCACTCTTTTCTTACCTGACTTAGACAATTAACTCCTAGGGCTGGGTTTTCCCTCCACATTGCGATTCCTTCAGGGTCAGATTGTCTTAGTTTCTCTCTCTTCTTTGTATTGATACTTTATTTTTTTGGTGCTTCTCATTTCTTCAAATGTAATGGAATGAGGGGACTCAGACTTTTTCTGGTTTGATAATCTAGTGTATAAATGACCTGGTCTTTTGATGGTTCATGAAATCTTTAACTCCGTCACCTCCAAGTAGCCAGCCCTTCCATGTAGTCTTCATTTCCTATACTAGTGTTCTGTTCCTATTACATAAAAGTCATGTACACGAAACATTTTGTAAACAGCCAGTGGGGTTTTGTATCCCATGCTGTTCTGTTTTCATTTCCAGCCCACATTTTGGGAATATGTTTCTGTGGCTTTATTTATATATTTACTAGTTAATCCCAGAACATTTATTTCCACAGGCTTTTGATAAAAGATAAAGTTACTAATAAGAGTGTACTATTTTACCGAGTAAAACGACATAGAAAGCTAAGGATTTCCTTGTGCCCATCTTTCTAGAAGGGAAATTTAAAGAGGGCTCTTCCAGCTCTAATAGTTTTATAATTATTCGTGTCTCCTAAGCCTGATCTTTCCCCACAACTAAAATGCGTTGATGAGCTGCGTACCTGCATGTATGTCTTTGTTTGCACTTTCCTAGTAAATTAACTTACTCAACAAGGGAACTGAATAATACTTTAAAAAAAAATCCTTGTGATATGACCAGGAAGTCAAGCCACAGAGGCTTCATAGCTAGGAGCATGGCTGTCTTCCCTAAGCCCTTTAGATTTTAAAAAATACTGCTTTAAGTTTGTAATGTTTTATGTCAGATGTGCTCATGACCTGGTGCTTCTGTGTCAGCAGGTATCTCCATACAGCCAAGAATAAAGAAAGAAAGGGATAGATGGAATGAGTTTCATCGTGATTCTAAGTATCCAGGAATAATTTAAAATTATTTATCACTGTGGATTTAAGCATCTGGATTTATTTATTTTACAAATACTTAACATTTTGTTGTTTTGCTCTCTATCTTGCTAATCCCTTTTTTAAAAGGGCTACTTGGATGAAGGTATAAAAACCAGTAACTTATGAAACCCTCGGTTGGTATCAGTGAATTCGCTTATTACTCAATGTTTGCTTGTTTGACTTCAAAAAGAAAACAATTTACCACCTGTGTCAGTCTGACACCTGCTCTTTTCAAACCCTTTTGACATGATCTAAATAAATCTCTGAAATCCCCCCCCCCCCTTTGTGTCTATTGTCAGTATTAGTTTCACCTAAATTCAGGGCCTGTCATCCTGTGTAACAGTTGAGGCTAAATGAGGACATTAATTGGTGGAAATGTGTTGCTTCAAAGGCATTTTTAGGAATAAAACTACAAAGAGCTTCATAGTTGTAATATAGCTGATTCGTCTTCAAAAAGTATTCTGTTGTTTTCTTGATAGTTTTAGGTTTTTATAAGTAAGTTATTAAGAAGTGAATGTTTGTCTGAAATACGTTGTTTTAAGTGAAAGGTGTTATTTGTGTTCTGGGAGTAAGCTCTAGAATCTCAATGTCAGGTTAGTATTTAAGTGGAGGTAGAGCTACTAGTTTTTGTTTAAAATGTTTTTATGATACAGAATTATTCAGGAACTTGTGTATTGATCTGTTTGCCAGCAATGCCAATTCCCTCAAAATTCATAGTTTTCAATTTTTGTTTTCTTCCCACTGTAAGTACCTTTGAGGACTCTCACCCAGTTAACATTTGTTGTGTTCAAATTGCATGGTTCTCAACTTTTGCTATACACTAGAATCACCTGGGTAATTTTTTAGAAGTCCTGTGGTTGTACCACAGATGAGAAAAAATACACCCTCTGGGATGGGATCCAAGCATCTGTATGTTTAAAATTCACCAGGAGATTCCATGATGTAGCCAGAGTCATAAATCACTGGTCTAGGATGTTTTTCAGATTAGGGACCATTTAAAGAAAAGCTGTAGATTTTCCTTCCAGAAACATGGGTATTAATGATTCCCTAAAGCCCCAAATTAAGAACCCCTGTTCTAGGAGTAGCCTCAACATGCTAGATTTAATTGTAAGCAGCTGGTTTAAGAAATTATGTAAGTTGCAATGATGAATATTCCTCGTCACTCACAAATGTTATTCATCAATTTAAAAATTAATATGTATCAAGTACTCAGTGTGTTCCAGGCATGATTTTAGTTACAAGGAGTACAGCAGCCAATAAGATATTACAGTTTTCAGGGAGTTTTATCCTACTAGGGAAGACAGATAAGTAAATAATGACCGAAGGCTAGTTAACAAGTGCTATAAAGAGATATAAAAAGGAAAGAGCCTAAGGAGATTGAAAGTGATGGTTATGGGAGAGAGATGTCTATATTAATAGGGTGGTCAGGGAAAGCCTCTCTGAGGAGGTGACAGTTTGAATGAGATCTGTATGAAGTGTGTGAGCAAGACCTGTGAAGATCTTGAGGAAGAGCATTCAAGGTGTAGAGAACACTTGCAAAGGCCCTAAGATGGGACTGAGCCCGGTTTGTTGGATTTTCATCAGTAAGCCCGGGGTGGCAGGAGCATGCATGCTGATCCAGGTATAGAATGAGTGGTAGAAGGTGAGATCAGGAGCCCTGTAAGCTGTTGTAAGCATCGTTGTTTTAATTTGGTAGAAACTCAGTTATAACTCATTCTTAAATATTTAGCTTTATGCTTAAAATAATTTAGAAATAACCTTGGACTTCCATCTTTTTAGAAATAGCTGGAAGGTTAGCACTCAGTATGTTGTATTACTTCTCTGTGAAAGGATCTACAGTAGACTGAACTTGTCTATGTTATGAGACTGCTCATGTCTTTATTCTTTATATTCATAATGCTGAACACAAGATACTCGTGTTTTTTTTTTTTTTTTTTGACAGAATAGGGATCTTGCAGTTAACTTAGCTGTTCTTAAATTTCTGTTTATAAAAGCCATAATGCATAATAATTTACTGTAGTCGTTATTCCTAGTTTTCCCAGGTAGGCAGTGGTAACATCTGTTTCACAAGATAAGGAAGCAGAAATTTAACAACAATGGCAGAATCAGGATGTCAATCTTGTCCTTTTTTCCTTTTCCCACTTTGCCATGCTGCCCTCTGGGTAATAAGATGGAGACTAATTTTTGAAGGCTTAATTTGTTGAGCCAGTGTCATTAGTTTTTAGGTAACATTTTAATACAGAATAAGTGTGTCTTGGTCTTATTAACAGTGCTATGTTATGTAAAGGAATTTAGTTGTAGGAATATTTTCTTTGAAACAATAATACCTGTTTTTTTATCTCTTGATTGTAAAGTGCTGTGGGAAATACAGAGATGACTTGTAAATAAATTCTGCCCACAGGCTTAGGGGATCTAAGATATAATTCACTGTGGTAAAAGATACAAAGCAATCATTGTCAGAAAAGATACAGATTAAGTGCCATAGAAGTTCTGCTGAAGAAGAATTTCTGGGTAAAGGGAAGGAGACTTCTTAGAGGATAGATGGATTTTAGTTCTAGGTGGTAGTGTGGGAAGCAAGGGAGATGTAGGTGTTTAGAGGGAAAGAAGAAAGGACATTCTGTATACAAATTGAGCAAAGGTTTGGAATTAGAGCAGTATAAGCAGCCACAATCATGGAATACAATTTGGAATCTAGTATGAGAAAAAGGAAATGACCAAGGTTAATGAAGATTATACTCATGGAGGAAGCCTTTGAGTATCAGGCCAAGGAATGTTAAGTTCTATTTTTTTTTTTTTTTTGGTAAGGAAAGTGACTTTTATTTTTTATTTATTTATTTATTTTTGAGATGGAGTCTCGCACTGTTGCCCAGGCTGGGGTGCAGTGGTGCGATCTCAGCTCACTGCAAGCTCCACCTCCTGGGTTCACACCATTCTCCTGCCTCAGCCTCCCGAGTAGCTGGGATTACAGGCGCCCGCCACCACACCCGGCTAATTTTTTTTTTTTTTGTATTTTTAGTAGAGACGGGGTTTCATCATCTCTACTACTAGCCAGGATGGTCTCGATCTCCTGACCTCGTGATCCACCCGCCATGGCCTCCCAAAGTGCTGGCATTACAGGCGTGAGCCACCGTGCCCAGCCAAGGAAAGTGACTTTTAAATCAGAAATCACATGATCTGTGATGGAATTTAGGAAAGTTGATATTAGTTGGTTGGATTAGCACAATCAACAGACTATGCCCTGTATGCCAAATGCAGTCTAAGGCAAGTTTTTGTAAGTAAAGTTTTATTGGAACACAGTCATACTCATTCACTTGAATATTGTCTGTGGCTGCTTTAGTACTATAATGGCAAGAGTTGTGTAGTTGAGACGGAGACTGTGTGGCCTGCAAAGCCTAAATATTTGCCATCTGGCCCTTTACAGAAAAAGTTTGCCAACCCCTGGATTAGAGGAGTGGAGGCAGAAATCCTGTTCATTGTTGTTCTGGTTAGGGTATAAACCCATGCCTTCCTGTCAAATGAAATGAAGGCCAGAATTGTGATAGCCCTAGTAGAAAAAAAGAGGCAGGCTGGGCGCAGTGGCTTACGCCTGTAATCCCAGCACTTTGGGAGGCCGAGACGGGCGGATCACAAGGTCAGGAGATCGAGACCATCCTGGCTAACACGTGAAACACCGTCTCTACTAAAAATACAAAAAATCAGCTGGGCGCAGTGGTGGGCGCCTGTAGTCCCAGCTACTTGGGAGGCTGAGGCAGGAGAATGGCGTGAACCCGGGAGGTGGAGCTTGCAGTGAGCCAAGATCATGCCACTGCACTCCAGCCTGGGCGATAGAGCGAGACTCCGTCTCAAAAAAAAAAAAAAAAGAAAAAAAGAGGCAAGAATGGGTGAGATAAAATAATTTTTTGAATTTGGTAACTTGATTAGGTTAGGAGTCTAGGGAGAGGGGAGGAATTTTTTTTTTTTTTTTTAAGTGTAAGCAACAGGCCAGGTACGGTGGTTCATGCTTGTAATCCCAGCACTTTGGGAAACCGAGGTGGGCAGATTACTTGAGATCAGGCGTTCCAGACCAGCCTGGCCAACATGGTTAAACCCTGTCGCTACTAAAAATACAAAAAAAAATTAGCAAGGCATGGTGGGTGCTTGTACCCAGCTGTTCAGGAGGCTGAGGCAGGAGAATCAATTGAACCCAGGAGGTAGAGGTTGCAGTGATCTGAGATTGTGCCACTATACTTCAGCCTGGGCGACAGAGGGAGACTCCCATCTCAAAAAAAAAAAAAGGTAAGTGAAGGAGGATGGTGATTTGGGTTAGAAGAGGCTTTTAATTGTAAGCCATTCAGCATGTGAACTCGTAAAAATGACCTTATGTTAAATAATTAGTTCAGAGCGCTGATCTTGAGAGATAGGAACGTTTCCTGTTTTTGATAAATGATAGGTTACCCTTGTTTATGGTTAGGGGTGGGTTTTTGTCATGGTCCAACCAGGTGATAGTTATATATGTGAACATATTAAAATTGTTTTTAATGTTTAAATTCTAATCCTTAAAATGTGACAGAACTGATTTATGTTCCTCCTCTCCCAGTTCTCTTCAAATCATGAGAGTGACCCTCTTAAAAACTGCTTTCTTTCGGGGGAGCGGTTGTTGAGAAGAATCATGTAACTATGTAAAAAGCATGTCTGTTTGGTACACTATTTGCTAATGTCAGAAGTGTTAAATAGAAATAAAATTTCCACCATAGTAGCTAATTATTATTTAGTGTGTGTCAAAACTGTGTGCTAATTACTTTTTATAAACCATCGCCTTTAAAGTCTTATAACTTTTCTATGAAGTAGGACGTTTGTGTCCCTACCTCCTCTGTTTTACCATTGGGAAAACCAGGGCCCAGAACGAGTAACCACACAAGTTCCACAGCTACCAAGGTCAAGGTTATTTCTACCCTAAATACACATCTTTAAATTTTATATTCATCAACAACCTAGTACTTAAAAATTCAGATTCCTAAGCCTTTCAAGGGTTTTGCCTGTGATTCTATTTTTGATCTTTGTACCAAACTTCGAGAAAATACCGTCATATAGTCTTCTATTAACAGCAGTTGCCTCATGTGGAGAACACCTGAATTTTACTTACAACTTCTTCCAATGCTGACCCATTTTGATTTTTATAAACATTTTGAAATATTTGTTAAGTTGGTCAAGCAAGAGATAATGTGATTATGTAGTATCTTATCAGTTGAGATCTTTCTCTCTCTCTCTGCCTCTTTCTCTCTCGCTCTCTTTTTTTTTTTTTTTTTTTTTTTTAAAGAGTCTCACTCTGTCACCCAGGCTGGAGGGGTTAGTGGTATGATCTCTGCCCACTACACCCTCTGCCTCCTAGTCTCAAGCAATTCTTCTATCTCAGCCTCCCGAGTAGCTGGCACTACAGGCGCATGCTACCACATCTGGCTAATTTTTGTATTTTTTGTAGAGACAGGATCTTGCCACCTTGCCCACACTGGTCGTGAACTCCTGAACTCAAGTGATCCACCCACCTTGGCCTTCCAAAGTGCTGGGTTTACAGGCATGAGCCACCACCCCAGTCTGGTTGACGTTTTTCACCTCCTTCTCTTTACAGCATATTCAGAAATTTTAAACCAGTAATACGAAATACATATATTGGTTGATTTTTCTGTTGTATTTTAAGCATATTGACTTTTTAAATCGGATCATATTTTTGCATGCAAGTACTATGGCTTTTCAAGGTCATTCTGATTTGAAACAACACATTTCTTAGTCAATTCATTGGCTCTTTACCCCCTTTTAAAATTTTTTATTTTTTATGTGATTTATTTATTTACTTATTTTTAGTGATGGAGTCTCACTGTGTTGCTCAGGCTGGGCTCAAGCAGTTCTTCTGCCTCAGCCTCCTGTGTAGCTGGAACTACCTAAGGATGTGCACCACTGTGCCCAGCCAGATCTTCACCTTTTCCAAAAAAAGAAACATCTAAATGTGAAACCTTTTAGGCCTGTCAACTTCTTTTTTTTTTTTTTTTTTTTTTTTTGAGACGGAGTCTCGCTCTGTCGCCCAGGCTGGAGTGCAGTGGCGGGATCTCGGCTCACTGCAAGCTCCGCCTCCCGGGTTCACGCCATTCTCCTGCCTCAGCCTCCCAAGTAGCTGGGACTACAGGCGCCCGCCACTACGCCCGGCTAATTTTTTGTATTTTTAGTAGAGACGGGGTTTCACCGTTTTAGCTGGGATGGTCTCGATCTCCTGACCTCGTGATCCGCCGGCTTCGGCCTCCCAAAGTGCTGGGATTACAGGCGTGAGCCACCGCGCCCGGCCTCAACTTCTTGTGATAGACACATACAGAATTTTTCAGCTACTCTCTGCCTATGGGGTAGCCCTACCTTGCAGGAGCAGTCCAAAAAAAATTTTTTTTTTCAATTTAGGATCAGTGTAGAGGAAAGAGCCCTGGACTATCATAAGACTGAGTACCAGCTTGGCCAGTCAGTCACTTTGTGACCTTGATTAAGCTATGTAACCTTTTCAAATTGATTTCCCTCTCTGTAAATAGAGCTGATAAGATGGCTTGCCCTGTTTCCTGTGGTTTTTAAAGAGGATCAAATGAGTGCGTGAAAGTTCTCATGAAAACTAGACGTCTATTCAAATATGAGGTGGTGGTATTCTCAGAAGGTCATAGATGAATGATGCATTTATTTTAGTGCTTTTCACAGTTTAGTCTCAATACTGAGTGCTTACTGAGGGGTTGTATGGAGGCACACTAGTTGTTTCTTTAGGAGATGTCTTTAGCTGCTAGAGTAGAGAACAAAAGAATGAGTAAAGAGGCTTCAGAAAAGCTAGTATGGGCTGGCACGGTGGCTCACACCTGTAATCCCAGCACTTTGAGGGGGCCAAGGTGGGAGGATCACTTGAGGTCAGGAATTTGAGACCAGCCTAGCCAACATGGTGAAACCCTGTCTCTACTAAAAATACAAAAAATAGCTGAGTGTCATGGTCGACGCCTGTAATCCCAGCTACTCGGGAGGCTGAGGCAGGAGAATCCCTTGAACTCAGGAGGTGGAGGTTGGAGTGAACCAGGATTGCATCACTACACTCCAGCCTGGGTGACAGAGAGTCACTCCTCTCAAGAAAAAAACAAGGAAAAGCTAGTATGGATGGAGCACCTCCATGCTCATTTCCTAGAGCTTATGTTTTGTTGTTTGATTTCCTAGTTCATAACAGAAGGGGTTTTGTAAGCTGACCTAGCTTGACAATCCTTTTTGGGTTTTTTGGTTTCAAACATGATCTTATAAAATTATTTAGTGCATTAAAATGTAGACCCAAGTAGCTGCTTAGCTCTTGAGAAAAGGCTGTGTTTCAGTTTAGCACAACAGTGTTTTCAGGAAGATAACTGTTCTAGATAGCTCTTTTTTTCCAAAATTCTTGATTAAGGTTTGGGGAATTTAGAATTATCTCCAGCTATTAAATTATCAAATTGGTTAAGTAGAGGTAGAAAGTTTATTGCATAAATCAGTAGATTTGTCTTCCAAAGAAGCTTATGAAATAGAAAGGGCCAGGAGGTATACCTGTAGTTGAAATATGGGATGGGCCCATAGAGAGTGAGTTGGAAAATGATAGTAAGTGGTTGAACATGGACTTTAAAGCATGGCATGCTCTGAAGTCATATTAGAAAAGTCCTTTGCTTTCATGCAAAACTAGTCTCCGTGGCTTTTCATTGTGTAGATCGGGTTAAAAGCAGAATATAAGAAGCAAGTTTTTGGATGAGATGATAGAACTTAAGTAGTACTTGTCTGTCAATCCTAAAAGAATTATTTCTGGCCAAATCCTCTCCTCTAACCACCAAATAAGGAGCTTGACTTCATTCTCACTGTTAAGAATCAGAAACCCAGTTTAGAATATCCAACTCCTGGTGAACTTTTAAAAATTAATATATATCTTGATACTTTATAATCTATTGTGTGGCATCCAACGAATGTGAGGTAATCTGGGGAGTTAGAAATGCCTTGCATTTCGTGTGGAAAAGGTGTAGTCGTAAGTTTGGCCTGGGAAGGTTAATACTGTCTTTGCACATAGAAAGCTAAGGGCAGTGTCATCATCATTTGTTTGTGAGGAGGGGACTGAAAAAGCAAAATCATCACTACTAGCCTATTCTAAAGGATCTTAATCCCATTACATTTTTCAGATTTTTTTTTTATTATGTAGTATCCCCTGGATATAATCTTTTTGGTGAAGGGGGATGTCTCTAATTTCCACGTGGTACCCCCTGTCATATACAGGTTATGTATCTGGCAGTCTACAGCTGCAATTCATGGCTGTTTATAAAATTTCACCAGAACTTGTCCTGACGTCCTTTTACTTTTGTAAATGATTAGAAAAAATGCTGAGCCTGAGTATGTATTTTTGTATTAAGAGTTCATTTAGAGAGTCCCAGAAATTGGCAGAGTTGATTCAACTTTCTGTGGTTTAAATTTGAATATGCAATTAGTAGACTGCTGGTATTTCAGAAGTTTGTTGTTGCAGGCCTCTTGTACTGAGGAGGAAATCTGGAATTTCTTTTTCTATTTTAAATTAGCGTTCATTCAACAAACATTTTTTGATTATCCCTAGAGTTTTGGCACACGATAGGAAGTCTAGAACTGTGCAGTCTCACCTGGTCTCGCAAGTAATGGGAATTTTTAAACTATGCAGGACTTAGAAGGTATACCTTCCCTTCCTTCAGAATGATAGTAGTAGTATAGTTATATCTTTCCTTGACCTAATTATAATTTTTCGTTTTCCCCCCCATGACAAAGTAATAAAAACTTGTAAAAAACAAAGAGCCACAGACATGTGAAACTTGTTTTACCTCTGCTGTTACTTGGTCTGTTGTAATGCCACTGTAGAAAATACTCCCTTTGTTTGGGGTAGCATAGGAAACATGTGATTTGGAATCAGACTTCAAGTTCTAGCTCCATAATTTTACTAGCTCTGTGGTCCTCGGATATCACTCAACCAATCTGGACCTCAAATTTTCTCATCTCTTCTACTGGGAAGATAACAACTTCTTTTTTTTTTTTTTTTTTTTTTTTTGAGATGGAGTCTCGCTCTGTCGCCCAGGCTGGAGGGCAGTGGCGTGATCTCGGCTCACTGCAAGCTCTGCCTCCTGGGTTCACGCCATTCTCCTGCCTCAGCCTCCTGAGTAGCTGGGACTACAGGCGCCCGCCACAACGCCCGGCTAATTTTTTGTATTTTTACTAGAGACAGGGTTTCACCGTGTTAACCAGGATGGCCTCAATCTCCTGACCTCGTGATCTACCCGTCTCGGCCTCCCAAAGTGCTGGGATTACAGGCGTGAGCCACTGTGCCCGGCCTTTTTATTTATTTATTTATTTATTTTTTGAGACGAAGTTTTGCTCTTGTTGCCCAGGCTGGAGCACAATGGCGTGATCTCAGCTCACTGCAACCTCTGTCTCGCGGGTTCAAGCGATTTTCCTGCCTCAGCTTTCTGAGTAGCTGGGATTATAGGCGCCTGCCACCACACCTGGCTAATTTTGGTGTATTTAGTAGAGACGGGGTTTCACCATGTTGGCCAGGCTGGTCTTGAACTCCTGACTTCAGGTGATCCACCTGCCTCGGCCTCCCAAAGAAGATAATGACTTCTACAGAACTGCTGAATGGGTACATATATGTAAATATTCTCACCTGACTTCTGCTTTTCCCTTTATTTCACTGGGAGGTATTATATTTTTAGTGTATCTTACGGCCTTTGAGGACTTCTTAGTTTGAGTATATTTTAGCTGTGTGCATAAATGTCTTTACAGTGTACTTAAGGAGTTGGATTTTTAGAAACTTGCCATATTTAGAAATCTATTGGATTGAACATAGTTTGAAAAGCAAAGTATAAGTTAATTCCTTTACTATATACTTGTACTATTCTTTTCATGGACTTTCTGATGCTTGCTGTTTGTGCACATAGGCTTTGCTTTTTGTATTTATTTATATTGTATGAATCTAAGAATAAAAGAGAGTGTGAACAATTCAGAAGACTACAGATATATCTTGTTAGGTTGCTTTCCAAAAGGTTCCCAGTTGTAGTCATACCAGCAGTGTAACAAGCAGGTTTTTTGTTTAACCACACTCCAATTAGCATGGAGGATCCTTTAAAAATATTTGCTAAACTGATAAATAAAAAATACTATCTTTACTTAAATTTGCATTGGGAAAGTATTAGTGAAGTTGAACATTCTCATATGTTGTAATGTTTTGTTTTGTTTTGTTTTGATACAGTCTGCAGTCTTGCTCTGTTGCCCAGGCTAGAGTGCAGTGGCATAGTCGTAGCTTGCTGCAGCTTCAACCTCCAGGACTCAAGTGGTCCTCACAAGTAGCTGGGACCACAGGAGTGCACCCTTATGCCCCCCTTATTAAAAAATTTTTTTTTCTTTGTAGAGATGGGGTTTTGCTCTGTTGCCCAGGCTGGTCTCAAACTCCTGGACTCAAGCAGTCCTCCTGCCTTGGCCTCCCAAAGTGCTGTGATTACAGGCATGAGCCACTGTGCCAGGCTGTTGTAATGTTTTTATGATTCTTTGAAGCAGAGATATTTATCCTTTGGTAAAAATATTGGAGTCAAACTTGGATAAGTTAGAAATTATAAATTGTTTAAATTTTTGTCTGTTGATCTTTTGCCTTTAGCTTTCTTTCTCAACCTAAAATAGTAGAAATTCTTCATCCTTCCAGACACTAATAGGAGAATTTTAAATTTCCTTGTACATGTTTTTATTTTTGGAAACTACCCTTTTACCAATATAGTGAAACCTTGGCTCTACTAAAATACAAAAAAATTAGCCAGGTGTGATGGCACACACCTGTAATCCCAGCTGCTCGGGAGGCTGAGGCTGGAGAATCGCTTGAACCTGGTAGGTGGAGGTTGCAGTGAGCCAAGGTCATGCCACTGCACTCCAGCCTGGGCACGCAGAGTGAGACTTGTCTGAAAAAAAGAGAAATAAAGAAAGAAACTACCCTTTTAATTCATCAGAGCGTTTTTTGTTTCATAATACAAGGAAGTAAGTCCTCTCTAACCCTCTTTCCGAAAAAGCTGACTAGTATCTCAAAACCACTTAATTTTGTATTACTTTCTTTGGGACTTTGGAAGTTGCATAAGACATACAGGTTAACTTGTAAAGAATATCTTTCCAGAATATGGGTTGCCAAATTTTTACTAGATTCATTTAGGGTATTTTTTGTGAGGATACTGTATTCTTGGGCATTTTGTTCTTTTTAATTCCTTTTATGAGTATACACTCTCTGATTGTCTTTTCTTATTTCGCACCCAGATTTTCTGCAGTAGCTCAGTGGAATATTTTGAGCTTAGTGTAAGATAGACCGTTTGTAAATAAATGTAAAGTATTGCATAGAAGAATTTATTTGTCTTAGACCCTTAAGCAGCCCCTATGCTCCCCCAGTGAAGTTGATTTAGATGTGTAGACAACCTTGAGGAAAGAGAAGGGCTCTTCAGCTGCTCTCCTGTCTCCAAGTTTATCTAAATCTAGGGTTCTGTGAAATGATTTAGTCTTCAGTGTGGATTTTGCTCTGTGGGATAGCCTCTGAGTGTAAATGCTTCCTGTCCTGAGACCTACTGGGTTTAATGCATTTGCTTCACCTTGTTGTGTACACTCACAGGTGGGAATATAAAAGGATTTTCAGTTCAAAGAACCAGATAAACAATTTTCAATTTAAAATGTTTAGTTCTTACATAACTTAGTTTTGTAAAGAGAAATACAAGTACTTTAGTTAATTGTTGAGTACATTGTCTTTTTTTTTTTTTAAACAAACAGGATCAATCACTGTTCTGGGAATGCTTTATCTGAATTTCTGATCCTTTATGCATCCTCAGCATTTAACACATAAAGTAGCCCTGTGTATAACTTTTTGAGGAACTGCCTGTTTTCCATTTTATATTACCATTTTGTATTACCATGAGCGATATTTGTGGGTTCCATTCTCTCCACATTCTTGCCAATGCTTCTAATTGTCTTTTTAATTATAGCCATGCTAGTCAATGTGAAGTGGTATCTCATTGTGGTTTTGATTTTAATTTCTCTAATGGCTAATGATGCTGATAATCGTTTCAGGTGCTTAATTGGTCATTTGTATATCTTCTTTGGAGATCCTTTGCTCATTTCTAAAGTTATTTGGTTTTTAAAAATTGTTGAATTGTGTTTTTTGTATATATTCTGGAGACCAGTGTCTTGTCAAATAGATGATTTTCAGATATTTTCTTCCATTCTGTGGATTGTATTCTCATTTTCTTGATTATTATTTACAGAAGTTTTAAATTTTGATATAGTCCAATTTATGTTTTTTTTTTGTTTCTTTTGCTTTTTGTGTCACAGCATAAGAAATCATTGCCTAACCCAAGTTCATGAAGAATTTACTCCTATGCTTTTTTCCAGGAGTTTCAATGCTTACATTTAAGTAGGGCTTTGATCGACTTTAAGTTAGTTTTCTGTATGGTGTGAGGTAGGAATCCAATTTTATTTTGCCTGTGGATAGTGGATATTCAGTTGTCCTTGTACCATATTTATTGTAAAGACCTTTTTTTCCCCATCATGTGTTTTACAATGTAAATTTAGTTGTGGAAACTTATTTGCAGCTTAAAATTTTTTCCGGTTGTATAGATTACATATTTTTCTTCTTTATGCTACTCTTTATTTTCCAGATATCTGCAGTAAAATTTTGGCAACAAAAATATATATGTATGTATGTGTATGTGTATATGTGCACACCAGAGTGCTAACAGTGATTATTTCTGAGGGATGGGATGGGTTGGGATGGAGGAAGGGAAGGGATTACTTTCATTTATTTTTTAATACTTTGAAATTTTATTATGAGCTTTTTTGGTGTAGTAAAAAATAGAAAAAGTTTTTGTCTCTCTGGATTATGCTAATTTACTTGAATTATTGTGGTGGCCTGTAAACCAGGACCAAAAGTATTTTTAAAAATTTTTGCCTTTTCCCTTCCCTCTCTCCTTTTTCTTTTCTTTTCTTTCCCTTCATTCCTTCCTCTTTTTTTAAGGACAGTATATTCTGAGAATGCTTTCAGTTCGTGGAGGGTTAGTTTCCAAAGTCAGGGTGCTGTTGTAGGAGAGGGACGGAAACTAACAATCAGTTAGTGCCTATTTTTGGTATTATGCTTTTATGTACGTAATAATCCTTCACATTTTTACAGTTAGGCAACAGGAGTACTAGACATAATGATTGACTTCCCGAGGTCACAAGGCTTAGTAATTGGTTAAAACAAGAAGTAGAGTCAGGTTCATATCACTCCAAAGGCTGGGTTTCCTCTGCTTCTTCGTGCTGAGTAGTACATAATAAGCAATTCATTGAATGCTTGAGTACACATGTGCACATTTAGATGGGTGAGTAGTGGCACAGGTGGAGGAAATCTGGTGGAGAAATTGATGTTAGAGAGAAATAATGGAAAATGAGTAACTTCACCTTGAGGGAACTAAAAATTTTGAATTCAGTGAGAGCAAGTATTTAATTATATTTGTCATGGTATTTAAAGCATGTTAGTCATTATATACTTTTTTTTTTTTTTTGGCCTATGAAAGATTTTAAACTTGGTTCCAAAATGTGGTCAAATGCCCTGTGAGGATGAGAAAATAATGTCAATACTATGAGTTCACTTTAATAAAGGCTAAGAGGTAAATAGACATTAGTAAATAGACATTGGTTTCCTGTGATGTCCTAGGTATTGTTTTAGATTATGGGGATAGAGCAGCAATGAAAGACTTCTGGTTTTCCATTTTTCTGCCTTCCTTTTTAATGAATTGGCACTAGTTTCTTCCTTAAAACTCAAGACTTCTTAGCAGATTAGAAATTTGTAATGGTAATAGTCTTGTGTCTGATGCCTTTAGGATTGATTCATAAGCCACTGGGGGTAGTTGAGTGAGAATAGGTTTAATGAATTCTATCACAGGATTCCTGGTTAGAGGTGAAATTTATGTGTGTCCTGTATGTATGTTACTTCATGACTTCTCCTAATATTGTGAACTGTACCTATGTTGATGGGTTACAGTGATGATCCTTTGACTCCAGTTCTTACTGTCAGGTGTGACCCTTGGATCAGGTGAGGAATACTATCTCATCTTTGTCTTGGACTTAATACTTTTAAAGTACTTTGAACCTTAGCCACGTATGTATTCACACAACTAGATGTGCTGTTGATTTACAGAACTGAAAGCCATTACAGGTGGAGTCTCTCTGATGTGAAATGTTTGGGACCAGAGGTGTTTTGGATTTTGGAATCTTTGCATTATACAGTTATCCTTCAGTATTCTTGGATGACTTGTTCCACGAACTTCCGTGGATACCAAATCTGACAGTGCTCAAATCCCTGATATAAGATGGGATAGTATTTGTGTATAACCTATGCACATCCTCCTGTATGCTTTGTCATCTCTAGATTACTTATAACACCTAATACAGTGTAAATGCTATGTAAATAGTTGTTACACTGTATTGCTTAGGGAATAATGAGAAGAAAAAGTCTGTACATATTCAGTACAGACATTGTTTTTTAAATATTTTTGCTGTTTGATTGATTGAATCCATGAATACAGAGGGTCAGCTGTACTTACCAGTTGAACATCCCAAATCTGGAAACCCAAAATGCTTCAATAAACATTACCTTTGAGTGTCATGTTGACACTCAGAAAGTTTCCTATTTTGGGAACTTTTTGGATCTTGGGTTTGGGATGCTGAACTTGTATTTGCATGTGTGGAAAGAGATCAGGAGTCAAGGCAGGAGTCAGGAAATGTGGCTTCTATTCTTGGCTAACTTGATGGTGTAGGGCAGATCACTTCACTAGCCTAAGCTGCAGTTTGCCACTGTTCACTCCTGAGGGTAGCTGGAGAGGCTTGAGAACAAATTTTAACACACTACATAGTGCAGACACCTTTTCATCTGAATTTTTCCTTTGAAGGATGAGTCATTCTTATGAAACAATTTTCTTTTTTTTTTTTTTTTGAGACAGAGTCTCGCTGTGTCGCCCAGACCTGAGTGCAGTGGCGTGATTTTGGCTCACTGCAAGCTCCACCTCCTGGGTTCACGCCATTCTCCTGCCTCAGCCTCCTGAGTAGCTGGGACTACAGGCGCCCGCCACCACGCCTGGCCAATTTTTTGTATTTTTTTTTAGTAGAGACGGGGTTTCACCATGATCTCGATCTCCTGACCTTGTGATCAGCCTGCCTTGGCCTCCCAAAGTGCTGGGATTACAGGCATGAGCTACCGCGCCCGGCGAAACAGTTTTCAAAACAGAAAGATGGAAGTGACATTATCAAATTAAGTGCACACTGAAAACTTTTATGACAATTGTATCGAGGGGGTACATGTATTTTTCAATAGATATTGATTGGCTGCTATAGTAAGGATTTTTGCTGGGCTGCGAGAATCATTTTCTAAGTTTGAGGATGCTAACTAAATCATACGTAAGTTGTATGTGATAAATATGGGGCAGAAATAGGTATGCACTCTAAAAGTAGTAATAGCTTCTGGTTTAAAGAAGTGGGAGATCATAACAAGTTGGAATATCTGGAAATATTTAAGAAAATGCTTTAGCATGAAGTATTATTTTGACTATCATTTCAGAGAATGAGGATGAATAGAGAATAAGTGAGTAGGGTAGAAAGGGACAAGGTAAGAGGGCCAAGAGGCAGAATTAAAATTAAGTCAGGGGAATAAGTGTGAATAGGAGTCTGGAAGAGATAAACAATTTTGGGGGGAAGGATTTGATGCTCTTAGTGCACTTGCTGTTTCTGTGTTATACTGTACTCCAGCTGTGCCCTACACTCACCCCAAAGAACAGCAGAAACATGTGTTCAAGAGAAGTGTTTTAATCTGGAAATAATTAGGGAATTACAATTTTTTTGAGGTTTAGCTGCTGTTTGTGGGATTCAGTTCCCAACCCTGAAAGTAAAAGTAACCATGAACATTTTGTTTTGTTTTTTAATTTATACACATTCCAGGAAATACTATTTTAGTATAAGTTGGTTCATAATGGCAGTTAAATTGCTCTTGTGTTTTGCCACCTTGGACAAAAGTGCTTTTGTCTTTCTGGTTTTCTTCTTTTGGTTTTATTTAATTTTGAACCCTGGGAAGAAGGATATGATGTAAATTTAATAAAATGAGTTTTCCTCCCTTTTTGTTTTTTCCTGAATCTTCATGGAACTTTTTTGGAAACGTGGAACCTAGGTGGGGTGGGTGACGAGAAAGGCCTGAGAAATGCCAGGAAGACATGAGGTTGGATTGGCCTTTGGGCATCCAGTCTACCTAATGTGTTTATGTCATGTATGTTACCGTTGAGGAAGTCAGTGCTGATTATGCCAAATTTCTACTTTTTCTGGATCATTTTACTCCTTAGCATTTGTAGGGGAAGACATTTATTTGAGCAGAAGAGGGTAACGATATGGTCCGTCTCTATATACTACTAAGAAGGATGATTATGGGTATGTGAACATGTGCATGCATATGTAAAATGAAACCTAATCCAAGCCTTGTGGTGAAAATACTCTGACAGGCTTCAGAGAAGTAAGAGTTTTGATCAAGGAAGGTACATCAACCTATATACCCTAGATTTTTTAAAGAATGTATAGATTAGGAATTCTCATTTTAAAATTAAGGTCTTTTTGTGACTTTTACCATGGATTATTATTTTCCCAAATACATGACCCTGTTTGATTAGCATATAGAGTTTTGACCCAGGGAGAGGATGCAGTGCCCAGCTTCTCAGTGGTTAACAGCTGTTCAGCCTAGTGCATATCAGAATTTATGTGGGTGTTGAATGATTTTTTTAAACTAGTGTAGGAACACTTGATACCTTCTCAGTAGTTATGTGCATGTTTCTGTAGTTTCCCAAGCTAATGGGAGAGATCTTCAAAATGATGAAATTTTATTGAAATCAAATAGATACATTAAGAAATGGAAATGCTGAATAGAGCCTAGTTTGCTCTACATGCTCTTTGGCAAATTGTTGGGTCACTGAGACATTTTAAGATAGCAATATAGGCCAGGTGCAGTGGCTCACACCTATAATCCAGCACTTTTGGGAGGCTGAGGCTTGAGCCCAGGAGGTTGAGACCAGCCTGGGCAACATAGCAGGCCCCTGTCGCTACCAAAAAAAAAAAAAAAAAAAAAAAAAAGCCAGGCATGGTGGGGCATGCCTGTAGTCCCAGCTACTTGGGAGGCTCGCTTGAGCCAGTAAAGTCAAGGCTGAAATGAGCCATGATTATGGCTCCGTACTCCAGTCTGGGCAACAGAGTTGAGACTCTGTCTCAAAAAAAAAAAAAAAAAAATGTATAGTTGAGGGGAAAAAAATCTGTCACCTTTAAAGTCTTGGTATAATTGAATCTTTTAGAATGTCTGCATCAAACCTGTGGATCCTTGGTTGTATCTCTCGTTAATCTGGGTAAGATGGAGAGATTTCTCATGGACTTGTGTTTGCCAACCTTCCATACTATGTTTTATGTTTTATTGTGAAATATTCAGAGAGACCAGTGCAGTGAACCTTCCCATGTGTGCATTGCCCAACTGTAACAGGCATCTACTCAGAGCTGTTCTTTTTTTTTTTATCTAGACCACCCCTTACTTGGACTATTTTGAAGCCAATTCTGTACAACATATTATTTCATCTGTAAATATTTCAGAATCTATTTCTAAAAGATAGGCTTTTTTTTTTCCCCAAGTTATTTCTCCCTGTGCTTCTTCAAAAAAGATTTGTAGTAGAGGCTGTATAGAGGGCACAAAAGAGTAGAAATTAAGCACAAGTGATACCGACTTCCAGAAGAGACTATCAGGTAGACCCAGACCCATAAGGGGACAGCAACGAGAATTCATTATTGGAAGATGTCATACTCCAACCCCTACTGGTCTCTACAAGATTTCCAGACCCCCCTACACTTTGAATACTAAAAGTACCTCAGGGTTTAGTTCTCAACATCCTCCTCTTTCCTATCTCTATTCTTCCGCCCCATCTTCTGCCCTTTTTTTTTTGGAGACCGAGTCTCACTCTGTTGCCCAGGCTGGAGTGCAGTGGCACCACCTTAGCTCACTGCAGCTTCCGCCTTCCAGATTGAAGTGATTCTCCTGCCTCAGCCTCCTGAGTAGCTGGGCTGACAGGTGCATGCCACCGTGCTCGATTAATTTTTGTATTTTTTTTTTGGTAGAGGTGGGGTTTCGCCATGTTGGCCAGGCTGGTCTTGAACTCCTGACCTCAAGTGATCCACCTGCCTCGGCCTCCCAAAGTGCTGGGATTACAGGCATGAGCCACCACACCTGGCCTCCTCGTCTTTTAAGTAACATTCATATAACAATAGTTCGTAATTTATATTTTCAGGTCAGCTCTATCTCCTTTCTGAAGTTCAGACTTTATCTGATTGTTAGTCTTGTAAATACATTATAAACGTTTAATGTGTTTATTTTTATTTATTTTTTATTTTTTGAGATGGAGTTTTGTTCTTGTTGCCCAGGCTGTAGTGCAGTGGCGCGACCTCAGCTCACTGCAACTTCCACCTCCAGGGTCCAAGCGATTCTCCCACCTCAGCCTCCCCAGTAGCTGGGATTACAGGCACCTGCCACCACGCTCAGCTAGTTTTGTATTTTTAGTAGAGACAAGGTTTCTCAATGTTGGTCAGGCTGGTCTCAAACTCCTGACCTCAGGTGATCCGCCTGCCTCAGCCTCCCAAAGTGCTGGGAGTACAGGCGTGAGCCACCACGCCAGGCCATTTAATGTGTTTGTAATGGGGCTCTTGATTCCTTCTGCTAAAACCCAGCTTATTCCACTGTACCCTTCCATCCCCATCCTTCCTCATGACAGTGTGCAGTAAGTCTAGAAGTCTTCATTCCTGTCTGGTCACTCCCATTCCTAGTCTTCTACAATACTCTCTAAAATATATCTTGGATCTGTTGATTTCACTCATCTCCACAGCCACCATCATCTCTCCTTGAACCAATATAGTAACCTAATAATTGATAATTGATATCCTTGTATTGACATTTTCCTCCAAAATCTGTTATTTTATATTGCAACTGAAGTGGTCATTTAAAAATGTATCATATCATTTCTTTGGTTAAAAAACTCCTTCATGAGTCGCGCCCCTACCCTCCACTTTCAGTTACCTGAAAGGTTTCCTTAAAATTTTTCGAATCAAACTTTTAACAACTATTTTGTAATAAAGATACCTTGTTATTGTCATTGAGCTTTTATAAATCTGGAGGCACTTTACTGAGCTGAAAACTATACAAAAGCACTAGGCTCTTGGGAGTAGAGAATAGGAAGATTGGATAGCAAATTTTCTTTCACTTATGTGGTTGCAAAATTACCTAGTCTATATCCGTATCTCCATGCCTTGACGTGTGCTTTTTCCTGCCTCATAGCTTTTTTCATAGTATGTTGTCATTTTTTCCTTTCTAGTTGGAGTGAAGAATCGTTTACCACCTGTCTTCTGAGAGTTGCTTTAAAGTGCTAATTTCTGGTTATGTTTCATGGTAAAATCATTGCAGCTAAGGTGGTATGATAGAATGAAAAGAACGATGCCCTTGGGTGGGGAAGTCTGGGCGTGTGCTTGGTATCGTTCCCTCAGAACACTCAGTGGTCCTGGTTTCAGTAAGGGTTTGGGATCACATACAACTTGGATTTGAATGTTAATTTTGCCCATTAAAAATTGAGCCGCCTTTGACAAATTACTCCATCCATCTCACACCTGAACCTCAGTTTTTCTTCTGTTAATTGGGGCCCAGCTGGGCTGTTGTGAGGACCTGATGTTAAAAATGTAAAAAGTGGTCACCCTGGTACTTGGCATATAATGGACCCTAAACAAACAGTCTCCATGATTGTGGTTTTGAGCAGGTTATTTTATCTCTTCAGGTTTCCATCTGCTTACTTTTGTTTTTTTCGAGACACGGTCTTGCTGTGTCGCCCAAGCTGGAAGTCCAGTGGTATGATGATGGCTCACTGCAGCCTCGACCTCCCAGGCTCAAGTGATCCTTCTGCCTCAGCCTCCCGAGCAGCTAGGACTATAGGCACATGCCACCATGCCTAGCTAATTCTTGTATTCTTTTCAGAGACAGGGTCTAACTATATTACGTGGTCTCAAACTCCTGGACTCAAGTGGTTCTCCCACCTCGGCCTCCCAAAATGTCGGGATTGCAGGCAAGAGCCACTGAACCTGGCCTCCATGTTCTTTATACGTAAAATTAGAGGGTTTAATTAGGGCAGCAATTCTCTAACATTAATGGTCATCACAATTACCTGGAGTGCTGTTAAAACACAGATTACTGGGCGCAGATTTGATAATTTATGATTCAGTGGGTCTGGAGTGGAGCCCTAGAGTATGGGCTTCTAACAATTTCCCAAATGATGCTGATGGTAACTACACCCTGAGAACTATTCGACTGGAAAATTGGATTATTGAAAGGCCCCTGCCAACACTAGGATTTTACTGTTTCTAACAGTAATGATAATAGGCAGTATTTGAGACTATGTGCCAGGCATTGTGCAAAGCGCATTATATACACTATCTCATTTGGTTCTCATGGTAATTAGTAGGTACTATCTTCCTTTAAAGGGTTGGGTAAATTGTTGAAAGTCACACAGCTAAATAAATGGGAAGGTTGAAACTGCCCTGACCTTTCTCTTGACCAAATGAATTGCTTCCTTTGGTTTCTCAAGTTTTTAGGACTCCTGTATACTCATTTTACTTTTTTTTTTTTGAGATGGAGTTTTGCTGTTTTGGCCCAGGCAGGAGTGCAATGGCACGATCTTGACTCACTGCAACCTCTGCCTTCCAGGTTCAAGTGATTCTCCTACCTCAGCCTCCCGAGTAGTTGGGATTACAGGCACGCGCCGTCATGCCCAGTTAATTTTTGTATTTTTAGTAGAGACAGAGTTTCACCATGTTGTCCAGGATGGTCTCAATCTCTTGAGTTTGTGATCCACCTGCCTCGGCCTCCCAAAGTGCTGGGATTACAGGCATGAGCCGCCGTGCCTAGCCTACTCATTTTACTTTTTACTTACTTGGCTTGGCAAGGGTGGTGGTGGTGGTGTTGCTATCTATGTCTGAGACTGCAAGCTGGGAACTGGTATTCAAAACTTAGTTTGTACTGCATGATTTAGGCCCTTATTATGTGTTTTATTGCTATCTTGCCTATCAGCCCTATCTCCTCAGTCAAATTTATAAGCTTCTTGAGGATGTGGAGCTTGTCTTTTGATTACTGTATAGTGCTCAGCAGAATACTGTTCACATTGCAGTAATTCATGTGATGAAGATGATGGGTTGTCATTGTAATCATTTTGGCAGGTTCACAGTAGGCACTCAGGTTTCAGGCATAGGGTGTACCAGTTATTTTTGAATAATCATGCCATGGCATTCAAGTTTTTTACCAGTTTGCAGCTTTTGCACAATTAAGGTATGACAAATGTAATTTTATTGAGGGAAATGCTTAATCAGTGAGCTGAACTTTAATGTAAATTTGAAATGAAAAGGTCCTGTGTTCTGATTTCAGATTTTCAGAAACTGGATGTTAGATGGACATCATGTTAGCCTTAATACCATGCCTTAAAATGCTACCCATATTTTATTTGTATTCCCATTCACCCATTGATTTGAACAACCATTTTTATTCATTGTAGAAGGGACTTAAATAAATGTAAAAACCAGGCAAAATTTCTTCTCTTTTATAATACATCCTTGATCATAGATAGAATTTTGTCACTTCTCTGATATTTAAAAATAAGACGGGTGGCAGTTTGAGTATCTATAATGAGGTGAAGATCAGCTTGTGCTTGAAAACCAGGACAGAGGGTTTCAAAGTGTAATTGAAAAAGACTGTGGCAGTCTTCTTCATGTGCTGGGAGAATGGGAACATTTGTCAGTTTACTAAGGTTTTGCTTTCCTCTTGTGCTTTATAGAATTTCTTAAAGAAATGTGTTTATTTTACAGTGAGGACTGGTAATTTCATTCCTCTGTACCCCTGTAAGTGGTACAGTGAACCACAGATGTGTTCAAAGTTAGCTGTTGATATGTGATGAGGGAGGGGAAAGAGGAGGGACAAACTGGGATGTTATTTTCTATCTTCTATGTCTAGATTTCCTTGGCTGGAGATGTATTTAGCTGTGCAGCAGTGACTGCTGTTCTGTAGAGTTCTAAGGCAGCATTACAGGGAGAAGCCGTCTTGAACTGACTCTCTAGGTTTGTTGCTATTGTAGTGTTCGGTTAAAAAATTCAAGCCCTTGGGAAGGAATGTGGTGGGGTTAATCAAGGTTTCTTGTTTTTGTTTTCGTTCTATCCTTTCCTGAACTGTTTGTATGTATGAAACAGCCTTTTACAATTCCAAAGCAGGTCCTTTTATCTGTGCTCCAAAATGCCCACTGTGACCCCCACGTGTTAACATGAAGGCTCAAGTTTGTTGACTTCTGAAAGTGTTGTTTCTTTAAAAGACTTTTATTTAAATCCTCTACTTTAAACTTTATTGCTGTAAATTGGTGATTCTCAACTTGGGCTGCACATTCAGATCACGTGGGAAACACTTAAAGGGAAAATCCCAGGACCCACCCCCGATTAAATTTTGATTTAATTTATCTGGTGTGGGTCTCCAGCATTCATGTTTTAAAAGCCTCCCTAGTTGATTCCTTTTTTTTTTTTTTTTTTTTTGGAGACAGGATCTCATTCTTTTGCCCAGGCATGAGTTCAGTGGCACCATCTCAGCTCACTGCACCCTCTACCTTTCTGGGCACAAGTGATTCTCCCGTCTCAGCCTCCTGAGCATCTGGGACTACAGGCACATGCCACCATACCTGGCTAATTTTTGTATTTTTAGTAGAGATGGGATTTCACCATGTTGCCCGGGCTGGTCTTGATGTCCTGGGCTCAAATGATCTGCCTGTGTCGGCCTCCCAAAGTGCTAGAATTACAGGTGTGAGCCACTGTGCCCAGCCCTCCCTAGATGATTCTAATGTATGGTCACTATTAAGGAGTACTGCCCTAAGTTCTGTTTTTGGAGAGTCCTATAAATTTCTTAGTAGAAAACAGGTCCACCCCCACCCCTACCCTCTCCCACAAGGGAGAGTTGAGACTGTCCAATCTGAATCTTATTCAAAAGCACAGAAATATAATCTTACAATTTTGCAAATACTTAGAGTAGGCTTTGAATTATTTTTAAAGTGATCTCCAATCTTCCCTTTAACAGACTTTGCTTGCTAAATATATTTTGTCTGTGTTTTAAAAACACTCCACACTCTGACTGATTTATCAGATTCCTGATACCAGTACCACAAGGACCCAAGGACCTCTAGCTGTGTTTGGTGAGGCAGGTCTTTGTCAATTTAAGTAATCCTGTCAGATGGTGTAGCCAATCTTGTAACTCACGACAAAGCACTGTTGCTGAGATACTGTGATTTATTTTCCTTAATGAGCAGTTTTTTTATATATATACGTTCCATTTTCAGACAGGTGGTGCTTTGAGTTGAATTTGCAAGTTCAGTGAAACATGGATCTCTTTTTTATTTAACTCCCTTTTCTTCTCCTAAGGTGCTTAATTTCCATGCTTGACATCGTACCAGTATTTGCCAGCCAAAATAAATGCCAATATTGTGATTCTGTAGGGAAAGAAGCAGGTCATTTATTAATTCAACTAGAACATACTGCACTGTTCCTTTGTTCAAGGACCTGAATAGGACAAACATGGCCCTTGCTTTCATGGTGGTCAGGTACATTCTCTGAGGGGATGCAGAGATGAATAGATTTTTTTTTCTTTTCATCTCTACATTCTATTCCATTGGCAAATCTTGGCTCCACCTTCAGATTACATTCTGAAAATAAATAACATTCCTCATTTGACTGCTACCATCACCCTAGTCTAAGCTATTATCATCCTTTGCCTGGACAACCTTCGCAGCCTCCCAGTTGGCCTCCTTGCTTCTGAAGTTACTGGTCATTTATAGTGTGTCGATAACACATCCGTGTCCCTCCTCAAAGTTCTTCAAAGGCTTCCTGTCACACGTAGACTAAAATTCAAACTCCATATCGTGAGCTGCAGGCTCTAGAGGATCCAAGTTCTGTCTGCTTTTATTTACCTCATTGGTGTTGTCTTTATCACCTCTCTTTTGGCTCTCTGTGCTCCAGCCATGCTGTTTGCCTTGCTCAACAAGCTAAGTATATTCCCGCCTATTTTCGATTCCTTCTGCCTGGAAAGCTTTAATCCAGATCTCCTGTCAGCTTGGCTCTGTTCTTCACCCTGTTCAGGTCTCTACTACTGTTAAAAGAGGTGTTATTGACTGTCAACTGTACAAGGACAACTTCACTCTCTGTCCTCTTACTGTGTTTTTTTTCTTTATAACACTTGTCACAGTGACATTTCTTATGCACATATATATGCATACACACACTTTTTTTTGGCTTTTTAATTCTCTTCTTACCTCTGGAATGTGAATTTCCTCCTGTTAGGGGCTTTGCCTTGTTCACTGCTGTAACAAAGGTACCTTGAAACATATGAGGCATCCAAAAAATGCTTGAATCGAGTGAATAAAATTGTAACTGACAAGTATGGTAAGGCACAAGGTTCTGTGAGAGGGCCTATCATTGAACTCTCCTTTGGTCTCTGCCAGTGTGGCTAGAGCCACAGAGAAAGCAGAGGCTTTGAGTCTATTTACTAGAGATAGTGATGATATAGTGGGGGCCAAGATCAAGCAGAATCTTTTGTGGGACATGTTAAGAATTAGGGAAGCGACCAGGCACAGTGGTTCACGCTTGTAACCCCAGCACTTTGGAAAGCCCAGGCAGGAGCATCACTTGAGCCCAGGAGTTTGAGATCCACCTGGGCAATATAGCGAGACTTTGTTTGTACCAAAAAAAAAAATTAGGGAAGGGGTGTTTGGGTATCTTCGTAGTTATTGTGATGTTCTATTTTAAATTCATACATACATGAGGGTGAAGTATTAAGTTGCTCTCAAGTCTTATTAGGTGCTGCCACTGGTAACTGGTGTAGGAAATGCTTTATCACATTGAAGAATTTACAGAGAATTGTGTTCTATTCAGTCATCAGCATTTAACTTTTTTTTTTTTTGAGACAGGGTCTGGCTCTGTTGCCCAGGCTGGAGTGCATTGGTGCAATCTCGGCTCACTGCACCCTTGCTGTCCTGGGCTCAAGCAGTCCTCCCACCTCAGCCTCCCAAGTAGCTGGGACTACAGGAGTGTGCCACCACCATGCCTGGTATTTTTTGGTATTTTTTTATAGAGGCAAAATTTTACCATGTTGCCCAGGCTGGTCTCAGACTCTTGTGCTGAAAAGCAATCTGTCCGCCTTGGCCTCCCAAAGTGTTGGGATTGCAGGTGTGAGCCACCACGCCCATAAAACTGTTTAAAACTGTTTCTTTTTTTGTTGTTGCCGGAGCGGGATCTGGTAAAAACCAGAAAACCTGCCAGATTCTAAAGGAGTTGTAACATTGCTTTAAAACTGTTTCTAACTTGATGTTGTTTTGAAGATGATGAATGTAGGTTTTCCAGCTCATTTTTTATTGTTCTTTTTTTCCCTTTCAGTTTGATTTATAAGTGAAATTTAATACCCCCATTATTGGGAAAGGAAGATCCTGAAGAGAACACAGAATTCAATTCCTTTTCAGAAAATTTTGCTGCTTCAAGCTGTGCTTGGGCTTCTTATCCTTACTGTAATTGTGAGGGGTGAAAATAGTCCTTTGAACTTTTTATGAGGAAAGTGGTGATGTTCTGTAAAGGACATTTATTTAAATATGATTGTTATTGGCTTCCATAATCCCCCATGTCATCTGACCTTGGATTAGACCCAGTCTGCCAGTCTGATGAGAGAGCCAGTTGTAAATTACCTGTTGAATTTCCTGTGGATCCCCTCTGTTGTTCTTTATTAGCTCCATAATCCAGCTGGATGTTACTGGTTACAGTTTGGCTAATGATCATGACCAATTTTTGAAGAAAGGATTCCTTATTGGCGGGCAAATTTTTGTTGAGTGGTACAGCCAGAAACATTTTCACATTATTCTTTCCTACTTTAGGAGCTAAACTTGCGGGCTGTTTATGTATTTGTTTTTAGGGTAATCAAATTTTTTCTTTATAACATTTGTCACAGTGACATTTCTTATGCACACATAAAGAGTAACCAGATATTACACTGTATGTTTTGGAGGAAACTGTTCTGGAAGACCTAGGCCTAAAACTCACTTAATAATGAAGTTGGGGAAATAGATTACAGTTCTTATTAAGAAAAAAAAATTTCATGTTTTAAAGCCCCCCTTTATTTGCCAAAATATTCCAAAATAGTATATCTCCTTGACATATTATCCAGAACCCAATATGCCTTACATGTTTGTCATAAAGATTGAGAAAAGCAGTGTGGTCTAGTGGAAAGATGGAGACTTTTACTTTTTTTTTGAGACGTAGTTACTCTTGTCACCCAGGCTGGAGTGCAATGGCGCGATCTCGACTCACTGCAACCTCCGCCTCCTGGGTTCGAGTGATTCTCCTGTCTCAGCTTCCCGAGTAGCTGGGATTACAGGCGCCCATCACCACGCCCAGCTAATTTTTGTATTTTTAGTAGAGACCAGATTTCACCACGTTGGCCAGGCTGGTCTCGAACTCCTGACCTCAGGTGATCCGCCTGACTCGGCCTCCCAAAGTGCTGGGATTACACTGTGCCCGGCCGACTTTTACTTTTTCAGCAGCTTTATTGAGGTGTGCTGGGATTACACTGTGCCCGGCCGACTTTTACTTTTTCAACAGCTTTATTGAGGTATATTTAAGAATGCAGACTGTTGAGTCAGACCTGAGTTTGAATTCCTACTGGTACTGATAAGCTGTGTGACTTTGTCCAGATTGCTCAGTCTCTAATATGTAATAGTGTTGAAATAACAATATTTGCTTTATTGAGTTCATATAAAGATTAGAAAATGATATATGTCAAGTACCAGGCCCTTCAGGTTTCAATAAGAGGTAACTATTTTTAGTATTACTAATACTAGCCTGTAGTATCTCTTTCTGTCCTTTTGGGGTTTTAAAGCTTGAGAATGGAAATGAAATGGACAACAATGATGGTAGAATCTGTTACTAGTGAACATAATCACACTAATTGATCAAAAGGGTACTCTGACATAAGAGTTGGCTTTGTTTTGTTAATGAGCAAGGAGTCCTTATTCTGCCCATTTTATGTTTCCTTTGAATGTAGCTGTCCTGAATAAAGAGTAACCAGATATTACACTGTATATATGATTTGGTACGGCTGGAGATAGGAGCCATACACCCCTTTGGTCTTGGGAGTGGTACCCCCTATATGGACAGATGTATTTGGGATCTAGACTCTAGATTTAGGGGGAGTGCCTTTATTTGTATGAAAATACAGCCATACCTCAGAGATATCACAGGTTCATTTCCAGATGACCACAGTACTGCAATAAAGTGAATATCACACTAAAGTGAGAGACATGGGCTTTTTCTGTTTCCTATTGCATATAAAAGTTACATTTACACTATACTGTAGTCTGTTAAGTATGCAGTAGGCTTATGTCATAATAAATAGTGGACTACCTTAATTTTAAAATATTTATTGCTAAAAGAAATACCAGCGATCACCTGAGCCTTCATGAAGTGAGTCATAATCTTTTTTGCTGGTGGAAGGTCCTATCTCCATGTTGATGGCTGCTGACTAGCCAGGGTAGTGGCTGCTGAAGGTTAGGGAAGCTGTGGCAATTTCTTTCCCTCCCTCCCTCCCTCCCTCTCTCCCTCCCTCCCTCTCTCCCTCCCTCCCTCCTCCCTCCCTCCTCCCTCCCTCCTCCCTCCCTCCCTACCTCCCCTCCCTTCCCTTCCCTTCCCTTTCTTTCCTTCCCTTTCTTTCCTTCTAATTCTCGATTTCTAATTCTAGTTATCTTGCTGTTTCTTCCTCATCTGCAGTTACTTTTTCGACCTGTGTCTTGAACCTCTCAGTTATCCATGAGAGTCAGAGTCAACTTAACTTTGCATCTGTTTCAGTTTTATCACGAGATTGCAGTTCAGTCACATCTTCAGGCTCTATTTCTAATTCTGGTTATCTTGCTGTGTTTTTCACATCTGCAGTTACTTTTTCGAGCAATGTCTTGAACCTCTCGATTATCCATGAGAGTCGGAGTCAACTTCTTCCAAACTCCTGTTGGGGTTGATATTTTGAACTCCTCCCATGAATCATGAGTGACTCAATAGAATGGTGAATCCTTTCCAGAATAATTTTCAATTTACTTTGCCCAGATTCATCAGAAGAATCACTATCTATGGCAGCTATAGCCTTACAGAATGTATTTTTTAAATTATAAGGCTTAGAAGTGGAAATTATTGCTTGATCTGTGGGCTGCACAATGGATGTTGTGTTAACAGGCATGATAACAGGATTTATATCCTTGTACATCTCTTTCAGACCTCTCCGGCAATGGTGCATTGTCAGTGAGCAGCAGTATTTTGAAAGGAATCTTTCTGAGCATGAGGTCTCAATGGTGGACTTAAAATATTCAGTAAAACATGCTGTCAACAGATGTTCTGACATCCTGGCTTTGTTGTTTCATTTATAGAGCATAGGCAGAGTAAATGTAGCATAATTTGTTTTTATTTTATTTTATAGAGACGGGGTCTTGCCGTGTTGCCCAGGCTGGTCTCCAACTACTGGGCTCAAGCAGTTCTCCCTCCTTGGCCTCCCAGAGTGCTGGGATTACAGGCATGAGCCACTGCACCTGGCTGATGTAGTGTAATTCTTAAGGGCCTTAGATTTTCAGAATGGTCAAGGAGCATTGGCCTTCACCTTAAAATCACCAGCTGCATTAGCTCCTAACAAGAGAGGCTGTCCTTTGAAGCTTTGAAGTCAAGCATTCTCCTCTCTTTGAAGACAGGATTTCTCCTTTCTACTCTCTAGCCACAAAAGTTTTGGATTGTGTCTTCCAATAGAATGCTGTTTTTTCTACATTGCTGACATGTTGTTTAATGGAGCCATCTTCATCGATGATCTTAGCTAGATCTTCTGGATAACTTGCCACAGCTTCTCCATCAGCACTTGTTGCTTCACCTTGCACTTTTAGGTTATTGGAGATGGCTTATTTCCTTAAACTTCGTAAAGCAGCCTCCGTCATCTTCAGACTTTGCTTCTGCAGCTTCCTCACCTCTCTCAGTCTTCATGGAATTGAAGAGGATTAGGGTCTTGTTCTGGATTAGGCTTTCAGTTTAATGGAATGTTGTGGCTGGTTTGATCTATACAGACCACTAAAACTTTGTCCATATCAGCAATAAAGCTGCTTCTCTTGCTTACGATTTGTGTGTTCACTGGAGTAGCACTTTTTAAATTTTCTCCAAGAACTTTTGCATTTACAAGTTTGCTAACTGGTACAAGAGGCCTTACTTTCAGCCTATGTTGGCTTTCAACATACCTTTCTCAGAAGCTTAATCACTTCTAGCTTTTAAAAAATATATATTCTTTTTCTTTTTTGAGATGGAGTCTCGCTCTGCCGCCCAGGCTGGAGTGTGGTGGCACGATCTTGGCTCACTGCAACCTCTGCCTCCCGGGCTCAAGTGATTCTCCTGCCTCAGCCTCCTGAGTAGCTGGGACTACAAGTGCGCAATGCCACACCCACATAATTTTTGTATTTTTAGTAGAGAGGGGGTTTCGCCATGTTGGCCAGGCTGGTCTCAAACTCTTGACCTCAGGTGATCCGCCTGCCGCCGCCTCCCAAAGTGTTGGGATTACAGGCATGAGCCACTGCGCCCCGTCTCTAAAAAAAATTCTTTTCTTTCAGCTATTTTACCAGAAAACATCCGCAAGTGTCTATTTCTAGCTTTTGATTTAAAGCGAGAGCTGTAGACTCTTCCACTTGAACACTTAAAGGCCATTGAGGAGTTACTAATTGGCCTAATTTCAATATTGTTGTGTTTCAGGGAATAGGGAAACAAGAGGAGAGGGAGAGAGACAGGGGAATGGCCATTCAGTGGAGTAGTGAGAACACACATTTTTATCAGTTAAGTTTTCCATCTTTTATGGGTGCGGTTCGTGGTACCTCCAGAAATTACAATGGCAGTGTCAGAGATCACTGATCACAGATCATCATAACAGATAATGAAAACATTTGAAATATTGTGAGAATTACCCAAATGTGTCACATGGACATGAAGTGAGTGCACGCTGTTGGAAGAATGACGCTAATAGACTTGCTTGATGCAGGGTTGCCATAAACATTGAATTTGTTTTTTTTTAAAACAGCATCTGCAAAGTGCAGTAAAGTGAAGCTTTACTTGCTTGATGAGGTTAGATTACTTCAGTTTCTAACCCACTTTTGTAGTCGATAGGAGATCACCCCCATTATTTCTCAGCCAGTTAATCTCGTGGTACTTTTGTTAGGAATATGATTAAAAGTGTTTCATATTTCCAGTATGAATACTTGTTTAAGTATTTATGGCTGAATGCATCTTTATCTTTATGATAGCAGCCTAAATATGCTTGTGTCCTACCCATAGATCTGTTCCTAAGTGTGGTATGCTTTGTGGCTGTGTTAGTGGCTAGAAAACAGATGGGGACATCCCGAAGGCAGCAGGCTAGTCTCCTCAAACTGTAGACATTTTTTTCTGATAGAGGGGCTTGAAGCCTTTAAGAGAGTCAAAGGAACTTCTGTGTTTCCAGAATCAGTTACTGATTTGTTGAGAATTGGGGCTTTATTTTTTTAGACTGTAGTTGCTAGCACCTGTATGTCACCTTTAGGAACCTTGACAGATGGTCCCCAACTTACTATAGTTCAAATTATGGTTTTTCAACTTTATTATCGTGTGAAAACTGGAAACTGTACTTTGAGTACCCACAGCCGTTGTTTTCACTTTCAGTACAGTCTTCAGTAAATGAGTTATTCATGCTTTGTTATAAAATAGGCTTTGTGTTAGATGATTTTGCCCAACTGTAGGATAATGTATGTGTTCTGAGCACGTTAAGGTAGGCCCAGCTAAGCTTTGATGTTCAGTAGGTTAGGTGCGTTAAATGCATTTTCATCTTATGATATTTTCAAATTATGATGGGTTTATTGGGACAAAACCCCCATTGTAAGTTGAGGAGAATCTGTACACCATAGTTTATTCATTCAACAAATAATTACTAAGTGCTTTTTAAGGCCAGAAACCTCAGTTGCTGCATTTATTTTCTAGTGGGGTGGGGGGGTCAATAAAATAACAAAGTAGAATATATATTTGGTTGCAGCAAATGCTATGCAGAAAAAAATAAAGCAGGTAAGAGGGATAAGGAGTACAGGGGAAAACAATGCAGTGATAAATAGGGTCATCAGGGAAAAAGGCCTAACTATGAAAGTGATATTTGTGTCAGGATGTGAAGTCAGCTGTGTGAGCATTTGTGGAAGATATTTTGGACAAAAAGAACAGCCAGTGCCAAAACTTTAAGGACAGAGACTGCCTGAAGTAATCCGGCAAGCAAACCAGTGTAGCTTCAACAGCAAGTGGTGAAGAGGACACAGGAGGTGAAGTCATAGACAGAAAAGGGAACTGAGGTAGGTGGAGACAGGTTGTGTGGAACCTAGTAGGCCTGTTGTGAGGATTGTAGCTCTTGCTCTAAGGTAGAATGCCAGTTCCTGCTTTGAGTAGAGGAGTGACATGATCTGATTAGTTTGTGGACAGAAGCAAAAAAAAAAAAAAGAGTTAGGGGGCTACTATAATAACCTAGTGAGAGAATGGTGTCTTGGGTTCCAGTGGTGGTGGTAAAGTGTGAGAATTAAGGTTCAATTCTGGATATATTTTGAAGTTAGAGCAGGTAGGATTTGCTGATGGGCTGGATGTATGGGTTATAAAAGAGGAAGGAATTTTTGGTCTGAGCAAGTGGATGGAAGGTATTGCTCTTTACTGAGATGGGAAGACTGGGAAAACTAGGTGGGAGCAGGGGAGAAGATCGGAGTTCAGTTTATGTTACTGTGATAAAGATAATGAGATGCTGAAACATTCTCTCTTTGAATCTAGCTGTATTTTTTGGTATTGCATATTGTAAAATTTCGTGGTAAGTACATGTTTTACATTTGTCAAAATTCAAAACAAAGCGAACCTTGATGTAAATGGACTTTGGTTAATAAGAATATGCAAGTATTGGCTCATTAAGTATAATAAATGTGCAAAGGAAATGGAAGGGAGGGTATATGGGTACTCTGCTGTCTACTCAGTTCATTAAACCTCAAATTACTTTAAAATATAGTCTATTAATTTAAAAAATTAATCATGTTAACTTACACTATCATGTTTTCTTTGATTGTTGAGGTCATTTCTGGGGGTCTGTCTTTTATTTAGTGACAGCATGTTGACTTGCCCCTCGCTCCCACTTGTTTCTGACATAATTTCATACCAAGCATATATCCACAGTAGACCTCCTTTCTTTCATGGAAATGCACAGCTTATATAAATATATTGTAGAAAATTGCTGCTTTTACTTAGACTAAAAGACACAAGAGTCCCCTGTAACAAACAGCTTGAAGTTATTTCATTTCACTGAGGTTTGTACAGGGTTCCTGAAACTGTCCTGTTTCAGGAGCTGCCAGATAACCTGATCCTAGAGTGAAACTCACTTTGGCATTCAGATTTTGTCTATGTTGATATACCTCAACAGTTTAAGATTCTTTTTTAACTTACATGGCTCCATGAAAGAGGGATGTGATGTTTCAGTGTTCAGTTTTGGTAGCTATTAATTATCCCTTGTAGCCTTCCACTTAGAAGTGATACTTTCAGATTGAACATTGTTTCTTAAGTTTTTTCCTTTCCACCCCTCTCTCTTCTTCTTCAGAAATAAAGCTCTGCATGTGTGTTGGTGTGTTTTAAGTATAATTTTTAATCTGTTTGTGGAACCACAGAAATGGATCCAAGAGGTAGGTAAGGTCTTAAATTGAATTTGATGTTAAATAAGCTGGCCTTTGACCCATAGGCAATGAGTGAGGAGCACCGTTGGGTGTAAGACTAGAAGCAGAAATACTAGGCATTTTAGAGGCCAGGTGAAGGGTGAATAAGGACATTTAGGTCAATTGAAATAAAAAGAAAAAGACAGATGTGAAATGTAGAAGGACTTAATTATGGTAGGAACTTAGTGATTTGGAGCCTGGCAGCCTGAGCAGGAAGGTGAAAACATTGACAGTAGGCAAGTTTAGAGGAAGAGCTAGTTTTAGATGAAAGATTGGAATTTGTACAAGTTGAATTTTAGATGAAGTGTAGTGGTTAAAATTCAGGACTCTGGGCCGGGTGTGGTGGCTCACGCCTGTATCCCCAGCGCTTTGGGAGGCCGAGGTGGGCAGCTCTCTTGAGGTCAGGAGTTTGAGAGCAGCCTGGCCAACATGGTGAAACCTCGTCTTTACTAAAAATACAAAAATTAGCTGGACGTGGTGGCGTGCACCTGTAATTCCAGCTACCCGGGAGGCTGAGGTACGAGATCAGTTGAACCTGGGAAGCGGAGGTTGCAGTGAACCAAGATTGCGCCTGGGCAACTGAGCGAGACTCCCCATCTCAAAAAAAAAAAAAAGAAAAAGAAAATTGAGGACTCTGGAGCCAGATTACCCGTATACAGATGTAGATTTTACCTGTGCTTGCTTCTCTGACAAATGACCTAACCCCTTGACAAATGACCTCTTTTTCTCCATCTGTAGTATGGGGATAGTAGGCACCGTTTCATAGAGTTGTTATAATGATGAAATGATGAAAAGTCATGTAATGTTGTAGCACAATGCCCGGAACAAAGGAAGCATTCAGCAAAAGCTGCTATGTATAGGATCCAGCTGGAGAAAGCAAATTCAGTAGAAAATATTAAGGCTGGTGATACACATTTGTTAGTCATAAAATATTGGAGCTACGTGGGATCTTTTACCACAATTTTTGTTTACCCCTGTTATTTTATCCATGAAGTGTAGAAGAGGTCATTAAACCTTGAGAAATGGATAAGGCCCATGAGAAAGAATGTAGAATAGAAAATTTGGACTAGCAACTTAATCTAGGATTATTCTTAAATTTAGTGTAGGGCAATGGTTTTCCACCTCTGATAGAGGGAAGCAGTGCACTGACTATTGGTTGTTTATCCGTCGGCTTTTCTACTCTTCCTTGCCTCCCTCCCCCATTAATGGAATCTCCAATATTGTTTAAGTATCCTGTAATTGTGTAATTCAAAGGATGCTAGGCCTCTCTCTGGCTTCAGCAAGGAAAGTTCATCAAAATGTGGTCTCTAGACCATCAAAGTGTAGTCTTTGGACCATCACCTAGAAATCTGCTAGAAATGTAAATTCTGGGACCCCATTTCAGATGTCCTGAGTCGGAAACTCTGGGGGTGGGGCCCACCAATCAGCGTTTAGCAAGCCCTGCATGCTTAAAGTTTGATCTCTAGTGTAGGGCTTCCAACTGAGATAACTTTAGAAGATAAAGCATCTAATGTAAATGAACCAAGCTTTCAGATTAGGGATGATTTTGAACTGTGTATCATGTGCCACATCTGAAGGGATTGGCTACTGTTTAGCTAATAGTCATTAAGAGGCTTGCAGACCCAGTGCTGGCAGATCTTGTGTTTGTGTGCAATAGATTTTAAAATGCTGGCAACTTACTGAATTTTTTTTGACACACTTGTGAAGGCCGAAGAAAACCCAACTACAAGCAAATAAAACTAACGTCGGGAACATGACCCTCAGTTAGTGCTCTTTTATCTAAGAGTTTAAAAACATTGTGTGTAAAGCTTGCTTCATATCACAGATTATTACCTTAGGTTAAATTTCTAGATGTGGACTTTTTCTGGGGTGGGGGTAGTGGGGAGTGGTCATGGGATAATGACAGTTTTAAGGCTTTTGAGAAATGTTATGTTCTCCAGAATGAAACTGCTGTTTTGTCAGCAGTGTTCTGAAGCCTAACAGATAGTAGTTTTTAAAGAATTTCCAATTTAATAAACAAAAAAGACATTCTTGGATTATTTTATTTGGTTGATTTAGTAGTGTATTTCTTTTGTATTTATTTGTCACTTTTTTATATAAAGAAATCTGTAAATCTTTGTGTCTTTTTGAGTTATTTGAAAGGGTTTTTTTGCATTTTAAAAGCATAATTAAAATGCAAATTGTTTTCCCTAGCTTTTTATTTATTTATGTTTTAATTTTTATGGTTTTTGAATGATAGAAGTTTTAAATTTCTTTAGTCAGATCCATCAGTCTTTGTAAAATACCGTTTTAAAAGCCTGGGCTTTTCATTGGAATTAGATAGACTCTCTGAAAATCTTTGGCTGCTTTGCGAGGCATGCACATGGTTACTGCTGTGAACTATTCATGAATAGGATATCCCCTTCTCCACCTGCCACTGCCACCATCACTAATATCTATTTAACAGACCTTTATTGAATGCTTACTGCATACATAAAAGGAAACTATTAAAATGGTGTGGATACATCAGTGAATAAAACAAAGACGAATTCCTACTCTCTTGGAATTTACGTTACTGGAAGGAGAGTCCATACACAAATTTGTGAGATAGTTTCTTCACCCATAAGTCTGGCAGCTTTTAAGGAATGGCTAGAAAGCTTTGCTTGGCTGGGTTGCTTCGTCAAGTACTGTGTGCACATGGCTGTTCAGCATGGAATTCTCAGGGTTATAATATCTCTTAACATGAAGTCTCTGTGCTCAGTTGAAGCTGCATACCCATTTATAACCTGTCCTGGAAAGTCATCTAGTACCACATCCACCATATTCTGTTGACCAAAGTGGTCACAAGCTCCCTCAGATTTGAGGGGGAATTGACAGAAATCTGCCTCTCATTGGGAGAAGTGTCAAAGAATTTGTAACCCTTTTTAAAAACATTCCCTCATAAAAATTTTTTTCTTCACTTGTAATAAATGTAACTTTATACTTTCTAAAAATGTAATTTTCAAACATTACTTCAGTATTACTGTTGATTACTGAGATTATTTTGCCATTTAAAATATATTTTCAAACACTCTTTTGGAAGCTACAGATTTATAGATTTTTGTTGTACATTTAAAATAATTCCCTGCCAACAAGCTGTGAAAGGGAAAAGTAATGCAACTTTTATTCACTGATGGAAAAGTTCTTGAGCTGTATTGGAAAACTGATAAGAAATTGGAGGACTCTAAATGAGTTTTTAGAGTTAAGGTTAAAGATTGCATTGCACTTAAAAGTAAAGGGAACCTCTGGAAGAGGCTGGACAGAAGAGTCACAAGGTTGATAATGAATTGACTTATTATTCCTTCCTGATCTACTTTTAATATTTTGTGTCTTGATAGAAAACATTATTATAGTTTAATAATGTTTTGTTGTTGTTGGTTTTTGTTTTTTGAGACGGAGTCGCGCTCTGTTGCCCAGGCTGGAGTGCATTGGTGCCATCTCGGCTCACTGCAAGCTCCGTGTCCCGAGTTCACACCATTCTCCTGCCTCAGCATGCCTAGTAGATGGGAGTACAGGCACGCACCACCACGCCCGGCTAATTTTTTGTGTTTTTAGTAGAGACGGGGTTTCACCGTGTTAGCCAGGATGGTCTTGATCCTCTGACCTCGTGATCCGCCTGCCTTGGCCTCCCAAAGTGCTGGGATTACAGGCGTGAGCCACTGCGCCCCGCAGTAATGGTTTTTTTTGACTGTATGTCTGTTTCCTTTGAGGACTTTACGTGCTGAGCTATTTCTAATAAAATCTAAATAACTAACTTTAATTTTTGTGAAGTATAAAATCCTATCTCAGTTTGAAGTTGGGTCTAGTTTTCACTCTGTCGTAAGTTTTTCAGGTCAGTTGACTTATTTATAAGAGGCTTGGTTCCGGGGATTCTTCTCGTCTATGATTCTATAGTTAGTAACATGAGTTATAAAACCAATCAGAAAATGTGCCATAAATGGAAACGTTTCCACCGTAGTTTCCAACTCTGAATGCTCCTTATCCTCTGCTTTGTCACATTGGTAACTACTGTGGTGATAACTTACTGTCCAGCAGTTATGTGGCATTTGCCTGATGTCTGTATGCAGCTTAAGCATTTTGTGGTTACCCTCTGTGATGAGCCTAGAGATCTCTGGGGTAAATGTTAAAAGCGGTCTGGGTATGTTTTTTAAATGCCTTAGTATTTCTGCCTGATTGCAAAGATTTATCGGTTGGCTTTCCTAAAGTTGTTGGATTGTTTAAGCATACTTTTTGAGTAGAGTCAAAGTATCCTATAAATAAACTGTTTTTCATTCATAATGTCATAGTAAAGCCTTGTTTTTAATTTAGTTTGAAATCACATATAGTTCACTGAAAACCCGTATATGCATCATGTAATACATATCTAAAGTTATCTTCGTTCCTTGAATGTATACTTTCCTTGGGATTTCTGTTTAGCTTTCAGGAGCAGTACAGTGGGGGTGGGGACGGGGGTAATATAGAACTGTTGACACTCGATAGCTTTATACTATTTTCTCATCTGTAGTAAGGAGACAGAAAATCTGCACTTTCTTTTTGCTCTTTAAAAATTCTTGCTTTACAGGCTGGACACGGTGGCTCACGTCTGTAGTCCCAGTACTATGGGAGGCTGAGATGGGTGGATCACCTGAGGTCAGCAGTGTGAGACCAGCCTGGCCAACATGGCAAAATCCCATCTCTACTAAAAATAAAAAAATTAGCTGGGTGTGGTGGCAGGCGCGTGTAATCCCAGCTACACGGGAGGCTGAGGCAGGAGAATCGCTTGAACTCAGGAGGTGGAGGTTGCAGTGAGCCAAGATTGTGCATTGCACTCCTGCCTGCATGACAAGAGCGAAACTCCATCTCAAAATAAATAAATAAATAAAACTTGGGTTTACAAAAATACCTGTTTGCCAAAGAAAAAATGAAAAAAATTCGTGGACTTTAGTACAAAATTTCAGTGAAATGGACCTAAATCTGGACAGATCTTTAGAGAGTGTCTAAATCAAAAGGAGAAACTGTTAAAAAGAAAAATTGTTCTAAACCTCATCTAAACAGAATCCGTGTGATATAATTCATAACCTCCTTCTGAGAAGAAATGAACATTTCTGTTATACACTTGTCTGATAAACCTTAATGGGATTAAGGCTTCTGCTGGGGAACTAGTTACCTCCCCACTCAGATGACTGTCATAGTCTAATAACTTTAAACAAGATATTGTCATTTTTTAAAAATCTAGTTTACGAATTAGCCATTGCCATTTCCTAATATAGCTCTATCAAGAGTGTATATGTCTTTAAATTAGTATATCAGAGACCTTCTTTCTTGCTTGAAAGATTGTAATAAAATACTGACATGTGGTCTTAACTAAACTGGGAAAAATATTGTAAGCTGTTATCAGCAATGTAGAAGTCCTAGGGAGAATTTGATAGTAGTCTAAGAACATTAGAATAAAGTTTTTCTAGTTTTAGTTCTGCATGTTAGGGAATCTTTATCCTTCTTCCTCTTCAGATATTTAAGATTATTTTGATACTTAAGCAGCCTGATTCAGTTAGATGTTTTAGTTTTTTTGTTTTTGTTTTTGTTTGAGAGGGAGTCTCGCTGTTGCCCAGGCTGGAGTGCAATGGCGCGATCTTGGCTCACTGCAACCTCCGCCTCCTGGGTTCAAGCGATTCTCCTGCCTCAGCCTCCCGAGTAGCTGGGACAACAGGCGCCTGCCACCATGCCCAGCTAATTTTTGTATTTTTAGTAGAGACGGGGTTTCACCGTATTGGCCACGCTGGTCTAGAACTCGTGACCTTGTGATCTGCCCTACTCGGCCTCCCATTGTGCTGGGATTACAGGCGTGAGCCAACATGCCTGGCCCTGAGCATCTTTTTCTTATCAGTTTGCTTTAACGGTTTGACAGTCTGACTTGGCTTATGACTCTGGGCAAATCATTTAATCCTTTGGGCCCCATTTTGGGCTCATTTTACTCATTTAAAAATTGAGATGCTTAGAGATAGATAATCTCTAATGTTTCTTTTGGTTTTAAGGTTTTTGGCACTTTCTGAGTGGGTGATTTAGATTTAGATTTGGCCTCATGGCTTAATCAAGATCTTACAAAGTCTATGTGAATGTTATTGACTAAGGAATTTTCTTGAAACATCTGAAATGAATTGAGCCTTTCAGGTGTCTACCTATAAGGACTGTACCCCCTCCCATGTAGGTTACATCTGTACATACAGGGTAGACTTCATGCAGATGATCATAAATTCATTAACATTTTATAAAGAAAGTGCCTCGTAGGTTTTTTTGTTTTTTTTTTAGTCCAACTCATGAGTTTTTTGGATGAGAGAACTGAGGAGTATCTTGAATGACTTTCTTTGAGCATGATCTACCGTGCGATAAACAGTTTGCCCCACTTATACCTACAGGTAAATTTGAGAGACACAAAGGCTTGCATATGCCTAACTTTAACAAAAATTACTTTCCCCACATACTCTGCATGCTGCATACTCTTAGTTTTCTGTTGTATTCTTTTCCATTATTTTTTAAATGCTGGGTCATGGCTTAAACTTCTCCCTTGCCATTCATTTGATTGTTAACAGACCATAACAGCTATTTGGTGGCTTAGCCAAAGAACCTGCAAACACGTGGGGCCATGATGGGGCTAAAAGGCAAGATTGACCTTGGAAAGCTAAGATTTTATTCTTATCAGTGGTTCATATACAGCAAGGTTTCTTAGTGTCAGCTCTACTGACATTTTCTTGTAGGAAACTGTCCTGTGTTGTAGTATGGTTAGCGGCATCTCTGGCCTCTACCAAGTACCATCCCCCCACCCCCAGTTGTGACAACAAAAAATGTCTTCAGGCATTGCTAGTTTCTTTGTATTCTTTGTAGTCTTCTTCCCACTTAAATTGATGTCTAAAATTATCTGTCCCGGCCGGGCCTGGTGGCTCACGCCTGTAATCCCAACACTTTGGGAGGCCAAGGTGGGCGGGTCACCTGAGGTCGGGAGTTCAAGACCACCCTGACCAACATGGAGAAACCCTGTCTCTACCAAAAATACAAAATTAGCCCGGCGTGATGGCGCATGCCTGTAATCCCACCTACTCGAGAGGCTAAGGCAGGAGAATCACTTGAACTTGGGAGGCGGAGGTTGTAGTGAGCCAAGATTGTGCCATTGCACTCCAGCCTGGGCAACAAGAGTGACACTCCATCTCAAAAAAAAAAAAAATTTATCTGCCCAGTTTTTTGTTTTGTTTTGTTTTGTTTTTTGGAGACAATGTCTCACTCTCACCCAGGATGGAATGCAGTAGTGTGATCTTGGCTCACTACAACCTCTGCCTCCCAGGTTCAAGCGATTCTCCCACCTCAGCCTCCTGAGTAGCTGATACTACAGGCACACACCACCATGTCCGGCTAATTTTTGTATTTTTAGTAGAGATGGGGTTTCACCATGTTGGCCACGCCGGTCTCGAATTCCTGACCTCAGGTGATCCGCTCGCCTCAGCCTCCCAAAGGGCTGAGATTACAAGCGTGAGCCACCACTCCCGGTCTGGATTCTTTTTTTTTTTTTTTTTTTTTTTTTTTGAGACAGAGTTTCACTCTTTTCACCCAGGCTGGAGTGCAATGACTTGATCTTGGCTCACTGCAACCTTCACCTCCTGGGTTCAAGCGATTTTCTTACCTCAGCCTCCTGAGTAGCTAGGACTACAGGTGCACCCCATCATGCCTGGCTAATTTTTTTATTTTTTAGTAGAGATGGGGTTTCACCATGTTGGTCAGGCTGGTCTTGAACTCCTGACCTCAGGCAATCCACCCACCTTGGGCTCCCAAAGCCCTGGGATTATAGGTGTGAGCCACCGTGCCTGTCTTCATTCTTAATGATTATATAACACTCCCTATAGAGGTGTACAATAATATACTCAGCCATTCTCCTTTGGGAAATACAGTTGCTTTCAGTTACCTTGATAGTAAACATTATTGTATTGGTGCTCTCGTTTCTGTGGGATCGAATCTTGAAAAGTGGATCAGAGAGCATGAGAATTTTTAATTAATTTTCCAAAAAATAAACTTTTCTGGTTTCTGCTTTTCTTCTGTTCTTTAAGAATGCCTCCCAATGCAGTGATTATGCTAAAGTCTTTAACACACTTTAGATTTATTTTTGTGTGTAGTGTAAGATAGGAATTCCCTCTCCTTTCTTCCCAAATGTGTAGTTGGTTATATCAATATCAACAATTAAATACAATGTTCTTTCTTCTGAGAATTGAGATGTCATCTTTGCATATTACGTTGCCATGTATACTTGGATGTATATGTTGTATTTTGTGGTCTGCTGATCTCTTTGTCTAGTCTAGTTCAAATACCATCCGTATCTATTGATTATACTTGTTGTATAATGGCAATTTTAATAATTGGTTGGGCAGAGTCTTCCTTAATATTCTCTTTCGGTTGGGCACGGTGGATCATGCCTGTAATCCCAGCACTTTGGGAGGTGGAGGCAGGGGGATCATCTGAGGTCAGGAGTTTGAGACCAGCCTGGCCAACATGGTGAAACCCTATCTCTACTAAAAATACAAAAAATTAGCTGGGCTTGGCAGCACATGCCTGTAGTCCTAGCTACCTGCGAGGCTGAGGCAGGAGAATGGCTTGCCCGGGAGGCGGAGGTTGCAGTAAGCCGAGATCACGCCATCGCACTCCAGCCTGGACGACAGAGCGAAACTCCATCTTTAAAAATTATCTTTCAGTGTTTTCTTGGCAATGTTTGAACACTCATTCACATGAACTCAAATTATTGTGTCAAATTTATCATCACATATTCTATGCCCTTCTTTAAAACCGCTTAAGAAATGCATCAGACGTAAAATAACTGCTCCAACTTAATAATTTAAGGGAAAAAAACTACAATTATGATAGGTAGTTATCACAACCAGGAATATGACATGTTCTTGTTATTTGTTTCACTATAGTTTTAATTATTTTTATGTTCTCTTTAGTTATGCATTGAGTGCCTGATACCTAGTGACACTGCTGTTTTTGTAATACTATTTCTACCTATTACTACTGCTTTGTATCTAGGACATAGCTTTTTACTTTTCTGACTGTGCATTTTTATTCATGCTCTATTCCATGCTTGACCTGCTTTCCCCACCTCCCACCCCAACCTTATTTCTCTCCTTTCAGAACTCAGCACAAATACTTGTGATTCTTTTCTTGCCCACAGTATTCTTTTCCATTAGTATTTCTAAATAGCATATATTTGACAATCAAATACTCTTTTTATTTGTTTCAGCATCTTTTCACAGAACCTTAGTGAATTCAGAGGGTCATCTCCCCCCTTCCTCCACTTTGACTTATTTTTGAGAAAATTGATTTGGCAGTAATACTTGTAAATTTGTATATTCCAACTGTTAACAAAAACTCTGGCCCAGAGCACCTATGTCAAGTCTTGGCTCTGCTTGTTAGTGGTGTGACCTTAGACAAGTTACTTAGCCTTATTGTCTTAGTTTCCTTATTATAAAAATGGGGCAGTGATGATCATAATACCCACTTGACAGGGTTTTAATGAGGATTTCGTGAATTAATATCTGTAATGTGCCAGACCAGTGTTTTGCATGGAGTAAGCACTTCATTTGTGATTCCTATAATTTCTGTTACTTAATTCTCATGAGGAAACACTAGTAAAATGAAGTAAAACATAAACCTTCTTATTATATGACTACTGTGCTTTCTCTCATTAGACCAGTTAAAAATCTAAGCCTTTAGCTTTAACTATATTACCCTTATTCAAACACATAAAAGATTTTTCCTACATGCTAGGTTTTTTTGAAGATGAGTATTGCCAGAAAGCTTTTTACGACTTAAGATGAACAGTTACTGTGGTCACTTGTTCCTGTCAGTAGTCCTAAATTTAGGATGAGTTTATCATCATCACTGTTCTACAGTTAAGGCACTACTGCAGAATAATCTCCCATTGAAGCAGTCTCCCTAGTCACCCTCTCACCCCTCTACATGCACTTTGCTGTGCATGCTGGAATTTGATTCAGAACAAAATGTACTTGGGTCTCTGGTTCCTGTTTCTCAAGTGTGTTTAAGGAGTATACGTTTTTCAAAACAAATATTTGTCATTAGATGTAAGGGCATAGAGTACCTTGTGGTAACTGAGTTAGTTCAACCAGGTATGGTAGTCAGAAGCTTGTAAGAGCAGCAGCAACTTCCCATTTACTGAGCACTTATAATGGAATGCTAGACTTTAAAAATGTTATGTCATTGAAATCACACAGCCACCCTGGGAGTGATATCTTCCAATTTTTAGGATGGTAAAAATGTCCACCTTTGTGCCCTCAGTCATTCTTTAACTGAAAACTAGCTCAACCTTTGAGGTCTATGTCATTAAAAATTATTTCTTAAGGGTTTTTTTTTGGTGGGGGTGTGGTTTTTGAGGGAGGCAAATTTATATAATATATAATGATGAACATGACAGAATATTTTTCAATTTGATGTGGCAGAATCGAAATCTGCCAATAAAACTTAACTATCTTACACGTATCATATAATTCACGATTCTGTTAGTAAGTGGTTTGCAAAAGCATAGAAATTGAGATGTGAGAATTTTGTATTTTACCATGTGTAAAAGCGGAAACGTTTTTACTCTGGAACATCTATAGTACCCTCAGCAAGTTTCCATTCAAGTTGTGTATGGTTGGGATTAGACTGGGTGCAGTGGCTCACACCTGTAATCCCAACATTTTGGAAGGCTGAGGCAGGAGAATCACCTGAGCCTAGGAGTTTGAGACCAGCCTGGGCAACATCGTGAGGCTCCATTTCTATGAAAAAATAAAATTAGCTGGGCGTGGTGGTGCACATCTGAGGTCCCAGCTACTGCAGAGACTGAGGTGAGAGTGGTTGCTTGAGCTCAGGTGATTGAGGCTATAGTGAGCTATGATTGCATCACTGCCCTTCAGCCCGGGTGACAGTGCAAGATCCTATCTCCAAAAAAAGAAGAGCTCTCAAATATCTTGTTAGTAGTTTTCACTTTGTAATATAGCTTTATTTTCCCTGGTTTGTGTATACTTGGACTAAGAGTGTGGACTATAATTGCTTGACTCGCTTTCAGCATTAGAGGCCAGAGTTAGTTTTATGAGGAGGCCAGAGTTAGTTTTATGAGGTCTGTTGGCACCAGATGAGAAAAGGGGTTAGCTTCAGTCTGGAATTACTTTGGTTTTAATCTTTTGTAAGGAAAAGTTAGGATCATAGTTCCAGCCTGTTACCCTCATTCCCTCTCTCTTCCTGCTTCCTTCCTTCCCTTTGAACAAATATTTGAGTACCTGCCATTTGCTAGGCATTGTTCCAAGCACCCAGAGATATTATGGTGAACAAGACAAAAATCTCTGTTTTCCGGATATGATTCTAGTGGGGGAAACAGACAGTAAGAAAGATAGATAATTAAAAATAATTTTCATGAAGGTTCTATTAATAAAGCCAGGAAGCGGGAAAGAAAGGTGTGTAGGGGGTATTTGGAGAGGGGTTGCAATTTTATAGGACAGTTAAGGGAAAGCCTTAATAAAGTGTCATGTAAGGAAATGACCTGAAGAAAGTGAGGATATCTGCTTTAGGAATAGCAAATAAAAGGTCCTGTGGGTGACAGCTTGCCTAACATGTTCAGCAAACAGCAGTGACTGGAATGGAATGAGCCAGGAGGAGAACAGGAGATGAGGCCAGAGAGGTAGCAGGGATTGGGTGATAGAGGCTCTCTGTTTGAGGCCTTACAGGGTCGTTGTCAGGACTTGGGTTTTTAGAGATGGTAAACAACTAGGCTAGGTTTTGGGTAGAGGAGTGACATGATCGAACTTATCCTTTTATACAATATTAGGCTGGCTGCTATGTTCATGATAATATCCTGAAAGTGGTCAAGGGTGAGAGCTAGAAGCCCATTTAGAGGCTCTTGGACTCATCTAGAAAGATTCAACCAAAGTACTAACAATGAAGTGGCAAGAAGTGGCTGAATACTGGATATATTTGAAGACAGTGCCAATAAGATTTGCCAATTGAGTGTGTTTATGAGAGAGATAGAGGTGGTGGGGGGTTGAAATTAAGGATTACATGGAGGTTTTTGACCTGAACAGATCCATCTAGTTGAAGCAGGTTTGGGATGGCATATAGGAGTTGGGGAGGGGAAAGTATCAACTTCATTTTGATCATGTAAAGTTTGAGACACTTTTTAGACATTCAAATAGAAGTGTTGAGTAGGCAGGTAGAAACAGGAATCTGGAGTTGAGGGGAGCGATTTCAGCTCGAGGTAGGAATTTGGGAGTCAGAAACATAGTTGGATACTTAAAGCCATGAGTTTGGGTAAGATCACCTAGAAAGGAAGTATAGGAAAGAAGATTTAGTGATTTCGCATATGCAGTCTTACAAGGAATTCAAAAAGACAATAGAAAAGCCAGGTTAGTATGTCTTGAAAGAGAAGTGGAGAAAGTATTTGAAGGAGGGAGTACTCACCTTTGTTGGATACTGGTGATGGATCAAGGGTGGTAAGGACTGAAATGTGGAAATTGGATTTAGTACAGTGGAGGTCATTGGTGACCTTGACCAGCAGCTTTGGTGCAATAGTGGGTTGAAACCCTGTGTTAAAGAAACAGTGAGAAGAGACAAATTAGAATAATGAGTATTTGCCGTAAAAAGAAATAGAGAAATGGGGCAATAACGTTTCCTCTGGCTTCCTATTATTAGCAGACCTCCTGATCCATCCCCCTTGCTGTTGCTGCAGTGCTTCCCTGGTATTGAAGGAAATACTTCCCTTATATGGAGGCAGGGAATGAGCCTGTCTGAGATGCTCTTTGTTGCTCTCTTGGAAGCCAGGAAATGCCAAACTTGGGTTACCTTCTTTCGGTTGGATAGTGTTTATTAGATGCTTTTGTCACTGTGTTGTTCCTTTAGTCCTGGGGCCTTTAACTAGTTTGCCTTCCCTTTTCTATCTTTCAGAGTTTTCCTTTGATTGCCTCTTGTGTTATTTGCAGGATTTATAATTGTGCTTAGAACAGGGATGAGCTGGGAGAAAGAATAGAGTCTACACCACCTTGCCTGTACCAGGGTTTCTTCTATTTATTCACTTTTTTGTTTGTTTTGTTCCTTTTTACCACATTTATTTTTAAGAACTGGTAAGTTTATTAACAAATTAATTTTTGGTTCAACTCATTTTCTTGAAGATGGGTTCTGTTGCTAAACCTCAGTGTCTTTAAGGACTATTTCTGAAAATATGGTCTCAGCTGGGCGCATTGGCTCACACCTGTATTCCCAGCACTTTGGGAGACCGAGGTGGGTAGATCACCTGAGGTCAGGAGTTTGAGACCAGCCTGGCCAACATGGTGAAACCCCGTCTCTACTAAAAATACAAAAATTAGCCAGGTGTGGTGGTGGACGCCTGTAATCCCAGCTACTCGGGAGGCTGAGGCAGGAGAATTGCTTGAACCCGTGAGGCAGAGGTTGCAGTGAGCCGAGATCGCACCACTGTACTCCAGCCTGGGCGAAAGAGCGAGACTCCATCTCAAAAACAAAACAAAACAAAAAAAGTATGGTCTCATAGATATCTTACATAATAACTAAGAGGCTTTTTCTTCATAAAGGTACGTGAGACTTAACTCTCTCAGGCAATTCTTAGACTTACTAAAGTTGGAGCATTATTCCTGGAGATTGTGCGTTGGAACTTGTTTGATTTCTCAGTAGCTGACTGGGGGCTCAATGATAATAGCTAGCTAAGTGGTGGGGCCAGGATTTGGAACTCAGTGTTCACTGACTCCAGACACCATACTCTTTTCCAATAAACCGTATTTTCAAAGTGAGAAAGAAGATGTTTTTCTGTTGGATTTAGTATTAAAATTCTCTCATTCTTCTAGAGATAGCCGGAGGCAAGTTCTCCCTGTGGAATATGTGGGACTGGGGTAGTAGGGATGAAAGGGGGACCCTGCCTCAATACACTGTACTTTTCTGCTCCTTCACCCTTCTGGGGGGGTGTGTGTGTGTGTGTGTGTGTGTGTGTGTGTGTGTGTGTGTCAAGGCCTTGCTCTGTGTGTGTGTGTGTGTGTGTGTGTGTGAAGGTCTTGCTGTGCTGCCCAGGCTGGAGTACAGTGGCGCAGTCTCGACTCACTGCAGCCTTGACCTCCCAGGCTCAAGCGATCCTCCCTCCTCAGCCTACTGAGTAGCTGGGACCTTAGGCTTGCACCACCATTCCCGGCTAATTTTTGTATTTTTTTGTAGAGACATGGGGTTTCACCTGTTGCCCAGGCTGGTCTCGAAGTCCTGAGCTCGAGTGATCATTTTGGGGTTTTTTGTTTTTGTTTTTTTGAGACAGGGTTTCACTCTTGTCACCTGGTCTGGAGTGCAATGGCGTGATCTCACTCACTGCAGCGTCTGTCTCTAGGGTTCAAGTAATTCTTCTGCCTCAGCCTCCCAAGTAGCTGGAATTACAGGCACCCACCACATTCCCTACTAATTTTCGTATTTTTAGTAGAGACGGGGTTTCACCATGTTGGTCAGGCTGGTCTTGAACTCCTGACCTCAAGTCATCTGCCCGCCTCAGCCTCCCAAAGTGCTGGGATTACAGGCCTGAGCCACCATGCTCGGCCTCAAGCAATCTCTTTGAAAGAGAAATTAGTATCACATACAGAATTTGAACATTCTAACCTCAGTTTAACTTTTGAAAGGAAGAAAAGTAGACAGAAAATTAATTCACTCTGGAGGAGCTGCTCTGGAATGGCAGTACTTTGAATAACTGAGAGCCTTTCACTATTTGTCATTTGCTTTATTCTTGAAACATAACAGTCTTATTCTCTAAAGAAGACACAGTAGGCCATGTGCGGTTGCTCACGCCTGTAATTCCAGCACTTTGGGAAGCCGAGGTGGGTGGATCACCTGAGGTCAGGAGTTTGAGACCAGCCTGTCCAAGTGAAACCTTGTTTCTACTAAAAATACAAAAAATTAGCGAGGCGTGGTGACGGGCACCTGTAATCCCAGCTACTTGGGAGGCTGAGGCAGGAGATTCGCTTGAACCTGGGAAGCAGAGGTTGCAGTGAGCCGAGATCGCACCATTGCACTCCAGCCTAGGCGATAAGAACAAAACTTTGTCTAAAAAAAAAAGAAAAAAGACACAGTAAGTAGCCTAGTATTTTGCTCAAAATCTTCATGCTCAAATTCCATGTTCAGTCCTACAGCCAGTCAAGAACTGTAAGCCATTTCCATACTTCTTTGTCATGCCATTTTTTCCTCCATTAGAATACTTCAGTTAAGTGTTTTTAAAATATAAACATTTGAGAATTAAACAGGATAAGGCATCAGCTAAAACTCTCTCATATTGTTTATATTTTTTGCAAATTTACTTGTAAACTACATGTGCACAGACATCATTAAAAATTGTCTTACAGTTAAAACACATGGTAGTTCCCATAAGGAGGCATGGATAATCTAGTTGGAGACCAGTTATATATATGACATGACTTGGAAATAATAGCACATACAAATAACAAAATAAGAGGATCCAACTAAGCTTGAAGAGGACAAAGAGTGAATTGTGAGGTACGATGCACAAGGAAAAACTTTCCTGGAGAGACGTGGGTTTTAGTGTTAGAAGATGCTTCTGGGTATTTTCTGGTTGGAAATTTGCATAGGGTATGACAAACAATTACATTTCTTTTATTGTGCTAGGCAGAGTATATAATATGTATATGTTTACCATGTTTGATGAAAAATCTGACTGACGGGTATTGAAAGGAGTTTAAAGTACCTTAAATGATTTTTAAAAGATTGAGTGTATTTTAAAACATATCTCAATCTTAAACATGTAAAAATTTAATGTACAAAAAAAATTTATCAGCTGACCTACAGAAAATGAAATGTATCAAACTACTAAAGGTTGTTTGTTTGTTTGTTTATTTTTGAGACAGAGTCTCACTCTGTCGCCCAGGCTAGAGTGCAGTGGCGTGATCTTGGCTCACTGCAACCTCTGCCTCCTGGGTTCAAGCAATTCTCCTGCCTCAGCCTCCCGTGCAGCTGGAACTACAGGCCCAGGCCACCACGCCTGGCCAATTTTTTTGTATTTTTAGTAGAGACAGTGTTTCACCATGTTGGTCAGGCTGGTCTTGAACTCCTGATCTCAAATGCTCTACCCACCTCAGCCTCCCAAAGTGCTGAGATTACAGGCATGAGCCAGCACGGCCAGCCTAGAGGTGTCAAATTATCAAGTTTAGAAGTATGGGCTTTGTGTTAAAGGCACAGTCAGTAAAATCCACAATGGAGGAAATTCTAAAGGACAGATAGTGCTGTCTCTTCCACAGATTGTGAGGAAAGAAAATGAGGAGGAGCGTGTTACGAGCTTGTGATGTATTAAGTAAATGAATTGTGTGGATCTTATTTGACTCTGATTTGGAGAAAACTGAGACAATCCAGGAAATTTAACCAGTAACTGGATATTTAACATTAAGGAATTATTGTTTTTTAGATTATAAAATATACTGGTATATATTCTTAAAAGACCTTACATTTTGGAAACATACCGAAATATTTAGAGGTGATGATGTGATGTTGGGAATTGGCTTAAAAATAATTCATAGGGATGGGAGATAGATGTTATAGATGAGGTAGGATTCGCCAAAAGTTGATAGTTGAAATTGGTTGATGGTTTTGTGGGAGTTTATTATCTTTTAGCTTGTATTTGTAAATTTTCATTCAAACAGGGTCTGAGATAAATAAAAGAGCATGAGGAAAGATGAGGATTGCTTATATTGTTTTATAAGATTAACATGGATTGCCAGGTTCTGTGTGACCTGGCCCTGCCTACCTGTATCCATTGTCAAGTTGAATGAATTCTTTTCGTTGTTCACTGTTGGAGTTCTAACCACATAACCATTGTATACATGTCGTTTCTTTGTGACACACCACAGTTCCACCTAATGTCTTCTGCTCCACATCCCCAAGCCCTACCAGTTTGTGCATCCAAGTCCTATTTTATGCTTTGGAGGTCTGTTTAAATATTTATATCACAAGTCTTTCTAGATCCCCCAGTCTAAATCTGACATAGTTAGGATCTCTTATCGTATATTTTATATGATTATTTGATTATTAACATCTATCTGCCCCATTAAATTGTAAACTTTAGCCACAGTTCTTGTTTTTGCATCCCTAACCTAGTCTAATTCTTGGTAACTAATAGTTGCTTAAATATTTGTTAAATGGAAGGAAGAAGGATAGAGTGAGTTCATGGTGGGCTAAATGCTTGGCTGAAATAAACTACCAAAACTACACAAATTTCATTTAAATATTAGAGGTAATCTAGTTGAAGTAGTAAGACAAAAGTGCTGTGTTCAATTTCAAGGGTCTGTCAGGATGAATTGGCAGTTTAGGTAGAATTGGCTCTGGGGCTGGGTGCTGTGGCTCACACCTGTAACTGCAGCACTTTGGGAGGCTGAGGCAGACGGATCATTTGAGGTCAGGAGTTCGAGACCAGCCTGGCCAACACGGCAAAACCCCATCTCTACTAAAAACACAAAAATTAGCCAGGCATGGTGACAGGCACCTGTAATCCCAGCTACTCAGGAGGCTGAGGCAGGAAAATCACTTGAACCCGAGAGGCAGAGGTTGCAGTGAGCTGAGATCGTGCCTCTGCACTCCAGCCTGGGTGACAGAGCGAGATTCCATCTCAAAAAAAAAAGTATTGGCTCTGGTACATTTGTTCCACATTACTACAGATATCTGTAGAAAGCTGACACAACCTAGGTCATGTGACAGATGAGAATGGGTTAAGACGAAGTATGTATCCGAGTTTTTTCCTGGGTTTTACTTTACAACTAAAATGTGGGATATTTAACTCTGGACAGTTTGGTTCTCTTCTTTTTCTCCTTGTGCTTTATCCCCTCCATCTTTTTAAATTTGGTGGTAATGTCACTGATAATGCAATGTCTATTCTAATAGACTACTTTGATTTTTCTGTTTAGAGTGGAACTTTTAGATGACTCTAAAGTTCAAAGCTCAAGAAACTCTCAGAATATGGCTTGTTGCTAACTGAAAACACTTGTTTCCTGAATTTATCTGAGAGGTTTTTCTTTAATCTTATTCTGTTTTTCTTCCTTTTTTGTACCTTTTTGATACGGAATTTAAATCCATGGTTATAATGACTAAATTGTTATTTCTTTTTTTTTTTTTTTTTTTTTTTTTGTAGACAGAGTCTTGCTCTGTCCCCCAGGCTGGAGAGCAGTGGCACGATCTCGACTCACTGTAACCTCTGCCTCCCGGGTTCAAGCGATTCTCCTGCCTCAGCCTCCTGAGTAGCTGGGATTACAGGCGCGTGCTACTAAGCCCGGCTAATTTTTTTTTGTATTTTTAGTAGAGACGGGGTTTCACTATGTTAGTCAGGCTGATCTCAGACTCCTTATCTTGTGATCTGCCTGCCTCGGCCTCCCAAAGTGCTGGGATTACAGGCCTGAGCCACCGTGCCCAGCTGACTAAATTGTTATTCTTATCTAATACATACATTTTAGGTTGCAGTTAGGATTACATCATTGTATGGCTATCACAACTTTGTGAAGCAGATGTTGTTCTTATTTGCAGAGGTCAATTTATATGTTTAGGATCACATAAAGTAAGTAAAAGTGAGAACTTGTCTCCTGATCTTCCCTCTGTTTCACACTGCTTTTGAGCTAGGTAGTGAGTACTTGTGAGTGGTTTTTTGTTTTTGTTTTTTTCATGTGACTCAGCAATTTCAAGATTTCTCATTCCTGCCCCACAGTGACCCTAACTCTTACCCTGAAAACTGTTAATCTGGCAATTGTACGCTCTGGGATGATCTCAGTTTTATTTGAATCTTTTGGTTTTTAAAAGTTATCTAAATAACCTGGAGATTTCAGAACTTAGATGTCTCAGGATTTCCTGCACACTTGGAAGTAGCACATAATCCTTTGTCAATTTATCTACCAGTGTGAATGTAGCACTGTGTAGCTCACTGTGAACAGTCATTTTACTTTAGTTGGCTAATAGAACCTTTGTTTCATTAAAAGGAAAGAATCGAGATGGGACTGAAATCAGAATCAAAGTTGAAATTACCACCATTCGGGTTTTTCTGGCATGTTTGTTGCCTTAATGAGATTTAAAAAAATTTATGTTAATACATCAGGGAAGAGAAGCATAATCCACCAGCCCTGTTCTACTGGATTGACATACAAATTTCCCATCTTAGAATAGAATTAGGTGACTTAATTAGAGGCACTAGGCCTGGTAGTCAACATGTGGTGTTCCATGTGGTTCAATGTCTAGCTTTTGGTGCTACTTATCTAATAAATACAAAAGAGTTGATCTATTGATAATCCCTTTTAAACCCATTGACTATTAATAACTTTAAAGAACTAAAAACAAAAATTAATTTTTAGCCAACATGTAAGCTGAACCCTGAATTTGCAAGGAAAAAAATTAATTACTTTTACTGTATGGTTTAAGTGTGTTTATAGAGGGCGCTTTTTTTTTTTTTTTTTGGGGAGAGGGAGTCTCACTCTGTTGTACAGGCTGAAGGGCAGTGGCGTGTGGTCTGGGCCCACGGCAGCCTCCGTCACCTCCTGGATTCAAGCAATTCTCCTGCCTCAGCCTCCTATGTAGCTGGGATTACAGGCGTGCGCGACTACGTCTGGATAATTTTTTTTATTTTTAGTAGAGATGGGGTTTCACCATAGATTTCACCAATGAGAAGTCTTAAAATTGTTGAGTCACATGAAGAAAACAACAAAAAACCATTCACAGGTACTCACTACCTAGCTCAAAAGCAGTGTGAAACAAACACAGGAAAGATCTATGTTCTTAGAGTCAACAGAGCATTCTCAATTCTCTGTGGTAATAGTCTAACTGTGTAAAAAGAACGATTAAAGTACAAGTTCATAGCTAATGAAATATTTATATACAACAAATATTTCTTATGTAAACCAATACTAGCACATAGCTGGTTAACATTAAGGTGTACTATTCATGTGGTGTCACAAAAGCAAATATTGATACTGCATTTAGGTAACCAAAAAGTAATTCATCATGTAACATTTTAATGAATTTTTGTATAGCACATGGTGACAAAGCCATTTTTACCAATAAAAAGTTTATAAAAGCAATGAGCAAAATACGAGTTGAAAAGAATTCCCACTCAGGTGATAACTACAGTATATATAGTACATGTTTTTGTATGGACTAGGATAAAGCACACGGTAAAATCAAACGTTCTAAGGCATTCTAGTGTCCTACTCAGGCACATAGTTAAAACAGTTATTTCACTAATAGCACAGAAACAAGCATCAGGAATGAGTTGACTCATCAGTGTTAGAATCCACGTGATTTTCTTCATTATTGATAATGACTATATTAGAAACCAAGTCCTCATTGTATTTAAAGTATTATTCTGCAACCTTAGTCCTGTGTTCTTTCCTGAAGTCTGTATGGTATAACATTAAACATGTCCCTAATGTTCAATGTGTGTCCCTTGTTTTGAGCTGTAAATTGTCAGAGTGATAAATTTACACTTCGAATATTGAGGAGGAAGTCTATCTTTACCTCTGATAAGCTGAGTTTATATAGCTTGTATTTGTTTTTTTTTTGTTTTGTTTTTTTTTTTTTTGAGACGGAGTCTCGCTCTGTGGCCCAGGCGAGAGTGCAGTGGCGCAATCTCGGCTCACTGCAAGCTCCGCCTTCCGGGTTCACGCCATTCTCCTGCCTCAGCCTCCCGAGTAGCTGGGACTACAGGCGCCCGCCATCACGCCCGGCTAATTTTTTTGTATTTTTAGTAGAGACGGGGTTTCACCGTGTTAGCCAGGATGGTCTCGATCTCCTGACCTCGTGATCCGCCTGCCTCGGCCTCCCAAAGTGCTGGGATTACAAGCGTGAGCCACCGCGCCCGGCCGCTTGTATTTGTTAAGGAACAAAAGATGTGAAGCTCTTATTCTTGTGTTACTGTTTAGTGGTGCTCTGCTCTGCCACTGGAGTATGGTAACATCTTCATATCTTATCCAGACTTGTTAACTGTACACCTCTCATGCTTAATAACAGTTTAGCTTTCTGCTCATATTGCTGGTATTTTGAACACAAGATACTTCTTGGACGCTTGAGTTGTGGTTTTCCATTTTTCATTGGAGATGATGAGAGTTTGAGCAGCATTATGGAAGAATAATGTTGTAACAACTTTCTCCTGGAAATCACTTCGAGTTCTAAACCATCACATCACAGATACACTTGTAAAATGAAACTTGTTCATAAATTGGGAATTGTTAGTATTCCTTAGTGCTGTCTTGCCTTTCTTTAATTAGTTTATTAACCATATTATCCAAAACATATTATCAGGAGGCTCGCTTTGTATTGTTATTTAGGTAAATACCTGTGTAGGGGACATAAGACCTTCATTAATATCCAAGAAAAAGTGTATTTATCAAAGTTCTTGCGAACTAAAATGTTTTAAGTAATTTTCTTTTCCTTTTGTATTTTCAAAGGAGCTGCATGGTTCCTTAAACATTAGAATGCCAGGATGAAAAAGGTGTGAGGGGAGTTGATTGAGGAAAAGTAGTATGATTGACTGGTGTTGGGAAGAGCAGCTAAGGAGGCTGTTGGGGTTGCCCAGTGGTGATAGATGGGGACCTGGTGTGGTGGTAGTTTTAGGAATGAAAGGAATCTATAAATCCAAAAGATTTTGCAGGATAGAAAGGTGGTAAGCCTTGAAAAGTAAGGAAAGGTGGGAATAAAATACGAGGGTTAACTAGTTTTGTCTCTTTGTGGGTAGGGGGCATTTTTGTTGTTCAAGAATGATCCCTAGTTTCTTATTGATCTCTTGAGATCATTTCCTGGATTTAGGGTAGAGCTAGACCTGCAGCCAACATTGAAGCAGATAACTGTACTTTAAAAGTATCTTTTTATCTTGAAGTGGTTCCATCAAAATTAGGGAACTGTAAAATGTTTTCTTTCTAAAAGAAGAGACATAATTGATAATTATCACAGTGGTTGGTTTGAATGGTTTATGTTTGGTCCATACAAAAGTTAAAATACCATTACTACCCTTGGTCTTAATTATTATGGTATGATTAAGTATTAATTCATGTCTTACTCTGTCGTGGTCAGATTTGTTCTTTTTTATTTTTGACATTTTGTATTTTGCCCCTATGGGAGACTGTGTTCAAGTTCACCTATAGTCATAAGTTTTAGCAGTGAGTGTGTGTATCCTGATGGGAAGTGGGGCTGAGGGCTGTGTGACTGCTGCTGCTTTCTGGGAAAATAGTTTTGTGGTAGATTATGAAATATTTAGATTACAGAATATAGTAGACACCATGTATCCCCAGTGTAATATTTAAACAATGTTAATGTTGTCACATTTCCATCTTTGTTTTTTTACATGAGAAGTCAAACATTATAGGTAGAGCTAAAATCCAACTTCTCCATCCCCTTTCCAGAGATAATGAGGAGCTTGATTGTAAATTTGTTGTATGTCAGTTTTAGGCATTTTAAAATATATTCATCAGTTATCTGTATTGGTAACAATCCTTATTAATGTTTATTTGTTTATTTTTGTGCAGCTTTTGCATTCCCCATTGTTGAGATTAGGTCATGTTGATACATACAGTAAATAAATTGCTAGATAGTATTTCATCAAATTCCTTCACTACTTGTGTGTACTTAATCTTGTTTAGTTTTTTTGTAGTTGTTTCATTCAACATTGTGTTCTTAGATTTAATCATGTTGATACATACAGATGTCGTTTATTTTTATTACTATAGAACTATTAAATGAATAAATTATAGTTTATTTACCAAGTTCAGCAGAATTAGAATATAATTAGTTTTTATCTATTACAGACTCTCCTCCAGTGAACCTGTTTCCTTATGCAGAGGAATGTGTAGTTTATGTTCTCAGAAACAGAATTTCATGGCTGGGCATAGTGGCTCGTGTCTTTGGGAGGCTAAAGGTCAGGAGTTAGAGAACAACCTGGACACCATAGCAAGACCCCATCTCCACAACATTTTTTATTAAAAATTAGCCAGTGGGGCTAGGCTCAGTGGCTCACGCCTGTAATCCCAGCACTTTGGGAGGCTGAGGTGGGTGGATCATGAGGTCAGGAGATCGAGACCATCCTGGCTAACACAGTGAAACCCCGTCTCTACTAAAAATACAAAAATTAGCCAGGCGTGGTGGTGGGCGCCTGTAGTCCCAGTTACTCCGGAGGCTGAGGCAGGAGAATGGCGTAAACCCGGGAGGCGGAGCTTGCAGTGAGCCGAGATCATGCCACTGGACTCCAGCCCGGGCGACAGAGCAAGACTCCGTCTCAAAAAAAAGTTAGTCAGGGCTGGGTGCAGTGGCTCGTGCCTGTAATCCCAGCACTTTGGGAGGTCGAGGTGGGCGGATCCCCTGAGGTTGGGAGTTTGAGACCAGCCTGACCAACATGGAGAAACCCCGTGTCTACTAAAAATACAAAATTAGCCGGGCATGGTGGCGCATGCCTGTAATCCCAGCTGCTCGGGAGGCTGAGGCAGGAGAATCGCTTGAACCTGGGAGGCGAAGGTTGGTGGTGAGCCAAGATTGCGCCATTGCACTCCAGCCTGGGCAACCAGAGTGAAAGAAACTCCATCTCAAAAAAAAAAAAAAAAAAAAAGAAAAAAAAGCCAGGTATGTAGTATGCTCCTGATCCTAGCTGCTTGGGAGACTGAGGTGGGAGGATAGCTTAAGCAAAGGAACTCTAGGTTACAGTGAGCTGTGATTGCACCACCACAATCCAGCCTCAATGATAGAGTGTGAGACCCTGCCTCTCAGGAAAAAAAAAAAAAAAATACAGTATCATGATGGTTGGGTATGCACATTTTACACCTCGCTAAGTATTTTCAAATTATTTTTCAAAAATGGTGGTTCCAATTTTAACTGTTACCAGCAATATATTAATTGCTCTTTTCCATTTCTCACCACCTGTTGGCTTTATGAGACTGTGCGTTTTCCCATCCAGATTTCAAACAGCATCTTAATGTTTTACCTAATATTTATATTTTAACCAAATTTTAACGAGATGACACATTTTTATATATTTATTATTTGCCTTTTATGTGAATTTCCTATTTCTGTTAAGATTGTCTTTTTTTCTTTTATCCTATTTCTGAGAGTTCTGTTACATATTCTGATGTTTAATCGTCAGTTATATGTGTTAGATATCTTCCACCAAAATGTAGTTGGCCTTTTAACTTTATTAGATTTTCTATTGTATGTTGAAAAGTAGGTGAAATCTTTGTGTATTATCTAAGAAATGCTCCCTGCTCTAAGTCCCGAAGATATTCTTTTAAGTTTGGCTGTTCATATTTAGCAATTTGAAATGCCAAAATTTTGTAATTATATCATGAAGAAGGGAACTAATTTTACTTTTTCCTTTAAAGAACTGGCCAGTTTAGTACTATTTATTGAGTAGTTTGATCGTTTCTGCACTGATCTGATTTTTTAAAAATTTCCCGTTATCTTTTATGTATCTAGTTCTACGTTTTGAGGCTCTCTATAGTTTTGCAGCAAATCTGGCTGTCTGGTAATGTGTATTTGCATCATGCCTTCTTGCAAATTTCTTGCTGTTGGTCCTTTATTCCATGTGAACTTTTAGATCTGTTTCTCAGCTTTCATTAAAAATACTGTAGGCAATTTGATTGGAATTTCTTTGAATTTATAGATGTTCATGAGAATCGCCATCCTAAAAAAATGTGTCCTACCATTTGTATAGATCTTCATGCTTTCAGGCGTTATTTTCTCTGTAAAGATATTTAATATATCATTAGTTTTGTTGGTGTTATGAATGGTACTTAATGATATTTTCTACTTTATTAGTTTTTAAATATTCTTTACTGAACACTTTTGCTGAATTCTTTATTAGTTTTAATAATTCTTAGTGTCAGTTGGATTTCCTGTATAGATTATTCTTAATGTATGTTTTATTTTGGCATGGACAATAATTTTATTGTCCCAGAGAAATTAAAGGGATTTCAGAGAAACTGTGTGCCACAGGATCAGGATGCTAGAACGCAGTTCCACTTAATTTGGGAAATACCTATTTGGAAGTTTATATCCATGTGCATCCTGATGAGCGGGAGGTGTCTTGTCTCTCTCTTGGGTTTTTCTTGACACTAGAGTTAGTCTCTGCAAGGGCCTTTAAAAGTTAAATTCCACTCCCCACCCCCCAATCTGGTATAGATATTACTGCTACTCTTGGATTTCACTCAGTTTATTTCCTTTTAGGAGACGCAGGTCAGAATGGAAATGGGCTGCAGACCGGGCAGCTATTGTCAGCCGCTGGAACTGGCTTCAGGCTCATGTTTCTGACTTGGAATATCGAATTCGTCAGCAAACAGACATTTACAAACAGATACGTGCTAATAAGGTAAGGGATAAGTATCTGATGTTTTTAAATGCTGCCGAAAACTATCAATATCGCTTTTCTCACATCCCCTCCCACCTCGTAACCCCCATAACCCTCTTCTTAACTATTGCAAAGTAAATGGTTTAATGACCTGATATAGTGGTTTAATTTAAGAACCTGATGTGGCTGCGCGTGGTGGCTCACTCTTGTGATCCCAGCACTTTGGGAGGCCAAGGCAGGAGGATCATTTGAGCTCAGGAGTTCGAGACCAGCCTGGGCAACATAGTGAGACCTTGTCTTTACAAAAATTACAAAAATTAGTTGAGCATGATAGCATGTGCCTGTAGTCCCAGCTACTTAGGAGGCTGAAGTGGGAGTATCGCTTGAGCCCACGAAGTGGAGGTTGCAGTGAGCCAAGATTGTGCCACCACACTCCAGCCTGGACAACTAAGAAAGGCCTGTCTCATAAAAAGGAAAACACTATTAGAATATAATGTTTAACTGAACGTGTATTTAGAACAAAACTGTGTGGGTATCTGAGCTAACAGGAAACAAGGAAAACAGACTGAATAATGCAAGCAAGCCATTGATGTTAACTGTCATATTTGTTAGATTTATATTTGTTAGTTCCCTGTTATAAAACTGCCACATTTCATAGAACTTAAGATGCTACTGATGGTAAGATGTACCATTATTTTAAGTGCTTACTGTGTCTCAGCAGTGTTCTCAAAAATCCTACCTTCATGAAGCTTACATTCTTGCAAAGTATTTTTTATATTAGCTTGGTGTGGCTGAGCTCTATCTTTATGTAGACCCATGTCTAGAAAAAGTCTATTGCTACTAAAAATAAGGGTCAAAATGCCTTTTTGACCTTAGTACTAGTCAAAGCCTTAAGAAAATGGCTTTCCTGTGAACAGTATCCATTAAATTAGTAGGCCAAAAGTTGAAGGTTGATCAACTGATAAAATGAACAGAATGATCAGGGTTTGAAGTGAAAGTTCTGTGGGCTATCTAATCATTTAAACTTTTATTCTAAAAATGTCACTGCGGACTTATAGCTTCTTTCCAGATTGGAGATACATATATATATATATATTCCCCCTCCCCCTAAAAGTTCAATAGAGCATACTTTAATTGAGGACACAGTCCAGAGGGCTCACTTTTTTATTCTTACTAGTTTGTTCCCTTAGGGTAGCATACAAATTAAATCCTGATTTACTTATTTAAAAATTAGCTGGAACAAAACTAATAAACATTCTAGATTTGGTGCATATTTTGCTTTCCCAAGTCTTCACAAAGGAAATTTTAAAGTGAGATTTGTAGAACTTGAACTGGAATGATGACTAAGAATAACTAGGAGGTGACTGGATATGCCTGTACTGAGGAGAAAAACACAGTCTTTCTCTATCAGAGACACCTCTTCAGTGTCTGTTTCTAGGTTTTTATAGCCAGTAGTTAAGTGGGATTTTCTATATTTGAGAACTAGAGTCTCTTAGTAACAACTGAGATTAGTATAATAGTAGTCATAAGTGCTGCTTCATCTTTTTATATACATTCATAAATATATATGTGGGTTTATATATGTGTATATGTTATATCATCTTAGTTCCTTGTTATAAAACTGCTACATTTCATAGAACTTAAGATGCTATTGATTGTAAGATGTACCATTGTTTTAAGTACGACAAAGAAATTATTTCAGTTAAACCAGGGCATAACAGAAATTGTAAAATGCATCTTGATTTAAAAGTTGTTGACATGTGGGGAGAGTACCTCTTAGAATTGATGAAATACTGTGTATCAATTCTCAGGAAACTGAAATGACATAGAAGTATAAAAGACACCCACCCTCCCCCCCCCCCCCCAAAAAAAAAAAAACAACCCAACAGCTCAAAATTATCTCGCTACCAACATTATGGTACATTTTCCTAGCACATAAGTAATTTGTTCAAATACAGTCATGTTACGTATGTGCCCTGAATATTTCCCAGTTGGTTTTTGGAAAACATTTTTAATGGCTGCATGCTATTGGCTTTCTTTGTTGACTATTTAAGTTACATTTGTTATTTAAATTAAATATGCCATGATAAATATCTTTATCTCAGTCAAAGGTATGAATGCTCTTTTATGTTCTTAATGCATTCTTCAGAGAAGTATTTTGGCAGTGTCAGTTTATAGTCTCACTAGCTGTGTATAAGAAGATACTCACCTCATTTGGTTCATGCTTTATTCTTCAGCTCATCACTCAGAAGTAATGACAGAGCAATTTTCAGAAACTTTCAAAATATCAAAATATCTGAAAAGTATTTCTAAATATCTGGAAAATAATCTGGAGTTTTGTATATACCATCACACATTGCTTAACAAAAGGGAAACTGAGAAATGTGTTGTTAGGTGATTTCATTGGTGCGTGAACATCATAAAGTGCACTTAAATTCAAGCTGAGGGCCGTGCGCAGTGGCTCACGCCTGTAATCTCAGCACTTTGGGAGGCCGAGGCATGGGAGTCCAAGGTGGGTGGGTCACCTGAGGTGAGGAGTTCGAGACTAGCCTGGCCAACATGGTGAAACCCCTGTCTCTATGAAAAATACAAAAAAATTAGCCAGGTGTGGTGGCGGGTGCCTGTAATCCCAGCTACTCGGGAGGCTGAGACAGGAGAATCACTTGAACCTGGGAGACAGGGTGCAGTGAGCTGAGATCGCGACACTGCACTCCAGCCTGGGCAAAGCAGAGCGAGTCTCTGTCTCATATACATACATACATACATACTTACATATATACATACTTAATACATACAAGCTGAGGTGGTATGGCCTGCTATTCACTTAGACAATATGGTATATAGCCTATTGCTCCTAGGGTATAAACCAGTACATCATGCTACTATACTGAATACTGTAGGCAATTAGTGGTAAAGATTTATGTATTTAAACATACCTAAACATAGAAAAAATACAGTAAAAATGTAGTAGAAAAGATAAAAATGGTACACCTGTATAGGGCACTTACCATGAATGGAGCTTGCAGGACTGGAAGTTGCTCTGGGTGAGTCGGTGGGTGAAGGGTAACTGAAATTGAAAAGCCTGGGACATGACTGTACACTACTATAAACTTTATAAATACTGTACACCGAGGCTACACTACATTTATTTTAAATATTTTTTTCAATAATAAATTAACCTTAGCTTACTATAACTTTTTGCTTTATAAACTTTTAAGTTTTTAAAACTTTTTGACTCTTTTGTAATAACACTTAGCCTAAAACACAAATACATTGTAATTGTACAAAAATATTTTCTTCACACCTTATTCTACAAGCTTTTTTCTATCTTTAAAACTTTCCATTTTAAAATGAAAGTTTTATTTTTTAAACTGTTTTGCTAAAAACTAAGACACAAACACACACATGAACGTAGGCCCACATGGGGTCAGGTTTGTCGGTATTACTGTCTTCCACCTTCACATCTTGTTACACTGTTAGGTTTTCAGGGCCAACAACACACACGGAGCTTTCATTGCCTGTGACAGTGCCAACAGAAGGACCTGCTGGAGGCTGTTTCACAGTTCACTTCTTTTAATGAGTAGAAGTACTCTCTAAAATAACGATTAAAAGTATAGTATAGTAAATACATAACACTTTTTATTATCATAAGAAATAAGTGTAACAGTAACATAGCTTTTATTATCAGCTATTATATTCTTAGTGTACATAATTGTATGTGGTATACTTCTAATAGCAGCACTGTAGGTTTCTTTACACCAGCATCACCACAAACACAGGAGTAGTGCTTTGTGCTAAAACAGGTATTCTTCAGCTGTATTAAAATCTTATAAGACCATCATTGTATATGTGGTCTGTCATTGACCATAATGCTATTTGGCACATGAATGTATGTTGCTTATCCAAGAGTTTCATCATTCAAAGCGTATTGTATTAAGCACCATACTTGGACTTGGTAAATTTTTGTTTCTAATCGTGGCTTTGCTACCAGCTGCTTACATGAACCTTGAGAAGAAAAGTCACTTAACATTTCTGAGCTTCAGATTCTTGGTCTGTAAAATACAACATCATAGATAATCTTTTACTTCTCAGAGTTCCGATAGGAAGAATAAAACTAGGTTGATAGTTCCAATAAGTAATGCATCAAGAAAATTCACAGCTTTACGTGTCGTATTTATACATTTCTTTTTCAACAAATGGATTAGTTTCCTAGACTGTCATAACAAACTATCACAAATGGGATGGCTTAAAAAATCAGAAATGTGTTCTCTCACCGTTCTGGAGGCCAGAAGTCTGAAATTATGGTGTCAAAAGGGCCATGGTCTCTATGGAGGCTCTAGGGAAGAATCCTTCCTTGTCTTTTTCCAGCTTCTGATATTGTGCTAGTCCTTGGTGTTCTTGGCCTGTAGCTACATCACTGCAGTTGCTGCCTCCATCTTCATATGACCATCTTTCTCTTTGCATCTGTGTAGATTTCCATGTCAGGAGGACACCAGTCATATTGAATTTAGAGCCCACACTAAATGGCTCTTCATAACTTGATTACATCTGCAAAGACCCTTTTTCTAAACAAGGTCATATTCACAGGTTCTGGGTGAACATAAATTTGGAAGAGACAATATTCAACTTGCTCTAACAAGCCATGGAATTTTCCCCCAATGATATATTCACATGCATTTAGTCTTTATGTAACACTATAATTAATAGAAGTTTTTGAGCACTTGTGATATGTCAGGCACTGTGCTAAGCATTTTACTCTCATTCACGATTTTCAAGATAAACAATGGAAGATCAGAGCAGTCAAGTAGTTTGTTCATGGTTACACATCCAAGTGAGTGCAGAGCTATTGCTCAAGTTAGTAATCACTTTAAGTGCTTGGGTTTTTTTTTTAGTTACTGAAATGGAAGAAAGTTTTTCCTATGTGTTTTGGTTAAGTGGGTTGGTGTTCATATTTTCCATGCTGCACCAAGATTTCCCAGCACTTCCTGGGTTGCACAGGTCTTTTTTTTTTTTTTGAGATGAACCTAGGTGATAGGCTGAATCTTGGTGATAGGCTGTTGAGTTATAATTTGTCTTCGGGTGGGAGATTGGAGGGATGGTGGGGCTTTTCTTTTTAAGGATTTACTTTGTTGCTTATTAACATTAATTTTATTTAAGTGGCGTATTACCAAAAAAAAAAAAAGTATTTGTGACTACTGCTAGGTGATTCTAGGATCCAGACACCAGTTTCTGTTCTGTCAGAAGGTAGGTATTACCTTCCAAGCTGTGAAGTGAGTAGAGTCCCTTTTGGGAATAATATTGCTCTCTGGAGAAAGAATATAACTTCTAGGAACTCCTCTGTACTACTTCTGCATGCTGTTGTACTCTTTTAATTTTCATAGTTTGTCAGCTTGTTTTTTAAAAAGAAACTCTTCCATGCTTTAGAAGGAGAAACGAAAACAATATACGTACCTTGAGTGTATACTAATTAAAGGTTTACTCATGTATGTTCGTTTAATGATCAGAATAAATCTTCAGAGGCTTGTAAAAGGCAGAGCTAAATTTAAACTCAGGACTTTTTATCTGATTCCAAAGCATTTTTTTTCTAACATACTTTGCTGTTGTGTCCTTTTCATCATTTCACTGAAACATGTTTGTTGAAATTTCACACCTGGTAAATGAGGGGAAAGAATAGGGACTAAGCAGTTTTTAAGAGGCAGGGTCTTGCTCTGTTGCCCAGGCTGAGGTGCAATGGCCAGATCATAGTTCTTTGTAACCTGAAACTCCTGGGCTCAAGCTATCCTCCTACCTTAGCCTTGCAAGTACAAGTAGCTGGGACCATAGGCAAGTCCCACCATGCTTAGCTAATTGTTAAAGGGTTTTTTTTATTTTAAAGGATGGGGTCTCGCTGTGTTGTCCAGGCTGGTCTCAAACTCTTGACCTCAAGTGATCCTCCTTGCCTTGGCCTCCCAGAAGCACTGGCTTGACTCTTACGTTGTTTTTTAAAATCTCCTCTTCTGACTACTCTTTGAGATTACACAGCTGTAGCTGAGGATGGAAATGTTATTGAGGATGGGAGGTGGAAGAGCATTGAAACTTTTGAATAGGGAAGGAGTTGAATGGGAACTGCAGAAGCTTATAACACCTTTCTCTTCAAAATTTTCATAAAGCTGTTGAAGTTCTCATCTTAATAGGGTTTTTTAAAGCACTTTAGACAACTTATCTTTTCCAGGTAGCCCAGGGTGATTCTTGTGGAACTGGTCTGCAGTGGGGTCACTGGTTTGTCTTGAGATGCATAGGGAAGATTGACCTGATAGAGTGATGTAAGGAAGTATGTGAAATTGCCTGTTAGCTGTATTGCAAATACAGTTGAGAGAGGGTTCATCCACAGAGGAGTCACTTAGGAGGTATTAAGGCTGCATGTAACTGTGACCCATTCCAGTTCCTTTGGTCCTTGTGTAAAGCAGAAGCTTGCTTCACTCTTGGAGTTTTCTAGGCCTGTGCAGCCTAAGCATGATCCTGGCTCTGACTCGGGACATGGCGAAGGAAAAGGAGACTCTTGACCTTTTTCTTCGGCTTCTACCGGTTGCTATTTCATAGTACAGCAGCCCTAAGTTTATTGCCACCAGGCTAATGGCACAGCTATTCAACACTGACCCAGTTTAAACCTGGAATGTTAGGGAAGCCCATGTTGGGGTAGCATGACAGGTGTGGAGTAGAACATTATGAAGTTTTCTCAGCTAATGCTAACCTTTCTTTTCATGGTTATTAAACATGAGTAAACTTTATCCGAAATAAGTGTTATTGTGGCATATGAAACATTGTATACAGAAAAGGGCAAAGTCATTAAGTGTATAGTTAATGAATAAGTATAGCTCAAAATATATTAAATATATTTTGGGGAATGTTAAGTAATTATGTAGACCTCCTCTGTAAAGCCTCACTTTCATCAGTCTCTTCAGTTAGGCTCTTTTCTGCTCTGACATCACCTTCTCTCAACTTCTGTTATAGTACTGTCATAATACTTTGTCTCTTTGTCTGTTCAAGGCTAGATGAACATAAGCTCCTTATGGTAGAATCTGTTTTTATTTTATTACTGTGTTTTCACACTACCTTGCACGTGGTAGCCACTCAATAGATGCTACCTGCATGAATGACTCTTACCTACTTGGATGCTTTTTATTTGCTCAGCCTCTTTTTAGCTGTTTTCATCCTTTTTGGTGTGAGGTACAGTATTAAATTAGAGGATCCAGTGTTTGGTTTTGAATGCCATAGTGAACTTACATATCTTGGGGGCAATGGACAGTGTATGGATGATTGTTGGTTGCTTCAGTGTAACACTTGAGCACATATTTTCAAAAATAGGTTTAATTAAAACTAATGTGTATTCAAATGTCCTCTGAACAAATGAAGAAGAGTTCCATTCTTCTGGTTGTGGAAGCTAGAAACCTTGGCAGTGTCTCTGACTCTTTTCCCTCCTATCTTGTAAGCACATTGGCATAGCTGGTTGATTCTGTCTTCAAATAAACATTCAAGCAGGGGCACAGTGGCTCATGCCTGCAACCCGGCACTTTGGGAGGCCAGGGCGGGTAGATCTCTTGGCCCCAAGAGTTTGCAACCAGCCTTGGCAACATGGTGAAACCCCTTCTCTACTAAAAATACAAAAAACTAGCCAGGCGTGGTGGTATGCGCCTGTAGTACCCCCTCCCACTTGTATCTCTCTCTCTCTCCTGGGCTTAAGTGATCCTCCTGAATATCTGGAACTACAGGTGTGATATTACACCAGGCTAATTTTTATTATTATTGTTTTTGTGGAGACAGGGTTTTGCCACGTCGCCCAGGCTGGTCCTGAACTCCTGGCCTCAAGCAGTCCTCCTCCATTGGCTTCCCAAAGTGCTGGAATTACAGGCATGAGCCGTCACGACCAACCCCACCATTTCCACTTCTTAATCCCCTCACTATCCTATATTTTGTTCTCTCTAGCATTTAATACCTTCTAATGTAGTACATAACATTTACCTATTTACATTGTTTTTCTTTGCCGCAGTATTAGAACGTAATAAGCACTTTGAAGGATGGGTTAGGGGAGAGGGATAGGTCTCTCATTTTTTCTTGTATCCTTAGTACCTAACAAATGCTGATGAGCGGATAAATGATTTAATTAACTGAACAAAAGAGGAATGAAATATTAGTTAGATGCAGACTTTTGCCCCAGTTCTGCCATGTATTGGCCTGTAGAGACATAAGCTTTGACCTACATCCTCTGTGGGTCTATAAAATTATGTCGATGAATAGATGGTCCCTACCAAGTTTTATTATACTCTCTTAGGAGATGTCTTCATAATCTATCTGAGGGTTGTATTTAGAAATTATTCTGTAGTTTAAGGAAAAATTCTTCCCTTTGGAAAATACTGACTGCGTCCTTACTTTCATATAACTGAAAAAGAAAAATTGAAGGAGTAATTTTATATCTAATTGTTAGATTTATTTATCTTCTGGCTATAATTATTATAAAGTTAATATTTTCCTGTTAGGAAAAAAATTATACAACTCAACAAATATTTGCTATGCATTTATTTTCTTGGTGTATGACTCTGCTAAGGGACATGGGTCATTTAAATATATTTGTATTTTGTCCACATCTTCAATAAACTAACATTAGTTAACAATTAAAGGCTGGGTGCAGCGGCTTGCACATGTAATCCCAGCACTTTGAGAGGCCGAGGCAGGTGGATTGCTTGAGTCTAGGAGTTTGAGACGAGCCTTGGCAACATGGTGAAAGTCCATCTCTACCAAAAAATAGAACAATTAGCTGGGTGTGGTGGCTTGCACCTGTTATCCCAGCACTTTGGGAGTTTGAGGCAAGTGCATTACTTGAGTCCAAGAGTTCGAGACCAGCCTGAGCAACTTGGTGAAACCCCATCTCTACCAAAAAAATACAAAAATTAGCTGGATGTGGTGGCATGCACCTGTTATCCCAGCTATTTATGGGGTTGAGGTGGGAGGATCACTTGAGCCCGGGAGGGGGAGGTTACAGTGATTCGTGACCACACCACTGCACTCCAGCACAGGTGACAGAGCTTGACCCTGTCTCAACAAACAAGAAACTGAGGCAATAATAAGTGAAATAAATAATGTGGCATAAGATTATGAATGCTCTGGAAATGAGATTTAAATACACAGAAAGTAAGATACAATCACCGTGCTTTAGGAGGTCTGGCAGTGTGGATAAAGCAAGTAGGAACTCATTAACCCGGGACATTTTCTTGGAAGGAGGTGGGACTTGTTGAAAATCTCTTTGGAAGGACGAACGGCAATTTGGACTGATAAAATATAAAAATGAGTATAAATAAAGATGAACAGCTCATGTGTTAACCTTTAATTCAGTTTTTTTTAACCTTCTACTGACTAATAACCCTTACCTCCAGCAGCAGCAACAGCTTCACATTCATTGAAACATTTGTCTAGGAGATGATGAGATTGGTATAACACTAACAAATATTTGGGGAAAGTAGTTGGAAATTGATCTTTAAAAAAGTTCTTAGGAACCGGTTATGGGAAAATTTGAATAATAAAATGATTTTTGGCATGCTTTGTACAGGAAGCAGGAAGACAGTTTGGGCCCTTAAGTAGGGAATATCTGTTGAATACAACGTTTTGAGAAGGCAGTGGTGTACAAGATAACTGTCTTTTGCAAATAGTTTTTATTTGGATGTGATAAAGTTTGTAAGGTATATCTTATGCTTTTGATTTAGGGAAGAAAATATTTTGAAGCAGAAGTTCTTTAACCAGAGAAACCTCATTTTAAAGGCTAGGGTTAATGTTTCTTGCTTACTAGTTAATGGCCTTTCTCTTGTTTCTGAGGAGACTCCAATTCTTTTTTTTTTTTTTTTTTTTTTTTTTTAATTTTTAAAATTTTGAGGTGGAGTTTCGCTCTCGTTGCCCAGACTGGAGTGCAATGGCACAGTCTTGGCTCACTGCAACCTACACCTCCCAGGTTCAAGCGATTCTCCTGCCTCAGCCTCCCAAGTAGCTGGGATTACAGGGGCTCACCACCACGCCCAGCTATTTTTTGTATTTTTACTGGAGACGTTGTTTCACTGTGTCGGCCAGGCTGGTCTCGCACTCCTAACCTCAACCTCCCCAAGTGCTAGGATTACAGGTGTGATCTACCACACCCAGCCTCCAATTCATTTTTGTTGTTGTTGTTGTTGTTGTTGGAGATAGAGCCTTGGTCTGTCGCCCAGGCTGGTGTGCAATGGTGTGATCTTGGCTCATTGCAACCTCTGCCTCCTGAGTTCAAGCGATTCTCCTTCTTCAGCCTTCCGAGTAGCTGGGACTATGGGCATGTGCCACGACGCCTGGGCAATTTTTGTATTTTTAGTAAAGATGGGGTTTCACCATGTTGGCCAGGCTGATCTTGAACTCCTGACGACCTCAGGTGATCCACCCGCCTCAGCTTCCCAAAGTGCTGGGATTACAGGTGTGAGCCGCCATTCCGGGACCCTCCAATTCATTTTTGATACGGGCTAAGTGTAGTCATATTCCAGAATAGGGAGGCAGTGCTTCTTTTGCTTCAAGAGAAAAAGAGATACATACTTCTTTTTTAAAAACTGAAATAAAATTCCATTTTTCTTTCTTAATGTTTTCCCCTTTTCTGCAGCTTGTATTTCATATTGGTTTTTTAGTTACAAGGACCCCAGGGATGGATCATCTGGTTTAGTGGCTCATAAGAGTCTGTCGTATGGCCTAGAGAGCTAAGACTAATAGTCACAATCCCTAGTCCCCCAAATCTATACTTTAGGATGTTCTTTGAGCCCAAACTAATCAAGTCTAGTGTTTTTCAACTTTACAAGTTTAGGACTTACCAGGGGAGCTTTTAAAGAATAGTAGAATATCCACCTCTGGGCATGGTGGTAGGCACCTGTCATCCCAGCTACTCCAGAGGCTGAGGTGGGAGGATTGCTGGAGCCCAGGAGTTTGAGATCAGCCTCGGTAACATAGTGGGGTTGGCGGGGTGGGGGAGGAGAGAGACACCCACCTCCATGTACCCACCATGTCCTGCCTCCCTTCCCCCATAAAAAGGTAGACTACCTGGCCCCACCCCCAGAGGTACTGAGTAGATGTTGGACCTAAGCCAGTATAGTTTGATAAGGTTCCCCAGGTGATTCTGATAATAAATTTCCATTAAGAGCTTCTTAATCTAGTTAGATCTCTATTTTTTAGACCAGAGAAAGAGATTGGGAACCCTGATCACTTGCATCCCAGTCTTTCGGTTATATAGTGTCATAGCCTTATTTTTGTCACCTCTTCTGGTATACATGGTGGGATTCATATGTAGTATTTTGTTTTTTTAATAATAAGATACCTTCTGCCTTTACCCATCCTGGCTCATTATATGTACAATGGGGAGGACTTGTGGGTTCATTTTTAATTTCTTTTTATGTAAATTGTTTCCTGGAATGAATTTCCAAAGGTCTGAATTTGAAATTGTCAAGCAGGAACTTAATCTGAAGTAATATTTATGCTTATGAAAAAAGCAGGTTCCTTTGGGCCAGCTTTTAAGAAGCTCTTGGTTTCTCATAAATTGTAGGGGACTGTTCCACATTTGTTTCATTCAGTTTTGTTTGTGCAGGTATAGTTGGTGGAGTACATGATTAAGAATAGTAGCATTTTCAGCTTAGTAAGTCATAAACTGCATTTGTTGGCTACAAAAACTGCATTGCTGCTGTTAATCTAGTGGAGTCTAGTAATATGGTATAAATGCCATAATCTGGTAAAGATTTCATATCTGAAAGATATGAATAAAGATGCTAAATGGCTGATGAGCCATGTAGGTCAGAGCAGTCAAGTGGCAGAGAGGGGAGCCTGGGTCTGCTGCTTGTTGAAATAGCTCTTTGGGAAAACAAAGCTGCTGCTGCTGTAGTTTGTTTCTGAACCATAGGGTGAGGAAGAGGGGGCCTCTAGTACACCAACAGTCCTTTTGAGACTTAACTCCTAAATTAAATTTGAAGTTTATACTGCTCACTTATGCTATTTTTCTCCTCTCTATCCTGCAGGGGTTGATAGTTCTTGGGGAGGTACCTCCCCCAGAGCATACAACAGACTTATTTCTTCCACTTAGTTCTGAGGTGAAGACAGATCATGGGACTGATAAATTGGTAAGTATAAAAGATAGAAAGGGGGAAATGCGTGAGAATTAAGGGTGTTGTCTTGGCACACCGTTTTTTCTCTGTAACTAGGATCCTTGCATTGGCTGAAGAAGGGGAACTGTATCTACTTTTATCACTTTTGGTGTTTTAAGATCTGAATTCCTGAATAGGGAATCTAGGGCCCATCCTGCAGCTGTGTAGCTGACCATAGGATTAAAAGCAGCTCCAATTCTCAAAACACTACAGCCAGAGCAAGTAAGGCTTTAGGGAGTATCATTGGGAATCAGGAGACCTGGGTGTGGCTCTGACACCTGAGACATAAGGTCACCTTTCTGGGCCACTCTAATATATTATAGCCTTTTCATTAAAAGGTTAGACTAGAGGTTAAATTCACAAGAACACTGAAAATGGTCTCTGTGGGTGATTCACTGTTATTCTATAATGAGCATTAAACTGTCATTTTCTGTTTCCTTCTGTATCCTAGCTCTACTGTGATTCCTTCTCTTTCCTGGTTTCTCTCAATACCATAGTTAATTTTCTTTCTGAATTCCAAGAGCACTTGTTCTTTTCACTTTTTTACTTTGCCTAAAAGGTTACTGGGTTTTATGAATATTCATATTTCTTGATTTAAGTCTCCATAACTTAATTAGAAATTCCAAAGTCCCACAACCGTAGTTTATTATTTTGATTATGCTTCAGATAATAAAGCTAGTGTGAAGTGATGGCTTTTTAAATGGTGAGTTAAGCAAGCTGTTCTTGTATCCGCAAATAAACCAACCTTATAGTTCTTTTATTTATTTTAATCATTGTTAGCAGGAACGCATGATGTGGTGGAAACTAAATTTTCTCTGAGGCAGATATTGGAGATGTTTAGATCTTGGAAAGATCTCTCACCTAATTTTGAAAGCCAGCCACTGTTGCTAGAGATAAATGTGAAGACACTAGAAGATTGATAGTTCTTAACTGGAAAGTAGTTTTGAATAAATTAAAGAGCAGAATGCCAAGTTTTGCCACTATTTAAGTCTATAATATAAGTTCATTGCATGCTGTTTACAGATCTTTTTTAAGTTATTAATGAAACTTTTAGTGAATGGTCTAATCAGGGTAAAAATTGTTAAGTGAGAAAGGAAACATAGATACATTGGTGGTATGGGTACAGGAAACATGAAACATGAGGCATATGTGATAGGGGAGTAAGTTCTATGTAGATACTTATATATTTGTATATAGAATTTAGGGATTCCAAACTTTTTTGAGTAATCTCCCTGTAGTCATGTTTTCTCTTACCTCAGCACTTCTGAAGGACAGGGCATAACAGTCCTCCATTGTGTTACTAATCCTCATTGTCTTAAAAAATCCACAGTGATTGTGAGACAGTTTATACAGATTCACTTGTACACACACACTCTTTAGGAGCTTGGTCCTTTCCCTACCCTTCATTCATTTACTTGTGTGTTAAATTGTAAGATTCCTGTGTGTGTATTAAATTGTAAGATTCTTGAAGGTCAAGACCATCTTTCCCTTTGTGTTGGCCATACTAGTTTCAACATTGTGCAATAGAATGCTTTTTGGATTGAGTAAAATAAATAATGAAAACAACTAAGTATACACTGTCACTATTTTGTCAAGGAGAGATTACCCCTTCCCTGTTTTCGTGAATTATCTACCCTTTATGAATATATCCATGCTTTCTGAAAAGCGTTCAGAAAGTATTAAGAGAAGACAGGGGTTGGGGGGTGGGGTGGGGGGAGCAGGGACAATACATTTCCATTGTTTATTATTAGTAGAATGGGCGCAGAGCATATGTTTCTTAAAAGCTATTGACTTAAATTTTTAAAATGCCAAATATTTGCAAAGCTGTGCGTATGTCAATTGCCAGGCAAAGTTTTTCTGTATAAGAAGGCAGTATTTAACTTTGCTTGTTTGTTCCCCAGGTTTTTTTGTTTTGTTTTGTTTTAAATTTTAGGAAAGTGACTTTTCTCAGTTTTGCTTAAAAAAAAAAATTAGGTTGCCCGGGACAGAGGGCAACTGTAGGTTTTCATACCCACATGTAACCAGCCTGTTTTCCATTTTGTTAATTTTTTCCCCAAATGGAGGTAGGTGTATTTATTCCTTTTTTTTTTTTTTTTTTTTTTTTAAGACAGGCTCTTGCTCTGTCACCCAGGCTGGAGTGTAATCGCACAATCATAGCTCACTTCAGCCTCAAACTCCTGGACTGTGCTTGTTTATTACCCAAAAATATATTTGAAGACTTGTAGTTTAAAAATAATAATGTCAGAGGTATTTTCTGTTATGTTTAATTTTTTTATTCTCATTTCTGAAACTCAGCTGGAATTAACAAAAAAATCAGCGTCTTTAGAATTGTCAAAATATAGTTTCAAAACATTAGATATAATTCTTTTCTTTTTCTTTCTCTCTCTCTCTGTCTCTCTCTCCCCTCTCTCTTCTTTTTCTCTCTTTCTTTCCATCTTTTTAGACAGGGTCTTATTCTGTCACCCAGGCTGGAGTGCAGTGGTGCGACCTTGGCTCACTGCAGCCTCTACCTCTCAGGTTCAAGTGATCCTCCCACCTCAGCTTCCCAAGTAGCTGGGACTACAGGCATGTGCCACCATGTCTGGCTAATTTTTGTATTGTTTGTAGAGATGGGGTTTTACCAAGTTGCCCAGGCTGGTCTCAAACTCCTCAGCACAAGCAATCCGCTGGCCTTGGCCTCCAAAACTGCTGGGATTACAGGTGTGAACCACTGCACCAGCCTAGACATAATTCCTAAATATATAGTGATTTACTGAATAACAAGGGAATCATGATGGTGGCCAAACTGTTAACAGTATTTTAATACCAGATAAAAAGGAAGAATGCAGGAATATGATTACTCAGTAGCATACAAAAGTTATTAATATCCTATAGAACAATAAAGCTGTAACTTTGGACATTGTTTTCAACAAGATGCAAACCAACTTTAACTTGTCAGCGTTCTAAAATAAACATCCAGTAAGACTTCTGGGCCCTAATCAATTATAGATAGTAGGTAAAACAAAGTTAAATAATTTATGGAGAGTCAGATGTTTCCTGGGTGGGCTTGTTAGGTAATGTCCCAGTGGTACACTGCAAGGATACATAGTCTTTTTGCTTTATTTCCAAACAGGATGATTGTTTATTGACAGAACCAGTATATATCTGCTTGGGTCTTGAATACAGTACAGATATTATTGAACTAAGTTGTTCTAAAAGGACCCAACCTATGAGCAAAAGAACTGGAGACTGAATTCATGGGTGAACCTTTTTTGAGTCATGGAGCAAATCAAGGAATATTTTCTGGGTTAGGGAAGTGGGTACTGTTTTTATACCACAGAGTAGTGGGTTAGAGAAAGGGAAGACCTAAGGAGGAATGCCTAGAAAAATGCCTCTTTTTTTATTTTAACCTCTTCATTCTGACTTCTGACTCAAAGGCAGTTTTAAAGGTGTAAGGCTAGCTGAGGGAGAGAAAACTTAACGGGCCTCTAGCTTGGTAGCTGCCGATAAGTCGTGTGTACAGATAAATGCTTCTGTGAAATTTAAGACTCCTTTTGAACAAAGAGGGTGTGCCCTTGGAAAGAGAGCATGTAAAAAGCGGTTGAGAGTTGTTCTCTAGTGTATTGAAACATGCCTCTTATCTTCCCCACCTTCTCATTCTCTCTCTTCAAATAGAAGCTTGCTTTCCCCTGCTTAAGAAAAAGTAATGAGCAAAGAAGGGCAAGCTTGGAACCTGTGCATATTACTAGGTAAATTACTCAACAATGTCAGCAAAATTTCAGACAGAAAGTATTGCCAGGAAGAGATGAGAGCATTCTCAGTCCATGTGCCCCAGAGCTTCTAGAATTCAATAGTCACTGCTTCATGGGCTTGTTTGTATATTATCAGAGGATGGAGTTCAGGGCTGCCAAGTAGGTAGAAATTGAAGGAGGGGAATAGTGGCAAAGAGGGAGCTATGGGAGATGGGGAGGGGCATAGGCCCACAATCTATTTGAGCCCCTTTCAGATCTTTGTGCTCACCCCTGACCTGCACATGTTTAGGGAAGATTTTATAGGGCATAGTGGAAAGCAGTAATTGGAAGGCTGAAAGAGCTGAGCAGAGAAGATCATCATTGCCTAATGCAGGGAAGGCAGAATTTGGAGTTCGAATTCCAACTAGACTTGGCAAAAACCTGAGGGCTTTGATTGAAACCAATAAAGGCTCACACTTAAAGAGTTAAAGAATGTTTCCCAGGACGAAGGCATTCACCATAGGATTAAGGAGGGAACCAAAATAGACTCCACTATGCTTTTATAAAAACAAAACTAGCTCCACAAAATGAAGGTAACCAGGTAGTAGTAGTATGCCTGCTAGAACAAAAATCAACACTCTTTAGGAAAAGCTAACTAAATTCAGAGTCTCTATAATGTATTGCATACATTGTCTGTATATAATAGAAAATTACCATACATATGAATAAACATGAGAATATGATTCTTAGTCATGAGGAAAAAGAAAAAAAAAGATGGAAAAAAATTGAGGAACTTAATGACTGGATTTTTGAATTTAAACAGTCAGTTTACAAATGTATGAAACTTTAGGCCGAGCACGGTGGCTCATGCCTGTAATCCCAGTACTTTGGGAGGCCGAGGTGGGTGGATCACCTGAGGTCAGAAGTTTGAGACCAGTCTGGCCAACATGGTGAAACCCTATCTCTACTAAAAATACAAAAATTATCCAAGCGTGGTGGCAGACACCTGTAATCCCAGCTACTCGGGAGGCTGAAGCAGGAGAATCGCTTGAACTCAGGAGACAGAGGTTGCAGTGAGCCGAGATCATGGCACTGCACTGCAGCCTGGGCAACAGAGTGAGACTCCGTCTCAAAAATAAAATAAAAAAATCATGAAACTTCAAGAATAATAACCATGAGAATCACAACATTGTAGTAAAAATCGTGAAAATCAAAGGTGAAGACCTTATTCCTGAGCTGTGATGCTGTTTAAAAATTAGGAAAAAAACCTAACGCCTAACATCACACTACTTGGTGAAAGTGCTTGTTTTGTTGGTCTACAATTAGGAAAAAAATATATCCTAAAAATATTGTAAGCTGGGCACAGTGGCTCATGCCTGTAATCCCAGCACTCTGGGAGGCCAAGGTGGGCGGGTCGCTTGAGCCTCAGAGTTCAAGACCAGCTCCAGCAACCTGACGAAACCCCATCTCTACAAAAAAATACAAAAATGAGCCTGGTGTGGGGGCGTGCACCTGTAGTCCTCACTACTCTGGAAGCTGAGGTGGGAGAATTGCTTGAGCCCAGGTGGTGGAGGTTGCACTGAGCTGAGATCATGCTACTGTACTTGAGCCTGGGCGACGGGGTGAGACCCTGCCTCAAACAAACAAAAACATTGTACTCTGTCTTGGCTAATGCAATATTGCAAGAAAAAAGCAATTAAAGGCATGGAAATTGGAAAAGGTAGGGCAAAACTGCTTGTATTTGAAGATATGATACTTAGAAACCCCATGGAATTCCCTAAACCTGTGAGAATTAGAGATTTAGCCAAGGTCTCCAGGTACGGGGTCAATATATAAAAGTCAATTCTATTTTTATTTATTAGAGCAAACAACTGAAAAATAACCCGGAGAAACAGTTCCATTTGCGGTAGTATCAAGAAACATAAAATACTTAGGAATAAATCTAACAAAAGACGTTAATGACTTTATTGCTGAAACCATAAAACTTCTGAAAAAGATTACATAAGTGAACGGAGATGTATGCTGTATTTATGTGTTAGAAGAGTCAATGTTAGACACAATGATTCAATGCAAACCCAGTGAAAAATCCCAGCAAGATTTTTTGGTTTATGTTGTGTTGTTTTTGGTAACAATTGAACATTGATTTTCAAGTATGTATGGAAATGTTAAGTATTTTCAAGAGCCAAAACAATTTTTTTTTTTTTTTTTTTTGAGATGAAGTCTCTCCCTGTCACTCGGGCTGGAGTTCTGTGGTGTGATCTGGGCTCACTGCAACCTCCACCTCCTGGGTTCAAGTGATTCTTCTGCCTCAGCCTCCCGAGTAGCTGGGATTACAGGCGTGTGCCACCACACCCAGCTAGTTTTTGTATTTTTAGTGGAGACGGGGGTTTCACCATGTTGGCCAGGCTAGTCTTGAACTCCTGACCTCAAGTGATCCGCCTGCCTCGGCCTCCCAAAGTGCTGGGATTACAGGCGTGAGCCACTGCACCTGGCCAGTAGCCAAAACAATTTTTAAAAACAAGAACCAAATTGGAGGAGTCACACTCTCCTCCTACTACCTGATTTCTAGCCTTCTTACAAAGTTAATTTAAAATTTATAATTTGCTTTTAACAATGTTTGATAGATAATGAAAGTTAGTAAAAGCTAATTGTCATTGTTCCAGACTGCACTTTGTGTCTGAAAGACTAAGTAGAACCAGGTATCTATCTTTTCTTGAGTGCTTCTTGTTCTTCCAACAAGCATAAAATGGGAGTGCTGGAGGGAGTCAGTAAAGGTAGTTTCCTAGGGAAGGATGGACTTTTTTCTGAGTCTTATGGACTTGCTGAAGCATGGTGTAGGGAGTAATGTGTAATGCAGCATAGGCTTGAAAGAGCCTGGCATTATCAGGTAACTGCAAATACTTTTCTGTGATGGAGTGTTGGATATTTTGGCCAATTCAGAATGGATTCTATATTTATCTTAAGTGAGTACTGTAACTGATAGGAACCTGTAGACTGTACAGATTTATGTATGAATGAAGTTTGTTTTATTAATGCTAGATACATTTTTTCTTCATTCTTTTAAAATATGATTTTAGGCTGGGCACGGTGACCTAAAATCCCAGCACTTTGGGAGGCAGAGGTGGGCAGATCACCTGAGGACAGAAATTTGAGACCAGCCTGGCCAACATGGTGAAACCCCGTCTCTACTAAAAATACAAAAATTAGCCAGGTGTGGTGGTGTGCGCCTGTAATCCCAGCTACTCGGGAGGCTGAGGCACAAGAATCACTTGAACCCAGGAGGCAGAGGTTGCAATGAGCCAAGATTGTGCCACTGCATTCCAGCCTGGTCAACAGCGAGATTGTGTCAGAAAGAAAGAGAGAGTGTGTGTGTGTTGAAATAGTAGTACAGAGTCTCCGTACGGAGCTTTCTCTAATCTTAACACATCTTGTCACAATAATCGTTAATTATCAGAACCACGAAATTAACATTGAAATTAACATTGAACTTATACAAAGTAATAGACATACTTTATTTGAATTTCTGTATTATTAGTTTTCTTATTAATGTCCTTTCTGTTGTCCAGAATCTATCATTGCTTTTAGTTTTTGCATCTCTAAATGTCCTTCAATATGTGAGAGTTCTCAGTTTTTGTATTTCATTACTTGGATACAAGATTTCTGGTCAGTTATTTTGTATAGCGTTCCACAAATTGGTGTTTTCTCATTATTAGAGGTTACGCATTGTTTTACAGGAATGCCACAGAAGATACTGTACCCTTCTCTACACCACAGGGGGTTCATGATTTTGACTTGTCTTTCTAATAGTGATGATAGGTTTGTTCCCTTGGTTAAGGTGGTGCCTGACAGCTTTCTCCTCTGTAAAATTAGCATTTTTCCCTTTGTAATAACTGACAATATTTATTTATTTATTTATTTATTTATTTATTTATTTATTTATTTAGAGATAGGGTCTCACTTTGTCACCCAGGCTGGAGTGCAGTGTCGCAATCACCACTCCAGCCTTCACCTCCCTGGCTCAGCTATCCTCCCATCTCTCAGCCTCCCAAGTAGCTGGGATCACAGGCATGTGCCACCATGCCTGGCACATTTTTATGTTTTTTGTAGTGACAAGGTTTTGCCATTTTGCCCTGGCTGGAATAAATGACTGTCTTATAGGGAGACACTATGTAAATATTCTGTTGCTCATTATATTTTTACTCATAATTTTATTGTTCACTGATGACTTTTTCCTACAGCAATTATTGCTGTGTTGTTTACTAAAGGGTGGTTGTTCTACTTCCTACCTGCATTAAATGGAATTCTGTTAGGAAGAGGTGTCTTCCCCCCTCATTTATTTACTCATTCATTGACTCAGTTGTGAATATCAGGATGGTCCCATGGATATTTATTTTATTTAATGGATTATAACCTATTACTGTTTATACAGTTGCTCCAGTTATCTCAACTTTGGGTATTGGGCGCTCTTTCAGATTGGCTCCTGTGTCCTTTTAGCATGTACCGCTTATATTTTGAAATACTTTCTAATACTAGATGTTCCAGGTTCCTCTTGTATTTTGCCTACTTCAGCTCAGGTTCCTTTTATTAGGAACTAAAATCTGAGTACTAGTTGTGCTCATTGTTACTTCGTAAGTGTCACTGCTTCTAGGATGTCTCAAAAGGCAAAGCAAGGAAACATATGTATCTATGCTCACAGGTGCATACACACACATCTATATTTCTGTATCTACTTAACCTGTATATATATATAAAAAACCGTAAGTTCATACCAGTTCAACACAGCAGCCTTCCCCCTTCCTTATTGATACTCGTTTAATCCTAGTACCCGTATAGTCTCACAGTTGTCATCTAGTACCCCTGTGAAAAACACATTTGCTAACTAGAGTACAATATTTTTGTACAGTATGTTAACTGTTATGCAGTCAAAATACAGTTTTCTGAAGTTACGTAGGTTAGTTATTTCCTTCCACCAAATCTTTCAGTATGGTTATGTTGTTTTGTAATACAGTTAGGTTCATTTGTTACTACAGTATTCAATTCTAGCCTTCCCTGTTTTCCCCACCCCGCATTGTTAATTTTTATTTTTGTATGGGAAACATTACTGTGGTTCTAAAAAAGCTATACATTCTTCTTTATATCCTTTTCTCACTCAACGTCCTGTAGGTTAGCAATTTCAGTACGTTTTGGCTTATCTTTCCTGTATTTTTTTGCACCGATGAGCAGACACATGTATATATTTTTTAAAATCTCCTTCTTGGATAAATATTTTTTAAAATACTAGATTTGACGTTAAGGAGGGTTTTGTTTAGCGAAAAACATTGCTTCTATGGCAATTAACAAGTAACACATTATTTGTGTGTTAGTTTCTGTTTGTAAAATGATCCTGCTCCTTTACCCTTTCCTTGCTCATCCTACTTTACAGAAGTGATGAGAAAAACAAGTGTACTATTAAGTGAAGAGCTAATGCTTTCTCAGAAGAAAGGCATGCTAAAAATGTAAGCTATTGCTGTTTCTTTTTACACAGTCCAAGATACATCTTCATTCCATTGGTGTAAGTAGGAATACTCTTCCTTTCTTTGAAGTTTTGCAGTCTCTAGGGACAGTGAGTAGTTCATTGGCCTGACAAGGGTTTTGGGATAGAAGGTAAAGGGACAGATATTGGCCAAGAAATATTTGACCCACAGTGTTAGAAAACACTGACAAGTTAGGTCTTTTATAATAAATTGGGCTATGGATAAATAAGTTGAACAATAAGAATTTAAGATGCATTTTTGCATTTGCTATATTTCTTTAAATTCTAGATAGTTATTTTCAAGTGTTGGTAAACATAAATCTTAGGCTTAGGAACCATTGGATTAGTAACAGCATTATGCTAATCAAAACTTTAAAAAAATGAGTTCAAAATTGTTATAATGTAATTTTATAGATTTTCTTTTATCCTCAACCTGCAGAAGCCGGAAAGTGAGGCACATAGCCCCACATAGGCAGAAATTAAAGCCTAGGCAATAACTTAGTGAAAATGGAATTTTCAGAACATTCCACTTCTTGTTTAGTACAATTTTATGGCCATGGTGCTAGCTAATGGAAATGGCTAGTATACTATTTATAGGCCAGCAATATTTTGGTGAATTTAAGCGAAACTATGCTCAGTATCATTGAAATGGGGGTGGGGTGGGCTTGAGACATGAAATCAATCATACAAAGTCAAAAACTATTTTAACCCAGGAATAAGTTAAATTCCTGTCACCCAGTTAGCATTTTCTTTCCATTTTAATGTTTGTCAGAAAGGGAATAACTAACCAAAACTGAACTGTTGACTTTTCTAGCCAAACGAATGTGATACATTTAAAAAATGACATTGCAAGCAGGTGTGACATGGCATTAATTGAATAAAGTAAAAATACATATTTGCAGGTAGAGTTTAATTTTATTGTGTGCTTTTAAGTGTGTGGCTCTCTGTTTTTACCCCTTAACCCTCTCTACTTTTTGGTGAAACAAATCTAGTAGACATTGGTTCTTAGACCCTAGAAAAAACGACCCCCGTAAAAACTATTTAGTTTTAGCTTTTCATTCAAGGCCTCTTTGTCACGCTTACTTGATCTGGCCCAGAGTGGAGTAATGAATGAGATGCCTGCTTTATGTGAATAACAAATTTGAATCTCATTGCTATGTTAGTAATTTTATGCTGTACACCTGGCCCTTTCAATCGGGGCGGGGGGAGGGGTGGGGGGAGCAATTCAGCAACCCTCCTTGCTACCTTTAACTGTAAGATTACTCCAAAAGATAATCCCCTAGGGCCCTGCTTTGGAGAGGAGGGGATTACAGAGGCACTCTGTCTACCACTTTAGCTTTTCTACTCTTTCTTTCTGGCTGTGGGATGCATAAACCCTGAGTTCATCTCAACATCAAATAAAATTCAAATGGAAGCTTCAGTGATAATCCTTATTTTCTAGGTAGGAGAGTCTTAAGTTCTTTCATCCTTTTTGCAGTTGCCTATTGGATAGCAGATATCTCAGTCATGCTTTAGTTTTCTAAAAACACTAATGATGTAAACCACTGCAGTAGTAATAAGCTGAAATTAGTATGCGGATTTAATATTTCTTAAGTGTTTGTTAATGTTTATCCTCTGCATTTGCAGCCTTTTAGACTGCAGGATAGGAAATGTTCATTTTTTCTCAAGGGAGAGTGCCTGCATTTAAGGAGCTAGGTGAAATTACATGTGTTTGTGTGTTATGTTTTTCTTTTTCCAAATGGAACACTGTGATTGGGATTAATATTTTAAGCTCTTTGCATTGATGATGGGTTGCAGGACATGTCCAAATGCCTGCTGTTGGATACTAGCTTGATTACAGAATTTCCCAAGATCTTAAGTAGATCCTTCCTGAGTATCCAGTGCTTTCTTTTTTGTGGCTGGGAATGCAGGCCAGCCACAGTCCCTTTCTGATGTTTATGCTCTTGACCTCTGTATACCTCTATGTTCTTGACAACATTTCCATGTTAATAATGTGTTGCCTGTTGACTTCAATTTTGATTTGGGGGCTGAATTACTCCAGGAAGATTCAGGTTTCTATAAGAAAATCAATAACATTCATGTTAAAGCTGAATAGCATTTAAATATATACACCTGCAGACATGAGAAACAAGACAGGCTGTTATAGCAGTAGTAGTTAGCTATATGGATCGTGACATTACTGGTGATTTTACTTGACATATTCTTCTTTAGACTTTGTATAAGAAAGATAAATGTTTTGAAATGAGACTTTGTTAGAGAATGGCAACATTTTATCTTGACAAGTGTTCTTGCAGTTAAATCTCATAATCCCTACCAGAAAAACTTAATCAAATGGAGAGTCAGTCAACCCGTTACTTAAACGTAGTACCTTCTAGAACACGTGAAGGCACTACCATATAAATTATATATACCATATATAAATCAAATATACCATATAAATTATATATACCATATATAAATCAAATCACTGCCATAATTTAATGCCGAAATAAAAACAAACAGCATTTTTAAACAGCATTTTTCTATTGAAAGGAAACTTTTTCATCTAAACCAGAACTTCTGAAATCTAGAATACCTATAACATGCCTGAAGTTATACATCTGTTAGTTAATACCAACCTGAATCTTAAATTCTTTTGATTTTTCTTGTTCTTTGTCATACCATATTTGTTTAGCCTTTTTGAGGTTTCCCCTGTGTAGTAAATCCTTACTAGCATTCAGGAGGGTATTTGGTTTTATGGGGGTTTCTTTTTAATATAAAACTATTACCTAAAATGTAAAGAAAATTTCAGAATAGTTTTACAACTGTAACACTCTTTGTCTTGTTGTTATCTGTGTATGTATATTTTTAGTCACTACAACTATATTAAACTATTATTTTTTTCTCTTGAAATCTCTTCTTCCATAAGAGAAGAAATATCCTTTATGATTCTTTTTAATATTTTGATTTGGTGTACCACAACTGATAACTATAGTTATAATGCTTACAACATTTAGATTATTGATAGATATCATTGCAGTGACCACCTTTGTGAATAAGATTTTTGGGGCTGTGTTTGTTGAGTTACTCCTTTAGGGTAGATTTTTAAAAATTGGTTAGAATATTTTGTCAGAAGATAGGAATATCCTTATAGCTCTTGCTGCTTAATACCGTGTTGCTTTCCAAGGGAAATCTGCATAGAGCTTAAGGCAATGTGTCTATGCCAGATTTACTGTAATTTTTGATAGCATTGACAATTGTTCAAGATGTTTGTGATATCTTAGTAGATGTACAGGATATCCAACAAAAAAGACAGCCTTTTCTCGGTGTTCACTCATTGTAGCATACTTATATGACTTGTCTGTGTATATAGTTTGATCTGTATTTTAGGATAATTTGTATTAAAACTTTTAGATTATCTTCCCAATCTGTTTTTTGTTTTTGTTTGTTTTTTGTTTTGTTTTGTTTTGGAGACAGTCTCTCTCTCTCTCTTTCCCAGGCTGCAGTGCAGTGGCGTGATTTGGCTCACTGCAACCTCCACTTCCTGGGTTCAAGTGATTCTTGTGCCTCAGCCTCCCGGAGGAGCTGGGATTACAGACAGGCGCCACCATGCCCAACTAATTTTGTATTTTTAGTAGAAATGGGATTTTACCATGTTGGCTAGGTTGGTCTCGAACTCCTGACCTCAGGTGATCTGCCTGCTTCAGCCTCCCAAAGTGCTGGGATTACAGGCATGAGCCACCACACCCAGCCTCAGTCTGTTCTTTTTGATGCTTGTCTAGGACTACTTTCAGGTTCAGTCCTTTGGTGTTTTATCCTTGGGGGTATAAAGACAAAAGAAATCAGTATTGAAAAGTAGAATTTCAGCCTCAAAATATTTACCTTGAAAGCATTTGTAGGAAGCATTTATAGGAATATTTACCTTGAAAGCTTTTATAGGAAAGAGAACTTCAGCGTGCCCCAGAGTCAGTTCAAGTGTAAGGAGACAGGTTAGGTGTGGTGGCTCACACGCCTATAATCCCAGCATTTTGGGAGGCCGAGGAGGGCAGATCAGTTGAGGTCAGAAGTTCAAGAACAGCCTGGCCAACATGGTGAAACCCCATCTCTACTAAAAATACAAAAATTACATGAGCATGGTAGTGTGTGCCTGTAATCCCAGCTACTCAGGAGGCCAAAGCAGGAGAATCGCTTGAACCAGGGAGGTGGAGGCTACGGTGAGCTGCTATCATGCCACTGCACTCCAGCTTGGGCGGGATAGCGAGACTTCATCTCAAAAAAATAAAGTAAGGAGTCAAAGACCCATAGCCTTTCTGGGATAGTTCAACAATTGCTAGAACTGAGGGATAGCTGCATCTGTTGCTTTATTGCCTATACCTCAGAGGTGCTATATGACTGGCATTCATACTGTTCCTATCCGTTTTGAGCCTAGTAAATATATAATTTGTTTTGAATACTGCAAATCACACTTTTTCTATTCTTTCTCATCTGTTATTTCATTTTATATTCTAAACATATTTGATTTGAATACTCTAAAGACAATAGTTAGTATCTGATAGCATCAGATAATTAGATTCATTGAGATTTTATTAACTTTGTTTTCTGTCAGGGAAAAATGTGTGTGTGTGTTTATTTATTTATTTATTCATTGAGACAGGGTCTCACTCTGTCACCCAGGCTGGAGTGCAGTGGCATGATCATGGCTCACTGCAGCCTCTGCCTCCTGGCTCAGGTGATCCTCCTCCCACCTCAGCCTCCTGAGTAGCTGGGACTACATGCACGCACCACCATGCCCGGCTAATTTTGTATTTTTTTGTTGTAGAGATGGGGTTTTGTCATGTTGCCCAGGCTGGTCTTGAACCCCTGGGCTCAAGAGATCCTCCTACCTTTGCCTCTCAAAATACTGGGGTTACAGTCATGAGCCACCATCCCCGGCCTGTGTGTATATTTTTAAACAAAGCATAGTTTTTAGAAAACAAGCTTCTAGCATACTCTGTTAGAGTTAAGCAGATATTAACTACATTTAAATTTCCTCTTAGTCATCTTGATACTGATGTTAGTATATCCTTCTTGATCATTAGTTGAAAGCTTATGTTACTGTGTAATTGTTTTGCTAAGCTTCTGTTCCATAGAATTATTGAGGTCATTTTCCTGTCAATAGGTACTTACTTTTAGTCTGTACATTTGGATTCCTCATCCCTCTTCCCCCCAAAGCAAAAGCTAATATAATATTCTCCTTCTCTCTGTCAACCTCTCTCTCTCTCTTTTTAATTAGAGATGAGGTCTCGCTGTGTTGCCCAGGCTGGTCTCAAAACTCCTGGTCTCAAGCGATCCTCCTGCCTTGGCCTCCCAAAGTGCTGCAATTATAGTTGCGAGCCATCATACCTGACCACTGATTCTCTTATTTTCTTTTTCTTCAGTCATTCAAGTTGTGTTTTTCAAATTGATCATCAGAAGTTTTAGGTGCTTTGTGCAAATGAAGTGGTGGTGCTTTTCAGGCAGGGGTGCGCTTGGGTACATGTTAATTTCTTTTTTCCTTTTTCTTAATCAGATTGAGTCTGTTTCTCAGCCATTGGAAAACCATGGTGCCCCTATTATTGGTCATATTTCAGAGTCACTGTCTACCAAATCATGTGGAGCACTCAGACCTGTCAATGGAGTTATTAACACGTAAGTTTTAGCTCTTCTACTTCCTACACTTAGTAGACTTGTAAAGGTGTTTTGGAGCTCTTAGTTCTCTTTAGCCAGGACTGACCCTGGTTTAAAGAAGCGGAAGCCTTATCACTTAGTAACATTTTTAATCTTCACTGTATAATGAAGCAGTGCATTTTAATTAATTGTATATTTTCCTTTTACCTACTAAAATGGAGTGGGCATGGAGTAAAATAAAAGACACTACAGTTACTGTGAATTATTATTGTTTTAATCTTGCAGGAATTCCTCAGAAGTGCTTATATTAACCTCCTCTGCTTAGGACAGATTAGATCTCCAAGGGCTATGTTTGTAAATCTGTATTTATGAAGATTCAAGGGAGAAAACAAAAGATTCAGGGAGATTCTGTACAAGTGAATGATGTGTACAACACCCTTAAAATTCGGGTTTCATAGAACTGATTCTAAGGAAGCCCATTAACATTTGCAAAATTCATCATTTTCTAACCAACTGTAGTTCTCTAGACTTTATTTACTCGTGTGTTTGATGTAGAGGAGAACTCAATCACTAGAACTTGAGTTTATTTATTGACTTTTATCTTTCAGACATGATGTAGTTAATGTGCACCAAGAACCTTACACATAAGCACACACAGGTAGATTAACAGACATCAAGAGGAGACCTGCTTCTGCTCTAGAATGCTTCTTTGTGTCTGAACATTAGCAAATAGAGGTTGAACTAGTATAAGAGGCTTTGTTTCTTTGTGTTTTCTTGTTGTTTATTTATTTTGTTTCTTTGTGTGTTCTGAGAATACTCTTCCTTCCCCTTGTATAGTCTTCAGCCTGTCTTGGCAGACCACATTCCAGGTGACAGCTCTGATGCTGAGGAACAATTACATAAGAAGCAACGACTGAATCTCGTCTCTTCATCATCTGATGGCACCTGTGTGGCAGCCCGGACACGTCCTGTACTGAGCTGTAAGAAGCGGAGGCTTGTTCGACCCAACAGCATCGTTCCTCTTTCCAAGAAGGTCGGTACAGATGAGAGTTGGTCATTGTCAAGCAGTGAGCCAGATGCTCAGATAGAGTTAGTCTCTTGCCAACTTTGGTGTTTTCTAAACTTGGCTAACCACCAAGGTCTTCTGGGGAGCTTTATAAAATACTAGGTTCCTGGGCCCTGTTTGCTCTGGAGTTGGATGTTGGAATCTTGTTTTCAGAAAACACAAAGCTCCTCGGTGACTCTGCAGCTAGTTTTGAAAACCACTGTCTTGAGCTTTTTAATAGAAATGGGAGAGACTGAAAGTTTAAGTACTGCCCTTAACACTTTGAAGGAGAATAGTGTGCCCTCTCACCTTCACTGTTATCACTGAAAATGGCAGTATAGAATCCTTTGCCCTAAAAAAGAATCTTGGCCATGTGCAGTGGCTCATGCCTGTAATCCCAACACTTCGGGAGGCCAAGGCGGGAGGATTGCTTGAGCCTAGGAATTGAATACCAGCCTGGAAAATATAGTGAGACCTTCATCTCTACAAAGTATTTAAAAATTAAGCATGGTGGTGCACACCTGTAGTCCCAGCTATTCAGGAGGCCGAGGCAGGATTGCTTGAACCCATAAGGTTGAGGCTGCTTTGAGCTGTATTTGTGCCACTGTACTTAAGCTTGGGTGACAGAGTGAGACCCTGCCTGAGAAAAAAAGGAATCTTCACTAAAGTTTTTAAATTGATATTACTAAAAAAAAGTTTGTCTTCACAAAGGAAATGGAGATTAATTCACAACTGTAGGGAATTTTAGATTGCTGACTCTTCAAATAGCAGTTGCCTTTATTCCAAAACTAATGAGATAATAATATTCCAGTAAAATTGGTACTGTGCAGGAATTAAGAGCATTATCTTTGAAGATGATAACCTTGGGTTTGAATCATGGTACTACCACTTAGTAGTTTGGTAATTTGGTGCATGTTAACCACCCTGACTTCCACTCCTCTCCAAAGCCTCAGAGATCTCATAGGGTTGTTTGAGGGTTCAATGAAATATATGTAACATGCTTATTGGGATGTCTGGTTGATAAGTTCCTCGTACAAAGTGGCTGTTATTGTTACCACTTTTGTTGTTGTTCATTCATTCTTTCAACAAATATTTATTGGCTTCCTGCAACGAGCTAAATCTGTCTAGTCACTGGGTATACAACACTAAACAAAACAGACAAAAGTGCTTACCCTATGAAATATTCTAGTTGTTAAGAGAAAGAAAATAATAAATGAACTCTGCAGTGTGTCCTATAGCATTAAATCTTGGAGAGAGGCTAGGCACAGTGGCTCATACCTGTAATCCTGGCACTTTGGGAGGCTGAGGAAGGAGGATCACTTGCGTTCAGGAGTTTGAGACCAGTCTGGGCAACATAGTGAGACCCCATATCTTTAAAAAAAAAAAAAGCCTGCTGTGGGCGAGCGTGTGTAGTCCATTTGCTCAGGAGGCTGAGGCGGGAGGATCATTTGAGCCCACCAGGTTGACACTGCAGTGAACCATGGTTGTGCCACTGCACTCCAGCCTGGATGACAGAGTGATTGAGACTCTGTCTTTTAAAAAAACAAAAAAACAAACAAAAAAAACACACGTATACATATGTAACTAACCTGCACGTTGTGCACATGTACCCTAAAACTTAAAGTATAATAATAATAAAAAATTAATTAATTAAAAAAAATCCTGGAGAGAGAAATGCAATAGAGGAGGGAATAGAGAGTGCTGGAGAGCTCAGATAAAGAAGAGGTATATGGATTAGCCCTTTGATGTATTCCAGAGCTTAGGTATTCCTCCTCATTCCTGTGAAAGATGAGGAAAGGATTGGGAAGGGAGTGACGAATAAAGTAGAAGAAAAACCAAGAGAGTGTGGTATGTGAAAGGCAAGGGGAGAAAGTGTTTTGGAGAGGGAGGAGGAGGAGGGATTGTCTGTGTCAGTTGTTACAGACAGGATCAGTAAGATGAAGGCTGAGAATTGAGACCATTGAATTTAGTGGGGTGGGGTTGTTGCAGACATTGGTGAGCAGTTTTGGTAGAGGGAGAAAGGTGAATTAAAGCATGGTTGGAGTGGTTTCAGGAGACAAGGCCACAGAAGGAATTGAGGGAACCATTGTAGATAACATTTTCAAAGAATGTTGCTGTAAAAGAGAGCAGAGAATGGGAATTTTTCTTAAGAGAGCCACTAGCAACATATTTGCTAATGACAAATAAGGGAGATGAGAGAATTGCTGGAACAATTAGTATTTGCATGGTGAATTTTCAGTACTTTCCTTGTTTTATTCTAGTATGCAGTTGTACTGTGTAAGTTTGCCATGTTCTCTTTAAAGAAAAGAATTGTAGAATTGACTGTCAGGCGATACCATTTCTTCCTGTCTATTCCTCGGACTCTACCTGAAATATCAAAATAGCAGAAATAGATAAGAATAAGGTATTTGGCAGGGTTTTCATATTGACATTTCAGTCTCAGTTTTTTTTTGTTTTTTTTTTTTTTTTTTACTAATAGTCGTATATCTCTAAAAGATTTTCAGAGGAGTTGATAACAGGAATGTCAGAAAACAGTATATTACTGTCAAGTGTAGGAAAATAGCTTTTTGTCAATTCCTTGATGAATTTAACACAGAATGCTTTTACATTTTAAAAAAAAAAAAAAAACCGCCACCTCATGAAAATAAAGCACCCTTCCTCTGTTTTGGCAGTTTACCAGCCACTATGGCATGACATCAGGAGTCGTATAAAAATTTTCTGAAGTATGTGGTGGCCTCCTGGATTTTGTTTTTTAATATGTGAAGTAGCCAACCTTCTTCTGATCCATGCCTAAGAACGAATGTAGTTTTGAATGTACATATAAAATTATAAAAGGTAGCTTAGGCAAGAGATAGGCATAAAACTAAATATCCTTTTGTTCCAATGCCACTTTCTAAAACAGAATCATCCTGACACAAAAGTAAGCTGCATGAAAAATAAGACAGAGAAATTAGTTGACTTTGGGAAATATACCATGTACTAGATCTAGCAGAAAGCTGGAGTTCTTCCAGAGTTAGAGACACACCCCATTCCTTCTGTCTAGGTTGCTTTCTGTGTCTCACATGGCTCCTCACTCATGACATGACCTCAGTGGTATTTGCTGATGAGCAAGCATCTTGTCTTCTGTCATCTTGAATTGCTCGGTTTTCCAGACAGATTTATTCAACAGCATTTTTGAATGCCCACCGTATTATTCAGGGCAGCCAGGTTGCATTGGTAAGGAAAACAAAGCCCTTATCTTCATGGAGCTTACTTTCTAATGACAGCAAAGAAGTTAACAGGTAAATTATGTTCTAATATTGTTACATGACAGTGAGTTCACAGTTATTGTGAGTACAGAGTACAGAACACACAAAGCAAGTGATTAATATTTTTTCCTTACCTGCATCTTAAATGATCTCTACTGCATTCCAGAACCAAATAAAACATACTTGAGGGAACTCATTGAGGTTTTGTTTTGTTTTGTTTTTTCTTTGAGATGGAGTCTTGCTCTGTTGCTCAGGCTGGAGTGCAATGGTGCGATCTCGGCTCACTGCAACCTCCTCCTCCCGGGTTCAAGCGATTCTCCTGCCTCATTCTCCCGAGTAGCTGGGGTTACAGGCATACGCCACCACGCCCAGCTATTTTTTGTATTTTTAGTAGAGATGAGGTTTCACCGTGTTGGCCAGACTGGTCTCGAACTCCTGACCTCAAGTGATCCACCCGCCTCGGCCTCCCAAAGTGCTGGGATTACAGGCGTGAGCCACCACACCCAGCCCAATTACTGTGTTTTTAAAGGGCTATCAGCTTAGTTGAATTATGGCTGGAATATATCTTAAAATTGAGATGCACGTTTAGTGCAGTAACTCTTTTGCCCTTAAAAAGGCTGGCCAGGCACAGTGGCTCATGCCTGTAATCCCAGCACTTTGGGAGGCCAAGGTGGGGCAGATCATGAGGTCAGGAGATCAAGACCACCCTGGCCAACATGATGAAACCCCATCTCTACTAAAAATACAAAAATTAGCTGGGCGTGGTGGCACGTGCCTGTAATCCCAGCTACTCGAGAGGCTGGGGCAGGAGAATCGCTTGAACCAAGAAGTCAGAGGTTGCAGTGAGCTGAGATCTCGCCACAGCACTCCAGCCTGGTGAGAGAGTGAGAGTCCATCTAAAAAAAAAAAAAAAAAAAAAAAGCTGTTGTTATATCACTTGTACTTCTTAAAATCAATGACTAAAACAAAGTGTTCAGTAAGTTAAACTCGTTGGGAATAAAGAGAAATGAGATCTATCAGTAAATAAATAGGAAGCCTTGAATGCCCAAACTGATGATTTGGGTTTCAGTCTATAAGTTTTAAATTTTTGAGCAGAGAAGTGTTGTAAGCTATTTTGGGGGAGGTAAATCTGCTGTAACATGTTTTTTTTTTTTTTTTGTTTGTTTGTTTTTTTTTTTTTTTTTTGAGTCGGAGTCTTGATCTGTCACCCAGGCTGGAGTGCAATGGCACAATCTCAGCTCACTGCAGCCTCCGCCTCCCGGGTTCAAGCAATTTTCCTGCCTCAGCCTCCTGAGTAGCTGGGATCACAGGCACCCACGACGACGCCTGGCTAATATTTGTATTTTTAGTAGAGACAAGGTTTCACCATGTTGGCCAGGCTGGTCTCGAACTCCTGACTTCAGCTGATCCATCCGCCTTGGCCTCCCAAAGTGCTGGGATTACAGGCGTGAGCCACCGCGCCCGGCCAATCTGTAACTATTATGTTTGGGATGGATTGGCACAAGAGACTGGAGGTGGAAAGACAGACTAACAGTAGTAATCCTGGAGGAGATAATAGTCTAAGGCCTCTACAACTCTGAATGTGGAATATTTTAAATGTAATCTAAGGAATAACCACTAGGGTGTGGTAAGTGAATATCAGAGTAAGGCTCATGGAGAACATGGAGTACTTCCTAAATCATAATTTTATTATAAAATGACGGAATTACTAGTTGTAATTACTGAATAGCCTATATTGCTATTTATTGTGTGTTTCATCACTTTAGGGGTCTAGTATGGTGGATGTTAGTAATTATCTAAGTGAATGAAGAAGCACTCCAGTGGAAAGTTCTTATATGCCATTATGTTCTTTTCCTGGCCCAGTGCCTAAGTGAAGTAGGTGTTTATAACTTAACCTAAACGTACTAAGATTTCAGATCAATAAAGTTATTAAAATAAAATTGGTACCAGCCAATTTTCAAATAAGGTTGCTTTTTATTTTTTAAGTAAAATTATGTTTATAATTAAACCATAAGACAAATAGTATTTTTTTAAAAAAGAAAAGAATGTAGTTTTATTAATAATTTACTGCATTGTTCTCATTCTCAATTTACTGTGGACCATTAGAAACTTGTGTATAGTCTGGCAGTGGAAACCATCAGTGTTTGGAAATGAATGGTTGAAAAGGCTGGGTTTTTTTGTACTAATAACCAGTAGAATAGGTAATGGCTACATTTATTACTAACATACCCTTGAAATTTTTATTGCCCTTAATAGCATTTCTTTCAATTTTTTAAAAAGTAGCAATTTCCTAACAAATTGGCAGTGTACTGGCATCATTTTAGAATTTTGTAGTCCTTGTTGTCATAGGGGGGATTGCTCTGGGCCAAATTTTAAAGCTGGCTTCCATAGAATTCCGAGTAGTCCTCCTCTTCTTCCCATTGTATCACACTTGAAGAGTGACATTTTTGTACAGGGCATTCTCTCATGGCTATGACCAGGTTTCCTGTAGACATCAGGGTAAATAAAGGTGTTAATATATGATTCTAGGCCTCCTAGTTTTGATTCCACCTATTTAAATCCAGTTTCATGACACCATGGTTGAGGACTAATGAACTAGAATATGAGTCAGTATTAAAAGTTAATAATTTGATACGTTCTTCCTTGACAGAGTGCAATAGACCTTGGAGGCCCAACCAACTTTTTCATACTAGTTAGACATTTGGAAAGGAGCAAGCATGCCATGTAGAAAATTGTACCTTAGGACATAAAGCTACTAAAAGAATACTCAGAAATCACTCTGTGCTTGGAACAGTTACCTCTAAACTGTTATGACGGTGTTTTATATATACATTATAAAACACATACAAAATAAATTTTGAAAGACTGAGATAAAATAGAAGCTTACACGTTTTGTTTCTTCACTCTGATGGATCTTCAAGAGCCAGTTGTGGGATATGCTTGATTGTGATAGAGTTGCCAAACCTTTGAAAATCTTTCCACATGTTAACAGTGGATGAGTTAGATAACGAATATCAAATGCAAAGCAAAAGCAAATGATTATAACCTGTCCTTGAGCCAAAAGAATTCTTTTAGTGTTTTGGACGAATATGCTATGATTAACAGAAAATGGTGAATAGAGTTTTACTTTGGTATTAATTCCTTCATAAGTATTAAATTGAGTATTTCTTGGGAATTCCTTCAAAGAGAATTGATAGCATTGCAGTATTAATTAAGGGAACGTGGGAATTTCTTCGTGTATCAAGTATTTTATCTCATTATTTTATTGAGATGCAGGTCTCACTGTGTTGCACAGGCTGATTTTTTGTTGTTGTTGTTTGTTTTTTGTCCCCCTCCCCTCCCCCAAGATGGAGTCTCGCTCTGTCGCCAGGCTGGAGTGCAGTGGTGCAATCTCTTCATCTCAAAAATAAAAAAGCCAGCTGTGGTGGCAGCTACACAGGTGGCTGAGGCAGGTGAATGGTTTGAAGCTGGGAGGCAGAGGTTGCAGTGAGTCAAGATCAAGCTACTGCACTCCAGTCTGGGCAGCAGAGCTAGACTCTGTCTCAAAAAGATAACAGTCTGTTTCTCTCTCTTAGTTCCAGCTGAGAACATGTGTTGATCAGTTTCCTTTTCTCTCTCTCTCTCTCTCTTTTTTTTTTTTTTTTTTTTGGAGTCAGAGCCTCGCCTCGCTCTGTCACCCAGGCTGAAGTGCAATGGCATGATCTTGGCTCACTGCAACGTCTGCCTCCCGGGTTCATATGATTCTCCTTCCTGCCTCAGCCTTCCAAGTAGCTGGGACTACAGGCGCGTGCTACCATGCCCAGCTAATTTTTGTATTTTTAGTAGAGACGGGGTTTCACCATGTTGGCCAAGCTGGTTTCGAACTCCTGACCTTAGGTGGTCTGCCCGCCTCAGCCTCCCAAAGTGCTGGGATTACAGGTGTGAGCCACTGTGCCCAGCCTCCTTTCCTCTTAGCATATCCTGAGATCTAATTCTAGTCTCCTCACGAGACTGCCAGAAACATCTCTGCCCTTTTCAGAGACTTTCCACTTAGCTTTGTAGCCTCCTACCATTCACAACTTCAGCTTTTTCTTTGGGAGGGTGGTACTTGGAAGTGTGTCATGCTTAGTTCCCTGTCCTCTTTTTATTGATAATTTGACATTTCAAGTCTCTAGTGTTATCCATTCAGCCCTACAAGAGTACCAAAAGCTCTGCTCTTTTTTTTTTCTTTCTTTCTTTTTTTTTTTTTCCGAGATGGAGTCTCGCTCTGTTGCCCAGGCTGGAGTGCAGTGGCACATCCTTGGCTCACTGAAACCTCCATCTCCCAGGTTCAAGCGATTCTCCTGCCTCAGCAAGTAGCTGAGATTACAGACACGTGCCACCATGCCTAGCTAATTTTTGTGTTTTTAGTAGAGATGGGTTTTCGCCATGTTGGCCAGGTTCTTTTCCTCTCTGGAATCTTAGCTTTCAATATTGTCATTATGTCAGCATTTTTCTTATGTTTTGAGAGAGAGAGAGAGAGAGAGAGAGAGAGAGAGAGAGAGAGAGAGAGAGTGTGTGTGTGTGTGTGTGTGTGTGTGTGTGTGTTTTAAATCTGGCTTTTCCAATTAGTGAGAGTGTTGGTTTGATACAAGCTATCCATATAGGTGATTTATTTGTTGAGAAAACTTCATTTATCTGATACCTTAGTTTCCCACAGCCTACTTTCTTTTAAAAATTTTATCCCTATAGTAGTATTTTCTTGCCTCTTGGCATATCTAACAATGTTTTATTTATGTTTTAAGCTGAAAATCCAATTAATAATTTTCCCTGCTTGTAGCATGTGGATTGTGCCATCTTCCTTTAAAGAGGCTTTGTTTTGCTGGCAGGTAAATTCCTTGTCATTTGTTAGGTCAGGTGAGGAGTTGGCCACCTTAGTAGTCTAGCTCCACAACTAAAGCAGGATCTTCTGTCTTGAATTCTCTATGCAACTTTGGCTGGTCACAGTTTAAAAGCCTCTCAGGCTTGTGTTAGCTGTGGAAACCATTTCAGCTCACAGCTGCCTAGTTGCTCTTGCCTGGCCTGATAGTTTCACCCTTTACATGCACCTTTTAATATTTAGCAAACACTCAGGGGGATCTTATGAAGATTTCTGGGGCTCTTTTTCTGTAAAGCTTCCTCCTCTCAAGAATTTTGCCTTGCAATTTTCAGTTTCCTTAGTCTCTGAATTCTGATCTAGTGAGAATTTGCTTCCTCAACTCAGTGAAGCTATTATACTCTGCTTCAGATCCTCTCCCTGCCCTGCAGTCTAGAATGTACTTCCAGACGGAAAACCAGGGCAGTCTTAGAGACCACCCCATTTATTTCTCAGTGTTATACTGCCTGTTGTCCAGTTTTCTGGTTTATGACTGAAAGGTAAATCTGATCACTATTACTCTGCTAGAAGCAGAAGTCCTGTGGTGTCACTGTTTTCTTTTCCAAATTTTGTTATGAAATTATTCAGATACGAAGTTGAATGAATTTTACAGTGAACACCTATGTAGCTACTCCCTAGGTTCTACCACTAACATTTTAGCATACAATCATCCTTCCATTTATTAATCCATCTTATTTTTAGTGCATTTAAAAAACAGTGATGTTTTTCTGTCCCTTGTTTTTCTTGAAAACTAGTAGAAACGTGAATAAGTCCAGTTTTAGTTTCGTGAGAAAACACAAGGTGGCCGCCTTATGCTTGTATCAGAAGACACGTAATGACTAAACTGTTTGTTATCAACCACTGGTGATCATTGCCTGGACCCATTGTTAAATTGGAAGCTGAAGAATGGTGATATTCTACTTGTATCATTTCTGTTTTTCTTTTATTAGCTAGATAGAATATGTTTATAAAGGGAAAATTGTCCTTTTCAACTATTTGTTTACCCTGAGGTACAGTTTGTACAGAAGAAAGCATGATTTGTTGTTTTTTTTTATTTACCAATTTTCAAAATAACAAATTAGTTTTCTACTATCCTCTAAGGACAGTCACTGAAGTTTTTCATGAAGGGGCTGTGAGTCATTGATTGAAACATATTTGAGGTATTTCAAGCCATTGTAGTCTTTTCTTTATGATGCTAACGTTATCTGATCTTTGGTAGGGGAAGCTCTCTTCAGGCTTGTTCTTGACAATAGTCTTTGAGAGCTTTGTTCTTACTATTAATTTTTATTTTTTTTGTTTTCCTTTTTTACTGAGTCTTATGTTTACTGTGACTCACCACTAATATTTAATGGGAGCCTGTGCTTTGAATTTTTCTAGACGGGATGACCGTAATTTGAACCTCATGGTTCTCAGTGATTTTGTCCTCACAGGAGACATTTGGCAATATCTGTAGTAATTACTCATTTTCACAAATTGGGGGAGTAGGGAGGCACATGCACCATGAGGACAGAGATGCTGCTAGATATCTACAGTGCACAGGACTGTGCCCCACAACAAAGAAGTGCCAGCTGTTGAGAAATCATGCGGTATACTAATTTAGCTAACATTTGTGTAATGTTTTAACAGTTACAGAGTCATTTGATCTTTCCTACACTCCCATGAAATTGGTATTATTAGTCCTTTTTAACAAGTGAGAAAATTTAAGGATGTCATGTGACTTATCAATGATCATATTATACAGTGTTAAGAAGCTAGAATTTTGAAATCAAGATCTTTGATGGTAAATGTTCTATCAAGTTTGATGGTAAATGTTCTATCAGTAGCTATACTTACGGTTTTACAAAAGTGATTAAGAGTCGAGAGCCAGATACTGTTGTGAGTTATTTATCTTTAAAACAACTCTATCAGGTACTCTCCTGTTAGTAAAGATGAAGACACAGTAACTTGTCTTAAGGCCACACAGCTAGTAAGTGGCGGAGTCAAGGTTCAAACCCAGGCAGTCTGGCTCCACAGCTCATACTGTTAACCACTATATATTGCTTCACAATTTTTTTTTTTTTAGATTTGAGTATAATATTTGTTTTTATATTTAAATCTTTATTTGGGGCCAGGCACGGTGGCTCACACTTGTTATTCTAGCACTTTGGGAGGCCAAGGTGGGTGGATTACCTGAGGTCAGGAGTTTGAGACCAACCTTGCCAGCATGGCGAAACCCCCGTCTCTACTAAAAATACAGAAATTAGCCAGGCTTGGTGGTGGGTGCCTGTAATCCCACCTACTTGGGAGGCTAAGGCAGGAGAATCACTTGAACCCGGAGATGGAGGTTGCAGTGAGCCGAGATCGCACCATTGCACTCTAGCCTGGGCAACAGAGCGAGACTCTGTATCAAAAAAATAAAATAAAATGAAAATGAATAAATCTTTATTTAGAATTAATTTTGGTGTGAGGCAGAAATGCAGCCGTTTTCTTCTGTATGACCTCTTGGTTTTCCTGATTCATTTGTTGAAAAAGTAATACCTCCTTTTGTTTTTTTAAACTGATTTAAAAGTATTATTTTAGTTAAACAATAAACTGTCATATATACTTTGGTCAATTTTTGTTTTTATTTAAATTTTCTGTTTCTTAACCGAGGGCAGATTATTTTAATTACTGTAACTATAAAACATGTAATAGGCCAGATCACTCCCCTGTATTTTTGCTTATCAGAAATTTTGGGGAATGGTTCCTTACATTCTTTCAGTTGTATCTTTTAGATTATTTGTTTAAATCCCCTTTGCCTTGTCTCCCCTCCCCCCTCAAGTCTATTAAGATTCTGCATTAATTTGTAGAATATCAATATCTTTAAGCTTTGTGCTTAAATTTCTTGTTAAACTTATTCCAGGGCATTTTTTGTTGTTACAGTCAAGAATATAATCTTTTTTCACTTTTTTTTTTTTTTGAGAGGGAGTTTTGCTCTTGTCGCCCAGGCTGGAGTGCAGTGGTGCGATCTCAGCTCACTGTAACGTCTGCCTCCTGGGTTCAAGCGATTCTTCTGCCTCAGCCTCCCGAGTAGCTGGGATTACAGGCGCCCGCCACCATGCCCGGCTAATTTTTTGTATTTTTAGTAGAGACGAGGTTTCACCATGTTGGTCAGGCTGGTCTTGAACTCCTAACCTCAGGTGATCCACCTGCCTTGGCTTCCCAAAGTGCTGGGAATACAGGCGTGAGCCACCGCGCCTGGCCTTTCACTTGTATTTCTAAATAAAACTTACTTTGGGCCGGACACGGTGGCTCACGTCTGTAATCCCAGCACTTTGGGAAGCTGAGGCAGGCGGATCACGAGGTCAGGAGATCGAGACCATCCTGGCTAACACCGTGAAACCCTGTCTCTACAAAAAATACAAACATTAGTCAGGTGTTGTGGCGGGCGCCTATAGTCCCAGCTACTCGGGAGGCTGAGATAGGAGAATGGCATGAAGCTAGGAGGCGGAGCTTGCAGTGAGCTGAGATCCCACCACTGCACTCCAGCCTGGGCGACAGCGAGACTCCATCTCAAAAAAAAAAAAAAAGTTACTTTGAATACTGACATTTAAAGAAAAAGACACGATGTGAGAGAATGACCATGGAATTAGTGGTTGAAGAGCCAAGTGCAGAGGCCTGTGATCTGGAAGGTTGCCTGCTATCTTGGAGAAATATAGCAAGGAAATCAGAGTAACTGGTAGTGTCAGCTAGGAGAGTAACAAAAAAATGAGGTGAAGTCAGAGAGAGGGGATAGAGGCGACAAATACTATAGGACCTTGTGGGAACCATGCAAGAAGTTTGGTTTCTATTCCTCGTGAGATGAGAAGTCATTTGGAAGATTATGAGGTTGGTATGATGTGATTGAGATTTTAAAACAAGATTTACACTGATTACTGTGTTGATTGATTTGGAAGTAAGAACCAGTAGGAGGAGGATCAGTTAGGAGGCTTGAAGAAACCCATTTGAGAAAAGATAGTGACTTGGACTAGATTGAGTGTAGTTGAGGTGGTATGAAGTGGTTGGATTCTGCCAATAGGATTTCATGACTGGGACCGGTCGCGATGGCTCACGCCTGTAATCCCAGCACTTTGGGAAGCTGATACGGGTGGATCATCTGAGGTCAGGAGTTTGAGACCAGCCTGGCCAACGTGGTGAAACCCCGTCTCTACTAAAAATATAAAAGATTAGCTGGGCGTGGTGGTGCATGCCTGCAATCCCAGCTACTTGGTAGGCTAAGGCAGAAGAATCTCTTGAGCCCAGGAGATCCTTGTTTTTTTTTTCTTTTAAGAGACTGACTCACTCTGTCTCCCAGGCCTGGAGTGCAGTGGACATGATCACTATAGCTCCTCACTCCTGGGCTCAAGTGAGCCACCTCAGCCTCCCAAATAGCTAGGGCTACACATGCACACCATCTGTTGTGATATTTTTAAAAATTTGTTTTCTTATTGTAAAACACAATATTGTATGTGTTCTTGTTGTTTTTTAACTTAAATGAATTCATGCAGATGATTTGGCATCTTGTTTCAGTGGAAGAGCGTGTGCGTGTGTACACTTAAGTTTGTCTGCAGGATAGATTCTTGGTGTGGATTTGTGCAACATGGGTATGAATTCAAGTTTTCTTTCAAAAATTTTCCAAAATGTATCCTTTAATAAGTATTAAATATATCTTTGGCCGGGTGCGGTGGCTCATGCCTATAATCCCAGCATTTGGGAGGCCGAGGCGGGCAGATCACGAGGTCAGGAGATCAAGACCATCCTGGCTAACAATGGTGAAACCCTGTCTCTACTAAAAAAATACAAAAATATTAGCTGGGTGTGGTGGTGGGCGCCTGTAGTCCCAGCTACTTGAGAGGCTGAGGCAGGAGAATGGTGTGAACCTGGAAGGCAGACTTGCGCCACTGCACTCCAGCCTGGGTGACAGAGCAAGACTCTTGTCTCAAAAAAAAAATAAGTATTAAATATATTTTTATATACTCCTCGGGTTCTATTAGTACTTTACAGTTTTTAATTTAAAAGTGAGATTACTGTTTAAGTTACATGTGTGCACATTACCCTTTTGTCAAGTTATAAGTAGAATTTCTACCCTTTATTTTATTTTTTTAAATTTTTAAATTTTTTTGGAGACGGAGTTTTGCTCTTGTTCCCCAGGCTGGAGTGCAGTGGTGCAATCTCAGCTCACTGCAACCTCTGCCTCCCAGGTTCAAGTGATTCTCTTACCAGCCTCTCCAGTAGCTGGGATTACAGGTGCCCACCACCATGCCCAGTTTTTTGTATTTTTAGTAGAGACGGGGTTTCACCATGTTGGCCAGGCTGGTCTCGAACTCCTGACCTCAGGTTATCCACCCACCTTGGCCTCCCAAAGTACTGGGATTACAGGCGTGAGCCACCATGCGCAGCCTTTTTTTTTTTTTTTTTTTTTTTTTTTTTTTTTTTTTTTTTGGAGACAGGATCTTACTCTTTTTCCCAGGCTGCAGTGCAGTGGTGCAATCATGGCTCACTATAACCTGAACTCCTGGGCTTAAGCGATTCTTCTCCCTCAGCCTCCTGAGTAGCTGGGACTAAAGGCATGCAATACCATGCTGGGCTAAATTTTTTTTTTTTTTTTTTTTAATTTTAAATTTTATTTTAAGAGATGGAGTCTTACTGTGTTGCCCAGGCTAGTCTCAGACTCCTGGCTTCAAGCAATCCTCTCTCCCACCTCAAAGTTTTGGGATTACAGTTGTGAGCCACCACGCCTAGCCACATCTATTGAATTTTTTTATTGTTGTTGTTTTGTTTTTTTGTTTGTTTGCTTGTCTTTGGACTTAGTCTCATTCTGTCGCCCAGGCTGGAGTGCAGTGGTGTGATCTCAGCTCACTGCAACCTCTGCCTCCCAGATTCAAGCGATTCTCCTGCCTCAGCCTCCCGAGTAGCTGAGATTACAGGCTCCCACCACCACACCCAGCTGACGTTTCTATTTTCAGTAGAGTCGGGGTTTCACCATGTTGGCCAGGCTAGTCTCAAACTCCTGACCTCAAGTGATCCACCCGCCTTGGCCTCCCAATATTGACTTTGACTTAAGTGATACACTCTAGCCATAAAATGTAGTGTTGTTAAATGTCCCATATGGAGAGCTAGTTGATGTCATGGGTTGGTTTCTAGTCTCTCTCTTTTTATTTTTTATTTGCTATACCTACTGGAGTGAGATAATCTCTTTTGAATATTGAAAGTTTCAGTGTAATTTTTGGATCCTAACCAATTTTCCTAAATCCTCCCACTCACCCACTGTGTGATCTCATTTTCATCTCTACCTACTCATTTCTCTTTACCTCAAAATGTCATCCTCTCCAGAAAGCCAGCTCTGATTACATAGATACAGGGATTTTTTTTTTCCCAAAACAATACCAGTTAATATTGTCTACACAAAAGTAGCATGCCTAGTTGGTATCACTCCCTTTCAGTGGCTTCTAGTTCTGTGTGATTTGCCCAGTCTAACCTTTAAAAGACTTTATTTGCGTGCCACCTCTCTATGTGGTTACAATAGAATGTCGGGGGAATGTTGATAAAGACCACATTGTTCTTATGTATATCTTTCTCTTACACAAATCCATAAAAGGCTTTCGAGATGTCTCTGCTGAAAATAAATGGAGCTCTAGTAAATGTTAGAGTTTTTGCTAGTAGAGTTTTGATGCTTTTTGTCTTTGTTCTACTACTGAGCTTGCACCTAGGATGCCTTCTTATAGTGCCATTCAACATGCAAGTTTCTTTTTCTGGGGCTGTGTGTCCAGGTGACTTTATGAGTTAGGCTTTGGCAAATGCCAGACTTGTTCATCCTAACACTAGAATGTAGGGATCCTGCATTCAGCATGACCTGAAATTTGCTCAAAGTATAAAATTGTAGATGTTCAGTTTTTATACAGAATTCAATCTTTTGAAGACTTAAATTAGTTCATATTTAACTTTGGACTTACCTGGAGAGGTTATCAATTATTCTGCCCACATGTGCACAAAGGAAGTTCAGTGGAAATAATTTCTACCCTTTGGAATTAATCTAACATGAAGACTATGAAAGTGAGCATTTGCTGTACAAAATGTTATTTTATTACTTAGGTATGAGCTTTGTAACAGTGGATTTTAGGCCAGGTTAAAGAGTAGTTAATAAGTTACTTTTAAGTTACAAGCTTCAGGGAAGCTTGCCACCTGGCTTGAGACCACCTGAAAGTCTTTTGAAGAAGAGGTGTGAAAAGAAGAGAAGAGGTGTGGTTGGTAATTGAAGGCTCCTAGGTGGATAAATTTGCTGAAGAAAGCAAGTAATGTCCCACCTGGGAATCAAGAACCAACTGTTCGTCTTAGCGGACCATCAAGGTCGTGAAAGCATGCAGAGTTTATAAAGTGTTCTCAGAAAGCACAGTTTTAGTATCTTTTTAAACTGTCAGAAGTTTGATACCTAGGTAAGCACTTAGAGCTTCAAGTAGTTAGATTTCATCAATGAAAAGGAAGCAAGTTTCCTTACCCACTTTGAAGGTCAGTGTGTTAGACAAATGGAAATCTTTTAACAAACTAATCAAACATCCTTTTAGTAGTGTCACACAAGTATCTAGAAAGGTCTTCGCAATAACAAATGGGGAGCTAACTTCTCAATAACAAATGGGGATAACAAATGGGTAGCTGGCTTTTTATCAGATGCTGAATTGTCAGTTTTGTTTGGCTTTTTTCACAGGTTCACCGGAACAGCACAATCCGCCCTGGCTGTGATGTGAATCCCTCCTGCGCACTGTGTGGTTCAGGCAGCATCAACACCATGCCTCCCGAAATTCACTATGAAGCCCCTCTGTTGGAACGTCTTTCCCAGTTGGACTCTTGTGTTCATCCTGTTCTAGCATTTCCAGATGGTAAGAAAGACCACAGACTAGAAAGTCTAATGAAAGAAACTTGAGAGACTTCTAGGTGAAAGAAAATCAGCCAAGGTGCAGTTACAACTCAGATACTTTCAAGGTACAACTTTCGTCAACCAAGTCTTCTCTTAGAATTTTGCAAAAAGACTGTAACAGATCCACCAAACCAGAAGGTGCCACTAAAAGGTTGCAACTTAATATGAGATTTCCTTCTAACTCTTCAAGTAGCTAGGAGGGATCTGGGCTCAGTTGCCTCTAGCCACAGTAATCTGGTCCAAAATACGCTTAGTATATCTTTAAAAATGTTTTGTCTGGGCCAGGCGTGGTGGGTCACGCCTGTAATCCCAGCACTTTGGGAGGCTGAGGTGGACGGATCACCTGAGGTCAGGAGTTCTAGACCAGCCTGACCAACATGGTGAAACCACCGTCTCTACTAAATATAAAAAATTAGCCAGTCGTGGTTGTGCCTGTCTGTAATCCCAGCTACTTGGGAGGCTAAGGCAGGAGAATTGCTTGAACCTGGGAGGCAGAGGTTGCAGTGAGCCAAGATTGCACCATTGCACTCTAGCCTGGATAACAGAGCAAGACTCTGTCTCAAAAAAAAAAAAAAGTTTTGTCTGTGCGTGCCATGATATAATGTAGGATGGACGGCAGTGTTCTAGGAGAATATCTTCATACTGGCATTTATGTGGTAACGCGACAGCTTTGCAGGGTGTAGATAAGCACAAATCTTCGTTGTTAGCTTGTACTGTCTTTCTAAAGTTTGCCTCCCTGTTAAATCTCTGTGTCTGACAGCCCTCCTTTCCCACCTCCCTTCCCATACCTGTACCTCTCCCACTTGACAAAAGAAGAGCATTCCTTTTGGCCATATTGAGTCCCACTATGGGTCTTGCCCCAGAGTGTAAAAATCTTGAGGCTCGGTGTCGTGGCCCACGTCTTTAATCCCGTCACTTTGGGAGACCAAGGCAGGCAGATCACTTGAGGTCAGGAGTTCGAGACCAGGTGTGGTGGCTCACGCTTGTAATCCCAGCACTTTGGGAGGCCAAGACGGGCGGATCATGAGATCAGGAGTTCGAGACCAGCCTGGCCAACATGGTGAAACCCCTTCTCTACTAAAAATACAAAAATTAGCAGGGCGTGGTGGCATATGTCTGTAATCCCAGTTATTTGGGAGGAGAATCGCTTGAACCTGGAGGCCAGAGGTCGCAGTGAGTCAAGATCATGCCACTGCACTCCAGCTCGGGCGACAGAGCAAGACTGTCTCAAAAAAAAAAAAAAAAAAAAAAAAAGGTCTTGGATGGTGGGGACAACAAATAAAGAGATCATTTCTAAGAGTTCTCAGCACCTGAAGGAGAATCTCCCAGGTATTAAGCAAAAAAGTTTTGAATTTTAAAAATAAAATAGAGATAACTCAGGAACTCCTATCAACCAAGTCTTCTCTTAGAATTCTCCAAAAAGACTGCAACAGATCTACCAAACCAGAGGGTACCACTAAAAGATTGCAACTAAGAGATTTCCCTCTAACTCTTCGAGTGGCTGGGATGGGTCTGAGCTCAGTTACATGGTCCTATTCCTTGTCTGTCTTAGAATAAATACTGAGTTAATATCTAAAGTCTGATTAGCTAAATAAGTTTAAAAGAAGTTTTTTTTTTCAATTAATGAAGCTAAATATATTTACATGCCAAAGTTTTGATAAAAATGTTTTTAAAGCATTATGTAGTATTCAAATATAATCTTTACAACTATCTGAAATTATGATTTTTTAAAAATCACATATCAAATGGGGGTGCATGAGCAAAGACATTTTGAAACCACTATTCTAGATGGAAGCCAGCGCTTTCATAATCTGGATTGGTTTCATTGAATTTTCACGTAATCTCATGATCTGTGCCCAGCCTACAGAAGGTAGGAATTTCCTCTCAAATCACTGGTGGGTTTTTGTTTTTGTTGTTGTTTTGTTTTGAGACAGAGTCTCGCTTTTGTTGCCCAGGCTGTAGTGCAGTGGTGTGATGTTGGCTCACTGCAGCCCCCACCTCCTGGGTTCAAGCAGTTTTGTCTCAGCCTCCCAAGTAGCTGGGACTACAGTCGTATGCCACCACGCCTGGCTAATTTTTTTGTATTTTTAGTAGAGATGGGGTTTTACCATGTTGGCCAGGCTGGTCTCCAACTCCTGACCTCAGGTGATCCACCCGCCTCGGCCTCCCTAAAGTGCTGGGATTACAGTCAGGAGCCACTGCACCTACCCTATTGTGTTTTATCAATATGTTAATGAATTATGTTATGGCTGTTTGTGTATTTGCTTTCTGTTATTTAAATTTTAGGGACCAGGCACAGTGGCTCACACCTGTAATCCTGGCACTTTTGGAGGCCGTGGCGGGTTCATCATCTGAGGTCAGAAGTTTGAGACCAGCATGGGCAACATGGCAAAACCCTATCTCTACTAAAAACACAAGAATTAACTGGGCGTGGTGGCACACGCCTGTCGTCCCAGCTACTCAGCAGGCTGAGGTGGGAGGATCAGCTGAGCCCAGGAAGTCTTGGCCGCAGTGAGCCATGATTGAGCCAATGCACTGCAGCCTGGGGAACGGTAGTGAGACCCTGTCTTGGTGGCGGGGGGAGTGGGGAAGGGATGGGATGTAATCTCCCTGAGGATAAGGGCTCCATGCTGTTCTTCATAATATCTCCCAGGTAGTCTGTAAGTTTTTTTTTTGTTTTTTTTTTTTTTTTAATTTTTATTTTTTAGATACAGGGTCTTGCTCGGTGCCCTAAGCTGGAGTTCAGTGGAGTGATCACAGCTCACTGCAACCTTGACTTCCTGGGCTCTAAACAGTCCTCCCACTTCAGCCTCCTAAGTATCTGGGACTACAAGTGTGCACCACCACAACCTGCTTCCCCGCCTCCCGCCCCCTACAAAGATGGGGTCTTGCTATATTGCCCAGGCTGGTTTTGAACTGAGCTCAAGTGATCCACCCATCTTGGCCTCTCAAAGTGCTGGGATTACAGGTGTAAACCACCACGCCCGGCCTGAACTTTTTCTTCAAGGGCCATATGGTAAATATCTTAGGCTTTGCAGGCCATATAATTGATGTCAGTTCATGTCACAACTGCTCAACCCTGTCATTGTAGCACAAAAGCAGCCATAGACAATATGTGAACAAATGAACCTGATTGTGTTGCAACAAAAGTTTATTTATAAAAACAATCATTGCTAACCCTTGTCCTAGAGAGAATCCTTCTAATTGACAGTTGATCAAACATTAGATAACTATAATCCCCTGTTCTGCATCTGTTCTTCAAATGATTGCATTTCTGGCCACCTAAATCCAGTAGATACCGGGATTTTTGGCTTTTGTTACCAAAACCCCCTAGCTGTGATAAGGATGTGGTGTAATATTCCTGTGGCCATGTGATTTCTTGTAAGAGAAAGGAAACAGAAAACCTGGAACACATGGATAGTCAGGAGCTGGTGGAGCAATAAATAAACTTGAACACAATGAGTGGAAAACACTAAAACATTTTCCTCTGTGCTTCAGATTCCAGAGTCACTGACTTTTACCTTCCCTTGCCATTGGATTTATGTAGCCCATGTAACTGCAGTTACTATTTGTATAGCATTTTAAAGTTTGTAGTACTCTTCTCATATTTGTCTCATATGCTGCTTTCAAAATTCTTTTTTTTTTTTTTTTTTTACTTTTGAGACAGTTTTGCTCTGTCACCCAGGCTGGAGTGCAGTCGTGCAATCTCGGGTCACTGCAACCTCCGCCTCCCAAGTTCAAGCAATTCTCCTGCCTCAGCCTCCTGAGTAGCTGGGACTACAGGCACGCGCCACCACGCCCGGCTAATTTTTGTACTTTTAGTAGAGATGGGGGTTTCACCATATTGGCCAGGAGGGTCTTGAACTCCTGACCTCGTGATCCACCCGTCTTGGCCTCCCAAAGTGCTGGGATTACAAGCATGAGCCACCGCACCTGGCTTTTTTTTTTTTTTTTTTTTTTTTTTTTGACAGAGTCTCACTCTGTCACTCAGGCTAGAATGCAGTGGTGTGGTTTTTGGCTCATTGCAGCATCGGCCTCCCAGGATCAGGTGATTCTCCCACTTCAGTGGGTAGCTGGGACTACAGGTGCACACCACCATGCCTGGCTAATTTTTTGCATTTTTAGTAGAGAAGAGGTTTCCCCGTGTTGCCCATGCTGGTCTCAAACTCTTGGGCCCAAGCGATCTACCCATCTTGGCTTCCTAAAGTGCTGGGATTATAGGCATGAGCCACCATGCCCGGCCCAGAAATTTTGTAAGGTGTTACTTCAGTGTTAGTGCTCAAGGAACAGGCTTGGTAAGGTTGTGGCTTATCTAAAACTAAATGGCTAATGGGTTTGAATGCCTTCACAGTTCAGACCCAGATTATCTGATGCCTGTCCTTCCTTTTACTATATTTCAAGTTCCTTTCCAGACAGATTATTAAGAGGAGTCAGATTTTTACCCTTTTTGGGATTCTGGCTACAGACAGCGCCACTAGGAAGACTTAGGAATGTTTGTTGGGTTACTCTCTGAATTACTGTGTTGAATTGTATAGTCTCATACTTGAAGAAGGACAGGAAGCCCGGACACTTAAGCACACTCATTGGATATCACCTGCTAAACAGAACAGTCATTTCTTTGTCAACAGCATTACCACATACAGTTGCAAATAACCTCCCCCACCCTCAGATATACCCAGACTGTGTGTCTCTCAGCTCCTGTTCCATCATTCAGCATCTCTACTAAGAGGTTCCATTTCCCTTGAACATTTTCTGTCCTGCTGACTGCAGGACACTATAGATCTGACATGAATGCTGCCCTGCCGCATACCTTACACCTCCCACACCATCATTCAGAGCAACTACAGGCAGCAATGAGGGGGAATGGAAAGAAAGATAGGGAACACTCCCCCTTTTCTGGTCTTTATGGTTTTTATTTTCCTGCATCTAATCCTATTTGTTTTTCTGTCTATGTCTCACACACACACGAAGAGCTTCTAGCTATGGCCCTGGGGTTTGGACGAAAAAGTTGGTCATTAAATTCTCCTTATGAGACTGTGGAGATATATATATATTTTTACATGTAGGCTCTATTAACTACTGTATTTGCCTGTAGATTAATTACACCTCAGTTGGTTGACCTGAAGACCTGATTACCATGTCTAATATTATTCCTGTTGGAATAATTTTGCTTTGACCCAAACAACTGCCACATTCAGAATGCAGTCCATTTGGAAATCAGAAGATTCCCATGGGTGCAGAGATAGCCAACTCCAAAGGGCACCATTCACATAATATCCCGTGTAAATAACACACCCCCTGAAGTCTTGGGATTCCCTGTACATCATTGTATAGCAGTAAATAACAGTGAAGGCTAGCAGCTTGGCATACGACTGTGTAGGTCAAACATTTGTGTGGTAGATTTTACTACTGGGCCACCCTTACAACCTCTTCTCTAGAAGATGTTTTAAAGTGGCAGGATTTCCAACTTTTTTTTTTTTCATAACAAGGTTAAAAATGATTTTGATTCATTGATTCCATATAGTTACATTTATACCAGACATAAAGGCAGAAAATTGTTTGAATGTGATACTTAGCTGTTTTCTGGCCCCATAGGACAGATATTTTTTTAAGTAGTTTTAGTGCTGTTTCCTAACCAGTTTGTGTAGTTTGTTAGAATAACAACCAACTGCTGCTTTTCATCCTGGAGTTGTGCCTCGCACCTTGACTGTACCTCAGCCCCTCTCATTAAGTGTGTGTGGGTGATAGAAATTGAGGGACTGTGTTATAGCCAACTCTACGCCTGGCTGTGGAAGGTGGAGAGACTAGGGTATAATAACCTGTTAGTATTCCAGCAGGAAGGGGGCTTTGTTTTATCACCTCAAGTAATCAAATCCAGTTAATCCTTAGTTGGAAATGTAGAGGATATATAACCTTGGAGAAAAGCTTGTTAACTTTATAAAAGGGGCTTAATAAGAGCACCACCTGCTGGCCATGAAGATCTGTGGTATTTTGAGAGAGCTTGCCAAACCCTGCACATGAGGCTACAGCAACTTCCCAGCAGGAGGAAGAAGTGAGCATTACAAAACACCCGGAAAAAGTGCGCCTGAGAAAATGGTGGAAAGTAAGGAGCCAGACAGCCAGGTGAATCGTGGAATGTCAGACCCTAGTCATCCTGAAGTCAGGGTCTTCTCATTCATCTTTCATTTTGTTTGAGGAAACAGTAACTTAAGGATGACATTAGTAATTCGTCTTATTTTCCTGTTATTTACCTGATAAGGATCAGCACCCTCTTCTCTGAAAATAGCAGTTTACCTATGTGGGTATGGAATGTAGGAGACCTCTAGCTGAATGGATCTCTGGTGTGTTCTCTTCCATTTCATATCCCTTTTTTTGCTTACTTTCAGGTCCCGTATCCAGTCTATTTTAGATTTTTAACTCTTCACAGAACCTAGGTATTATCACTTACTAGTTAGTATATGAACTCAACCAGCAATTCCTAAGATATCTTTTTTTTTTTTTTTTACTGACTGGGGGATCTAACTGGGTTCCTGTTCACTCTTAACATGGAAGCAATTAAAAGGCAACACAGCAAACTTCTAACAAAGTCTAGCAGCTGGAGTTCCTTAAACTGTTTATACTGGGTTTAAAGAGGAATCGCTCTTGATTCCGCTTAATACGTCAACTGGAGAGTACAAGGTAGTGTTCCATGACTTGGGTTCTACAATGTGCCAACTTGCACTTAAGAGCATTTAGTTGAGGGGAAGGGTTTAGGAGTGGAGTTCCAGTTGAAGAGTCATTGACTAAACATTTTAGAGTTGAGAGACTCATAGCAGTCATATAATCTAGCAGTAACAAATAGATGTCCTTTCTTGTGCCTATTCAAATGAATTGACAGTAACTGTCTGGAGTTATTTAATGTATTGTTTGGGAAGAATCTGAGGTCTCCAGTACAACAGGAAAGACAGCTGTGTTTGTACCTCCAGTACAACAGGAGGGTTAGAGAATGAATGCTAGAATGTTGCCAGCCCTGATCTAGCCCCACTGCCTCATTTCACAGGTGGAACTAAAGCCCAGCTGAATGATTTGTTCTTGCTTTCTCCTTCTACTCGAGATAGAACCAGGACCTGAATCCAGGCCTACTTGTTTCTAGTCATTGCTGTTTTCACTATAACCAGGTCTCTCATATCCCTGTCCCTTTTTTTTTTCCTGGCTTCATTTTCAGATTTGGGAGAACGATGGGGGAAAATAAAAGGAAAAAATAAAATCTATGTTTTTTGGAGTTCCATTACATATATATACAAAACATACACAGCCTTTGCCAAGTGGGAGTAACTCTTCTGCTGACAAAGGGGTATTGTGGGATGGGCAGAAGTGACCTCGTCTCCTTTCTTGAGCCTCTTTTATACATTCCAGCTCAGCCCAGCTTTCAGATTGTTTTACAGGGCCGAATGCTTCTAGACAATGCTTTATTTCCTAGGATTTGGTATAGCTGAGTTTTTAAGTGTGGAAAAGAGTGATTATGAAAAATGTTTGAGAAGACAGCACTGTCCTCAGAGACTGTGTTTTTACACTTGGACAGGTAGCAAATGTTTGTTTTCATTAAAACTTTAATAGTTTTCCTAATTTGTTTCACTGTCATAAAGCCCAGCAATCATGGAGCTGAGGGTGCTTACCCACTGGGAAAAATCATCCCTGAGAATGTTAGCTTTTTTTTTTTTTTTTTTTCCCCAACTCAGATTTTTATTCCAGTCCTGGAAGGCCTAACATTCAGTCCTCGAAGGCATAACATTCAGTGTCATGAAATTCATCATCTATACCATAGGCAGGAGTGGCTAAATTTCTTTTACTCTGCAGAACTGGCTTGGAAAATATTTTGTACTGTCTATTTCTTGGGAGTAATTTGAGAAATAATTGACTTTACTACAGAATCCTCTCCATCCTCTGGATCAGTGAGTAGCCTCAAGGTATATTGTCTAAGAGTATGGGCTTTAGGGTTGTATAATCTTGAGTTTGAAAGTTGGTTGTTACTCATTAAACTATGTAACCTTGGACATAGTTAATGTACCTTTCTGCACCTGTTCCCTATCTTTAAAATAAGCATAATTGTGTTTGCCTCATGGAACTGTTACAAAGATTAAGTGGCACACGCATGATGATAAACACACAGTGCCTGGCAGATAATAATGGGTTCAGTAATGTTAATTTAGACGTCTCTTCCCTGCCTTCTTATCCTCAGTTCAGATTGAGCATATCCTCTGTGCTCTATGGGACCCAAAACCCCATAAGCTTTTAGAAAATATATTAAACAGGCCGGGTGCAGTGGCTCACGCCTGTAATCCCAGCACTTTGGGAGGCCGAGGCAGGTGGATCACGAGGTCGAGATCGAGACCATCCTGGCTAACACAGTGAAACCCCGTCTCTACTGAAAATACAGAAAACTAGCCGGGCGAGGTGGCGGGTGCCTGTAGTCCCACCTACTCAGGAGGCTGAGGCAGGAGAATGGCATGAACCTGGGAAGCGGAGCTTGCAGTGAGCCGAGATGGTACCACTGCACTCCAGCCTGGGCGACAGCAAGACTCCGTCTCAAAAAAAAAAAAATATACACACACACACACACACACACACACACACACAAAATAAATTTCTAATAGTTCTAGAAGACATGCTATCAGTGACTGGAATTTGTAATTATTTTTGAAAGATGGATAAAGACAAGATAACTGTGAAGAAATAAATAGAAAGATAGCCCAAAGCACATGCCAGGAGTAAGTTGCTGTGAGGTGGGAACTGATTACAGGAGGTTTTTGACCCAGAATTAAAGGGCAGAAGGAGTAGTGATAGGACCTGGGCATTTGTCTGGGTGATAAATTTGGACTCATTTTGGAATAGCTAGGTTAGATTTTCCTTTCCTGTCCTCTCACCCCACCAGAGCCTTCTTCCTTGAAGTAGTGGTGTTTCATTCTATTCTGAAGCAGTGGATAGGGACTCTGGCGGGAACTTCTGAGCATGCCCCAAGTGGTTACCGATTCCCAGGAGGAACTGGGAGGTGAGGAAAAATGTGCTGGCTTTTAGATTTGAATATCCCTGGAAAGCTTTGCAGAAGCTTGAAAACAGACTCACACCGCTATCCATGGTGGTGAAATGTCAGAATATTGAAAACATGAAAAGGAAAATCTAAAAGTTGTACATCAGCACCAGAGGTTCCAGTCAGAGTAATAGGCAAGAAGTAAAAAAGGAATACAGATTGGAAAGAAAAGGTAAAACAGTCTCCATTTGTAGATGATGTACTTATGTCTATAGAAAATCCTACTGAATAAACAAGAAAAAGTCTATAACGAAGTAGTTTCACAGGCTACAAGGTCATTATATAGCAGTTTATTGTACTTCTATATACTAGTAATGAAGAACTGAAGTTGAAATTTTAAAAGGTACTATCTTTAATCATTTCCATCTGAGACTTTTGTCAGCCTGGCCTTCACTGCCCGTATTTCTATCAGTATTTTGGTCAAAACCATTTAACAAATCTCTAAGAAGTTCCAGACTTTCCCTCATCTTCCTGTCTTCTTCTGAACCCTGCAAACTCTTCCAACTTCTGCCCATCAGAAAACATTAATTCTTAGGAATAAACTTAACAAATTGTATTTAAGACCGGTATGTCAACAATAACTAAACGCTGTCAAGAGAAAATCAAGACAAACGTAAATAGATGGAGAGAGAGATACCACGTCAGTCGATTGAAAGATTCAGTATTGGTGGTGGAACACATGGAAGTTGTCCCCAAATTGATCTGTAGAGTCAGTGTAATACCACAAGTTTGTTGTTGTTTTTTGCAGAAGCTTAAAAGGCAAAAACCAGACCACCTACAAGTAAGAAAGAATCCGATTCCCTCTTAAATATAGCACTGGATATTAGAATACACGGAAGAATTGAATAGCTTTAAATGTTTGAGAGGAAAATGGTTTAAATCTAGAAATTCCTTTTCTAAAGGAATTGCTCAAGGATATATTCTTGGGAAAAATCTAAGAAAATGGAAAGATAAGAAACAGCATAAAAAATTCAGTCCAAAAGATGTTGATTTGTGATATTGAACATTAACCAGTCAGCTAAAAATCCCCGATAATCTCATGATGGGAATTGGCGGAGCCACAGAGGAAGGAAAGAGAGAATGGTATGTAGTTCTTATTTGGAGAGAGTATGTAGTACTCAGTACAGTGCCTGATAACATAGATAATGAATATTGTTGAATAATTGCATCCTGATTAACTTTATATTGATAGAAAAGAAGTAGGCTTAAATATGTTTTTAAATCTCTAGAATAGAAACAGGATGTTTTCAAACCAGTAAATTCAACAAACAAGGATACAAGAACAAAAACTCCATCAACCAAACCAAAAAGGTGTCTTGTTTTGTTTCCCTTTGGGACTTGAAAGTAAAAAGCTAAAGTGACCTGCTTGCAAATAGAAGAATGACCTTCAGTAATGTTCACGTAAACAGATCTTCCATATGACAGCACTTGCCCTGCCAAGTGTCAGGCCACTGGGCAAATTAAAGGAGGATGGAGTGTAGGTCTTGAACACTAGAGAGGCCAGGTGTTTGGACTAACCTGTAGCATTTTATGTTTCTTGCAGATGTTCCCACAAGCCTGCATTTCCAGAGCATGCTGAAATCTCAGTGGCAGAACAAGCCTTTTGACAAAATCAAACCTCCCAAAAAGTTATCGCTTAAGCACAGAGCACCCATGCCGGGCAGTCTGCCAGATTCAGCTCGTAAGGACAGGCACAAATTGGTCAGCTCCTTCCTAACAACAGCCAGTAAGTGTCAGGGAGCCGGGAAGTCCCCCAGAGTATCAGTGACTTTTCATTCCTTTTATATTCTCAAATTTGTAGTTTGCATGCATGTTGGGGTTGGGAGAGGCAGTTGACCGATAAAAAATTCAGCTCACAGTGACTGCTTCTGCTTGTCTTGGATGCTCTCAGATGGACTTCGGGAGCTATTCTAGACACCATGGATCTTGGAGCAAGACCCAAAATGCTCAGTGAACAGCCAGCAATGGCATGGCATTGAGTTCATCTACGGGCAGGTGTCTTCTGTATCCTGGTGACATGTTTCTCTGGTTCTGGGCTCCCTGTGCCTATCCTAGCCATTGTGCAAATTACTAGAAACTTCAGTCCTGAAGGACTGTCCTGCTGCCCTGGGTATACGGCGTTGGCCTAGAGAGAACTCGAGAGCTTGGAACTCGAATAAGAAAATATTTGAGAGGACATATTTCACAGCTCTTTTTCTGTTCCCCTCTTCAGAGCTGTCCCATCACCAAACCCGGCCTGACAGGACCCACAGGCAGCACTTAGACGATGTGGGGGCCGTGCCCATGGTGGAGCGAGTGACAGCGCCAAAAGCAGAGCGCTTGCTCAACCCACCACCACCCGTGCATGACCCAAACCACAGCAAAATGAGATTGCGAGACCATTCATCTGAGAGAAGTGAAGGTAGGGCCAGGCCCATGGCACCTCTACCTGCAACTGCACCTGCTCAGGGCTTTCTGGGGCAGCCTAGGCTTCTCTTAATTACCCCCAGCTTTGTCCTTCACTTTCTAGGAAAGCAGAGTAGAGGGACGCTACTGCTTCTAAATGGAGGTCACTTCTTAACTGCTACAGCAACCTCTGCCCTGCCCCTACTTCCCACAGCTAGTGTGCTTCACCTTTTTATCCTCTAGGCATAGAAAACATTTTTGCCTTTAGTATGTATTGCTGCCATTCCAAGCTTGTGTTAGAAGTAACGCTGGTTAAGATAGCCATGTATTTCTCTCTTTTCTGTTGACTTCTGCAGTGTTGAAGCATCACACAGACATGAGCAGTTCGAGCTACTTGGCAGCCACCCACCATCCTCCACACAGTCCCTTGGTGCGACAGCTCTCCACCTCCTCAGATTCCCCTGCACCCGCCAGCTCTAGCTCACAGGTTACAGCCAGCACATCGGTAAGTACCTGTGTGGGGTTGGCCGGACACCCCCTCTGCAGGTCACAGCTCACTCAAGTGGCTCCAGAGGACAGTGTGAGGGTGGGTTATAAAGCCCAGGGCATTTATAGGATCTCAGCTCATCATGACATATGTATGTATGTCTGTACCATTTTTAAGTCAAAGTCATGGTACTTGACCTTCTGTTGTTTTTCTTGAGTTGTTTTTCATAGCAGAGATGGATTTATGCTGAGCCATCCATAGAAAGCTTGATGCAGGGACAAACTCTTAAGGTGATCTGTGACTATTCAAGATCTGTTGGACTAAGTTTCACACAGGACTCAACAGTTCCGTGGCCCTAATCCTGTTGGCCCAAGAAGTGAACAAGAGAGGAGGGGTGGGTAGAGGGGAGATTCCCATGGGCGTTGGAAGCAGTGTTTGATTTCCTTGGTTTTACTCTCTGGGTGAGTGGAGGTGAAGTACTAAGAATAAACACTAGGCGTGAGGGTACCAGAAGAGAAGGGAAGGGAGAAGGCAGAGTCCATGCTTTTTAGGTATACAGAGCAGAATTACAGATCCAGCAGGCCCCCATGGCAGGACATTTGGCATGCACACACCAGATTTTACGATACCACACTCCATCTGGAAGCAGTTTGCACAGCTATTCCAGACACATTTCCTTTAATTTCATTCTAATATTTTAATTCCTCAAGTGTGCCCTCTTGGAACATACATACCTGTAGCTGCTATGGACCTACTCAAAGGGTCCTTTTTGTATAATAATTACAATGTAATGTAATGGTAAATGTAAAAGTCTGCAACTGTAATGTTTATTGAACACTTACTACATACCAGTGATCAGTGATTTACATGTGTTACATGTTATAATGCCTTTTGAGATGTAGGTTGGTACTGTGGATTTCATTTTATATGCATGAAAACTGTCAAGGCAACTTGTGAGGGTTATAATTATGATTCAAACTCAGGCAGCCTGACTGTAGAGCCAGCTCTTTTACCATTACACTACACAGGCTAAGCCTGGGTGAGGGTATTGCAGAGGCAACTTAGGAAGTTCCTTCAGAGCCTAGATCAGGAAACTTCCAAGCTCATAAAATGGACTCACTAGGCTCCTGTGATCAGGTAGGAATTCACATTGTTCTCTCTTTGCTGTTACAAATCAATCTTTTCCAAATGGTCTCTTTGCTCTTCGACTTTCTTTACCCCCGTAACCCACAAATTTTATCTAAATAGGTGTGTAGTGTCCCTCACATACTCAGTTATCCAGCAGCAAAGGGTTTCAGATAACCAAAGTATTTATAAAAAAGAGTCTAAACTAATTCTGATAGAAAATCTGAACTCAGAGATTCAGGACTTGGTGAGCACTTCAATATTTCTGTGTCTGGAGAATGTTAACTTAGGCCTGGATCACTTGAAATTTTTACCATTTATTGAGTAAAAATTTTGTGTATAGCACTATGCTAACCCCTGAGGCTCTCTCATTGCCAAGTTTTTTCAAAGACTCTGGATTTATGTAAAAGAAGATAGGCCAGGCACAGTGGCGCTCACCTATAATCCCAGCACTTGGGGAGGCGGCTGAGGCGGGTGGATCACTTGAGGTCAGGAGTTCGAGACCATCCTGGCCAATAAGGTGAAACCCTATCCCTACTAAAAATACAAAAATTAACTGGGCGTGGTGGCATGTGCCTATAGTTCCAGCTACTCTGAGGCAGGAGAATCACTTGAACTGGGAAGCGGAGGTTCCAGTGAGCGGAGATCAAGCCATTGCACTCAAGCCTGGGCGTCGCAGCAAGACTTCGTCTCAAAAAAAAAAAAAGAAAGAAGATAGGCCAGATAACAGCAGGCTCTCAGTATCTGCAGTATCTGCAGTGGGGATTGGTTCCAGGACCTCCCATAGATAGCAAAAGCTATTGTTGCTCATGTCCCTAATATAAAATGGCATAGTATTTGCATATAACCTATGTGTATGCTTTAAATCCCATATACTTTAAATCATCTCCAGATTACTGATAATACCTAATGCAATGTAAATGCTATAAAAATAGTATGCTGTATTGTTTAGAGAATAATGAAAAGAAAAATCTGTACCTTTTCAGTACAGACACAATTTTTTTCCCCCAAATATTTTCAATCCACAATTGGTTGAACCCATGGATACAAAGGGCCAGCTCTCCTTGAAATCAAGTAAAGAAGCCAGAGGACACTGGAGAAAGGTAGGGAGGAGAGCGAGTGTTTTTGTCAGTGCTTCCCAAAAGCCAGTAGCTGCATCAGAATCACCTCAGCAGCTTTAAAAAACAAAACCAACCAACCAGACACTTCTAAAGATCTGATTTGTTGCTGGCTGTGATATTGCATGCCTGTAGCTCCAGCTACTCAGGAAGATCTCTTCAGCCCAGGAGATTGAGTCCAGCCTGGACAACATAGTGAGACCTCATCTCTTAAACAAACAAACAAACAAAATTCTGATTTTATAAAAGAGCGGGGGGGAGTCCTAGAACCTTTTTTTTTTTTTTAAAAAATACTCCTTAATGTTGCTTCTGATATACAACCAAGTTTGGGAACCAGTTTTATTCTCATCACCTGCTCTCTATCTCTGGCTCTAAATAGGAGATAGTAGTTAATTTAGACCTAATGAGTAGCTAACATAATAGGGGGTGTGTCTAGGCAGAGGATGAGATAAGAGCCCGTTGAACCATCCCACAACCTGCTCCAGTATCTTTTTCTCGAAGGTACTAACAACAAGCCCAAGAAGTTTCAGGGAAAGTGTATACCTGTTTCTGCCAGCAGTTTCACATTTATTCTTGACCAAGATACTGGGAAGGCTGTCTCTCTTGAGGCTTTCTTAAGATGCATTTCTTGTAGTGGGATGTATAATTTCAGCACAGATCTGGCAGTGGCAGAGGTCTCTGGGTATGAGATCACTAATCCTCAGCTACAGAACTCAGGCAAGATCCCCAAAAGTCTGTTTAACCATTTTGGTTAACCAGATATCCTAAATTTCTGAGGTCAATGGCAGTCATCTGATTTGATAGAGAAAGAAATTGAAGTGAAAAGGGCATTGTGGTCATCTGAAGTTATAAATGACAGTGACTGAAACTCTGGCCCAGGAAGTGCTGACTTTTAACATTCTCTGAGAATGTCCTAAGATGATAGGATGAATAAAGGGTATCTCACCGTCCAGGAACAGAGGATAGAGGGGTTAGTTATAGGGGACTTCTTACTCCTCCAACCCCTTCCCTGTGGACTGACCACACTTGGTGGTTTAGGTATAAATGCAGCCTCTTAGGTGTTTTCCAGCTGTTTTGTTGCCATGGCAGCGTGTTTGTTATGCCACTGTTTCCTTCTGGCCTCTCACAGCTCAGTTGCTAGTCTCTGTTTCAGGATAGGGTATTAACTATCTGGGCAGCAGCAGCTAGTAGACTTCTTCCTCCATCCAAGAGACTAAGCCATTTAGTTCCCTAGTCTCCCAGCTACTGTAGATGCTTACCTCTGCCTCTGATATTCGATCCTTGGAAGTCTTATTTTTCCAAGAGTTTGGTCTTCTCAACTATTTCCTATAGAAGCAAATTTCCTTTCACCAGGAATGTGAGGTATAGTCAGGTTCTCCTCTTTAGTTTCCCTCCATTCATCTCCTTTGATACAGCTAGAAAGCTCTCAGCTCTTTCCCCAAGAATCATCAAAAGAGGGGAAATCACATAAAGACTGGGCAGATGGTGGGTGCAGATTTAGCTGAAGAGTTCAGATCTTTGAGAAGGAGGTGCATTCATGACAACCAAGGTTAGATGATGTATTGAGATGGGCCTATCCTTTGGGCCTCTTTCAGCATAAGCTTTCAAGCATTGCTTTTAGGGGAGGGGCCACTATGAGTCTTAAGTCATAAACGGGGATAAAGGAAGGAAATAAAGATTGTAAAAGGAGAGGAGGTTAATAGAGGTGTATATAGAGTAGGAACCCCAACAGTTAAGATCCCAGGTACCCACCCCTATGAAATTTACGCATGAGCCCTTGAAGGAAGAGGGTGACCAGTGGGACTTATGAATGGGACTAACTCCTCATGACCACCTGGTATTTCTCCGTGAGGTTTTTTGCTGTTGGAGACTGACTCCTAGGTGGGAGCAGCTGCTATGGTCATTACTCAGCTTCAACCCAAGGACCCAGATGCTTGGTTATTGGTGATCCTGCTTTAACTCTTAGATGAATGATTTGATGTCTGTAAAATTGTACCTTCCTTTTAAACTTAATTTTTATCTTACAGCAGCAGCCAGTAAGGAGGAGAAGGGGAGAGAGCTCATTTGATATTAACAACATTGTCATCCCAATGTCTGTTGCTGCAACAACTCGCGTAGAGAAACTGCAATACAAGGAAATCCTTACGCCCAGGTAGAAGCTCAGAATAGTTGGCTCCTCTCCCCATTCTTCCTGCTATTGCCCTTTTTCCCTCTTCTCTTCTGACCAAGAGTTGGGCCCTAGTCTTTGGTTCTGTCTTCTCATTAAGAGAAATTCTTATCTGATAAGAACGAAATTATTTCTGTATATAGTTCTCTCTCATTCCATTATAGGAATACACCAAACGAACCAGCAGTCACAGCCTGGTAGGCCATTCACTTACTGGTCTAGAGACCGGTTTTGTCAACACATACAGTATGTTTTAAAATACTGAATTTGTTGTCAACATCAAAGCAGGATTTCACATAAAAATCTTTGTTTCCAGCTTTTGTTGCCAAACAGAAGATTAGGCAACCCTGGGTATGCATTTCCATATGGGAGCAATCAGCTGGTCCTGAACAGTGGTGGTCCTCTTTAAACAGGTTTCTTTTCTTGTGTTTGTCACAGTCTCTCAGCCTCAGCCTTACCCTAGGCCGCTTCTCTCATTTCTGGCCTTCTTGGGCATTTGAGTAGGTGGCCAATTTCACAGGCCTTGACAGGGTAGGGAGACTGAGCTGTGATAGGGCAGAGCCTACCCGGCAGAGAGCAGTGTCACCCACAGGTGCAGGATTCTCATCCTTGCATGGACACTTTGACCCTGCCCCCAGTTTTAGCCTGCTTGCCATCTCATGATTGTCTGTTCTTGGTTTTGCAGCTGGCGGGAGGTTGATCTTCAGTCTCTGAAGGGGAGTCCTGATGAGGAGAATGAAGAGGTAATGGCCTGGTTCTTCTGTTAGAAGAACACGTGTGTACACATGCACACATACATATGAGTGCACACACCCTAAATGGCCTGAAGACTTGTGGGTGTGAAGTGCAAGCTCCTTGTATTCCTGTCGTGACCGGGAAGAACCTAGAATGGGGTGGGACTGGTTCTTAACTCCTGGAGAAAAGAGGGGATCGATGAAGCTGCTCTATTGCAGATTGAGGACCTATCCGACGCAGCCTTCGCCGCCCTGCATGCCAAATGTGAGGAGATGGAGAGGGCACGGTGGCTGTGGACCACGAGTGTGCCACCCCAGCGGCGGGGCAGCAGGTGATGGGGCAGGCTTGGGTCCCCAGGGCCTGTGGAGAGAGGGTGGACAGGGAGTTTGGGCCCTACTTGAGTCCATGGAATTGCTACTGCCTCTTGGTTGCTCATCATACTCATCTACTGGCAGTGGCAAATAGCTCAGAATTTCCTTGGTGTTTGTTGGAACTAGTGGAGATACATGGAACTAGTGGAGATATAAGGAGCCAAGTGCTAGATCCTTGCTGAGAAGTCACTATGTAATTCTGAATTCCCATGATCTGTGGCATTTGGAAGACAGTTGGGGGGTCATGGTGATTCAACCCGGGGAGCTTGGAAGGCCTCGCTACAAGTTAACCTTCCTTTGGACAGTGGCTTTGTGATGCCACTTGAAGAAACTGCCCCCCCTTAACGTCCATCACTACCCTGTCTCCATTTATTGTTAACAGTGGCAGAAACCCTCGGGATTCTCAAGTAGAAAGTTTTGGGAGCTCTTACTTTTACTTTTTTTTCTTTGACTACAGTTTTCAAAGTCTACACGAATCTCCCTAACCTCCTGAATTCACTAGGCACTTTGCTATGGACTCACCTGGCATTGTTCAGCCATGCTTTTTTCTTGGGATGGTAAATGTTGTATACCTACCCCTCCAGAGAATAGTGGGAAGAAATGGGAGTTGCTGGATCCTAAGGAAAATCTGTTGGTGTTTGTTTGCCTCAACTCCTCCAGTGGGGATGCTTTTTTCATGCCCTCTACCCCCATAAGTAAACATTTCCCAGGCACTCAGATTTGCATTCCTTGGTGTGCAGGTCCTACAGGTCATCAGACGGCCGGACAACCCCCCAGCTGGGCAGTGCCAACCCCTCCACCCCCCAGCCTGCCTCCCCTGATGTCAGCAGTAGCCACTCTTTGTCAGAATACTCCCATGGTCAGTCCCCTAGGAGCCCCATTAGCCCGGAACTGCACTCAGCACCCCTCACCCCTGTGGCTCGGGACACTCCGCGACACTTAGCCAGTGAGGATACCCGTTGTTCCACACCAGAGCTGGGGCTGGATGAACAGGTAAGGGACGCAGCCTTTGGGTGGGGTTGGCATGGTTGGGGGATGGAACCAGGAAGGGGCAGCATCTGCTGAAGAGGGACCTAGCCATCCCCTCCCCCTTTTGAAGGGACAAAGGGCTGCACTTAAATTGATCTCCTCAACGTTCAGTGGAACTGTATTGATCACTGCTAAATGATCAATACAGTTGTCTGGGTATACCCTAGGAGGGGTGTTCCCAGACTGTCGCAGGAACACTAGATAGACTGGTCCTAGGCTCCAGGCCACAAGGTTTGTGGCAGGGCCTTGGAGCAGGAAGCAGGCTGGCTGGGACTGGGTCCTCAAAGAGCAACTTGTCTGCCTACAGTCTGTCCAGCCCTGGGAGCGGCGGACCTTCCCCCTGGCGCACAGTCCCCAGGCGGAGTGTGAGGACCAGCTGGATGCACAGGAGCGAGCAGCCCGCTGCACTCGACGCACCTCAGGCAGCAAGACTGGCCGGGAGACAGAGGCAGCGCCCACCTCGCCTCCCATTGTCCCCCTCAAGAGTCGGCATCTGGTGGCAGCAGCCACAGCTCAGCGCCCGACTCACAGATGAGCGGGAGACAGCCATCTAAACAGACTCACTAACTATTGGCATTAAAGCTTCAGAAATCTCTGCGTTTGATATTCAAACATCATATGCCGGAAATTTTCACAGTTTTTAGTGAACTTAAGGAATTTAGATCCTACTTTGGTATTTTTTTTTCTTGTTTTAATTTTTGTTTTGTTTTTGTTTCCATGTTTTCTTGTCACACACCTGAGCACTTCCTCCCGTTGGCAAACAGAAGTTCAGGATGAGACCCTGCTGGCCTGGTCCTGGCACATCCTCTGCACTGTTGAATCACTGGACTTACTGATCTTAGATGACCACCCCCTCCCTCACACCTGTGGGCAGGGCAGAACAGCCTGGCGGGCTACAGTTTAGCATGGCCTTCTTGAGCTAGGGTGGAATGGGGCAGGGTGCTCTGGACTCTTACCCCCTCCCCTCCCATCTGTGGCTTGGCTCTGCTGTGGCCCTCCTGGCTGGGTCCCCTTGGTTTTTCGTGCTGGAACATCCCCACCAGAGCCTCTCTGCCATAACTGCCAGCTGCTCTCCCCGAGTGCTCAGCTGGCAGAACACCTTTCCTTTCTCACCCAGAACTTAAGAGACTGATTTTTTGTTTCATCTGCATTTGGTCTTCTCTGTTTTGACTCTTTCACTGCAGTAACCTGGCTGTGGCTGCTCAGGTTCCCCTCCTCATGCCCCTTGGTACCCTTCCCTGTCTGCTCTCCCATGCCATGTACACACCCACAACCCGTCCTTCCACTTGGAATATTTTTACCACCTATCCTGATCTTTGAAGGTAGGGTTAGGACTACTTAACCTCTATTCCCACTCCCCTGCAAACTGGGGGTTGTGGGAAGTGAGCAGCCATCTCCCTGTGTGATTTTTTTTTTTTTTCCCTCTGATTCACTTTGCCATGTTTCCTTCACATCCAGATCCCTGTCGGTGTTAGTTCCACTCTTGGTCTTTCACGCTCCCCTTGCCTGTGGAACATTGTCTGGTCCTAGCTGTGGTTCCCATTGTTCCCCCTTCACCCTTCTCTGTTAACCTTGTGCCTGTCTCCTGTATGATCACATCACCAAAAAGGGGGAGGGGGGAGAAGACTCTTTTTTTTTGGCCATTTTGTAATCGTATAAAAATAGTAGACAACTGCTTAATGGTTGGGGTTTTTTCACAATTTTCAACATTAGTGATTTTTTTTTCTGTTTGCAAGTTAAAGGGTTTGTCATTGTTTCTTTAAAAAAAAATACAATAATGCACCATATCCCTATGCATAAAGTGCTTCTTCTATTTATAAGGTTGAAAATTCTGAATAACCCTTTTAGCATTGAAAAAAAAAACAAAAACAAAAAATGGAAAAAAAAAACCTTGTATTTTGTAAATATTTTCTTTTCCTGCTTTGGAGCTGTGTAATGGCAGCGAAACATGTAGCTGTCTTTGTTCTATAGAAATGCTTTTCTTCAGAGAAGCTGATCTTTGTTAATGTCTTGATTCTGTTCGCAAAGCACAGACTAGTGCTTAAAAAAAAAAAAGAAGGAAAAATTGAAAAAAATAAAAAAAAAAGTTACAGAATGCTGTGTACCAGGCCTTTCTTGACTTACTGAACTGTGTATGCATGGTAGTGTTGGCAGTTTCGGAGCTGGCTCTCTGCCGCCGTTCTTTGGGGTACTCTGACTTGCTCTATACCTTGGAAAATCTCCATTCTGTCTTGTGGGAACGCCGCAGGTTGATCTGATGGCCACCAGAGAGAGAATGGTGGTGGCTTTTCACTGAGGGTAAGGGCTGCCAGGAGGAGAGGGGATCTGCATTGATCATCTCTTTTTTCTTTTTGTTGAGTGAAAGCAGTTGATGCACTTTCTCTCTAGTGAAGTCAGCTGTATGATATTTTCTATCTGTTCTAAGTTGCTCTTTAAAGGAGATTTTGCTTCTCACTGTTAAATTTTTCTGAGGTTTGGTGGGGTCAGTGAGATACATAATTTGCTTAGAGCCTGGATTGGTTCTTGCCTGCTGCCTGAGATTATAACATCTTTCTTCTGAGGAGGTTACACGCTTTTTTTTTTTATTGTTTGAGATGGGATCTTGCTCGATTGTCCAGACTGGAGTGCAGTGGTGCAATCTTGGCTCACTGCAGCCTGGATCTCCTTCCTGGCCTCAAGAGATCCTCCCACCACAGCCTTACCAGTAGCTGGGACTGTAGGCATGTGCCACCATACCCAGCTAGTTTTCGTGGGTTTTTTGTGGAGATAGTGTCTCACTATGTAGCCTAGGCTGGTAGGTGCTTTTTTTTTGTACAAGATGAATAAGTGGGTGGGGCTGGTTCTCCCTCTGCTCTCTTCTTTGCATGGCAGTCAAGCTGAAACAGCCAGTGAGGCTGTCTCTTGTGGCTCTGAAAGCCATGCTCTCTGAGATAGCACTTCTCTTTTGCTGGCCTGTTGCTGCTTTTGTAGCTGCAGTTAAAATCTGTTTTACTTAAACATCTGCCTGCGGTGGCAAACACATCAGGAAGAGCAAAGAAAAGTAGTATTTTGAAACAATCTAAGGATTCAGTATCATGACCTTGGCATAGTTACTAAGGAATAATATGATGGATTACTGTTTTGTTTTTGTTTTCCTTTGTGGCATTGCTATGAAGATGCTATCTGGTTATCCCTATCTTGGTTTAGCAGAAATACTCCTCAATCTATAATAAGGTACCAAAGGAAAGAAGGCAGCTCTGCAAACCTAGCAGGAATCTAAGCCATTCATTAAGCTGATTGGCTTGGTGTTCTGCTCCAGCCCCAGGCCTCTGGACTAAATTTCCAGGGATGAAAGATCCCATATCCTCATCCCCAACCTTCTCAGGTTTGCATACACTGGTGCCGGTCTTGCAAACTGAGTGCTGCATCGTGAGGTCAGCCACAAGGCTTTGTATTGCCCTTTGAATGGGACTAGGATGGTTTGCCAGCATCACAAAGAAGCAACTGCAAATGAGCAAGTCTGAGAACTCTCACCTTCAGGGCCCCAGAGAGAGCTGTTAATCCTGATGTCCAGCTTTTATTAATACTATCATTTCCTGTTCTGAGCTAAATTATCTAAGGGTGCGTGGGAAAGAACTTAAAAAATAGACATTCTATATGACTTTCTTGTCCTTGGAATCCATGAATGGAGACCTTATTTAATCAGAGTAATAACTTTATTTCCAAATTCACTTTTACAGCAACAGTCAGTGTAAATCATTTGTTAAAACACACAATACACTATATAGACATTCACAGACAGAAAGCTAAGCTAAGATGATTTCATGTCCCTCCCCCCACCCTCAGAATTACCGAAGAAATCATGGGACTTGCAAGTGCCAGAAATAGTCCTGCTCAACATGGCAAACTCATGGGGCTAAGTCTATTAGGAGGTGAGGCTCTAGGCCAGTGCCCAGGGTAACCCTTTTCAAAGCTGAAGAGAAATCAGAAGTTTTATGAAGCTGCAGGTCTGTAGATGGGACACGCAGGTGATCACCTCTGCCCTCGCCCCGACCTCGTGGCTTTACTTGGAGAACAAAGATGAGGAGGGTGAAGCGAGTGATCTCAGCTCCAAAAGCACAGGCTGTGTGTCTGGAGCCAGTGTGAGAGGTGGCACAGAGGTGCCAACGGCTTAGAGGGAAGGATGCCAAGGTCTTAGGGAGGCATGATTGTGGGCTTAGGACCCCTGAAAGAGGGCAGCAGGCCAAAGCAACCAGATGTCCATATTCCTACGCCTGCACCTGGCTGGGGAGGGAATGAACTAGCCAGCTGCCTGGGAAAGCCTGTCAGTGGAAAAGAGAAACCCCAAGGGCCTCTAACTCCGTGGCTGCTCCCTCCCTCTAGCAAATGTGGTTGAAATCATGAAAAGGGTTACGAGGCAGTTTAAGTGCTGCACCCCAAGATCTCCCTTTGCCCATGTTAACTATCTTACACATTCCTCCCCCCTCCCCCCATAGCACAACAAGCAATAGCAAACAGGATACAGTCTCACCACTGAAGTCAATTTAAATGGAACTATTGATAAAGTGAGTCAGCAGCTTGAAGGAGCCGGCATACAGTATATCCTATCTAGCCCACCCAAGGACACTGGCTCTGCAGGTGGGAGAAGTGAGGGGAGGGGAGGAGTGCCCAGCCCTGGGGGGATTGTCCTCATTTAAGATCACAAGCCAGCGTGCCTTTTCAATTTATCTGCCAGCACTGATCACCCTAAACCATGATCTTAGGCTGGCCCCAAGAGCCTGCCCCACAAGGGGGAGATCCCAGAGCCTTCCGTATAAGAAGGCCCATGGTGCTGAAGAGCAGGGCACAAGAACTTCAGGAAGAGGAACCGAGGTGCGTGAAGAAATGCAGCCGAAACTGTTGGCAGTAATGAGGGGGGCATATCTCTAACCACCACCAAATCTACCCCACATTTCCTTCTCCTTCTCAGATCCCTTCAACTTAGGAGAATTGCTGGGACTCAGCGAACGGCAGGGAGGCTCTTGGTGGAGAGTTCTGGGCCCAGAGACTTCCTTTCAGGTAAAGCTCTAGCTGCACACGAAGCTGCCAGCCCCAGGGGAGGCCCTGGATTTCTACTGCCAAGTCCCTCAGGGTTGCCTTTAACTGTACCCAAACCAGAAGTGGCAGAATTGGGCCTGAGGCTGCTGAGTTTCTTTAGGCAGCAATGTTTTGCAAAGGCGGCTTCCCTTTTCTCATGGCAGCAGATGGAGTTTGTGCAAGGTCAGCGGGCTGAGGTGCTCTGGTCAAGGCTTTGGGAACAGTGTCTCCTGACTTGTCAAGTCATCCTTCCTCAGGCAGGCAGCTTGGGCCTCTAGAGCAGATCCAGGACAGGCAATTCATCCCAATCCCTGCTGTGGTCGCAGGGCCCTTGGTGGGAGGCTGCGCTGCCCCTCCAGAGGGCGAGCTTGGAGAGGAACCCAGTCTGAGGGGTGGCTGAGGCTCACGGAGCTTCTGGGAGCTGCAGATCCCCCCAGCTGGCAGTGGCTTCCTTTTTCTTGTGATGCAGGAGTTGTAAGCCTCCTTTGGGACTGCCATGAGACTTCGGGCTATGACCAGAGAGAACCATCCTCGCGCCGCAAGCCAGACCAGCCACAAGACCTAGTCTGTGCCCTGACACAGGGAGCCCCAAGGGGAAGTAGGGAAGGGGACATCATCGCTTCAGTCCTAATCCTGTGCTTCAGGCCTTCGTCACAGCTGAACGGCCTCCTTAGCTGCTAGAAGCTGGTCTCTGTTGGGTCCCAGGTGCTGAGGAAAGCCTTTCAAAACTTGGGAGGCCCCAGCAGGGTGGCACCACACAGGCCACACGAGTCCCAGTGTGGGGGTGAGAGACACCTCGTGAGGGTGGGTTAGAAACCTCTTTACAAGCATTTCAAGATACATGCGTCCTTTTTTTTTTTTTTTTTTCTTTTCACTATCATAGTCACTCTGGTGAATCCAAGCATAAACAGACAAATCCAACTACAACTCAACAGGGTGCAGATGGGGAGGGCAGGGCAACATCTATGTATATGTTCAGCTGCTCCAGCAGAACAGACAGCATGGCTTCCAGCTGGGACTGGGGGAAAAGAACCATTTCCAAGGGGGTGTGTTCCCCTTTGTCGGGTGTGGAGGGCTGATACTATGCATGTGGAGCTGAGCAGCGGGCTGGGCTGTCTGGGAGGTTGGCAGCTACAAGCTAGGGTGCAAGTGGGGGACAGCGGGACTGTGGGCCTGCCCTGGGTGCCTTGCCCTTCCATCCTGGTGCCACCACTGACAACCAAGACACCCAGCCTGCTGCTGTGGGCTCAGCACAGGAAGGGGCCAGGCCTTCTCAGGGGAAAGGGCTCTCTCCATGTCAACAAGGCAGAAACACCTAGGGTCACAGCTGAGCAGTGCCCTGGCTCACATCTGTGACGGGAGGAGGAGACAGGGAACCGAATCAGATCATGAGATTCGTGGTGAGGGTCCCAGTTGGATGAGTGGAACTGAGAGTGAGAGGCTGGGGTCCCACTCTTGTGCCTGGACTTTGCCTTCCCTTAATTTCACCCTCAGTATGGAGTAGGTACCTCCTGCAACCAACCAGGGTCATTACTGAGAAGGGGTGGTGAGGCTGGGAATTCGGGACATTGTGACGTGTGATGAGGGGTATAGGCAGTGATTGGGCTCTCACGGCAGACAACAGCACAGCGGCGCAGACGGGGTGACTGCAGTGGCCGTGGGAAGGACAGGGGGCTCGGGACCTGCCTCCCAGACCCCCACACACTCCAGAGATGCCAGTGGCCCAGGCTTGGAAACGGGTGGACGTCTCCCAAGAGGCACAAGTCCTTACAAAGAGAACTGGTTAGCCCTAAAGTCCCAGGTCTGCAAAGTGGCCAAAATCATGGCAGCAGTTCCAACCTTCAGAACTCAATAAAACAGGGTTTCTGTGGAGCAGAGGGAAGCCCCTCAACTCAGGCCCCCTACCCTGCAGGGAGGGAGGAAGAGGCCAGCGCTCTCAAGACATCAAGGTCAGTCTTTTCTAAGGAGGTCATCCACGAAGTGCCACCCTCCTGCCAGCTTGCCTTCTCTTTTTACCCGCTGTCCCTTCTCCCACAGGCTGCCCTGCAGAGGGTGGCACACTGACCCACAGCAGGCCCCCACCCCCGGCCACCAAGGACAGGCGGCCGCTCAGACGCTGCAGGTGGCATAGGCCTTGGCTCTCCCAGCGGCAAGGAGGGGGATGTCTACTCTCCAGCACGTGGCTTCCTCTCCCACTCCCACTTCTTGTGCTTCCTCTCCCCTCTGCCCAGCCCCTGCCTCGGCCTCCCCCGTGGCCTCCCGCCCCACCCCAACCCCCGTCACACTCACACAAGGTTGACATCGTCTGCCTGTGGCTCCACGAACACACCAAGTTTCAAATCCTTTGTTGCTGCCACTGCCTCTGTGACACCCCCACAACAGGGCCAGAGGTGGTTGGCACCCCCAGTCCCTTGAAATCCCCCAGAAGCAGCTTTCAGAGCCTCTCCTTCTCCCTCTTCTACATGGAGGGGGAAGAAAAAAGAATCAAAAGGAATTGCCTGAGGAAATGTTGGATGTGGCCATGTTTTTGAATGTTTTTTTTTAAATATTTTATTACTAGCCCACCCATCAATTTGGAAAGATGAAATTTGCTCTTACTCCCATCACTGATTTTGAAGTCCCGAGCCAAAGCCGAGTGACAAAAGCAGGTTAAGTGATTAACCAATTAACCGAACTGCGAGGAGCAGCTGGGGGCAGAGGGCGGGGGCCGGGTCATTATTCTTTTTTTTTCCACACTCTCTCATTCTCTCCTCTCCACAATTATTGACCGCCCCAGGGGCCTGATCACAAACCCTGCTTGGCCAGGGAGGCAGACACCTCGTCAGCTAGCGTGGCGAGCTGGGGCGAGTCTACCATGTCGATGCTGCCGGTGGAGGAGACATTGCTGAGATGCCGTGGAGACGTGTCCCCAGACACCACTGGCGACTTGTACACGATCTCCGCCCCGTGGTCTGTCTTGGCTTTGGCGTTCTCGCGGAAGGTCAGCTTGTGGGTTTCAATCTGCAAGAAGAGGAAGGGAGGGAGGGTGAGATGAAGTGCCAGAGAAAGACCAGCCCTGCCAACTGCCCTGCCAGGCCTGGCCCAGAGTGCCAGGGACTGTTTTTTGTTTGTTTTTGAGACAGGGTCTTGCTCTATCGCCCAGGCTAGAGTGCGGTGGCACAATCTCACCTCACTGCAGCCTTGACCTCCCAGGCTCAGGTGATTCTCCCACCTCAGCCTCCCGAGTAGCTGGGATTACAGGTGCATGCCACCACACCTGGCTAATTTTTTGTATTTTTAATAGAAACGGGGTTTTGCTATGTTGCCCAGGCTGGTCTTGAACTCCTGGACGCAAGCAATCTGCCCGCCTCAGCCTCTCAGAGTGCTGCCATTACAGGCGTGAGCCACTGCGCCTGGCCAGGAGCTGTTGTTTTTATTGTCTTCCAATTGGTAATACCTGTGCCCACTCCTTCCCTGACCTGCCTCCCAGGCACCCAGGTACCCTCCCCAGAGACAGTGATCATTTTAAGTTTCTTGTGTACCCTCCAGAGATATTCCACACATAAACAAACACGTGTGAGTGTATAGATACACAGGCTGCTTAGTATTCCGTCGCCACGGATGTACCAAAAGGCATCTACTCCTCTGTGGATGGATGTGTAGGCTGCTCCCGCCTTTAGTGATTACAGGCAATGGTGTGTATGAACAACCTCAGATAAATAAACCCGTATGAACATCATGTCACACACGTGTAAGTGGGTCCTAGAAGTGAAGCTCTTAGGTCAAAAGGCATGCACATTTTATTTTAATAGATATTGCCAGATTGCAAAGGAAAATGTGGAAGGAGAAGCTGGAGAAGATCAAGGATGTCTCCCACAGCCACTGATGCCCAGACATGAGCCACACATTCCTCCTGTTTGCCAGTGACTGATGAGTTTGGAGGGGCAGCAACTGTGGGCAACACTGGCAGGTGGGCCACAAAACATGACATGACAAAGGCCTTTTTATGTGTGGATGGGTGGATGGATGACTGTCTAGCGACTTATCTATCCATCTATTTATCTATCTATCTATCTATCAATCATCTACCTATCTACTTGCCCAGGCTGGCCTCAAATTCCTGGGCTCAAGCAATCTTCCCACCTTAACCTCCAGAGCAACTGGGACTACAGGCTCATGCCATCGTGCCTGGCTGAAGCCCTTTTGAAAGTAGAGAAACACATGACCTAGCCAGGAGTCCCAAAGGATACCAGGAAACACAGAAGCAGAAAGTGTTCACTGGAGAAGTGAGCAGTGCACAGCAATTCCTGATGACCCTGAAGTGGCCGACACGGTCATTCTCAGCCCTTTTTGGGTCCTAGGCTCTTTGAGCATCTGGTAAAGCCAAAAATATGTGTGCACATGTCCATCCACACTCACACACAGCCATTTTCCATATAATTTTAGGAGTCCATGGATGCGGGGTGAAGGGCCCCTATTGCAGGGGCTTGAATGGGCGTAGAGAAAACCAGGTTCGCATTTAAGCTAGATGCATATTTTGTTCATTTGGGGTCACTACTTTGAAAAAAGGATTGTTCTCTATTACTGTATACTGTATTTTATCTTTTTTTTTTTTTTTTTTTTGAGACAAAGATTCACCTTGTCACCCACGCTGGAGTGCAGTGGCACGATCTCAGCTCACTGCAACCTCCGCCTCCGGGATCAAGCAATTCTCCTGCCTCGGCCTCCCAAGTAGCTGGGACTACAGGTGTGTGCCACCACACCCAGCTAATTTTTGTATTTTTTGTAGAGATGGGATTTGGCTGTGTTGGCCAGGTTGGTCTTGAACTCCTGATTTCAGGTGATCTGCCTGCCTTGGCCTCCCAAAGTGCTGGGGTTACAGGCATGAGCCACCATGCCTGACCTGTTACTGTATTTTCTTGAAAGACCATTTAATACAGGCTTTGATAAAAATATTTATGTTAATGTTTTTTGAAGTGTTTTTTAAGACATTCCTGGGAATGTCCAAAAATCCCCAAACTGAAAGGAACCCAGGAGGCTGGTGGTGTGCCCCACTGCTTGTTAGCAATTTTTCTCAATACACTGGGAAAACAGGGGACTAATGCTGCGGGGATCCCCAGGACCAGGATGGTGTTTTCTGAGTAGGGGGCAGGGCCCTGCCTACCCTTCCTGAGCTATCACATGGACGAGTTTGAAACAGAAGGAGCCAAGAAGCTGAGACTCAGCGTGGCTCTAACTCAGGTTCTTAGAGGACTGCAACGCACCAGGAACCTTCCAGAACATTGTCTTTTTTGGGTCTCACAACCACCCCGGGACGTAGGTACAGCATTTCCATTTCATCTTGCTGAAGGAGAAACTGAGGCTGAGAGGATTTGCGGATCTTGACTTTCAAAGCAGAGTCAAGCCCAGAGCTTTTCCTAACACAGAGAAGCTTCCAGAGACTGTGAGGGGCCTCCTTTCACCCAGGAAATCACCAATGCTCAGGCCCTATCCAGACCCACTCAGTCAGACTGTGGGGATGGGGCCAGGCCCAGATATCTTTAAAGTGCCCCGAGGCTGGGAGGCCCTGCCTTAGACCAGGGGAGGCCTGGGGTTAGAAACAGCAGAGAAGCTTACTGCTTCCCCAGATAACTGGACCTGGCCCCCACATCTCTTGAGGCGGACAGCCTCCTGGTCCCTCCTCGTTTTCTCACTTTGGATAGCGACCCAGCCGCTGAAAAGTATCCCTGTCGCGCAACCCGAGAGCTCTCGGCCAGCTACGGGCCAGTGCCCTCCCCTGCCTCAGGGCGTGTCTGGAGGTAAGGTCTGCCCCAGGCCACAGTTCGCAGCATCTGCAGCAAGGCTGTATCAGCAAACCCTTCTCACAAAACTACATTGTTAGACATTAATCACAAATACAAGATGAGGGTGCCCATCTGTTCAGAACCAGAGGCAGTGGCAAGAGGGGAGGGCGGGGACTGGCCAGGGCAGGGGTCTCTCAGCTGCTACTTGAGTGGCCTGGTGGAAAGACGGCCCGGCTGCCACTTCCACCCAACTGGGCCACCATGAGAAGCATACTTTCTCATGCTGACTTGGGTCTCAGACCCTATACCCTTTCTGGGACGCCCTGATATGGTTTGGCTGTGTCCCCACCCAAATGTCATCTTGAATTGTAGTTCCCACAATTCCTACATGTTGTGGGAGGGACCTGGTGGGAGGTAATTGAATCATAGAGGAGGGTCTTTCCCGTGCTGTTCTCATGATAGTGAATAAGTCTCCCGAGATCTGATGGTTTTATAAAGGGGAGTTCCCCTGCACAAGCTCTTTTCTCTTGTCTGCCACCGTGTGAGACAAGCCTTTCACCTTCCACCATGATTGTCAGGCCTCCCCAGTCACGTGGAACTGTGAGTCCATCAGACCTCTATCTTTTAGACTGCCCAGTATCGGGTATGTCTTCATCAGCGGCGTGAAAACGGACTAATACAATCCCTTTTCCCTCCACCACTCCCCAGTCAGCTGCTGGGAGACCCTGAAGGTTGGAAAGTGAGCCACTCCCAGAACTTCAGGCTGGGTGTGGGCCTGAAACCCCAGAGGGTGCTTGGCTGCGCTTCTGCAGAAGAGAAGCAGCAGCTACCAGACCGCATCCTGTGCCAGGCCTAGACAGAGCTCACCCAGCGCCACACACACCCTCACTGCACAGACACCCACAGCAAGACCTAGAGACTAGAAACTGCTGGGGACACCAAGGCCCCAGCAGCCTCATGTGGATACTTCCAAGACAGGCAGGCAGAGGCTTTGCTGAAATCAGGATTTCGGCATCATTGTTTTGCTCTAAGTGCCTAGTAACCCATTTAGAAAATTAGGTTATGTTCCCATGACTTGTTCTTGGTGCGCCACAGCTGACTGGGGATGTCCACTTCCTTTTTTAGTTGCCTGCAAACATCAGGGCCTAGGACAGTGGTTCTCGCTTTTTTTTTTTTTTTTGTGAGATGGAATCTCACTCTGTTGCCCAGGCTGGAGTGCAGTGGCACGATCTCGGCTCACTACAACCTCTGTCCCCTGGGTTCAAGCAATTCTCATGCCTCAGCCTCCCAAGTAGCTGGGATTACAGGCACGCACCACCACACCCAGCTAACTTTTGTATTTTTAGTAGAGATGGGGTTTTACCATGTTGGCCAGGCTGGTCTTGAACTCCTGACCTCAAGCCATCTGCCCACCTTCGCCTCCCAAGGTGCTGGGATTACAGGCATGAGCCACCGCACCCAGCCAGTTCTCACTTTTGACTGCACTGAAGAATCACCTGGGAGCTTTAAAAACTGCAGTGACTTAGGCCGAGCACTGTGGCTCACACCTGTAATCCCAGCACCTTGGGAGGCCGAGGTGGGCATATTGCTTGACCTCAGGAGTTCAAGACCAGCCTGGGCAACGTGGCAAAACCTCGTCTCCACAGGAAATACAAAATATTTAGCCAGGCATAGTGGCAGGTACCTGTAGTTCCAGCTACCTGGGAGGCTGAGGTGGGAAGATCACCTGACCCAGGGAGGTAGAGGCTGCAGTGAGCCGAGATCATGCCAGTGCACTCCAGCCTGGATGACAGAGGGAGACTGATATGGTTTGGCTGTGTCCCCACCCAAATCTCATCTTGAATTGTAGCTCCCATAATTCCATGTGTCATGGGAGGGACCCAGTGGGAGGTAACTGAATCATGGGGGCGGGTCTTTCCCATGCTGTTCTCATGATAGTGAATAAATCTCATGAGGTCTGATGGTTTTATAAATGGGAGTTCCCCTGCACACGCTCTCTTGCCTGTCGCCATGTAAGAAATGCCTTTGCTTCTCCTTTGCCTTCCGCCATGATTTTGAGGCCTCCCCAGCCATGTGGAACTGTGAGTCCATTAAACCTCTTTCCTTTATAAATTACCCAGTCTTGGGTATGTCTTTATTAGCAGTGTGAGAATGGACTAATACAGAGACCCTGCCTTAAATACATAAAAATAAATAAAAACAAAAACTCCAGCAACCGAGCTGCCCCTGAGACCCATTGGTCAGCCTCTCCAGGTTGGGGCCCAGGTGTGAAACGTGCTAAAGCTCCAGGTGATTGAGACAGGCAGTGGAGACCCACTGGATGCTGCTGAGGGCCCACATCCAGCCAGTCAACACAGAAGCCTCTGTTTTCCTCCTCTGGGAACTGGACCAGCCTTTGTCCACTCAACTTGATTAATGCCCATATACCCAAGGGCAGCATCCAACCCACCCTACCCCCTTTACCTTTTTATTTCCTCCGCCAGGGACGTGGGTGATATTGTCCAGGGACCCAATCTTCGACTGGACTCTGTCCTTGAAGTCAAGCTTCTCAGATTTTACTTCCACCTGGCCACCTCCTAGAACACAACACACACAAGAGCATCTTGCCATCATCTTCTGTGGTTCTGTGGACTTAACATACATTACATGAGGTCTGCAGTCTACAGGGCAAAGTGCCAGGGGCTGCTGGGGCACAGCAAAAATTAGATTGGGTGCCACTGCTCTGGAGGGAAGAAGACAATGACAGGACTTCCAGGTTTGCAGCAGGACTTGAACCAGGGCCAAGCAAGTGGTTCCAAGTAGAGACCAGCCTTTAGAAGTAGGTAAGACTCCTTTAGAATGGTGTTTGGATACAAGTAAGTCCTTGCAAAGCTCTTGAAAATAGTTTGCTTCATCTATATAATCAAAGTGTGCATCAAATATTTACACTGTAAACTCTTCTTCTTGAGATACTGCAAAAGTAAATGACAGCTCAGCCCAGGAAAAATTACTCTAAATATACATTGGTTGGCTTCCAGTAAGTAAAGTCTGTTTTTTTTTTTTTTTTCTTGAGACAGAGTCTTGCTCTGTCGCCCAGGCTGGAGTGCAGTGGCATGGTCTCTGCTCACTGCAAGCTCCGCCTCCCGGGTTCATGCCATTCTCCTGCCTCAGCCAACCGAGTGGCTGGGACTACAGGTGCCTGCCACCACGCCCAGCTAATTTTTTGTATTTTCAGTAGAGATGGGGTTTCACTGTGTTAGCCAGGATGGTCTCAATCTCCTGACCTCCTGATCTGCCTGCCTCGGCCTCCCAAAGTGCTGGGATTACAGGCATGAGCCACTGCGCCCGGCCCATTAAGTGAAGTCTTTTCTATATCAACATCCTGTAAACCATGACCCCACAAGACCTTGGAATTAAATTGAATGTCAAAATGCACACTAAATAAGAACCCTTTCAGGCCGGGCGTGGTGGCTCATGCCTGTAATCCTAGCACTTTGGGAGGCCGAGGCAGGTGGATCACCTGAGGTCAGGAGTTTGAGACCAGTCTGACCAACATGGTGAAACCTCGTCTCTACTAAAAAAAAAATACAAAAATTAGTTGAGCATGGTGGCGGGCACCTGTAATCCCAGCTACTTGGGAAGCTGAGACAGGAGAATTGCTTGAATCCAGGAGGTGGAGGTTGCAGTGAGCCGAGATTGTGCCATTACATTCCAGCCTGGGCAATGAGAGTACAACTCCATCTCAAAAAAAAAAAAAAAAAAAAAAAAAAAAAATTAGCCAGGCATGTTGGCATGTGCCTGTAATCTCAGCTACTCAGGAGGCTGAGGCAGGAGAATCACTTGAACCCAGGAGGCGGAGGTTGCAGTGAGCCGAGATCGCACCACTGCACTCCAGCCTGGGAACAGAAGAAGGGTCCCTCTCTAAATAAATAAATAAGGACCCTTTCTCCCTCCTGACGCTTGACACCATGCCCAAGCATGGGACAAGGCATGAGGAAGAGACAGCCCACAGGACTTTCCAGGGAAAGATGACAAAAGCAGCTCCCAGCTGCTCTCACAGCTGGGGTGGTGGCACCACTTGTGGAATACTTTCCACAGGGAGACTAAATCCCACAAAGTGTCCAAGGGAGCCAGAAAATAAGGAGTCACATTCTAGACTGAACTTCTCATGGCCTTCTCTTCCCACAGTAAGGGTTCAAGTAAAAATCAGCCCTGAATAGGGCCTAAGGCAGAAGTCCCCGCTCTGGACTCTCGGGGTGGGGTGACAGAATCTATAGCTGTGTCGTCCGATATGGCAGCCACTCTTCCTCAACTGTACCAGCCATGTTTCAAGTGCCACATGTAGCTAGTGGCTACTATACTGGACAGCACAGATACAGAATATTTCCATCACTGCAGAAAGAAGTATAGACAGCACTGATTTCTTTCTTTCTTTCTTTCTTTTTTTGCTGAGTCTCACTCTGTCACCTAGGCTGGTATGCAGTGGCGCGATCTTGGCTCACTGCAAGCTCCGCCTCCCAGGTTCATGCCATTCTCCTGCCTCAGCCTCCCAAGTAGTTGGGACTACAGGTGCCTGCCACCATGCCCGGCTAATTTTTTGTATTTTTAGTAGAGACAGGGTTTCACTGTGTTAGCCAGGATGGTCTTGATCTCCTGACCTCGTGATCCGCCTGCCTTGGCCTCCCAAAGTGCTGCGATTACAGGCATGAGCCACCGCGCCTGGCCGACAGCACTAATTTCTACACAGTGTGAGGTGGGGAGGGGAGTAAGCATGGTTCCAGTAGGATCACTTTCTTTTCTTTTTCTTTCTTTTTTTTTTTTTTTGAGACGGAGTCTCACTCCCTCACCCAAGCTGGAGTGCATTGGCACGATCTTGGCTCACTCAGCCTCTGCCTCCTGGGTTCAAGTGATTCTCCTGCTTCAGCCTCCCAAGTAGCTGGGATTACAGGCATGTGCCACCATGCCTGGCTAGTTTTTGTATTTTTAGTAGACATGGGGTTTCGCCATGTCGGCCAGGCTGATCTCCAACTCCTGACCTCAGGCAATCTGCCCACCCCCGCCTCCCAAGGTGCTGGGATTATAGGTGTGGGCCACCACAGCCGGCCCAGAGCATCATTTTCTGTTTAAACAAAGTCACAGAGGGGACATGGCAGTGACCCAGGGTTCCTGTGCTGTAGCTGCTGCCGATGGTGAAGTGTCTCCCATGTTGGCTGGGGACCAAGCTCATGCATCCATATAGCTGAACCTCGAGTCTGAGAGGCCCTGTGGACAGCTTGCAGGGAGAACAACGGGTTAGGGGTTAAGGCCAGCATCTCGCCTCCCTCTTCACCTTAAAAAATATATTTTTTTAATTTTTGTGGGTACATAGTTAGGTGTATATATTTATGGGGCTCATGAGATGTTTTGATACAGACACACAATGTATAATAATCACATCATGGAAAATGGGGTATCCATCCCCTCAAACATTTGTCCTTTGTGTTACAAACAATCCATTTATATTCTTTTAGGTTTTTGTTGTGTGTTTGTTTTTGTTTTTGTTTTTGTTTTTGTTTTGAGACGGAGTCTCACTCTCTCGCCCAGGCTGGAGTGCAGTGGCACAATCTCGGCTCACTGCAAGCTCCGCCTCCCAGGTTCATGCCATTCTCCTGCCTCAGCCTTGTGAGTAGCTGGGACTATAGGCACCTGCCACCACGCCTGGCTAATTTTTTGTATTTTTAGTAGAGACCGGGTTTCACCGTGTTAGCCAGGATGGTCTATATCTCCTGACCTTGTGATCCGCTCGCCTCGGCCTCCCAAAGTGCTGGGATTACAGGCGTGAGCCACCGTGCCCAGCTGTATTTTTATTTTTATTTTTGAGACGGAGTTTCACTGTCACCCAGGCTGGAGTGCAGTGGCAAGATCTCGGCTCACTGCAACCTCTGCCTCCCAGGTTCAAGTGATTCTCCTGCCTCAGCCTCCCGAGTAGCTGGGATTACAGGCGCCCGCCACCATGCCTGGCTAATTTTTGTATTTTTAGTAGAGATGGGGTTTCACCATGTTGGCCAGGCTGGTCTCAAACGCCCACCTCAGCCTCCCAAAGTACTGGGATTACAGACGTAAGCCACTGCACCCGGCTATCTTTTAGTTATTTTTAAATGTACAATTAAATTATTATTGACTATAGTCACCCTGTTGCACTATCAAATACTAGGTCTTATTCTATTTTTTTTGTACCCATTGACCATCCCCCCACCATCCCCTCACTACCCTTCCCAGCCTCTGGTAACCATCCTTCTATTCTCTATCTCCTGGATCCCACAAAGAAGCGAGAACATGTGCTTTTTTTTTTTGAGACGGAGTCTCGCTCTGTCGCCCAGGCTGGAGTGCAGTGGCGCGATCTCTGCTCACTCCGCTCACTGCAAGCTCCGCCTTCCGGGTTCACGCCATTTTCCTGCCTCAGCCTCCGGAGTAGCTGGGACTACAGGCGCCCACCACCACGCCCGGCTAATTTTTTGTATTTTTAGTAGAGACGGGGTTTCACTGTGTTAGCCAGGATGGTCTCAATCTCCTGACCTCATGATCCACCCACCTTGGCCTCCCAAAGTGCTGGAATTACAGGCGTGAGCCACAGCGCCCGGCCGAGAATATGTGCTTTCTTTCTGTGCCTGCCTTATTTCACTTCACTCCCGCCTCACCTTGTCTTGGGCAGCATGGCCTGGGCAGGAGCGAGCTGGAGCCACCACGCCTCCTGGGCTCCCGCAAGTTTCACACTCAACACTTTCCTTGATGTAGGTCTACCTAAAATATCCTTTCCAGCCCCTTCTGAAGTCTGGAGCAGTTCCAGCCTCACCAGGACTCCTCCACCCCCTGCACCCTCCCGTCCCAACCCTCACCTTCCACAGGGCTACCTGGTTTATGATGGATGTTGCCTAATGAGCCACACTTGGAGGTCACCTTGCTCAGGTCAACTGGTTTGTAGACTATTTGCACCTGGAGATGAGAGAGGAGGAGAGAGAAGAGGAAAGGCAGAGAGAGAGGAAGACAGAGAGACAAAAAGGATAAAATGGGATTATTTTATTAAGGGTGTAACTCAATGAGAAGCAGCTGTGTAAGCCCAGGCCCTTATTGGACAGTGGTTCCCAGCTGCCATGAGGAGCACATCCTAGTCAGGGTGGAAAAATGTGTTGTCGAAATTCTGCCAACCCTGCCCCAGGGGAGCTGGGGACTGTGGGACTGGAGTGTCTTCAATCCCTGCAGAACAAAAGAGCCTCTGGGAAAAACAGGGACCCATTGTCATTGTGCAAGACCCAGACATTTGCTCAGCAAACGCTTAAGTGTAAAAATGTCACTCCCTTTCCTGACATGAAATTGACAGATCACAATCAGGCATGAAGAAAAAAGTGATCAATATGATGAGTATGCACAGCATCTGAAAAATCTTGCTGGAAAGGCAGGAGTGGGGTATCTGCTGGGCCTCAAAGAGGGGAGGCGCTGTGAGGGTCGATGCGTGGGCTTTATTCCAGGAAAAGCTTCCACGGACCCTGGAAAGCACTAGAGCAAAGACCATCAGTAAGCAGGACCCAGCGGAGTTCAGCAGCTCGGACGTGAGAACCAGCAGGCACCTGCACACTCAGTGTCCTGGACATTCCTGTCTTTAGCAATAGGAACAAAGCAACACCAACAGGGTGGGTAGGTGGCACAGCAGAAACCAACAGATTTAGTGTCTCAGTAAGCTCGAGCGGACGCAGACACACATGAGGAGGCCTGTGGCCTCCAGGGCACCGCTCCCTCTGGGAATGATGACCCTGAGCTGCCAGCTGATCTCAGTCAAAGAACCAGCTCCCCTGTGGGGGGCACGCTGTAGGGACTCCACAGTGGCAGACAGACAGGTCCCTTGGAGGCAGGCCTCTATGCAGCCATGGCTGTGTGGGGCCTGGGGGGCAGGTCACTGATTGACATTCCTGGAGTCCCCAGGGCCTCCAGCAGTGGCCTTGTGTGGGGTCACCTGAGGGTGCAAGGGGGCAGCCACCTCCCACCTATCAGTCAGCTCCCGAGGAAGCACCGCCCTGGAGCTTCCTGGGAGACAGCTGGCTTCATGGCTGAAGATGGTTTATCAAGGTCACCAAAAAACAAGGTGCAGGGCAGGTGGTGGTTTCTCCTTCCACTTAGGTCTAAACTGGAACCATCCCGAATTATTTTGGTGTCAGCTGGCATGTGCTCTTTATGGATGGGGAGTTAACTGGGGCAGAGATGGCTGAGACCCATGTGTGTCAGGGCGGACATGATCTGTGGCAAGGACGTTGGGGGACAGGGAGGATGGATGGCGCGCGGCCTGGCTTGGAGAGAGCTGTGCTCTGAGGCCAGCACTGAGGGGGTGGACCAGGGCCGAGGGAGGTGGGAGGACGTGCTGGTATGACCAGGGCCTCCTTCCCTCTTCCCTCTGGCCTGGGTGAGGTAACTCGTGAGAGGGGGAGGGGGGCTGGGACAGGGACCAGGGAACGGCCAGAAAGGAGAGGAGTGGATGGCAGTGGGAGCCAGGGCCGGTGGTCAGGATACCTGGAGGGCAGGGAGGGGGACAGCAGGCCCTGCAGAGCTTCCAGGGTCCAGCCAGGAGGCAGAAGGGTCCCAGGTAGAGAAGGAGCAGGGCCAGCCTGCTGGGAAGGGGCCCCCAGGCTGGGGAGAGGCTAGGGCTCAGGCCAGGGATCCAGTGCCCCCAGATGCCAGGGGCTGGCATCTCTTCTCACCAGGAGAAGGGCTTCCTGTGAAGGTGCTCAGAGGGCAGTGCTCAGCCCGGGACATCTGGTGGCTCTCTGCCAGGTCACAGGCTAGACCGCAGACAAGCAGAGCGCGGGACACAGGCTAGCCCGCAGACGAGCACAGCGCGGGTCACAGGCTAGCCCGCAGATGAACACAGCGCGGGACACACGGGCGGGCCCCAGGGAGGTCCCAGATGTCCTGGGCACTGCAGCGTCTTTGGGCATCAGCTACCCAGAGGGGTTGGCCACGCAGCCCGTGTGCACTCTCTCCCCAGCTCCGCCTCAGCAGCACAGCCTCCACCAGGGCACCAGACTTGACTTCAACCAGAAAGCACATGGCCTTCCTCCTCTGGCCGAGCTCACTTTGAGGAAGCCAGAGAACCAGGATCAAAGCTCAAACAGCTGAAAACAGCAATCCCAGGAACAAGGGCCCGGGCAGGGGTGGGGGCGGCACACACCTCTTCTGTCCCCTCACAGCAGACAAACTGGGGGGACAGGAGAGCAGGGCGTGGGAGACAGAGGAGACACTTAGCAGACACTGGTGAGGAAGCGTTAGTTAGCCCCATGCAGCAGCCGCAGGGCAAGCGCTTGCTACCTGTGGGACTCAAGGGGCCTCAGGGCAGAAGCCGGGATCCAGGTGCTCAGGGCAGGAAGCAGCAGCACATTGCAAGAATAAACCCTCTGGGCTGGATGCGGGTGGCTGCCTCAGGCCAGGCATTTTCTGGAGACAGCCCACCCCGGAGCCACAGCAGTGTCCCGGTACTGCCAGCCAGGGCCAGGTGATTGCTCTCAAAAATCAACGCCTCCCACCCCAAGGGTCTCATACGTCCAGCTCCCCAGGGTGTTAACAGTTTGCTTTCAGCTGACCAAGAGAGCTGGTGGGAGAGGAGCCTCGGGTGCCCAGTCGACATAGACCGGCCAGGGGATGATGAAGCCTCAGCTTATCGGGTGGGTCAGTTGCACTTGAGGATCTGAGTCCCGAATCTCACGGAGACACTCCACAGAAGATGCACGGAGTCCCCGGGGACATTTAGAGGAAGCCAAATCTATTTATTTTAAAATTATTATATGATTGTTTTTTGAGACAAAGTCTCACTCTGTTGCCTAGGTTGAAGTGCAGTGGCGCGATCATGGCTCCTTGCAACTTCCGCCTCCCGGACTCAGGCAATCCTCCCACCTCAGCCTCCCAAGTAGCTGGGACTACAGGTGCGTGCCACCACACCTGGCTAATTTTAATTCTTTTTGTAGACACAGGGGTCTCATTGTTGCCCAGGCTGGTCTTGAACTCCTGGGCTCAAGCGAACCTCCCGCCTTAGTCTCCCAAAGTGCTGGAATTACAGGCACGAGCCACCACTCCTGGCAAGAGGCAGCCAAATCTAAAAGGGCCAAAAGCAGCATTTCTCTGCCACACCTCAACGCTGGGCAGAGGGACCTGTCGCACTTTGGTTTGGCTCTTTGCATCTGGAGTCTCTGCCAGAGGGTGGCGCAGGCTAAGCATAAGCTGGAGGCTTAGGAATCGGCTCCTGCCTTGAACGTGTAGGAGCAGCAGCTGAGCAGGACAGTAAGACCTTGGTGTCCGCTCATCAGAACAAACGGGTCACCTGTCCACAGTGGAGCCACTCAACGTCAACCTGCCCAGGTGTCGGGGGAGGAGGCGGCAGCCCAGTCTCAGGTGCCACCACCTTCAGCCCAACTTCCAATGGGCTATGGGGCTCCTGGGGACAGGGCTGGGCATGAGTGGAAGGAGACTTTGATGGGTATTCTCAGCTTCCCAGGCAGGGTCCGGAGAGAGGGTCCGTCATCTGCCCTATTCTGTCCACACAGCCTGCGCAGGCTGGGGGACCCAGAAATGCTGGGACACCCCCTCCTAGAATATGAGGAAGGGGCTTCTGGGAACAGTGGACCGTGTGGGGGAATGTGGGGAGCCGGGCTACATTCACCCAGAGGTCGCAGCCAGATCCTGAGAGCCCAAGAAGGATTTATTCTATGCAGTGTCTCGCAAGTGTACGCACTCACACCACTTCCTAATAATTCAAGCCACAGCACGGCGCATGGGACGTGTGAAGGTACTCACACTGCCGCCTCCCGGGACGTGTTTGATATTATCCTTTGAGCCACACTTGGACTGGACGTTGCTAAGATCCAGCTTCTTATTAATTATCTGCACCTTTGGTAGCCAGAAAAAAGGATGAGTGACACGCCACCCTGGACCCGCCTGCTTGCTCGCAAGGACGCCTCCACTTTCGATGAGTGACATGCGCCACCCTGGACCCGCCTACTTGCTCGCAAGGATGCCTCCACTTTCGGACTTGGCAGAGGCAGTCTGGGGAGTGACGGGAGGTTGAGTCACATCCCAGGGGAGCTGAAGGGATAGAGGGCTGCTCTGAAGGCATCCCAGAAGTGTGAGTGATTTCCAGCGGGCTTTACGAAGCTGGGATTGCAGGTCCTCACTTCACAAAAGGATGGCATCGTGAGGCCTGAACCCCAGAGGGGAGCGTTCACCAGCCTGAGGTCAAGTGAAAAATGTGTTCGGCCACACTGACGAGTGAGTAATAGGAAGTTCCCCGGCATCTCCACTCACACCTGGCTAGACCCACCGGCACATTCCCAGAGAACTCCCTGCGGCTGTTCTCAAGCCTGCCGGGCATCAGAATCACCTGTGGATTTTTACAATCTCAGCCCCTAGCCCTGACCTAGAATTAGAATCTAGGAGTCTGGCTTCAGTCTCTCTAGTTTTGAAAAGTTCCCCTGGTGATTCTGACACACAGCCAGGTTTGAGAAGCCCTGACCCCGTAGGCAGGACACAGGCCGCTTTGTGGGGAAGACAAATGTGGGGTGTCCCTTCTGTACGAGGGCTCTGTCCCTGCAAGGGGGGGCTGTGCCTTCTCCTTCCATCCACCCACCAGCCCTCTCCCACCCACAATGCCACTAGGTGCGTAACGGAAGCTGAGCAAATGCTCCCGTGGGGCTTTTTCTCAGCTCTTCCATAAGCAGGGGTGGCCTGGATGGGTCTCCCACGACTGCATTTCTGGAAGGTTCTTTCTGCAGACACCAGGGAGGTGTGAAAATATCAGCGTTTTGATGAGAAATGATTTTTACCAATTTGCCTAAGAACTATGAAATAGAAAACCATGGTTTAGGGAGTTGGAAAAACTGGACATTTTCTCTGCCAGATCAGTGAGAACGTCTTCCTCACCCGGTGACCTTTCCTCTCAGGAACTCTGGAAACAGTGGAAACAGTGTGCTTTGGGTTTTTTGTTTTGTTTTTTTTCTTTGTGAGATAGGGTCTCACTTTGTCACCCAGGCTGGAGTGCAGTGACACCATCACGGCTCAGTGCAGCCTCGACTTCCCAGGGCTCAGGGGATTCTCCTACTTCAGCCTCCCAAGTAGCTGGGACCACAGGCACATGCCACCACACCTGGCAAATTTTTTGTATTTTTTGTAGAGACGAGGTCATGCTATGTTGTCCAGGATAGTTTGAAACTCCTGGGCTCAAGCAATCAGCCCACCTCGGCTTCCCAAAGCCGATTACAAGCGTAAGCCACCATGCCTGTAATCTCAGCACTCTGGTTTTTATTCGTCTCAGGTGTAAATAATTGCCAAGTGGTGATCCCAGTGAAGGACCAGCCGTGCCCAGGCCGCTTCCGAAATCTTGAAAATGGCACTGAGACCTCAGTGGCTCTTTTGAGAATGCTGGGTGGAAACCACTGCCCTGGAGGCCCCATCAGCCTGGGCTGTCGGATCTGGGGTTGGAACTCCAGCCTGACTTCTGGTTCATCCCGTTTTTTTTCCCCTTAATTTTACTTGTCTGAATCTTCAATAGGAATCAATATCTAACTCATTTCTTCATAATCTTTTATGTTCCTTCAAAAGACTATGTATTTTTATTAGAAAATATAACGATTTTAAAAAACAGAGCTCATCAAAGCAAAAACCGTTTTCTTACCACCCTAACACAATCACGATTGCATTTTGTTGTATTTCCTTGAAGTCTCATTTATATATAACTACCCCTGTATACCTATACTTGGTAGAATTATTGTGCACATGCAATTTTGTATCTTGCTCTAAGAAGTGATATCATATCCTAGGCTGGGTACAGTGGCTCCTGTAATCCTAGCACTTTGGGAGGTCAAGGCTGGTGGATCACCTGACGTCAGGAGTTCAAGAGCAGCCTGGCCAACGTGGTGAAACCCCGTCTGTACTAAAAATACAAAAGTTAGCCAGGCATGGTGGTGCGCAACCCAGCTACTCGGGAGGTTGAGGAAGGAGAATAGCTTGAACCCGGGAGATGGAGGTTGCAGTGAGCTGAGATGGCGCCACTGAACTCCAGCCTGGGTGACAGAATGAGACTTCGTCTCAAAATACAAAAAACAACAAAAGAAGTGATATCATATCCTAAGCATTGTCTATGGTCTACGGTCATCAGAAGCACTATGTTTAATACTATGTCCCATTCCATTTTGTGAATATTGTTCCCCTGCTATCCAACATTTGTATTGATTCCACTTTGTACTTCAATAATACAAACAGTCCTGCAGGAGCTGGATTTGATGCAAAGAAAAAAAAAATACAAACAGCCTCCCATGAACCTCTTTCTGAAAGGAGCTTTTTCCATATGATGGGTTATTTTCATAACACAGAGTCCTAGAATAGAATTTCTGGGTCAAAGTTATAAATATTCTAAAACCTCTCGGTACAACTCTCCACATGGCTTTCTAAAAGGGTTGCATGAGTTTTCCCTGTGAGCCCTGGTGAGAGAGCCAGCCTCACCACATTGCTGCCAGCACTGGGTGTTTACAACATTGTTTTGCTTATTTTTTTTGACCAAAATAAAAGAAACTGCATTGCTGGCTTATTCTGCATCTCTCCAATTATGACTGAAATCGCTCCTTTACCCCCTTTTTGCTGATGGGTGTATTTTTTCTAACATGCACATATTTACATTTTAATTTATTTTTATTTATTCTTTTTATTATTTTTAAAATAGAGACAAGCTCTCACTCTGTCACCCAGGCTGGAATGCAGTGGCGCCATCGTAGCTCACTGCAGCCTTAAACTCCTGGGCTCAAGCAATCCTCCTGCCTCGGTCTCCCAAGTAGCTGGAACTACCGGTATGTGCTACCACGCCCAGCTAATTTTTAAAAATTCTTTGTGATGATGGGGTCTCGCTATGTCACCCAGGCCGGTCTCAAACTCCTGGGCTCAAGTGATTCTCTCACCTCAGCCTCACAAAGCACTGGGATTACAGGCGTGAACCACGGTGTCCAGCCTACATTTTAATTTACTTATTTATTTTTGTTTTATAATTTTTTAATTTTAAATTTATATGGGTACATAGTAGGTGTATATACTTGTGGGGTACATGAGATATTTAGATACAGACATACATTGTGCAATAATCACATCACGGTGAATGGGGTATCTATCACCTCAAGCATTTATCATTTCTTGTGTTATAAACATTCCAATTATACATTTTATTTTATTTTATTTATTTTATTTTATTTTATTTTATTTTATTATTTTATTTTATTTTATTTTTATTTTTTTGAGATAGAATCTTGCCTTGTCGCCCAGGCTGGAGTGCAGTGGCGCGATCTCGGCTCACTGCAAGCTCCGCCTCCCGGGTTCACGCCATTCTCCTGCCTCAGCCTCCCGAGTAGCTGGGACTACAGGCGCCCACCACCATGCCCGGCTAATTTTTTCTTTTTTTTGTATTTGTAGTAGAGACGGGGTTTCACCATGTTAGCTAGGATGGTCTCGATCTCCTGACCTCGTGATCGGCCCGCCTCGGCCTCCCAAAGTGCTGGGATTACAGGCGTGAGCCACCATGCCCAGCTAATTTTTGTATTTTTAGTAGAGACGGGGTTTCACCATGTTAGCCAGTCCAATTACACTCTTTTAGTTGTTTTTAAATGTACTATAAATTACTGTTGGCTGTCGTCACCCTGCTGTGCTATCCAATACTAGATCTATGCATGCTAACTACGTTTTTGTACCCATTAACCATCCCTACTTTCTCCCTGCTCCCCTCCACCCTCCTCAGCCTCTGGTAACCATCCTTCTACTCTCTATCTCCATGAGTTTAATTTTTAGCTCCCACAAATGTGTGAGAACATGTGAAGTCTGTCCTTCTGTCTGGCTTATTTCACTTAACATAATGTCCTCCAGTTCCATCCATGTTGTTTCAAATGACAGATTCTCATTCTTTTTCATGGCTGAATAGTATTCCATTGTGTATATGCACCACATTTTCTTTATCCATTTGTCTGTTGATGGACACTTGGGTTGCTTCCAAATCTTGGCTATTGTGAATAGCCCTGCAATCAACACAGGAGCGCCTGACCTACATTTTTAGATACTCAAATTCTTCCTTTGTAATTCCTTCTCTGGTGTTTCAATGTACAATCCACTCCTCCTTTAGAGATGGATAAATCTCTAGTGCCACATCACCTTTCTTGCCCACCGTCCCCACGTTAAGGACAAGGAGGCCATGTGAGGCTCGCTGAGGTTCCGCAACTTTCTCAGGTCAGAAGCAGCCACAGAAGAATCTAGATCTCAGAGTTTGTAGCCACAGGCTATCTATGTGACAACAAAGTTGTCCTGGGCTGTCCTCAAGGCTACAGCCTCATAAACCTAATAAAAACAATACTACTTTTTGGTGAATGTTGAAATTCTCTCCTGCCAGCAAGGAGACACTGTGACAGTGCCTCAGCCCAGGCTGGAGCTGCGGAAGGAGGTGGGACAGGCTTTCTCACACTGCTTCTCAAGGAGTCACTGTCGCCCTCTGCACAAGTCTTTGAATCAATTCATGCCACCCTCCGATTTTAAGGAATCCCACATAAACTCCTTCTTTGCGGATTATTTTTTAAATAAAAAAAAATAGTTTTAATGGAGATAGAGTCTTGCTATGCTGCCCAGCCCAGGTCTCAAATTCCTGGGCTCAAGTGGTCCTCTGGCCTCAGCCTCTGGAGTAGCCTCAGCACCTGTAGGCTTGACGATCATTTTTTATTCATAACTTTTCAGTGGATAAGGCTTAGAAGATTTGCCTGCTTTCAGAAAGGAGTGGGAACAGCTTAGAATTAGAAAACACACACAATAATAAAGCAGGAAAATGTAAAGAGTAACATTAGAAGAAGGGAAGGGCATCAACACTGATAATTACAAGAGTGATCATTACATTTAACTTTGAGCTTCCTGGAAGCCGAGGCAAAAAGGGAAATGTCATGGGTTATTTAACTCTCCTTATCTGACAAAGAAAACTTACCAGTTTTTCAAGGAAGAGAACTTTGTTTTCTGTACTAATCCATTAAAGAAATTAAACAAATGAATCAAAGGACATTAAGCAATAATTCAGTATCTGCCACATACTTAGAAATGTTTTTTTCTGGCCGGGCACGGTGGCTCACGCCTGTAATCTCAGCACTTTGGGAGGCCGAGGCAGGCAGATGACGAGGTCAGGAGATTGAGACCATCCTGGCTAACACGGTGAAACCCCGTCTCTACTAAAAATACAAAAAAATTAGCCAGGTGTGGTGGCGGGCACCTGCAGTCCCAGCTACTTGGGAGGCTGAGACAGGAGAATAGCATGAACCCGGGAGGTGGAGCTTGCAGTGGGCGGAGATCGCACCACTGCACTCCAGCCTGGGCGACAGAGTGAAACTCTGTCTCAAAAAAACAAGCAAACAAAAAAACAAAAAAGAAATTTTTTTTCCATGTGGCTTTTTCTTGTTCTAACCCCACAAAAAAGGCAACAAGCCTTTGTGAGATTTTACAATAGACACAAGGGTATTTACAAAGCAGACCTGAACTACTGCCAATTGTCACATTAAGTCAACACCGTTTATAGAATCTTAGATTTACAGAAGGGAGAGAAAAGAGGAATGGTTGTCATTATGAAATCAGAATCCTGAAATTTAATTTCTCAGCTACAGTAACATATATATTACACTTCAGCTCTGGATAGACACTGACAAAAACCATCAAGGGAGAGAACGATGTGTTGCAAGCTCCCAATTTTGATCCAGGGAACTCCTAGTCAGGGGAGAAATGTCTGTGGTCAGAGTTTGACCCTGAAGGAGAGGCTGTGGTGAGGTGGGGCTGGGGGTGTGTGTCCACTTGGTTTAATCAATTTCCTGGAGCACCCAAAGCAGCCCTAAGCTCTCACTAGACCTTGATCTGGTTTTGTTTGGGTTCAGTTCTCTCAAGGCTGTTCCAAAGAGCCCAGCCCTCCCTCCCTGGCCCCAAGCCTGCAGCCCCACAGCCCCACAGCCCCGTCCGTGCCTCACAGTTGGCTCCCAGGCTGGCCCAGACTTGGCCTGTCTCCAGCACTGCCTGGTGCTCGCTGTGCTGTGCTTTGCCTCACCAGGCTCAGCAAGCCCAGTGCAATACTCTGCTGGGAGTTTAACCCGGGGTGGGCACTGGATGCCCACACAAGCCTCCTCTTCAAGTCCAAGGTGATCAGCTTAGGAACTGACACAGGAAAACCTGTCTATGTCCTGTTAAGTCAGCTGGCCAAAGAAGAGATCAAATAACAGGGTAGAGTCACCTTCAGAATTATTTACACTGTCCTTTAAACAGTGATGAACCCAAGCTCCTTTAAAATGATTTGATTCACACAGATTTTTCAGAAGCACTGAGGTACAGGAAAAGATGCCTGGAGGGTCTCAGAGTTACAGAGCTGTCCTAGAGGAGGGTCCCAGCCTGGCTCTGCCCCCCACTTACTGTGGGGTCTGACATCTCAGCCCAAGCTCACCTGCATCCCTGGCCCTGATTGAGGAGAGGCAAACGATTCCACGTACAAATTCACTGTATTTATTCCACATAAATGTTCTACATAGATGCTTTTTAAAGTGACAACTGGGGCTTTGCTATTAAATATAATGTATTTTTAAGGGCAGGCGTGGTGGCTCACACCTGTAATCCCAGCACTTTGGGAGACCAAGGTAGGCAGATCACCTGAGGCCAGGAGTTTGAGACCAGCTTGGCAAACATGGTGACACCCCTCCTCTACTAAAAATATAAAAATTTGCTAGGCATGGTGGTGTGTGCTTGTAATCCCAGCTACTAGGGAGGCTGAGGCAGGAGAGTTGCTTCAACCTGGGAGGCGGAGGTTGCAGTGAGCCGAGATTGCACCACTGCACTCCAGCCTGGGTGACAGAGTGAGACTCTGTCTCAAAATAAATAAATAAAATGTATTTTTAGAATACTCAGTTCTCTATAATGGTCAGTGGTGTATGAGGAGGGAGGAAAGAGGGGTAAAAGGAGAGAGAAACAGATCGGAGAGATGGGCAGAGGTGACTGGGTAGAGACAGAGCAAGGCTGGGGGAAGGTGAAGACGAGAGTGCGCCCACACACACACACACACACACACGCCCTTAAAAAGAGAAGGTCGGGCATGGTGGCTCACACCTGTAATCCCAGCAATTTGCGAGGCTGAGGCAGGAGGATCACTTGAGCCCAGGAGTTCAAGACCATCCTGGGCGACACAGTGAAACCCCATCTCTACAAAAAATATAAGAAATTAGTTGGGCACTGTGGTGCAAGCCTGTGGTCCCAACTACTCAGGAGGCTGAGGTGGAAGGATCTCTTGAGCTCAGGACTTCAAGGCTGCAGTGAGCTATGATCGCACCACTGCACTCCAGCCTGGGCAACCCAGCAAGACTCTGTCTCAAAAAAGAGAAACAAATCAATACACACAGGGAAGGAAGCAGCCACCCAGGCTGCGGCCCAGAACCAAGAAAGTTACAGCATTCTATTGCCATCTTGTGGCCATCTTGAATATTGCACCCCCCGCCCCAAGGCTTTCAAAGCCCCACTGCTCAGGTAGGTTTCTGTCCATCCTGGGCTTCCAGGCTCTGTGCTGCTTCACGTCTTCACATCCCAACTATTGGCCTGGACATCCTCCGAGAAAGTGACTTTAGCTCCATCTTCTCAGAGCCAACCAGGCCCCCCCATGCTTGGGCCCCTGGGCCCTTCCCTGGGCATGATCCTGCACACCCCCTTCTCCCCGCTGGCAGTCACAGGGTCCCCAGTTCTCCTGATCCTGCAGCCTGGGCCCCACATGAGCAACTTCTCTCTCGCCCTGCATGGACCCTGGGACTCCCTGCTTCTTCAGTTCTCCTCTATGTTTCCCAGCGACCCCCCAAGAAGGGCTGCTGAGGCTGGGCCCTCACCCCTGCTTAACCGTCCCCAGCAGATGCCGACAGCCTGCCTGCTTCAGCACTCCCACGGCCACTGCCAGCTGAACTGAGCCTCTCTTCAGGGCCACCGTCCACCACCCTCTGTCCTGTCGGGCGATGTCCAGAGGCTTGCAGCTGCCCCAACCTCTCTTCTGCCAGTGTGAACTCTCCTAGCGCTCAAGCTTCACACCCCTTAGTGCTGAACACACACCCTCTGCTGCCCCAGCTGCCTCCAGTTGTTTATTTTGCTTTTGCTCTGAAGAGCTCCACGTTGCAGTGTTCCACTATCCTCCTTCAGCTCCTGCACCCAGCACTCCGGGTGGGGGCTGTCCTTTCAAAGGCCACTGAACAGGTCCCAAACAAGGGTCTGCCTGTCTTCTCTGGCTTGCTGACTTGTGCAGGCTGCTCCCCCTGCATGTCCTTGCCTGGCCAAGCTCTCCATCCTACATTCCTCCTGCTGCTGTGACTGGCCCTGTTTCTCTGCTCACCTGCCCCTGTCCCCTGGCCTGGACCCTGGGGGCAAAAGCTCTTAGCACAGAGCCTGGTGCTCAGAAGTGCCCCATAAATGTTGTCTGAATGAATGAATAAAGGAATGAAATAAGGAAGGAACCAGCATTTTTTTTTTAATAGAGTCTCAGTCTCACTGTGTTGCCCAGGCTAGGGTGTAGTGGTATGATCATAGCTCACTGCAACCTTGAACTCCTGGTCTCAAGTGATCCTCCAGCATCGGCCTCCCAAAGTGTTGGGATTACAGGCATGCGCCACCGCGCCCAGCCAGGAGCCAGCTCTTAATGCTGTTATATGTTGTTTTACTGGTTGTGTTTTCTTCATTTTTTTTTTTAAGTTAGGAGTGCAAGGTTGTGTTTTCTGGTTTATTTCTGCTCTTATCTTTGTTTCTAGATTCTTATTTCTTTTCTTGTACTCTTTTTCCCCTCCATTAAGAACCTAATTTATATGCTGCAGTCATTTAATTTTTTAAATAACAAAAGTATTTAAAACTATGAAATCCTTCTAAGTACAATTTGGGGCACCTTAATATAACGTACAGGATTCATTTTACTTTACTTTTTTGATACAGGGTCTCGCCCAGGCTGGCGTTCAGTGGTGTGAACATGGCTCATTGCAGCCCTGACCTCCCAGGCTCAAGCAGTCCTCCCACCTCAGCCTCTAGAGTAGCTGGAACTACAGGAGAGTGCCAACAGGCCCAGCTAATTAAAAAAAAAATTGTAGAGACAGGGTCTCCCTATGTTGCCCAGGCTGGTCTTGAACTCCTGGACTCAAGTGATCCTTCTGCCTTGGCCTCCCCAGGTGTTGGGATTAGGTGTGAGCCACCACACCTGGCCCCAACAAAATGTTTTAAAAGCTGGTCCTTTGTCTCTGTGTCTGGACACACTCCCACTCCCGCAGGCCAAACAGGGCGGGGATGAGCTTGGCAAAGGGGATGTGGGAACCAGGGGCTGGCCTGGCTGGGTCTGAGCTGACTGAGGACCAGGCACTTGGAAACTGCAAATAGGGATAGAGCTGGGACTGAAAGTGGAAAATGAGCCACTGGATCAGGGTGCACAGGAGGCCGCAGTGGTTGAGGTTGAGGGTAGGTGTCAGCAGTAAGAACCCAGGGCCACTGAGTCTCAGCCAGGCTGCACACTAGAGTCACCCAGGGGAGGCCCACCTCAAGATGACAACAGGTCCAGGAGGCTCGGGCACTGGAATGATGTTTAAAAGAATTCCCTCTTCCCGCCAGGTGCTCCCTTTTACAGTCTGGAGGGAACACTGCCACCCACGACTCCCACAAGATCGGCGGGGCCTACGGGCTCTTCCTGCCTGGCACCCCACCCAGCTCCTCCTCCTTGCCTGCAATCTCTACCCCTACCCAGCTGGTGCTCCAGTGCGGCCACCTGATTATCTGCATTTTCCTTTCAAAATAATTCCATTTGGGGCCCCAAAGCAATCTATGTTCACTGTAGCAAATCCTGAAAACAGAGAAAAGCACAAAGAAGAAAACAGAGAAAAGCACAAAGGGGAAAACAGACGTTTTCCGTTTTTCCCCCAATGATTTGCAGCAATCTGCGGCAGTTTTCAGCCTCTGCAGGTTCCCAAACGTGACTTGGCTCCTGCTCTTTTCCCTTTGGTGTTAGCATCTGTTCCGGCACGGTTGAGGGATTCTTCAGACTCCGCCAGCTTTGCCTCTTTTGTAGCCAAACATTTATTGAGCACTTACTGCATACTGGGTACTACATGAGGCCACAGGGACCCAAAGGTCTCAGCAAAAGCTCGTGGAGCCTTCAGGCCAGTCCAGGAGGAGGAGGCCTGACACCCTTCAGCGGGTCATTTTAAAGGCTCTTGTGCATGGACCCTGTATGACATTTTTCTTTTTCTTTTTTCCTGGAGATTCATGTGTTGGTCTTTGTTATGGCTGAGGTTTAGTTTCAGACAATTTTTCTAGGCTTTCCTGGCATTTAAGGGAGGCTGTGACTGTGTCCTCTGCCACTTTTCCACACTTCGTCCCCCAAAATATCTCAAGAAAAGTCAAGTCACCCTTTCTCCTTTAACCCTTTAGTAGATTTGGACGTGCTGCCTCCACCCAGCATGGTGACGTCATAACCTGGGGCTCCCATCTGCCCCTTTCTACACTTGGCATGAGGTCGCCTGACTCTCACCCCTCATGGGCAGAGGCAGGGCAGCTGCAGGGTGGGAGGGACAGTTCTGGCCCTGAAAGGGGCCTTCAATGGAAAGTTGTCTTCCCTGCTCAGCCCCATTCCTGCTGCTCTCTTCAGAGCTGTAAGAACTGGGCCAAATGGTGCCCACACCTTCCAAGCCAACCTCAGATGAACTCAGGGTCAACAGGGAAGCTACTTCCCATGCTAAGCTGAGGGTTCTGTCTCTGGCAACCTGAATCATCCACTCACACAGAGGCTGAGTTAAATTAACCCCGCATTCAATGAGGGCCGGCCACCTGCACAGTCTTGTGGGGGCTGCAAAAATGCATGAGACTTGGCCTCCACCCTCACTCATGGCCCAGACTAGGGAGCAGCAGACACATGCTCAGTGTGGTCAGAGTTTACAGGGGCTTTAAGAAGAGAGAGGGGAATCCAGGAAGACTTCCTGGAGGAGATGGCAACTGAACTTGGATTTAAGGGAAGGGAAGAGATAAGGAGAGAAGGACATTCCCCACCATGGGACACAGGGCAGGGTATGGCAGAACCCAGGGGCCCCCAGAGGTGCATGGGCGGGGAACCCCAGACGGGGAGCAGCAGATTCAGGCTAGGGGGAAGGGAGCACCTTGTGGGTGCTGCTTGTTATGTGACTTGAGGAGATCCTGGATGGCAGTCTGGGTGCTGGAGCAGGATGGGGGTGCATGGGTGGGCAATGGGAGAAAAGGCAGGAAAGGCCAGTGAGGGCCCCTCTGGGGTCTTGGGCAGCACCAAGGCCAGGCACCCTGGAGAATGAAAGTCACGGTGGTCCCAAGATGGGGCTTCTGGAGGCGACTTTCGAGAACCGAATGAGGACTGGAAAGTCTGGAGACGAGGGAGCGCATTGTCCCCAGTGGAAGCGCAGGACAGTTTCCCTCAGCTGCGGTACAGGACAGAGGCCCTGGGTCACCTGTGAGTTATTTCCCCAAGGTCTCTAACCAGGCCACTGTGGTGGATGAGGGTCCAGAGAGCCTCTTCCACTACAAGCTCCACATGCCTGAGCAGGAAAAGGCCGGACCTTAATTTAACCCGGATCGTTTGCCATCAGGAGGGAGATTCTGAGATGTTCTCTTCCTTCCCTCCCTCCTGTGTTCCAGGGAGCTCTGCCCTTGTCCCCACAGCCACAGGGGAGCCACTGTCTGTCCTTTCCTCGATGAGAGGAGGTGCTCTGGGGCACAGCCGAGTCTTCTCCACCTCTGTGCACCGCCTGGCACGCAGGGACTCTCAAAAGAGGCCTGATGCACAGAGGCAGGGTCTACACATGCGTCCCTTTTAACCCGACCGTCCATTTCCATCCCGATGGGATGTGACACTGCACTCACAAGCTTGTTCGGGGGCAGGGGGGATCCTGGGTGGGGGGAGGTGGCAGGGTTTGAGGCAAGGTGCCCATGTGCACTGGTGGCCACCCTCCGTCCAAATGCCCCAGGCTCAGACCCAAGTGATAAGAACTTCAATGGTGTGGAGAGCGCCTGCGTGGGGGAGGCAAGCTGACACGCAGGCCCAGGGTTCCAGAAAGCCCCCTAGCTCCCCGAGGCCCAGTGCCCAGAAGGCCCAGCACATCTGCAGCCTCAGAGTGAGCTGTGGTCCTTCTCACCCCCAGCCTCCTCTTCACCCTTCCCCAGCTCCCCAGTGCTGGGTGGCGGGAGCGGGGTCCTGGGCTGAATTGTGGTCCCCGCAAATTCACATGTTGAAGCCCTAACCCCCCTCCCCAACACCCCCGTACCTTAGAATGTGACTCTATTTGGAGACAGGGCCTTTAGAGAGGTGACTAAGTGAAAAATGAGGTCATCAGGCTGGGCCCTAAGCCATGGTGGGTTTTTTTGGTTTGTTTTATTTTGTTTTGAGACAGAGTCTCGCTCTGTTGCTCAAACTGGAGTGCAGTGGCACTATCTCGGCTCACTGCAACCTCTGCCTCCTGGGTTCAAGCGATTCTCCTGCCTCAGCCTCCTGAGTAGCTGGGATTATAGGCGCGCACCACCACCACGCCCAGGTATTTTTGTATTTTTAGTAGAGACGAGGTTTCACCCTGTTGGTCAGGTTGGTCTCGAACTCCTGACCTCGTGATCTGCCTGCCTCAGCCTCCCAAAGTGCTGGGATTATAGGCGTGAGCCACTACGCCCAGCTGCCATGGTGTTCTTATAAGAAGATGAGCATGCGCAGAGCTACCAGGAGCACACACAGAGGGAAGACTGCAGCGGTGCAGGACAGAGGTGGCTACCCACGGCCACAGAGAGGCCTTGGAAGAAACCCACCCGCCCACACCTGGCTAGTGAGGAGGCATACTGCTGTTCTTTCACTGTGGTGCTTTGTATGTCAGCCCTAACGCACCCAGACGAGGGGCACAGGGACAGGAATGGGGAAAGGGATCCAGGCCAGGCCCCCGAAGTCTGTGCTTCTCCACCTTTAGGAAGCTGGAGAGCTCGCGAGCACCCACTTGCTCCCAGAAGAATCAGCTGATCAAAACAGAACCCCCAATCTCCCCAGAATCCAGAGGAACCCAACCTAAGCAGATGGCCCACGAGTGGAGATGCTGACCTATGGGTGGCAGTGTATTCTGCCCAGAAGGCAGGTGGGGAACCGCTGTGGGTGCCCTGACTATGAGAGCCTCCGGCCGTGGAGACACAGCCCTGCCATCTCTGTCCGATTAACAGGGGCTGAAGGGGCAAGAGAAGAGCCAGAACGTTCTCTCGCCTGAGGAGGGCACTCACAGTGTAGTGGAGAGCCCAATAAAGAACTGAACTTCCTTGAAGAGGGTCCAGAGGGGACTGGGGTGTTATGCGGGGGTGCTCAGGTGCGGGGAGCCCCACACCTCCATGCACAGTCCCACGACTCCACGCTCAACCGCGCACCTCCAGGCGCAGCCCTACCCTTCCAGGCACAGCCCTACCCCTCCAGGCGCAGCCCCCCACACCTCCACGCGCAGCCAGCCACTCTCACCTTCCCGCCTCCCGGCTGGTGCTTCAGGTTCTCAGTGGAGCCGATCTTGGACTTGACATTCTTCAGGTCTGGCATGGGCACGGGGGCTGTCTGCAGGCGGCTCTTGGCGGAAGACGGCGACTTGGGTGGAGTACGGACCACTGCCACCTTCTTGGGCTCCCGGGTGGGTGGGGTTGGAAGGGACGGGGTGCGGGAGCGGCTGCCGGGAGTGCCTGGGGAGCCGGGGCTGCTGTAGCCGCTGCGATCCCCTGATTTTGGAGGTTCACCTGGGAAGGAAGGAAGGGAGTGAAGCCAGGACTCGAGTGGGTGGGGTCAGAAAAGGCCCTGGGGGCTGCCTGTCCCGTGGGTCCATTCCCAGGCTCACCACTGGGTTAGGCAGGTGGAAGCCAGGTTGGAAGCGCAGCTACAGCAGACGGCTGCCCTGGGGAAGCATCTCTTCCTCCCTGCCTTTTTGCTTAGGGACAGAGACACCCCTTTCCCAGGAAAGCAATGGAAAACCATCAACCACCATCCAATACCCGCTCCCAGAGAGGTGGCCAACTCGGCTCCACAGTCTTTGGGTCAAGAGATGGGCTCCAACAAGCTGTGTGGCCTCAGACAAGTAACTTCCCCTCTCTGAGCTCAGAGGCCTTAATTTGAAAATGGAAATAATTATAATCCCTGCGGCCAGCGTGGCTCCAGGAGGTGGTAGATATGCTTTGCCAACCTCTAATACAATTCTTCAGGGCCTTTATCCTAAATAAGGGTGATGCAGTGACGAGACCCAGCTGTGCCCTCAAGCCTGGACGCTTCTGACCCTTTCCCCACAGGGTGAATGTTCAGCTGTTCAGCTGTTCGGCTAGTTCAGGGCTCCTGCCAGCACCCTGGCTCCTCTGTGGGATTTGGCCTTCAGAACAGGATGCCTGCTCCACGCCTGCCTGTCCCTAGCTGTCCACACGAGCCATACCGCTTCATGCTGCTGTGCCCTGACGTACAGTTCCCCACCTGCCATGCATAGCAGTTACTAGCGCACCCTTCCAACACCCTGGAAGCTGCTGGGGGGTCTCTTCTCCTCTCCATGCAGATGCTGTCCCTCCCTCCTCTGGGTGTCCTTTACCCTCAAACTTGCTTCTGTTACTGCACTTCCCAGGCCCCCGTTACACTTCAACAGTCTGGTATTCTATCTCATGGGTCTGTATTTTCCAAAGTGTGGCCCACGGAACCCTGCGTCAGAATCTCCGGAGCTTTCAAGGAGGAAAGTGGGAGTTGCAAAATGCAAATTTCTCGATCCCCTTCAAGAGTGGATAGAGCAGAATCTCTAGGGGTGGGACCTGCAAAGCCTCATTTTTCTCAAGCTCCACAAAGACTGAAGTCTGAGAACCGCAGGCCTCACCCTGTGCCGAGGTGTGCTTAGCTCCCCTGCAGTCTGAGAACTTAGCTTTCCTGCAAGTCCAGAAGCTTCCCGCAGCAATGCCCCTGCCGCTGCCCCAGGCATTTGCTGTAACACATACCTGCTGGCCAGACCTGGAGAAGGGCAGCTCTTTGAAGCACCCATGTAGCCAATGGGCAGCTTGGCCAGTGACGAATAAGCACTAGTTTTCTTTTGTTGTTGTTTTGTTTTTTTGTGGTTTTTTTTTTGAGACGGAGTCTTATTCTGATGCCCAGGCTGGAGTGCAATGGCGTGATCTCGGCTCACTGCAACCTCCGCTGCATGGGATCAAGCGAGTCTCCTGCCTCAGCCTCCCGAGTAGCTGATATTACAGGTGTGCAGCACCACGCCTGGCTAATTTTTGTATTTTTAGTAGAGACTTATTTTAGTAGAGACTGGATTTTTGTATTTTCAGTAAAGATTTCTTTAGTAGAGGTTTTACCATGTTGGCCAGGCTGGTCTTGAACTCCTGACCTCAGGTGATCCACCCGCCTCGGCCTCCCAAAGTGCTGGGATTATAGGCATGAGCCACCGCACCCAGCCAGCACCAGTTTTTAGAATTTGACTTCCATGTCTTTTTTAAAAATAATGTTTTTTATAGAGACGGGGTCTGACTATGTTGCTCAGGCTGGTCTTGAACTTCTGGCCTCAAGCGATTCTCCCACCTCAACCTCCCAAAGTGCCGGGATTATAGACGTGAGCCACCGTGCCCTGCGGATTTCCATGTCTTGGATGTTCCTGAAGTAGTACGCTCTGTGGCAATAGGACAAACGAAGCCTCTTATTTTCCACATAAGGAAACAACAGATGGGGCCTCGGCCTCCAGGGCCTCCAGGCTCAGCCTCTCTGCCTCCTCAGACCTCCCATCCTCCTGCCTCCCTGACTTCAGAGACCCAGGGTGACCAGTGGGCTTGGTGGTGGTGGCTCCAAATACTTTTCATGCCTCTTATTTACAGAGTGGTCGTGGGCAAGTCACCTGACCTCCTTAAGCCTATGTCTTCATCTGAAACATAGGGAGACAGCCAGGCATGGTGGCTCATGCCTGTAATGCCATTGTCCCTGAAGTCAAGGAGAGCACACAGGATTAGAAAGCCCATCAGACAAACACAGCTGCGCAAACTGCACAGGGAAGAGAATTCGGACTGCTCCATCTTCAGGCTGCGAACCCTGTGTGAACCCTGCATTGCAGAAAAGGGTCCTCCCGGCTCTAGAAACACAAGCCAGTGAATGGCCACACACGCAAAGGGAGGCTGCTCCCAGCGAAGTAGGCTCCCGAGTACCTCTCTCAGATCTGGGCCCTGCAGGGGGTGGTCTTCTCTGGACTTGCTTAGTCGCTTAAAGAGAAAAATCCACGAAAGCCTTATTATCATCAGGCTTAAACAGGGCCTTAATGAGTCCTTCACGTGGCAGGCACCCACAGCTGGCCCAGCAGGGGCCCCATTCTGAAACAAGGTCGAGGGGCCCAAGGGGGAGGGTCTCTCCACCTGCAGGCAGCCACCGAAGAGCAGGTAAGACCCAAAGGGAAATGCATCACGTTGTTTCAGGTTGTTACAAAGTGTGAGTCCCCTGTAATCCCAGCACTTTGGGAGGCCGAGGTGGGCGGATCACTTGAGGTCAGGAGTTCGAGACTAGGCTGGCCAAAATGGTGAAACCCTGTCTTTACTAAAAATACAAAAATTAGCAGGGCGTGGTGGCCTGTGCCTGTAGTCCCAGCTACTCAGGAGGCTGAGGCAGGAAAACTGCTTGAATTTGGGAAGCAGAGGTTGCAGTATGCCAAGATTGTGCCACTGCACTTCAGCCTGGGTGACACAGTGAGACTCCGTCTCAAAAAAACAACAACAAAAAACAGAGTGTGAGTCAACTGGCCCGATGTTAAGTGAAAAAAAAACAGCAGGATCCAAACGCTACTTAAAATCCTGTCAAAATTCTGGGAATTATCCCTGGATCACATGTATATGAGAAAAACACCAGGCCAGAAAACACGAAGCGAAAAGACAAAAACAATGGGCCTTAGTGAATGGCCATCCTTGGGGGTGCCACTGCACGGCATGTGTGCGAGAAATGCCACCGCAAAGACACGCAGCAGGTGGTGGGCAGGCTCTGGGCAGCTCCCTCAGGCCAGGGAGAAGCAGAGTCACCAAGATCCAAGATCCAGGCCAGGCTTTGGTCACAGCCCGCAGCAAGTGCCATAGGCTGCCCGTGCCACCAAGGAGCAAGTGCAGGTCAGACACCCCTACATGGTGCAGAGTCTAAACCCAGGGGCCTGGAATACTTCACTGGGGCAATGGAAGAGAGAAGTGCTCGGGCAGGCAGGCAGGCTGTCCCTAATCCCCAAAGAGGACGACTGTTTTTTTTTTTTTTTTTTTGAGAAGGAATCTCACTTTTGTCATCCAGGCTGGAGTGCAATGGTGCGATCTCAGCTCACTGCAACCTCTGCCTCCTGGGTTCAAGTGATTCTCCTTCCTCACCCTCCTGAGAAGCTGGGATTACAGGCGCCCGCCACCACGCCCAGCTAATTATTTTGTATTTTTATTAGAGACGGGGTTTTGCCATGTTGGCCAAGCTGGTCTCGAACTCCTGACCTCAGGTGATCCGCCCACCTTGGCCTCCCAAAGTGCTGGGATTACAGGCATGAGCCACCACGCCCAGCCGCGACTGTTCTTAATAGCACTCCTGGCTGCAAAATAACTCAATGGATGCCTTACTGGGTACTCAAAATTGACTGGGTTTTACTCACAGGAGCCCAGGGCAACGGGCCCAGCCTGTGACTGCTCAGCTAAGACCCTCAGGTTTTGCAGCAGACTCCTAACGTCCCTAGCAAGTTAAGCTGCCCAGGGGTTGAGCCCTGAGTGACGTCACCCATTGTGACTTATCCAGGCTGCTGCTCTGTCTCCAGAGACATTTGTCTCCAGAGTCTCATTTGGGGACTGAAAACATGCCATGCTGGGGCTGCCTCTATGGAACCCTGGACTTGGGGCCAGAGAGGCTCCGAGAGCTGCCACTTAGTAGTCATGTGACTGCATTTTCCTCGGGTTTAAAATGAGCTGGTTAGACTCAGTCAAGCAAACTCTCAGAGGCTCGATTTCTTTCTTTTTTTTCCTTTTTCTGTATTTTTTTTTATCATGCTGCAGAATCAGCCTCAATTTCTTCATTGATAAAAAGTGAGGATTCAGGCTGGGAGTGGTGGCTCATGCCTGTAATCCCAGCACTTTGGGAGGCCGAGGCAGGTGGATCACCTGAGGTCAGGCGTTCGAGACCAGCCTGGCCAACATGGTGAAACCCTGTCTCTACTAAAAATACAAAAAATTAGCCGGGCATAGTGGCAGGTGCCTGTAATCCCAGCTACTAGGGAGGCTGAGGTAGGAGAATCGCTTGAACCTGGGAGGTGGAGGATGCAGTGAGCTGAGATCACACCACTGCACTCCGGCCTGGATAACAAAAGCGAAACTCTGTCTCAAAAGAAAAAAAAAAAAAAAGGTAGGGATTCAACATTTGCCTCAGAAATCAAAAGGACTGAGAAGGCAATGAAGACTCCAGTGCTTAGTAAACTGCAAGCTGCTGACCAGCTGCCAGGGGTTATTCATTCTCAGTGGCCTAAGGCCTCCTAAAATGAAGGCTGTACCTCTGAGAGCTTCAGCTTCCTCTAAGATTCAAGAGAACGTTCTTCTTACCAGAGCTGGGTGGTGTCTTTGGAGCGGGCGGGGTTTTTGCTGGAATCCTGGTGGCGTTGGCCTGGCCCTTCTGGCCTGGAGGGGCTGCTCCCCGCGGTGTGGCGATCTTCGTTTTACCATCAGCCCCCTGTAAATGAAACATGATAGAGGGGTTTTTCACCATTGGGAAAAGTTACTGCCACCAAGAGTCAACACCAGCCCCACTCCGCCACCTTGACTCAAAACGTGGCTAAGACTGGGGTGACCCTTTGCCTCCTAGATGCCACTAGTGTCTGCTACAACCACAAGGGCTTGCTGGGCACACAAACCCACATCCCCACCCAAACTCCAAGTTCCCTGAGGACATTTCCTCCCAGAGGAACTGTGTGCATTAGTTATCAGCATGAGTTGTGCCAAGGCCAGCAGAGCTCACAGCAATGATCAGGTCACTCTCCACTCCATGTCAATCATCGGCAGGACATTAGTGCACTACACATATGCAGACATCCATTTTCTGACTCTAATTATGGATTTATTTGGCTGATGGTGGTTGGCTCCACCAGAGGCCCCTGGGGGCAGTGTTGAACCTGACCAAGGATGCTAAAGAGAGCTAGGTCGTGTTCTTTCATTCTCTCGCAAACAACCCTAAGGCCTCAAGAACTCCTTGGGTGTGCTCAGACCAGGCGAGCACCCGAGGAGGCGAGCACCAGCATCACTGACAAAGCTGGCAGAGTCGGGCATGGCACAGTCTAGGGACTAGGGCAGTCCCTGGGTTCCGTTACCCAGCAGATGACCCTTAGACATAACACAAACTCAAAAAAGAAACTGACATTAACCAAGGACCACAAGCTAGTTGAGGGGGCAGTGAGCTCACGGGGCAGTGTTGCTATGGCGTGATGCTGTCCTACCCAGATCAGGGCAATCTGGAAGCATTTCTCTTGCCAAAATCAGGAATGGGCAAAGGAACCCAATGAGAGTAGCAATTTTGGGTTTGTTTTTTAAACAATTTTTGCGACAGGGTCTTGCTCTGTCGCCCAAGCTGGAGCTAACTACAACCTCTGCCTCTGGGGTTCAAGCAATCCTTGTGCCTCAGCCTCCCGAGTAGCTGCGATTACCACCACGCATACCACCACGCCCGGCTAATTTTTGTATTTTTAGTAGAGACAGGGTTTTGCCATGTTAGCCAGGCTGGTCTCGAACTCCTGATCTCAGGTGATCCACCCTCCTCGGCCTCCTAAAGAGCTGGGATTACAGGTGTGAGCCACCGTGCCCAGCCTTAGAGTAGCGATTTCGAAACCAAGGTCCCACCAGGTGTCTTAGGAGCTGCTGCTATGAGAGCCTGTGGGGTGCTGAGAGGGATGGCCCCCAGCTCTCTTTTCCCCTTTGCCCAGAATTCTAACTATTTTACACGGTGCTTCTATGCCAGAACTCATTTGAAGAAAGGTCTTTGAGGCTAAAAAACAAATAAACAAACCCCACATTTGCAAACCACAGCAGAGCAGCCTGGTTCTTTTCAAAGGTGGTTTCCTTACCTTGAGTTTCATCTCCTTTGCTCCAGAACTGCCAGTTCGGGAAGTGACAGAAGAGACGTATTTAGGAGAGGAAGGTGGCTCTGGGCACACAGCAGGGCTGGAGGGTTGGATCAGAGGGTCTGAGCTACCAGGAGTGGGGTGTTTGGGGCTAAGGCAAGGCCTATTTTTCAAGGTTTTAGCAGAGGAACGTGTGGATGTCTTAAACATAAACATAAATAAAATCAAAATAAAAGTCAGCACATGGAGGAGGGAAACAAACTGAAAAAAGGACAGTAACTAAAAATAAATAAGGCAGGTAATGGTTGAAAGCAGTGATCTCCAGGCTGTTTGAATCAGGTACCCTTAATATCCCTTCTGATCAGTAAGAACAGGAAAGTGACCGTCCTCCCCAATCACAGTTCTTTTTCTTTTTCTTTTTCTTTTTTGAGACGGAGTCTCGCTCTGTCGCCCAGGCTGGACTGCAGTGGTGCAATCTCGGCTCACTGCAAGCTCTGCCTCCTGGGTTCACGCCATTCTCCTGCCTCAGCCTCCCGAGTAGCTGGGACTACAGGCGCCCACCACCACGCCCGGCTCGTTTTTTTGTATTTTTAGTAGAGATGGGGTTTCACTGTGTTAGCCAGGATGGTCTCGATCTCCTGACCTCGTGATCCACCCGTCTCGGCCTCCCAAAGTGCTGGGATTACAGGCGTGAGCCACCGCGCCTGGCCCTGACAAAGCTTTTAGAAGAGGACATGAAAAAGGAATGGAAGTTCTAGTACGTTCTTTCTCCAGCCTGTTGGATGTTACTGTGCCCCTGAATTTGGAGACGACTGGTTTAAAGGTGCTTCACATGAGTAAGTTGATGGAGATCATCAAGGTACATGAATCTTAGGATGTTACTCAAGAAAATGTCCCCAAGTGTGTCACGGGGTCTGAAGGGCCTTACTTTCTACTCAATTCCAGGCAAGGTGCTTTTTTACCTGCCCATTAACCCATGGCCTCTTCCACCACACTGACAGACTCATATGGCTACAATCAGGAGTGTGCCCCCCCCAAGTTGGAAAGATTCTACCTGACTTAGGTTACACCCACCCCCACCACACATGTGCTTTCTGATTAAAGTCTCAAATCAAACTAATATTAACACTATCTGGTGAATCCTAATCTGGCCAATGTTAACTCTTTTGTTTGTTTGTTTGTTTGTTTGTTTTAGAGACAGGGTCTCCCTCTGTTGCCCTGGCTGGAGTGCAGTGGTGCCATCACGGCTCACTGCAGCCTCCACCCTTTGGGTTCAAGTGATCCTCCCACCTCTGCCTGGCCAATTAAATTTTTTTTTTGAGATGGGGTCTTGCTATGTTGCCCAGGCTGGTCTAGAACTCTTGGGCTGGGGACATCCTCCCACCTTAGCCTCCCAAAGTGCTGGGATTACAGGCATGAGCCACTGTGCCAAGCCTCCAATGTTATCTCTTTTTCTTTTTTTTTCAGTTTGTCAGTGTAAACAACACTGCTTACTTTTGAACCCATTCCACAAGAGGAAGCAGCCAGGGACGGGTGTCTGCACGCCTGTCCCTATGGAGGCGGGGCTGGGGGGGGCCCTGGAACCAGGATGCAGGATAGATGGTGACTGACACCCACAGTTCGTCCTGCCCGTGGGGGATTTTGACGGGTGGGCATGGCCCTGGAGGAGAAGGGGGTGTTTGGAGGGGAACAGGTCACACTCTCGGGAAACAAAGTGGGGAGGCTAAGCCTCGAAGTGTTTCCAAGAGCAAGTCAGAGCTCAGAGAAGGGTCCTGTCCCAGACTTCACTGGGCTTCTAGGGGATGCTATCTTATTGCTTTCCAATTCCCCATGGAAGCGGCCAAGGCCCTCTGTGTGGTCAGGCTTGGTAAGGAGGACCCAGGAGATGAAGTAGCAATGGGAGAGGAGGGACACAGGCTGGGGCCCTGGGGCTGATGACAAGAAAGCAAAGCTGGGGTGGGGGTATTGACGACTCCTCCTTCCCTCGCTGCACACGGCCCCTCTCCACCAGCAGCACTCCCCAGCTGGCCGAGGCCCAGGGTAATAGATCTTTCCCCTCCCTAGACTCTGGGCAACTCCAGGGCAGGGATGTTGTACCCATGTGTACTGAATGAATGAATGAAGGAAGGAACAAATGAATGCATGCATGCATGAGGCTGGTATTCCCTGCCCCCTGCCCCCAGCACTAAATGTGCACCGTGATTGACAAGCAGCTGTCACTATCACTTCAGAGACCCAGGCCAGCTCTCCAAATCCCCACAGGCCCTTCCACTGCCTCACTAGATGAGGCTGGGGAGCCCTGACTCTGCAGGCACTTCCGGGAGCAGCCCTCAACACACCACTGAATGCTCAGAGCTATGTGGCAACTGGAGATGCCCTCCGGGCTCCAGTACTGATTAAAATTCAGGTGTTTCAGACAGAATTTATGCTGGAAATTTTAGATACCTTTAAGAAAAATAGGTCTTATCTAGAGCCATGGTGGGATTTTCCAGGAAAAACGCCACTGTGCAATTACGGGAGCATTTCCCCAGACATTTCCCCAGTCATTGAGACAGTAAACAATGGGTGAAGTGAAATACTGAGAAGGATGGGCGAAGATCTGGGTGCAGTTTATGCAGTGAGAAGATGGCTTCATTTACTGTCCTAGGGCTGGTTTTCAAACACACCTTCATTTACTGTCCTGGGTTTGGTTTTCAAACACACCTTCATTTACTGTCAGGGTCTCACTGAAAGTACACTAAGAAAGCTGGAATTAGGAGCATGACTTCATGAACCTGCCAACTGCTCTTCCCTGGGGTAAGTATCAAAACTAATAAATGCTGGACTTTTTAAAAGCCTGCCCCAAAATACAAAGCACTTTAAATGACAGCTGTACTTTAGTGACAAATACTCCCCACATTATATATGAGAATGAATCAGACATAAAGCACAGCTTCTCTGTAAACTTGACCAGCTGCAGAGCTCCGTGGCATCGTCAGCTTACCTTGGCTTTTTTGTCATCGCTTCCAGTCCCGTCTTTGCTTTTACTGACCATGCGAGCTGATAAAATATAAAATAAGAATGCTTGTCACACTCCATTTTCACTGTTCACAGAAAGCCAGCTGTGGTGAAGCTGGATTTCTCTGGGATAGGTCCATGTTTGTTTAGTTGGGTCTGGTGGAAACCCAGTTGGTTCTCTTTTCCCTTGAATCTGCTAGGCCTCGCATTGTTAGTATCAACACAGCACACTGGGGTCACTGATTAGCGCAACCTGGCAAGAGGGGGCAGCAGGCTGGCCGAGGGTGGGACCATGCAGAGGGGACGCAGCAGAAACTGTCACGGGGACATGATGGCATGGAGGCTATCTAAGGAAGGTGCAGTCTCCCTAACCCACAGGCTCCTGCCCTGTTTCTGCCAGGGTCAGCCTCACCCCACTGGGACCAGCCCCACTCCATGGATGGGTGTTTTAAAAGCCTCAGGGCCATGGATGTTGGTAGCTCAGTGAGGACCCAGCCTCCTGCAAGATCCAAGGATGGGGGTGGGTGCATTGTCTCCACACTGCAGCCAGGCTTGGCCCTGATTCCCTGTGAGGTGCCTGCTCACCCTCTTGGCCTTGGAAACTGCCTGGAACCACCCGGCTCCCCTGCCCATGTGGCTAGATTGCCAGCAGTCCTGATTTCCACCTTCCTGGCCATCTTATGCTGACCAACCCATCTCCATTTCTGGTCACACGCCTCCAGAATAGGAGAGGCTGGCAGGGTTGTCTTTGTCCCCTAGTTGCTGGTTGTACCCCCAGGGCCTGCCCCTCACTAATGGTGGCTTTGGCCACCAGCCCCAGCTGCTCTGAGACGAGCCAAGCCCAGCCCAGCCCTGAGCCAGGCCTGGTGGGTTTCTTGCCACTTACTGGTCTTCAAAGGGCACGAATTCTCACTGCTTCCCCAAATTAGCTACAAACCAGTTACCATCATACATTCCCACAGACAACATCAGCCTTCATCACACTCCTTGGTGAAACCAACCCGCTGACCTGTCAGCCAGCATCAGCGCTAACTCACCCTTCTCCTTCTCTTGACAGTCACTGCTGAAAACTGATCATAGATTTTCTTCTTTGGTTTCAATATCACATTCCCTCTACCCCATGGACAACTGGGTCTCTTGGAGCTTCTCATTGGCTATTGTCACCTGGATTTCTAGAGGGACCAGCAATGAGTATGCCCAGAGGTTTTCCAACTATACTATGTGGCAGAATCACCTGCTAAAAGACTCCCAGGCTTACCCCACAACTGGGTCTGTAAGCCTAAAGTGGCACCTGGGAACCTGCACTTTAGTAAGAGCCCCAGGCGGATCTGACTCACGTGTTCTTTGTTTTGCCCACATCAACCAGCACCATCCACGGCACAACAAAAGAATCTGCTAAATCGGCATTTCCCAAACTTCCTCCAGGAAATGTTAGCAGGTAGAATCAAGTAAGTTTGGGAAACCCACTCTGTGACCTTCTCAGAGGGTCACAATGGCCATTAGTACATTAAAGGCTCTGACAAGTCCTGCAGCAGAAAAGCCTGTTTAACTTACTTTAGTCTTTTATTTTTTTCCCCCAGTCACTGGGCCATGGAACTCTTTTTTAATCCAAACACACCTATGAACCTCTAGTAGGCCAGTATTCAAGAAAACATCATTTCAGGAAATATTGTAGTAACCTGTCAAGTCAGTTATTTGTCCCCTACTGTTTTGGAATTTAACAAAGGATATAGGATATATTTTTTTCTCTCTTAACTTTATTTTATTTTATTTTTTGAGACAGAGTCTCACTCTGTCGCCCAGGCTTAGGGTACAGTGGTGTGATCTTGGCTCACTGTAACCTCTGCCTCCTGGGTTCAAGCACTTATCCTGCTTCAGCCTCCCCAGTAGCTGGGACTACAGGTGCCCGCCACCACGCCCAGCTAATTTTTTGTAATTTTAGTAGAGACAGGGTCTCACCATGTTGGCCAGGCTGGTCTCGAACTCCTAACCTCAAATGATCCACCTGCCTTGGCCTCCCAAAGTGCTGAGATTACAGGCGTGAGCCATCGCCCCCAGCCTCTGTCTTAACTTTTAAACACAGGCTTCTTTATAGCATTTCAAAGTTTTCCCTAAAAGTAAAATCTAATAAAAATTTAACAGATGCTTGCAACTGTGAGCTTCAGTAACATCCATTTCTGGGCTCTGCAAATAACTGTGAAATGCTAAGGGTCCCAAATTTATGAACAAGCTCGCCTTGTGGCTCTGAGGTCTCCTGTGGGACACCAACTCTCCTCTCCCTGATACTTGGGACTCTCCTCCCACCAATCCCTCCCTGCAGGGCTGCTGTGGTCGTGCTCCTGAGGGCTCAAGGTGGGCCCTGCTCAACCCCCTCCAATGCCAGCATGAGGATCCCCTTGTCCTCTGCAGAGGGAGGTGGTGGCATGTGGACCAGGGAGATCTTGTGTCTGCTCCTTGTCTTCCTGCCACAAGGCAGAGTGGGTGGGGGCAGGGCACTGGGCCAAAGGCACAGCATGAGCTCTGGGCCACCTCTGGATGCTGTGTGTGTCACCTGCTGTGTGTGCCCTGCACATCTCTGTGTTAGGCGTCCACACTCCAGCACCTCCTGGGAGGCGTTGTGGGATGCAGGACAGGCGTGTCTTTCAGAGACAACCTACCTGGATCCCAAACCTGGCTCTGTCACTTACTACTCATTGGCCTTCGGCAAGTTACTGTACTTCTCTGAGCCTCCGTTTCCTCATCTGCAAAGTGGGGCTGCTTATGCCTACATGGGAGGGTTGGAGAGTTCTAGACACCATGAGGGCACCCGTCATCCTGTCGGTGGAAGGCACCCACCAAACCTCCTGTGGGCTGATGGGCCGTTGTGGACAAATCAAGTGGCCAGAGAGTCAAACAAGGTGGGTAGCACGGAGCGGGGGTGCTGGTGACATGCAGAGTGGCGGGCAAGCGTGAGGGGCGCGTGCGGCCACAGCCTGAGCACGGGAGGAGGCCGAGGGAGTGGAGCAGCTGCACCCAGGTGTCGATTTAGTGGCGTCCTAGGAACGTCAGAAGCAGCAGGAGTCGGGAGGCCTGGAAGCTCAGTGGCAGTGCCCGCAGCCTGGGAGGCCTGGGAGGTCCCCAGGGAAGGAGCGAAGAAGCTCAAGACACAGACCTTTGAGTTGAGGGACCCGGCTGACGGGCTTCCCCCGCGGAGCAGCAGCAGGCTGCTTTTCAGAGGGCTCTGGAAGGTCAGCCTCTTTTGTGTCCTCTCCCAAAGAGGGGCCCCGGGCCTCTGGCCCCTCTCCAGGGGCCCCTGGAAATGCAGCCCTTCCCAAATGCTCCTCCGAGTGCGCCTGCTCCTTCTGCACGTTGGGTGTGATTTCCACGTGAAACGTGAACTCCAGGGGGGCATCCTGCCCTTTGGCCCGCCCTACACTGGGCCCGTCGGGCTCTGAGGCTGGGATCTCTGTGGAAACTTTGGAGAGGAAATCCACAGGGAGGGGGATGGCACCCTCCGCTGGGAAGCCTGGGATGCTGGTGGCTTCTCTGGCGGCTGTCTGGGGAGGCCGCCCATCTTGGGCTGGGGAGGCCTTGGAGGGAGGGGAGTCTTGGGGGGAGGACTCATCGACGTCGCGGTCTTCATCCACCTCCTCCTTGCTCCCCGGCCTCTCTTTGCCCCCTGCCCCCTTCAGCGGCGGCCCCTCCTGGTGCAGGTCTCCTAGAAGCTGGTGCTTGAGCAGCTCAGGGGCGTGGCGGCCGCCCTCTGTGTCCTCAGGTCCTGTCCCCGAAGGTTGGCGTGTGGCCTCTCTGGGGCCCTCAGGCAGGAGGGGAGCCCCAGGCATGCCGGACATGAGCTGGTGGCTCAGACCTGGGGGGCCTGGCTCTCGGAGGAAGCCTTCCTGGACCACCTTACCACTTTCAGGCTCTGTGTGGAGATACGCAGTGGTGGCGGGCTTCGGAAAGGCCGGACCCTTCTCGGCCCAGTCCCCGCCTTTTTGTCCCCACTCCAGGGAGGGCTCCTGAGGGCCTCCTGTTGGAGGAGGCGCTGGGCAAACGGGACGGTGCTGAGGAAGGCTCGCGGTCAGCGGGACGGGAGCTTCTGGCTCTTTCTCCCCGAGGCACGGCCCAGAGACCCCAGAGGCCTCTCCGCAGGGTCCAGGCTGGACGTGGGCGCTAATCTCATTGGCCAGGGGCCTTTCAGGCGCCTTCCTCTGCCGGCCCGGAACTCTCAACTCCTCTGGTTTGAAGAGGCAGCGATAGCAAAAGGTTAGCAAGGGCGCATTAATCGCTTAAGAGAGGGAGCATCATCCTGGACAAAATGACACTGAGAGGGCATCCCAGGCCCCCTAACAAAGAGATGGGAGCACAGCTCTGGGCTCGTCTCGTTGCCTTTGCTTGCTTGGAATGACAGCTCTCCTGGTCTAGCCGCCACCAGCTCGCTAGGTGGCTCTCCCCTCTCTGGGCCTCAGTTTCCTCATCTGTAAAGAGGGTTCTTGGACGTGGTGACCTCCGAGGGCCCTTCTGGTGTGGGTGTTATTCCTCTGCCTATGATGGGCTCTGGTTGGGCACAGAGCATGTCACACATCTGGAGCCGCCCTGGGCTTAATCTACTGGGAAAGCGGGAGGGCTACAGAAGCTTCTCCTGCTTTCTAGGGAATTTGAGCCTCCCAAAGATTCTAGCCTCTAGATGGTATCTGGTTTGGGTGTAGCGAGAATCCCCTTTCCTCTCCCTACCTCTCACTGTTCTCCTGCCCCCGCCCCCCACCCCTTTTTTTTGGTTTGAGACAGAGTCTCACTCTGTCGCCCAGGCTGGAGTACAGTGGCACGATCTCAGCTCACTGCAACCTCTGACTCCCTGGTTCAAGCGATTCTCCTGCCTCAGCCTCCCGAGTAACTGGGATTACAGGCACGTGCCACCACACCTGGCTAATTTTTGTATTTTTAGTAGAAACGGGGTTTCACCATGTTGGCCAGGATAGTCTTGATCTCCTGACCTCGTGATCTGCCCACCCCGGTCCCCAAAGTGCTGGGATTACAGGCATGAGTTTTTTTTTTCCTTTCTTTCTTTCTTTTTTTTTTTTTTTGAGACAGGGTCTCGTTCTGTCACCCAGGCTAGAGTGCAGTGGTGCAATCACAGCTCATTGCAACTTTAACTCCAGGGCTCAAACAACCCTCCCATCTCACCCTCCCAAGCAGCTGGGACCACAGATGCATGCCACCACGTCTGACTAAAATGTTATTTTTCATTTTTGTGGAGACGGGGTCTCCTTATGTTGCTCAGGCTGGTCTCGAACTCCTGGGCTCAAGCAATTCTCTTGCCTCTGGGATTACAGGGATGAGCCACCATACTTGACTTCTGCTCCCCTTTTTGGTAAATGAAACCAGTGAAACTAGTGCCCACAAACCCCGCCTCAAGCCCATTCTCTGACAGATTTGGAAAATCCAAAATGTGTGATCATCAAGAATGGAGTCTTTACTGAGAGACCTGCCATAAGACTCCTCGAAAAAGAAGCCCCATTCAGATCTATCCAGGTCACTGACCACAGACAAGCCCTTGGCACAGGTGAGGTAGGCCCCCGTGGGAGGAAGGGCTCTGCACGGCAGACAGTGACGGCCCTCAGGACCACTGCTGTCCCCTGGTCACACAGCTTGCTGCACACCAACCCAGCTGATCAAGGGCACACTTCATTTTTTTCTGGTTCATTCACGTGACATTCATTAACCTGGCCGCATATTAAGAACAGGAGAATTACACTCCTTGGTTCTCCTAATAAATACCCTTTATGTTTTTTAACTCCCAACTCTTTGAACACCCCATCTAGTCCCAATGCAACAACCTATGCAACTCACCAGCTCTGCTTTAAACAAAACCTGCAGCCCTGAAGGATTCAGGGGCTTGGAAAAGAAAGAGATTTGGATGAGGTCGGGGAGGAAGGTGTGGTCATGGACACACAAAGGTAACCTGTGGGCCCGACCCCATCGGAGGCAAGGTGGTTGACATGGGCTCATCCCCAAGAGGCCCGGTCAGAGCGCAGCAGCACCTCCAGCCTGTGATACTGGCCATGCTCATGGGCCCCTCCAATTCCTGTTCCTGGCATCGACCACAGTGCATGCCACACAGCAGGTGGTTAAATCAATGGATCCTGCACAGATCAACTGGTGTCAGGAAAACATTGACTTCAGCTTCTCACAGGCTCTGCAGGTGCCTTATGGGAGCCCTTTGTCAGTCTCTGGGAAGAACAGCCCAGAGGCAACCCTGAGCCTGAGCGCCAGAACTGACCAGAGGCAGGGGCTGCCCCTATGCTGCCCCAACAGGACAGGTCTCCACTGCCTTCCGGAAGTCGCTTTCCTCCTAGAGCTTACTAGAGTGCTCTTGACTGGGATGTTACTGTACTCTGATATAATACAAGACTTTAAGAAACACTATTAAAAAAGAGACAAGGACCCCAAACGTAAATAGTAAATGTACCTTGAAAAGTAATGGATACAGGATTGTAGTGTGTGTGTGTGTGTATCAATGAGGAAACTGACATGATTAATTACACCCCTGGAGGAAGAAGCCAGGTTAGGAGAATGTTCTTTTTTTTTTTTTTTTTAAACAGAGTCTCACTCACTCTGTCGCCCAGGCTGGAGTGCAGTGGCATGATCTCGGCTCACAGCAACCTCCACCTCCCAGGTTCAAGCAATTCTCCTGCCTCCTACTCCTCCCATGTAGCTGGGATTACAGGTGTGTACCACCATGCCTGGCTAACTTTTGTATTTTTAGTAAAGACGGGGTTTCACCATGTCAGCCAGGCTAGTCTTGCACTCCTGGCCTCAAGGGATCTGCCTACCTTGGCCTCCCAAAGTGCTGGGATTACAGACATGAGCCACCGCACCCAGCCTGGTTGGGAGAATGTTCTATTGATTCCCTAGGATGCTAGGAAGTACTCAGCAAATACTAAATGTAGCAATTCTCAGGGGTTAGGAGGAGTTCAAGATAAATGAGTATTGTAAACACAGTAGTCCAGGTAAGTTAAGCCCCCATGCCCTCTTCAGGAGGCCTGGTCTCTGGACACTTACAGAAGAAAAGTCCACCCCTCGTATACAGGCCTTCCCATAGCTTACTCTCAACAGACTGCAGCTCCAACCTGAAACACCTTTTTCCATCTTACTAATAGGTACTTTATCCCTCCATGATTCCAGGCTGCTGTCAGAAAGCTTAAAATTCAGTGAGCACAAAAGTCAAGTTCCCAGCAAAGACGGTGACCTGGGCTTTTTTTGTTGCATGGAATATGTTCTGGGGGCATGTAGACATCACCTGCACTAACAATCAGTAGAAAAAACTCAAACCCACTTCCATTTATGAAAAGCAATGATTTCTAGAGGTCATGCTTTATCAAAGCCTCTAGTTTTACCTAAGCTGAAAAACATGACCTAAAAGAAACAGGAGCCAGGTTCCTAGTTAATTTCACACATTGACTGAGGTTCTTCTCTTATAGCCACTGTCCCTTCTAATAGTTTTTGAAGCTCTTTGTTAGCCTGAGAACGAAAATGTGCCTTTCTGTGCCATGTGACATGAGAAACATCAGCCTGCTATAGGCTGTGACCTCTCTGGGGGCAGGAATGTGTAGTTAGGCCTCAAAATATCCTCAACGAGGCAGAGTCTCCTAGAATCAGATGGCCTCAGAGGCAGCTCTAAATACTGGACAGATCCCATCACTCGGGAGAAAAGAACAGTGTCTTTCCAGCCCTTCTGCAATCTAGAAGCTTCCACATTTTACAGTAGGCTCTCAAGTTCATTTATCTAGCAAATGACAGAAAACAAGCCCAGCCCACATTATATCAGTACCATAGGTCTCCCATTTCCTAAAATTAGGAATCTCTAGGATTTTTCTTAAGATATTTATGATAAATGATTACACAAAGCTGCCTTTCTTGAATACAGCAGTTTGGTTCCTGAGAAGAAAATCATAATAAGGGTTGAAGGCTGCACAGAAGAAAGTTTACAAGCAATCGCTTGGGGATGACATGGTTAAGGCCTTGCTCCTGGATCAGCCACAGGGCAGCCTGCAGTGAGAATCGCCTGTCACACATATTTGAGTTTCTTTTTTTTTTTTGAGACGGAGTTTTGCTTTTGTTGCCCAGGCTGGAGTGCAATGATGCGATCTCGGCTCACTGCAACGTCCACCTCCTGGGTTCGAGCGATTGTCCTGCCTCAGCCTCCTGAGTAGCTGGGATTATAGGCACCTACCACCACACCCGGCTAATTTTTTTATTTGTAGTGAGACAGGATTTCACATGTTGGCCAGGCTGGTCTCAAACTCCTGACCTCAGGTGATCTGCCCACCTGGGTCTCCCATAGTGCTGGGATTAGAGGCGTGAGCCACCAGGCCCGGCCTAGAGTTTCTGTTAGACATTCATTCTCAACTCCCAGGCTGGACAAGGCTAGCATCTTTCAGAACACTAAATGCCTTAGGAATTACCCAGAAATGGTATTAGAAAAAAACCACTAGGGCTCTTTCTATATCTGAGTAGCCAACCTTTGATAAGAACCAACTCCCTAAAATCTCCTGGACTTGTGAATTAGAGCTCAGGTCCAAATGATCTTTTCAGGGCAGAGCCCACCCCATGTCCCTCCCCCCAACCCCCAAGTCATGGCAGGCAATTCCAGTTCACTGACCTTGGGTCACGTGACCAGCAGCTTCGTCTTCCAGGCTGGGGGTGTCTCCAATGCCTGCTTCTTCAGCTGGTGTATGTGTCAGCAAATGAAGGGGGGTAAAAGCAAGACAGTTATTGTTTACTAGAAACCAAGCTCTCTGTACCTTCGGGCATTTTCCCTTAAACATTCAGGAAAGTCACATCCCAAGAATACCAAGGTGCCTCAGCTCTGGCTTCTCTGCAAATGTCATTGCTGAGGATGCTGGTGATAAAAGTTCACTAAACAAAAGGCACAGCACCCACATGCAGGTGTAGCTATGACCTAGTAGGAAAGACTTTCTCCACTTTGGGACCAGGGTCCTGAATGCCTCACTCAACAAGGACACACAGGCTGAGTGAGGTCAGAGAAGCAATTTGCTGCTGAGCCATGGTTGTGGAGGCTGTGTCTAAGCAGTGGCTGCTGGGAAGTTCAAGGAAAGACTTTGCCTGGGTTGCGGAGTCAGGCAGATGGGGTTCATATCCAGGCACCGGCATTCATTCAACCTCTCTGAGCCTCCATTTCCTCATCTTGAACCCCAAGATGAAGATACTAGTTTGTCTTGTAGAAGGATGGTGAGGGTTAGTAAGAGAATTTGTGTGAACACGTTTAGCCTGGTGCCTGGCATATGGTAGGTGCCCCAAAATGTTACATTTCCTTCCTCCCAACTTCTGGGCAAATGCCTTTCGCAGAATGTCCTGAACGGGTGCTACTTGGTAAGAGGGAGGCTGGCAGTGCTGGTGAGCAGCTTTTGGGGGTGTCTTGGGTTCCTGTTTAGGAAGCCACAGCTCACCCCAAACAAGAAAGACTGAGAAAGTTCCTGACCACATTAATAGTACCAAAATCAATAGGCTTTAAAAACACCTATTTCTGCATCATAAACAACAGGACACTGTTACAGGACAGTGCACGCAATTGTCCAGAAAAAAAGTTTATAAGGCAAGTTGGCCACGTTGACATGCATTGACCTCAGGCCACCAGAATCACCAGCATTTCCTGAGGACAATGACAGAGGCCACTGCCTCTGAGAAATCCATACATCTTGCTGGCTGGGCCATCAGTCTTATCTCCCAGGCCTGCAATGAGTCAGTCACTCTCTGCACCTAAGATAGGAATGCCGGATCCCCACCGCTGGCCAGCACAGGCCTGTGTGAAGAGTGTAGGCAAGGGAGAGAAAGGTTCTCGAGTTTCCTGGAAGCCATGTGGTAGCCTCAGAAACACCCAGGCCATTGGCTGTCCCCAGGCAGCTGCTGAGGGCATGGGAGGGCGGGCAATGGGCTCACGGGGCTCCCATCACTAGCACTAGCATGACACAGACACCCTCCGGGTCCATCCAGCCGACACTGCGCTACCCACGATGCCCAGTGGTGACAGTGCCTTGTCATGTGACAATATCGCTGAGCAAGTGTTGGCTCAACTGCCTGGGCACAACTCTGAGTGCAGATTCGGCCTGAGTTTCTGACAAGGTGATGGCAATGGCAGAAAGGCTCAGAGCTACAGCAAGTCCAGCTAAATGCCAGAGTCCTTGAGACAGAGGGTGTGAGGAGGCTTCCTCGGACACGGTCACTGCCACGGCACTGGGTGAGTTGCCTTGCTGTCACACACAGTGCAGAGCTGCGATAGCCAGGCCCGGCTTGAGTCAGAAATTGGACGCTGCACTGTCTTTGCCACCCCTTGACCCCAGAAAGGGAGCTGCTTGGGAACACCATGGAGGGAGGTTGGGCCTCACATCACTGCTGGCCTCTCTGTACCATGGGGAGTGTTTTACAAGAGCCAGGAGGGCCCTGTGCTCTCCAGCAAGGCAGGAACCTGCAAGGGGGTGGCCACACTGCACCCCAACTGGATGGCCCATGGGGAGTTTCACTGGAGCGCCAAGAACAGCAAACAGGATAGGCCAGAGCGAGGTGCCAACTAAGGTCTGCATTGTCAGTAGCTGAAGACACATGCACCCAACTCTAGAACCTCCCCACCACATGGAGGATGTAAAGGGATCTTTAGGAGGATTTCCTTGGAGAGAGTGGCTTGGGGGTGGTGGGGGTGGCTACATGGCCACCCCCCATCACAGTCCCAGCACAACTGTTTCAAGGCAATACATTGAGGACACCTGGTGTGTGTCCCCTCTGGTTAGGGACCTGGTGGACTGTGGTCAGGGCCCCACCAAGGAACACTAGAGGATGGAAGATGGGCTGGCCTTGCTTTGGGGGCAGAGCAAAGGACAGGTGCTGCAGCCCTGAGAACCGTCTGCACACCCACAGTTTGCTTGCCAGCGTGTTTCCCGTGGGCCCCATGTGGGCACAGGTCAGAGTGCATGGGAGCCTCAGATCATGTTTAAGAGGTGGCAACTAGCAGGACCTCAGAGGTGAGGCTGCAGCCAGATCTTCAGACTCCCACGGGGCCGAGGAGATGACATGGCCACCAGAATCCAGCGCAGCAGAAGGGCTCTTCAGGGGAGGATAGCTGGAGATGGCAGGCTGGGGTAAGAGTAGAAGAATTCAAATAAGGTCCCCATGGAGACAGAGAGAGAGAGAGTCTCCTTGAAACCTCTGCAGGGAGTGTGACGCAGCTCACACCAGGACCAACTCAGTAAGAACCTTCCTGTTTCTCTTACCCCTCCCCTCCCTGCCAGCCCTCGAGGGGAATGGCTGCAACTTTGAATGGAGTTAGAAGCTTTGACTGTCACATGGGACTGGCTGTTCTAATTATTTAGCTTTTGCACACTGTTTTGCCACTGTGGAGACTAATGTACTTTCAACTACTTTGGAGTGATGGAAAAGTCAAGAGTTGGCTAGAGTTTTCATTCTGGGCAGGGGAGGGATTTCCCTCAGTGAAATAACTGTGAAGGGAGAGGAGGAGAGAAACTCAAGTTCCCTGTGATCTCATCCTGTGATCATGCCACAGTCTTCAAACGTCCTTCACGTTCAAGGATGAGGCTCTGCCCCAGCTTCGAGGACATCCCCTCTGCCCATCTCAGGGGACTTCACGGATCAAGTCACAAAGCAGAAATGCACTCAGAAGGGGCCAGGGTGGGGCTGCTCTCAACACACAGAGCCCTAGAGAATGCTGCAGGCTTCCCCAGTAGCTGCAGGGAGTACCATCTTTAGGAGGGAAAGGAAACTCTTTTCTGGCCACATCTTCTCTACTCTCCACTGCTGGTGAAATCCTGGCTAGGCCTCTTCTGCATTTCTTGTTGGGCAACTGGGCACCCTCCAAATCACCAAACCAATGGCTGGCATCTTTACGTAAGTGCAGTGAAGAAGACATGAAGGAAATGACTCCAGGAGCTCCAGGCTGTGCAGGCGTTTCCTAGGGCCTGGTGGGCTGAGCCACTCTTGGGTGACTGCAGCCTTGAGCCCGGCGCCCTGTCTGATTGATTCCCCATCACCCATGTTGACAAGGCATTCTCGTCATGCCTGTTCTACATGAATACGTTTGAAAAGGAGACAGAGTCCCAGAACTGGATGCTAGATTGCATGTCTGAGCTCCTCTGGGACCACCTCATTAAGATCACCAAAAGGTGTGGTCCAGTCATCTGCACCCTCTGTGCGCTCAGGTGATCTTGGGGTCCACCCCTTGGGAGGTGACCCTGTGCTGGGCAGTCTGAGCAGGAGGGTGGACTGACCTCAGGTGTCAAGAAGGCACGGGTCTGCCACCACCTGCCCCAGAAAACCCTGCAGAGAAGTCTCTGGAACTGACGCGCTGACTGAGGCAAGATGAGGAGCATCTAGAAGTCCAGAAGGCCCTAAATGCTCTGAGAGGCTGGCAGGCAGCCAGGGAGGTAACTGAGCACCAAGGCATCGAGCTACTCACAACCCAAGATTCCCAGGAGCCAGAATCCACCCATGTTCCTGCCCCACAGGAGGATAAACACGCAAAGCTCCCTCACTTCTGTCACAGGTCAGCTGGGGCACCCAGCAGGGCCTTGACTGCCTGGGGGTCTCTGGGGCTTACCCTCACCTGTGGTTCCTTCTGGGATCTCCGTGTGGGGCTGCGCGGCAGCCTGCTTGCCGGGAGCTCCCTCATCCACTAAGGGTGCTGTCACATCTAGAAACCACCGAGATCCACCTTAGAGGGGCCAGGACGAGCCATACCCAGCCCCTCACCTTTGCTTCTTGCGCAGGAGCAATGCAGGGAGGAGGAGTGAGGAGGGGATCAGCCATATGCCAGAAAGCAGCCCTGAAGTAGGGCCCGGAGCCCCTGCTACCAGCTCCCCAGGAAGCACACTGACATGCTGCTGAGTGGTTCTGGCTCATGAACCGCCCAGCTCATCCACCAGGAAAGCCCGGCAGCCCTGTGTAAACGCTGCAGTGAAACAGACTGCTGGGCATGGCCCCAGGCATTTTAAAAGAAGAAATACTGAAAACCAGATGATTGCTTACAACTATATGATCCTTAAGACAGCACAGGGACTCTGGGGTTAGTGCGGGGGCCTATGGTTTTGCTGTGAGGCTTTGGGCAAGTCCTTGGTCCATTTTGATTGGACGGTTTCCTCATCTGCAAAATGGCAGTGTCATCTCTAGGTGACTTCCAAGACTTCTCCCAGCTCTAACCCCTAAATCCAAGCCCATGACCCACAATTCAAAAGTGCAGAGTCCCTTGCATGGCAATAAATAGGTCCGCTCCTGTCCAGAGTCAGGCATTTGACTGTTGGATGGGTCCACCTTCACAGCAGAGGCAGGAGGGAAAGCTCGGCTACCAGGAGCTGCTGTCAGTCTCTCATCAGGTAAATGCTTCCAAATCAGCGTCCCTCCCGAGCAATGCCCTGGCACACTCCCAGGCCTTTCCGGGTACACATAAGGAGTTGTCAGCTTTGAAGGCTTTCCAAGTTCAATGAAGGACATTTTAATTATGGTTGTCTTGGGTGCAGGCGGAGCAACCAGGCAAGATCCCAGCCCCAGCAGTGTTCCCTCCACCAGGGGTGGGAGCCAATGCTCTTGAGTCTCATGCCTGCACAGGGTCCAGAGGGCATTGCGACTTGTTTGGGAGATTCTTCCAGAATCCTGTTGAGGGAGCACTGAGAGTCAAGGCTTGGGAAGCTGGCATGAGGTCTGGCATCGTTTTGTAGACTTTCTCAGGATGGCAGGCAACTTGTAAAACCGTCCCGACAAGATGAGCAGGAAGTGTCTTGCATCACTGGCTCTAAGAAGGAGCCAAGAGAATCTGATCTGGATATTCTCATGAGGCTAAGAACCTCAGCGGCAAGGCCCATGCCTGCTGCGTCCTCTAAAGCTGTAGCATTATACCAAGCAAGAGGCGGGCACTTGACAGCCATTTTCCAAATTAATCCAAAGGTGGATGCTTGGGGAGACACTTGGGCCAGTTTTTCACCCCAAGACACAAGATCCAAATGAACGTGCAGAGCCTGAAGAAGTACTGAGAAAGGAACCTTGAAACTCCATGGGGAGGATGGAAAGATAGAGGGGCAGATACTGCCAACTAGTGACTCAAAAGCCACTATTAACGTTCTTCCCCCTTGGTTTATTCTGCTAAAGAGGTTGGACGGCAAAATGCTCAATGTCCCAGCCTTGCTCGCAGCAAGGGGTGGCCGTAAGACCCAGCTCTGGCCAATGAGACATAAGCAGAAGATTGCCACTTGCAAGAAAACTCCTGCTTTCCTAAGGGGACACATTTAGTTTCAGGGCCCTTTTGGCCACTTTACTTTGCAACTTGTTCCTGCTTCAAAGGCAGATGTGATGCCTGGAAGTGCAGCAGCCACTTTGTAACCATGAGGCAACAATCCAACCACTAAAGATGACAGAAAATAAAGACAGGAGAGCATCAATGACCCTTGAGGTGCTGGCCAAGTCTAGACATCTGATTATGTGAGAAAAGTAAACCTCTTCATGTAAATGCCACAGTTAGTTGGGGTTTCTGTTTCTTACAGCCAAATGCAGTCTTGACTGACACAGATGGGAAGCAAGAGAAGATGGTCAAAATCAGGACTGAGGAGCATGTCAGAAAGTATGCGAGGTGCTAATAACCTAGATGCCGAGTGTCTGGAAAGGACAGGTTAGGAGAAGGGCTGGAACAAACACCGTGGCCAAAGTCCAGAGGCCCAGGCCACACCCAGAGCCCCCAAAATGAAGGATACTAAACCAAGATCAGATGTCCACTGACCTGCCCCTTCCCTCAGCCAAATGGCTGCTCTGGGACCTACTGGCCCCTGAAGAAAGAGAGAGGAGGGGGCTTTTGAAGGGGGTGTGGGAGGACAATCGTATGGAGCGGGGCTTTGTGGAGCTGTGCGCGGGACTGTCCAAGGGTGGCTGCCTCCAGAGCACACACGGGATGAAGGTGCCCACACTCAGCACCAGCAAGCAAGGCATCGACGCAAGGCTCAGCTCCCACCACGCTGTCCTGCAAAGCACCGAAGGAGTGAGCACATCTCTCAGCCAGGGGGAGCAGCAGATGCAGCCAGGAGGGAGGCTCAAAGCACGGCTAAGCACAGGCTGGAGGCATGGAGGGGGCGTCTGAAGGGGGGCCCACCTTCCGCTGTTGGAGTGCTCTTAGCATCAGAGGTTTCAGAGCCCGGTTCCTCAGATCCGTCCTCAGTGGGGGTCTGCAGGGGAGATTCTGGAACACATACAGTGAGCCCTCAGAACGGTGGCCTCTCCCCAGCGCCCCCTTTTGTTCTCAGGAGGAACTGGGGAGCAGTGTCCTGTGGAGCTGAAAATCGCTCCCTGTGGAAACAGCTGGAACACGGCCTCGCAACAAACCCACAAAGGGGACCAACCCCACCTCCCTCCCTGCCAACACGACTGTGCCCCACACCAGGGCCATCAGATGAGGACACAGGTGATGTGCGTTTGCTCCTGGGTGAAAGGACAAAGTGCCTCTTAACCAGCTAGTGGTGCCACCTGAGGCAAAGGTTTATCTTCCATTGGTCAACGGGCAGCAAATACCAGAAAGCCGAGCTACGCATGAACCTTCTGCTTTGTCATTGCTATTAATTAACAACAAGTAGACACCTGGAAAAACACTCAGCGATCCAACCCCTTCCTTGGAAAAGGAGTCAGCTCAGGGCAGACACGGTGCTTACTTCTAAGTGGACATTGGGTGGTGTTTGGACGCCACCAAGCTCCTTTCATAGAAAGACCTCCAAGGACTGATGGACAAGCTGTGAGTTACATTTGAAATGGCAGCCATGTGTACCTACAATAAAACTGTCCTTTCAGAATGGGAAGCCTGGGCAAGAGAGGCCCAAATGATCACAGTGGTTGACAGTCACGCCCTCCACCAAGAATGTCCTTAGTAAGGCAGCTTTTGTTGCCTTAATAGAAATGAGAAAACTACCTCCTCCTCCTCCTAGAAGGGCTGAATTGTCCCTTCCCTGTGGCACTTTGGCCACTGGGAGTCAATCTGCCCTGGTTATTTTATGGGCTTATCAATGCATCATGCAGTATCCAGGGCTGAGCAGGTCAAGGCCTTACACTCTGGAAGGTTGAGAATTCTTGAGAGCCCAATGTATACAGAGCTGAGTGCTAGGTACTGGGAAGGGACAAAATGCTCAGAAGATACAGCCTGTGCTCTGGGAGCACACACTCTCCTGAGGGAGGAAGGATGGCCACACAGAGCAAAAGACTCCAGGGCAGGCCCATGGCCAGCCGATAGGGTCCTCCTGGAGATGCCCCACCAGGAAGCAGGAGTTACAGGCTAGAGAGCATGGGACCAAGGGGCAAGATGGCTGGGTTCAAGTCCCAGTTCCACTTCTTTCTGGTCAGGTGGCCTTGGACCTGCCTCTCAGGGCCTCCGTTTCCTCATCTGTAAAATGCGTGAGATGACCTCAACTCTACCTGCCTCCTCCTAGAGCTCCTGGGAGAATCCCATGAGTGAATGTTGGTAAAAGCACCTTCAAATCATGAGGATTTATACATGTGGATCTAGTTCTCATCCATGTAAAGGAGGCAAATGTTTATGGGGGCAGCCCTGGGCTTCCCTTCAGTTCTGCCCCACCTGGGCTGTCCACAGGGGACCATCGTGGTAAATCATGGCTCATACCATGATGGGTGGACGGACGGATGGATGGATGAATGGGTGGATGGATGGATGGATGATTGGATGAATGTATTATTGGATAGATGACTGGATGGTGGGTGAATTACTGAATGATTAGATGGATGTATAATTGATGTATAATTATATGGATGGATATATGAATTAATAATTTATTAGGTGGGTGTATGAATGTGTAATTGGATGGAGGTATAATTGGATGTAGAATTATATGGATGTGTGTATGTATAATTGAATGATTAGATGCATGTATGAATGTATAACTGGATGGATGTGTAATTGGATATATGACTGGATGGTTACATGGATGGATGGATGGATGGATGGATGGATGGGTGGATAGATGAATGGATGGATGGATGGATGGATGGGTGGATAGATGAATGGATGGATGGATGGATGGGTGATGTGTAGATGATTCGATGTATGTATGATTGATTGGATGAAGATATGGGTGGATGGATGGATGGATGGATGAATGGATGATGTATAGATGATATATGTATGATCAAATGGATAATGGGATGGATGGAGGAAGGAATGATGGATAATTGGATGAATCGATGGAAGAATGAATGATGTAGAGATGTATGGTTAGATGTATGTATGATGGATGAATGATGGATGGAAGGAAGGATGGATGGATAAATGGATAGATGGATGAGCTGGTGATGTGCAGATGTATGATTGGATATATGTATGATTGGATGGATGATAGGAAGGATGAAGGAAGGGATGGGTGGATGGATGGATGAATGGATGGATGGATGAACCGAGGGAAGAATGGATTATGTACAGATATATGATTGGATGGATGATAGGAAGGATGAAGGAAGGGATGGGTGGATGGATGGATGAATGGATGGATGGATGAACCGAGGGAAGAATGGATTATGTACAGATATATGATTGGATGTATGTATAATTGGATGGATGATGGGATGGATGAAGGGATGGATGGATGGATGGATGGGTGGGTGGGTGGTGTATAGATGACTGGATGTATGCATGATTGGGTGGAGGGAGGAAGATATGGGTGGATGGATGGGTGGATAGATGGATGGATGTGATGGTAACATGTAAAGCTTCCATCAGAATTTCTGAATTCTTTGCCAGTACCTCTTAGTCATCTTCCCTCAGCTCCTCCTGTGCCTGGCACTGCATGCCCAGAAAAGCCTCTCCAGTCTTCCCAGTGGTGTCTCAGCCATCAGATCAATGGTTCCTCAGCTCTCAGCTCAGTGAATTCACTCCCCTCTGTATGACAGAAATTCCTTACTCTTCATGCACATGGTGGCTGAATGGGTTTCCTCTGCTGTCTAATTGTCCTATTCATGGCTTAGACTCAACTCTGGAAGACTGGAAGATAGAGCCTCTAGAGAGTCAGGCAGATGGGGCCCAAATCCTGGCTCCACCACCTATTGGTTGTGTGAGGCTGAGCGAATTACCTAACCTCTCTCTGCCTCAGTTTTCTCCCCTGTATAATGGGCATAGTAGTAGCTCCACTGGCTCACAGGGCTTCTGTCAGCATGAAATTGTTGAATGCTTATTTAAAGCACTTTGTACCATGCCTGGCAGATGAGACGTCCCCAATAAGTGGCAGTGATTATTTTCAGTCATTATCATGTCACCTTGGTTGAAGGGCCCAGTGTAGCACTGCTCATGCTCACCAGCAGGAACTTGAGTATTTTATTTTATTTAGTGCCAATGGTGGTGATGCAGATATGGAATTGACTGGGAATCCTGGAGGGCCCCTAGCAGATAGCTGACATTGTACCAGATGGACAAAGTGGCTCTGGTCATATGAGGAAAAGTCAAGCATCACGTTGTAGTCACATACCCCGTCAAGCACATGGGGACTTTTAGTCTGGAAATTGCAAACACTCCCTCTGTGGCACAGACTGCTGAGGGTCCACCTGGTGTCCATTCTCTCTACCCTCCTTGGGAACAGAGCCCTGATATGATAGAGGACAGAGCTGTGCCCAGTTAAAAGGCCACATCTTCCAGCCTCCTGGGCAGACAGGGGTGGCTGATAAGAAGCTAAGGGAAGTCATTGGATAGGAAGTCCAGGAAAATGTCTGGATGGGAGGAGCTCAGCTGAGAGGGTCTCCCTTTGTGCCCAGCTCCCCTTCCTCCTTTTCCAGGGGCCTTTCTGAACATGAGACATCTTGAACATGGAAGTCACATGCTCAGAATGGTGGGGTTTTTTTTTGTTGTTTTTTGTTTTGTTTTGTTTTTCTGGCTGTATGAAAAGATCATTGTCAGTTCACTGGCTGTGCAAAACAGGCTGGGTACCAGAATTGGCTTGTGGGTTATAGTTTGTGGCGCGCTGCTTTAAGGAATGGCTCTGGGGCCTCAGTGGGGGACAGGATGAAGGGCGGAGGGTGTAAAGGTCTCATGGCTGCTGTTGCAAAACCAAGGTTTGTGGTGAGGAGATCTGTGTCGGATGGAATGGAGGTGAGGTCCCTGGGTGCTGTGGAGGGTTGTGGGAGGAACTGGCCAGGGTCATGATGGACAAGCTGATGGTGGTATCACCAACAGCAGTAGAGAAACCAGGAATGGCCCAGGATGGGGGAGCACAGAATTTGGTTTTTACTTGTTAGGTTTTGGGTGTGGCTTGGGCATTCAGTGGAGTTGTCCCTTGGGCGACAGGAAGGCTCTGTTGAACTCCGAGAAAGGCACTCCACCTGGGGCGGGAGTAATTTAGAGTCAGTTTCAGGATGGGGCTGGTTCTGTGCATGAAGCAGAATGAGAAGATGAAAAAAAGGCAAGTGGAGTTCCACTGTGAGATCAGACACCTCATGCCCTTTGTTAAAACACTGTCCCTGGACACCTGGCCCTGGCTGCACCCATCCCACAAAGAACAGCTAATCCTGAACAAGCTTCCAGCATGAACATAGCTCCTTGGTCCTGGAGCTTTTGCAAAAGCCTGCAAACTGCCGCAAGAAGGCTTTGGACAAATGGAGAGGCAGCATCACGCAGACTTCTGGGTTTTGTTATTTTTCAGCAGCCTTGACTGCCAGGGCACAGGGACATCTATATGGGCATGATGGTCCCCCTTTCCCCAATCTGTCCCCAGCTTGAGCCCTACAGTCCTTATCATTTGCATTGGTCTCCTTGTTAAATCCCTTGGAAGTAGTGAAGGAGGAAGAAGCCCCATTTGCATGTCTTATCTGGAAGGCATAACAAGTTAACTCATCAACACCTTTTAATTCATTAGGGTGCACTAGTTTATAGGTAACCAACTTTCATCTACTTTTCAGCTCTCTTGGGCAGGTATCCAGCCATATTTCAACTCTTAGCATCCACTTAGACACTCTTTGTTCTGGCATTTAACGTGTAGTTTCTTGTCTTCTGTCACTTATTTAAAATGTTGTTAGTAAAGTGACACCTTCTGCCAAGTCAAACCTGTCACACCCGACATCAAAACAGCTCCTTGTAAGCTTTCAGTAGCAAGAATTAATTTGATGAGGATTATGAACACCTTAAGTATTACTTGCTTTCTTGGAAAGTATATTCTTTGGGTAAGCAAATTATCTTGAAATGCTTTCCTTTCAGAGCAATTTCTAAAAGGTTGGCAATTTAGATTTTGCATTTTTATATACAGTATATATAGTGCATATATATATACACACACATATGTTTTGGCATAGAACTTCTGATCATGTTTTATGTGAAAGCTTTGAATAGTTTTAGCAAACATATTTTAGGCAACTCAAACACTAACTTGGTGAACTTGTCCTCACTTTACACATTAAATTTAGTTTTCTCTTCAGAAAATAAGAGTGGTAAAACCTACTTCTTTCCTGGACTTTATTTCATTTTTGTTTTTTGAGACAGGGTCTTGCTCTGTTGCCCAGGTTGGAGTGCAGTGGTACAATCACAGCTCACTGCAGCCTCAAACTCCTGGGCTCAGATGATTCTCCCACCTCAGCCCCGCAAGTAGCTGGGACTACAGGAATGCGCCACCACACCTGGCTAATTTTTGTGATTTTTTTTAGAGACAGGATTTCACCATGTTGCCCAGGCTTGTCTCAAACTCCTGGGCTCAAGCAATCCACCTGCCTCAGCCTTCCGAAGTGCTGGGATTATAGGCATTAGCTACCGTACCTGGTCTCCTGGAGTTAATTTTAAACGAACTTGTTATTTTGGAACAGTTTTAGATTTACAGAAAACTTGTGAAGTTAGTACAGACAGTATACCCCACATCCAGTTCCCTTGTTGTGAACATCTTACAGGATCATGGTACATTTGTTGCAGCATAATACATATTTTAAACTGACTCTAAGCCAGGCTGCCCTGCCTCTAAATAGAATGTCATTTTTCACTGGCACAATCCATATGAGGCACATGTTGTGATTCTAACTTGGATTCCACCCAAGAGAGCTTAATAACTGAAGTTCCAAGGGAGCTTGGTGGAAAGAGTGACAAGGGGGAAATATGGTCCATGTGGGGCTGCAGCCATGGACCTGCTCTGGCAGCCCACGGTCTGAGCATGAGGCTCCTTTGTCATCTGTGAAGCGGACGTCATCCACCCTCACGGGCTGTTGTGAGCATCACCTGCTGCCAACAGTAGAGTGCTACAAAAATGTCCCAATTAGCATTCTGAGGTAGATCCCTTATAAGTAGAGTGGCATTTACTATCACCCAAATCAGGACACTTGAAAGAGAAAGCAGCACTATTTTTTTTTTTTTGAGAAGGAGTTGACTGGGCACGGTGGCTCATGCCTGCAATCCCAGCACTTTGGGAGGCTGAGGTGGGCGGATTACCTGAGGTCAGGAGTCCCAGACGAGCCTGGCCAACAGGGTGAAACCCCGTCTCTTCTAAAAATACAAGAACTGGCCAGGCGTGGTGGTAGGCGCCTGTAATCCTAGCTACTTGGGAGGCTGAGGCAGGAGAATCGCTTGCACCCGGGAGGCGCAGGTTGCGGTGAGCCGAGATGGCGCCACTACACTCCAGCCTGGGCGACAGAGCAAAACTCCTTTTTTTTTAGGACGGAGTCTCACTCTGTCACCCAGGCTGGAGTGCAGTGGCACGATCTTGGCTCACTGCAACCTCTGCTTCCCAGATTCAAGTGATTCTCCTGCCTCAGCCTCCCAAGTAGCTGGGACTACAGGCACCCACCACCACACCTGGTTAATTTTTGTATTTTTAGTAGAGACGAGGTTTCACCATGTTGGCCAGGCTGGTCTCGAACTCCTGACCTTGTGATCTGCCCACCTTAGCCTCCCAAAGTGCTGGGATTACAGGTGTGAGCCACCGCGCCCGGCTGAAAGCAGCACTATTAATCATGATGCAGAACAGATGCGCTGGGATAGGCTGGGACACCCACACCCCAGTCCCAGGCACCTGGTGAGAGAACTCTTCATCTCTCTTTGTCAGGAAAAGAGGCAAAATCTGGCCCCCAATCCCAGTTTCCCCCAGCAGCACCAACTGCCAGGGGGGCAGCTGGGAGAAAGTGGTTTCAACAGGCTAACCTTCGGGGTTGAGGTCTTGGGGGCTACCACCCCTCACTTCACACATCCTGAGCACCAGGGTGGGGCAGGGACAGGGTAGGCAGTGTTGTGGGATGGAGAGGAGGGAGGGACGAGAAACAGCAGAGAAAGAAAAAGATGGAGTGGGGAGAGAAGGAGAGGGAAAGCGGGAGTGGGGGAAGTGGGAGAGGAGGTGGAAAAATTCAGTGGAGGGGGACACAGTGAGGAAGGGACTGAGAAGGATTTATTTATTATTATTATTATTTGACATGGGGGTCTCTGTCGCCCAGGCTGGAGTGCAGTGGTGGGATCTTGGCTCACGGCAACCTCCGCCTCCTGGGCTCAAGTGATCCTCCTGCCTCTGCCTCTTGAGTAGCTGGGACTATAGGTGCATGCCACTATGCCCGGATAATTTTTAAAATTATTATCTGTAGAGACGAGGTCTCACTATGTTGCCCAGGCTGGTCTGGAACTCCTGGGCTCAAGCAATCCTCCTGCCGCAGCCTCCCAAAGTGCTGGGATTACAGGCGTGAGCCACCGCGCCCGGCCTCTAAGAAGGATTCAAAGGAGAAAACAGGGGGTGGGGGGAGGGGGGAGGGATAGCATTAGGAGATATACCTAATGTAAATGACAAGTTGATGGGTGCAGCACACCAACATGGCACATGTATACATATGTAACAAACCTGCACGTTGTGCACATGTACCCTAGAACTTAAAGTATAATAAAACAAAACAAAACAAAAAAAAACAAAACAAAGGAGAAAACAGATCTCCTGGCTTGGAGCCTCTCAGGTGCCCTCCCTGGGGAGCTGAATCTGGCAGCACTGGCTGGAGCAGTCAGAAAGCACATTTCCATCTTGCCATCACCACGTGATGGCTGACCTCAGGCAGGGAGGCTGGGCCGAGCTGCATTCCCCGGTCCCTCTCACCTCCTCACCCAGAGCTTCTGGAACACCTCTGAGCAGCCCCTGCTCCCCCAATACGCCCATGTCTTCCTTCACCTACCCCCAACCCACCTGCACCCACTTTCCTAATTCCCAAATTCCTCATAATCCAATATCTTCGCTGATTCAACAGATAGAAATCTGAAACGTGCCTCCCAACCAGTCCTGGAACCTCTCCAAGCTGGGATGGCCACTCCCTGTGCGAGAAAGCTGGTGGTCCCAGCTTCCCACACTCAGGGGACCTCCCAGAGACCCCACCCACTCCAGCAATCTTCCTGAATAGACATATCCAGCAGAGGTCACTTCCCACCTCACAACTCCACGGCTTCCATGCACTACCCATACCCTGGGCTGCAAGGTGTTTTCTTATTTTTAGCATTAAAAGAGAAAAGTAGAGTGTTTGCCATTTTGCCTCCTTAGAAATGGGTATGGAGGCAGGGACTGAGTCCATCCTGCCCTCGGGCTGCACTGTGGGCTGTTGCTGTGAGCACTCACTGCCAGCCACACCCATGGAAAGAAGGGCTCCTTGTAGCACAACCCAGCGCGGAGACAGCCTCGACCAACCTTGAGACAACCTCAGACAACTTGGTCCAACCCTTGGACCAACCTGGCACTCCAGCAGTGGGTGAAGGGCCAGCATGGGAAGGCAGAGGGAGGGCTGTGTGCTCTGTGGGGTCCCCAACCATGTGGTCTGACAGTGAAATGAAACACATTTCATTTGGAAAGAGAGAGGAAGAGGCGAAGTCAATTTGGCCAAAAGATGGTATTATAGAATGTTTAGAAGTCGATGTTGTTTATTAATGTGGCTACAGTAAGAATCCCAGGGCTAACCAACTCTTGCTAAAGAGAGGCCACTCAGGCCTGATCTAAGTAAGAGATAAAAAGCAATGTTTAAAGTCACATATTTTACATGCTAATCAATACCACTGATTTATAAGCTAACAGGTGTGGCTAATGCCTCAAAAAGTACCCTGTATTTGAGAGATTGTTAAGGCCCTAAAATCTCTGTCCCTACATTCACTCATGTGGGTAACTCAAGGTAAATTTCTTTCTTTCTTTTTTCTTTTCTTTTTTTTTTGACAGGGTCTTGCTCTGTTGCTCAGGCTGGAGTGCAGTTTTATAATCACAGCTTACTGCAACCTTGAACTCCTGGGCTCAAGTGATCCTTCTGCCTCAGCATCCTGAGTAGCTAGGACTATAGACATGCACCACAACACCTGGCTAATTTTTAAATTATTTTAGAGACGGGGTCTTGCTATGTTGCCCAGGCCGGTCTCAAATTCCTGGCCTCAAGGGATCCTCCTGCCTGGGCCTTCCAAAGTGCTGGGATTACAGGCGTGAGCCACCGTGTCTGGCCATTATCTCACTGCTTGAGTTATCTTGGCCCACTCAAATTAATGAGGCTTTACTTTACTGACAGTCTAAGACAATAATGTATTTAAAATTTCTTTGCAATTCTGGATGCAAACTGTTCCCGCCACCCCTTGGCTTGCAGTGATCTGGGCCTGCTGTGCATGGCTGTCCACTAACCTTTCAGGCCAGCGTCCGTGTCACCCTCTTGGTCTTGGTGCATGGTGTAGCCCCCCTGATCTTTCCTGTCCCCCAACCCGTACGTCCCAGCGTGATCTTCCATCACTTCGAACTCCTGGCGGGGCTCAGCCATCCTGGTTCAAAGTTCACCTGGGGAAAGAAGAGGAGAGGATAAGTTCTGAGGAGTGTTGGGGGGCAGAGTGGGGGTGAAGAGAGAGAGGAGCCTCTCCTCCCAGTTCATGGCAGGCAGATCTCAGCCTCCCTGCTACCCTCTCTAACAGTTGGCCGCCCATCCTCATCCCGTGCTCCATATTCCTGCCCAAGCGTTATTTACATCTATCTGCTTGCTTAATTTACCAACACCGCAGCAGTTCATATTCAACACCACCAGGTGACGGCCAGGCATGGTGGCTCACGCCTGTGATCTCAGCACTTTGGGAGGCCGAGGTGGGTGGATCACCTGAGGTCAGGGGATCGAGACCAGCCTGGCCAACATGGTAAAACCCCATCTCTACTAAAAATACAATAATTAGCCAGGCATGTGGCAGGTGCCTGTAATCCCAGCTACTGGGGAGGCTGAGGCAGGAGAATCAATTGAACCTGGCAGGTGGAGGTTGCAGTGAGCTGAGATTACACCACTGCACTCCAGCCTGGGTGACAGGGTGAAACTCTGTCTCAAAACAAAAAAAAAAAAACAAAACAAATAAACCCACCAGGTGAGGCAGGTGAGGTGGGCCCGACTTGTTATTCCCAGCTCTCTTTCCACTTCATTAAAAAAATCAATGCTGCTGCCCAGCAGTTTGCTCTTTCTCTTTAACGGTGAGGGCACGACTGAACAGGAGAGGGACAGCATCAGCAGAGCCTGTCTGGTAAGGAAAGTGAGGCACGGAGAAGTGAAGAGATGGTTCAATCAGATGTCAACTGGCAGCAAAACCAACTCTTGACTCATCGGGGGTGTCCTGACTCCTCCAGCTCCGAGTTTGCTGGCTTCCTGGAGTCAGGCTGTGGCCCCCATTCACCACACCGGCACCCACCAGGTCCCCCACGTGTGTGTTCCAACGGTGGCTCTCCTGGTGGGCTGAGAAGCACCCCACAGGGCCCAGTAGGGGCATGAGGCTTGGGATCTGAAGAGCAACACACACCCTTCTTCCCCAAAAGCCCCAGCAGGGAGATGCCACTTCAGCTCAACAGAGCTGGATAGAAACCACCATTTACTCACACTTTGTCCTCATCTTTATTGTAAATTATTATTATTTTAAAAATAATTCATAACTTTGAATTTATGAACTTTTTTTTTTTTGAGATAGAGTCTCGCTTTGTTGCCCAGGCTGGAGTGCAGTGTCGCGATCTCTGCTCCCTGCAGCCCAGGTGAGCCAGCCAATTCGGGTTGCCCCATTCAACCTGCAGCTAAAGCTTTGTGAACACTAAGAAGTTTAATGAGCACAGTGGTTTTGTTCTTTGGATTTGATCTATTCCTTTCAATGACCAAGTTTCTTCTCTTGGAACATGGTGGACAGAGGTGTGAAAGTAAAAGTAAAAATCGGATGTGCTGGCTTTTCTTACACATTTGCATATTTTCATATTCGTAGCTCATGGCTATAGGAGGCCTGAATTTTTTTTTTTTTTTTTGGCCCCTGTGAATAATCCAGGATAAATGCTTTGTGGGTTTTCTTTGGGGGAGTGGGGACGGGGGTCTCACTATGTTGCCCAGGCTGGTCTCAAACTCCTGGGCTAAAGTGATCCTCCCATATCCGCCTCTCAAAGTGTTGGGATTACAGGCATAAGCTGCCACCATGCCTGGCTCTATTCATATTTTGAGTAAAACAGTACTTTGCTATTTCTTGATGAGAAAAGTAATACAACCTTATTATAGAAAATGTATTTATACAAAGCAAGATGGGAAGAGAAAATCATCCCTCTGCCCAGAAACGATTACTGTTGACATCCTGCCATACCAGACTTTGACAATCATGGATTCAGCTTTTGGAATTTTGGTCCATCATAAGTGATGTGAAATTCCAGGACAGGCGGCACATGCCATCTGGCTGAGGAATAAATTTGAACCCCTCTTCCTCTATGGGGGCTGTACGGGAGTGAGGCACTCAGTAGGGAGTGAGCCCAATCCTCCTGGCTGCCCTGTCCCATCCTAAAACGGCTCTGCTGTTCTCAGTCCTCCAGGGCACACGGTGACTCTGATGAAGAGGCAAAAATGCCACTGCTTCGTGAAAAATGGCCTTGAAGCAAAAGAGAACATTCTGATCACATTTGAAAAGGCAGATACTTTGTGGCACCAGGGCTTGACTTCTAATGAATGTATAACAGAAAAGATCAGGCACTTGTGCAAATGTGTCTGTTTTCATGAATCCGCGGATTTACAAAGGTTTGGGAATGTATGTCAAGGATCTGTGATATTTCCTTCTAGCCTTTTATTCTATGCATTAAAAATATAGTTGCAATTATGCTACTTGCTTTTTTCACATAAGATTATAGCATGAGCATTTGTTGGTCACTAAAAGCCTTTGTAAACATCAGGGGCACTAACTACCAAATGTTCCTTTCCACATATGTACCATATTTTCCTAACCATCCCCTAATAGTTAGCACTGAAATGGCCTCAGATGTTCCAATATTACAAATAAAGTTGCATTAAATATCTTTTTGAAAAACTTTGTCCATAATTTTTTTTTTTTAGATGGAGTTTCACTCTTGTCACCCAGGCTGGAGTGCAGTGGTGCAATCTTGGCTCACTGAAACCTCCGCCTCCTTGCTTCAAGCGATTCTCCTGCCTCAGCCTCCCGAGTAGCTGGGATTACAGGCCCCAGCCACCATGCCTGGGTAATTTTTGCATTTTTAGTAGAGACAGGGTTTCACCAGACCTCAGGTGATCTGCCTGCCTCGGCCTCCCAAAGTTTAGGGATTACAGGCATGAGCCACCATGCCCGGCTGACTTTGTCCATAGAATTTTGAGAAGCATCACCAATTGCTTTTCAAACAAGATCGGGCTTGTTGAGGGTGTAGCGGCTGTAGACACCAATTGCTTCTCAGATGCAGTGCAAGTGGGTATGAAGTGTGAGTCTTGTCAACACTGAGTTAATCATACACCTAAATAAATGCCAAAAAATTTTTGTGCTTATAGATGAAAGATGATGTTTTACTAATGTAAACTATGAACTTGGGTGATAATGATATGTTAATGAGGATTCATTGGTTGTAACAAGTGTACCACTCTGGTGCAGGACGTTGGCAGTGGGGGAGGCTGTACGTGGAGGGCAGGGAACATACGGGAAGTCTCTGTACCTTCCACTCAGTTTCACTGTGAACCTAAAAGTGCTCTAAAAAACAGTCTATTAATGTTTTTTTAAATGATATCCTAGAGTTGTTTAAATATGTGATGTTTTAATTTTTTCTGGGACAGAGTCTCGCTCTGTAGCCCAGGCTGGACTGGAATGGTACGATCTCAGCTTACTGCAACCTCTGCCTCCCGTGTTCAAGCAATTCTCCTGTCTCAGCCTCCCGAGTAGCTGGGATCACAGGCATGTGCCACCACGCTTGGCGAATTTTTGTATTTTTTGTAGAGACGGGATTTCACCATGTTGGCCAAGCTGGTCTAGAACTCCTGATCTCAAGTGATCTGCCTGCCTCAGCCTCCCAGAGTGCTGGGATTAAAGGTGTGAGCCACTGCGCCTGGCCTGATGTTTTAATTACTAGTGAGATCAGCATTTTTCTCCTCTTTTTTTTTTTTTTTCTTTTAAGTCAGGGTCTCACTCTGTTGCTCCAGCTGGAGTGCAGCGGTGTGATCTTGGCTCACTGCAGACTCTACCTCCCGGGCTCAAGTGATCCACCCACCTCAGCCTCCTGAGTAGCTGGGACTACAGGCGTGTGCCATCACACCCGGCTAATATTTATGACTTTTGTAGAGGCAGGGTTTCACCATGTTGCTCAGGCTGGTGTTGGAACTCCTGGGATCAAGTGATCCGCCTGCTTCAGCCTTCCAAAGTGCTGGGATTACAGGCATGAGCCGCCGCGCCGACCCACTCTCATTCTTTTTGCTTGTCTGTTCAGGTCTCAGTGCTTATTCTAATGACTTGTGTGGGCTCTTAATTTATGAATAACATTAACCCTTGATCATATTTGTGGCAACTATCTTCTCCAGTTGGTTGCCTTTTATTTTGGTTTCTGATGGTTTTTGATGGGCAGGGTTTAAGTTTTATATAGTCAAATCTGTTTTCCTTTGTGATTTATTCCATTGCTCTATGGTATAGAAAGATCATCCATTTTCTTCTACATTTTTAGTGGTCTAATTTTTTATATTTATTAATTCATCTGGAATATTTTTAGGTTTAAGATGGAGTGAGGTTGAAAAGTTTCTCCCCAAATATAACAGCTAAAGTCAGTGGACCCAGGCCTATTTGTAGACCAATCTGCCCTCTTCCCCAGGTGAATGCACCATGCACTCTGTCCTGCTTATCTGTCAATTTTGCTAGAGCCTCCTGATTTAGCTTTGGATCTCAAGTCTTATTCTCTAGGTGGGCTTAGATATCATTTTCTTTTTCAAAATTATTTGACCTTCTTGTAAGTTTGTCTTCCAGATGTACTTTAGACATTTTTTTTTTTCCTGCAAATTCTCAAAGTTCCACTGGGATTTCGGCTGGAATTGTATTATAGGCCAAAACTATAAAAATTGCTCCCTTCATGATATTTAGTTTTCCCACCCAAGAGCACAGTATGTTTTTCCATTTTTTTCTGGTTTCTGAATCTCTCAGTTGGGGGCGGAATGTAGTCCCACACCCTTCTTGCCACGGCCACGTCTCCCTGGGCTTTATGTCGCTTTTGTGAATGGGCCTCTCCCCATCAACACGTGGATGATTAATTAACCAGGGCTCTGGGGCTCACAGCAGAGATGTGGCTGGGGCACCAATCATGGCTGGGGTGCCAGTGCTGGGGCTGCCACAGTGGCAGTGGTTCCATCAGAGGTTTTCAGGGAATGAACAGGAGAGCCATTTCCCAAGCCTCTTTTGATCAGACAGATGTGATTCCCTCAGTGGGAAACCTCTCTCCATGAACTTGTGAAAAGAAGCTGCTAGAGTTCGCCAACAGACACGTGAAAAAATGCTCATCATCACTGGCCATCAGAGAAATGCAAATCAAAACCACCATGAGATAACATCTCACACCAGTTAGAATGGCGATCATTAAAAAGTCAGGAAACAACAGCTGCTGGAGAGGATGTGGAGAAATAGGAACACTTTTACACTGTTGGTAGGACTGTAAACTAGTTCAACCATTGTGGAAGACAGTGTGGCGATTCCTCAGGGATCTAGAACTAGAAATACCATTTGACCCAGCCATCTCATTACTGGGTATATAACCAAAGGAATATAAATCATGCTGTTATAAAGACACATGCACACGTATGTTTATTGCGGCACTATTCACAATAGCAAAGACTTGGAACCAACCCAAATGTCCAACAATGATAGACTGGATTAAGAAAATGTGGCACATATACACCATGGAATACTATGCAGCCATAAAAAATGATGAGTTCATGTCCTTTGTAGGGACATGGATGAAGCTGGAAACCATCATTCTCAGCAAACTATCGCAAGGACAAAAAAACCAAACACAGCATGTTCTCACTCGTAGGTGGGAATTGAACAATGAGAACACTTGGACACAGGAAGGGGAACATCACACACTGGGGCCTGTTGTGGGGTGGGGGGAGTGGGGAGGGATAGCATTAGGAGATATACCTAATGTAAATGATGAATTAATGGGTGCAGCACACCAACATGGCACATGTATACATATGTAACAAACCTGCATGTTGTGCACATGTACCCTAGAACTTAAAGTATAATAATAAAAAATATATATATATATATATATATATATATATATATATATATATATATATATATAAAAGAACCTGCTAGAGTTCCAGATGAGTTTCACGTGATGAGCCCCATTTGCTCTGGTCTCTATGTTTGAGGTCAGTGGTCCCCAATGCAGTGGTTGCCTATATTCCAAATTCATGGGTTCTAGAGAGAGCAGCTCCCTTTGGAGAGAGCCTCTGAAGGAGCCTGGGAAGTGTGAGAAGCCAGGGACCCGCATGCTGGACAGCTCTCTGTGCTGTGTTCATCACCAAGTCCCAAAGCCCCCCGCGGTGCCCTGAAAAGACAGGCTGGTAGTGAGGAAAGTTCTCTTCCCTTAGTCACTGAGTCCTGCCAGCCCCAGCCCACTGCCCACACACTGCACCCCCATCCTTCAGCTCATTCCTTTGCACAGAGACAGAGCAGGTCAAAGGCACCATCTGGCCAGCCAGGCTTGACCTGGGCCTGGTCATGAGCACTAACTCTAAGTAGACCCTGGCCACTTAAAATGCGTCTCAGCCGTTCTCAATGGGCAAATTAGGCATACATTTAAATGGAAGGAGGCTAGGCCCCATGGCTCACACCTGTAATCCCAGCACTTTGGGAGGCCAAGGCAGGCAGATCACCTGAGGTCAGGAGCTCAAGACCAGCCTGGCCAACATAGGGAAACCCCGTCTCTACTAAAAACACAAAAATTAGCCGGGCATGGTGGAGTGTACCTGTAATCCCAGCTACTTGGGAAGCTGAGGCTGGAGAATCGCTTGAACCTAGGAGGCGGAGGTTGCAGTGAGCTGAGATTGCACCACTGCACTCCTGCCTGGGCAATAGAGTGAGACTCCTTTCAAAAAGGAAAAAGAAAAAAAAAAAAGGAAGGAGTGTTTGTGCCGTGTGAGCCGTTCTCCCCTCTGCCTTCTGTTGGATTCTCAGAGGTGGCTCCCAGCACGCCCATCTTAGATCTCACATGGGGCGGGGTTGCTTGTGTTGTGGCTGCCAACACCCCTTCTCTGCACATCGACACATCACCAAGTCTGTGGCGATGGGGTAAACCACTGGACACGCTGGCTGCTCCCCACTCACCTGTAGGTGGGTGAGGTGGCTGGCTTGGACTTTGTCCACAGGCAGCACCACAGAGGTGCCCTCGGTGAATTTGGCAGCAGCAGGCGGGGCCGATTGGATGGGTAGAGAGCAACTGTTCATAGGGAGCTGACTGCAGTGGTCCAAGCATGCAGTGAAAAGGCAGAGGTGATGGAAAGGAAGGAATGGAGCCAAGAAGTGTATTTGAGAAAATACTAGACTGGGCTTCAAAATCGGGTTGGGGTCAGGGAGAGGGATTAAAAGCTCGTATTATGCTAGAGGTGGGCTTGGACGGTTGGGAAATAGGGGATGGGGGTCACACAGTCAAAGGGAACACCCTCAGGAGGGAAGGCAGCTGGACAAGGGTGGGTTGTTTTTAGGAGAGCCGCTGCTTCAAAGAATCCTGCCCTCTCTTCCCCGTGACTGCGTTTTACTAACTGGTGACTCATTTGACTTAATGAGCTCTAGAAAATTTGTTCTACTATGCCCCTTGGCTTTCATTATAATTTTTTTTTGTTTTTGTTTTTGTTTTTGTTTTTGAGACGGAGTCTCGCTCTTTCGCCCAGGCTGGACTGCAAGTGGCACGATCTCGGCTCACTGCAAGCTCCACCTCCCGGGTTCAAGACATTCTCCTGCCTCAGCCTCCCGAGTAGCTGGGACTACAGGCGCCCGCCACTGTGCCCGGCTAATTTTTTTTTTGTATTTTTAGTAGAGACGGGGTTTCACCGTGTTAGCCAAGATGGTCTCGATCTCCTGGCCTCGTGATCCACCCACCTCAGCCTCCCAAAGTGCTGGGATTACAGGCGTGAGCCACCATGCCCGGCCAGCTTTCATTATAATTTTAAATTGATTCCTTTTTATATGGTTTTATTTATTTTACTTTGCATTATTTATTTATTTGGAGACAAGGTCTTGCTCTGTCGCCCAGGCTGAGGTGCAGTGGTGCCATCACAGCTCACTGCAGCCTCGACTTCCTGGGCTCAGGCGATCCTCCCACCTCAGTCTCCCGAGTGGCTAGGACCACAGGTGTGCACCACCATGCCTGGCTAATGTTTTGTATTTTTTGTAGAGATGGAGTCTTACTATGTTGCCCAGGCTGGTCATGAACTCCAGAGCTCAAGCGATCCGCCTGCCTCGGCCTCCCAAATTGCTGAGGTTAAGGTCAAGAGTCGGCACATTTTTTTCTGGAAAGGGCCAGATAGTAAATATTGTAAGGCTTTGTGGGCCACGTGGTCTCTGTTGTAACTGCTCAACGTAATTGTAGCGGGAAAGCAGCCATCGAGCATAAATAAATGAGCATGACTGTGTTCTGATAAAACACTATTTATAGATATTAGAATTTGAATTTCCCATAGCTTTCATGTGTCACAAAACATCATCTTATTTTATTTCATTTTTCAACCACTTAAAAATGTGAAAATCATTCTTAGCTCAAGGACAGTTTTGGCCCACGTGCCAGAGTTTTTAGACTCCTTCTTTAGGCTTCTCCAGTATTTCTTCGATCGAAAAAAAAGAAAAACTGTGAATCGGTCTTAGCAAGAATCATTGTATGTTCCGATCACCTCCTATATTCTCAGTGTGGAGTTCTGCTTTTCATGTTGGGTTTTCCTCAGCTGCTTCTAGAGGTTTCCATGGGTTCCAAGTCAGGAGCAGGAGAATCAAAGGTCATTCCCAGGACTCAGGGCAATGCGCCACTGTTTTGGAGGCTGGGGATGCTCGCTCAGGGTATTTCTCTGTTGGGCTGCCTCATTCAGCACCACAGAGCAGATGACAGGGCAATGAGTCTCACTGTCCTGGTTTCCAATAAAGATCCCTCCTTCCCCTCCCCCTCCACCATCCCTGCAGGGCTAGAGAGAGTCAGATGCACCAATAGAAGGCTGATGACCTACAGGGGCTGATGCAGAAATCAACTCATCCTTAAAATACAGGCTACTATTTACTATGCAAAATAAATAAACTGTGTGCCTCTCAAGGGTCAATATTTTCTTTTGGGGAAAAAAGTGGAATGCATGGGAAGAATCTCTAAGCAGGGAGGCTCAGCCTCCACCCTGATCCTGGGACAGGAAATGCTCGTAGGTTCATGGACCTTCTGATTAGACTCGGTTGCAAGAGTCACTGCACTGCATTGGCTGGGCTAGGTCAGCTGCCCCATGCTAATGCTTTGGGACCTACCTGCCATGTTAAGAAAGACAAGCCCATTTTCAGGAGCATCCTTGAGGCGCTACTTGACATAGGCAGAAAATAGGACCCAGAAAGATGTCCCTGGAGAGCAAAATGAAGTGACTCTTCTCAGTCTTACAACCAACACTGACTGAGCACAAGAACGACAGCTTCGCCAGGTAGGACTTGCAGGGTCACGCAGTGCCATAGCCCCAGGGCCTGGCAGCAGGTAGTGCTCACCCAGCACCTGCCAGAGAAGGGGCGCTTGCTCCATGCAGGTGCCTTGCAGGCATCTCTGTGACCCTTCAGGGCAATCCTTGAGGTAGGTGTCATCATCATCATCATCATCATCATCATCATAGGTGTTATGATTCCCAGGAGTCTGGGAAGTTACCTGCCCCAGGTCACACAGCCAGTAAGAGGCAGACAGAAATGCAAAGTGATGCTCCGCTGCCCCTCACTGCCCTTCCTTCATCCTGGACCATAAAACATCCCCCAACTTTTTACTTGAGATGTCAGGGTGCAGGTCTAGGGTATGGAAGAAGCAGTGGCCAGGTCTCACATCCAACAGCTGGGTAACCAAGCCACTTCTCTCAACCTTCAGGTTCTTTGCCGCCCAAACCATTTGGTGACCCCAGGGCTCCCTTCTTATGCTGACATTGTATTCTATGTGGGTCCATAGGCTGAGAAGCTGGGACCACAGGTATGCACCACCATGCCTGGCTAATTTTTTGTATTTTTTGTAGAGATGGGGTTTCACTATGTTGCCCAGGCTGGTCATGAACCCCAGGGCTCAAGCGATCCACCTGCCTTGGCCTCCCAAAGTGCTGGGATCACAGGTGTGAGCCACAGCACCCAGTCTAAATTTTTATTTTTTATGAACCTTTATTTTGTATGGGTTTTTCAATGAAGAAATACTCTACTTTAGCCTGTGTCTTCTAACTCAGGAGGCTGGGGCGGGGTAGTGATCAGTGACAGGACAGCAGGAGGCCTCCAGCCCAGGCCAGGTGAGAGGCAGGGGACCCTGGCATCCTAGCCAAGGACCTGGCTCCTTCCTTTCCCTCCCATCTCTGACCCCTGCTGCCCACCTCCTCCAGAAGGGCAGGATGATTTCTCTGGAAGAACTGGATAAAGGATATCTAAACCAACAGACAAATGGCGCAGCTGTGCCTCTTGGCCTGGGACTCCCATGCAAAGATAGTGAATTGAAAAACACATCAATAAGCATGCCCTTGAGGTGACTACGCAGCCTGGACCAGACGTGTCATCACCCACAGATCCCTGTAATCTAAGCGAGACACACAGACAGGAAAATACACTTGATCTTAGCCAAAAGGCCGAGAAGCGATACACAGACAGGAAAATAAACACACCAAGGCTGTTTTCCTCAGACCACTTGTTTTCTTCTTTTCTAAATCCATCAGCCTTCCTCCCTCTCTCTCTCTCTCCTCCTCTCTCTCTCTCTTCCTTTCTCCTTTCCTCAATCCTGTTTTCTCAGGCAGTGACTTAGATGCAGTGGGGTGGGAGGTAAGGAACACATTTTAGGGGAGGCACTAAAGTTGAGTGAAACCTGGACACTAAAATGGGACATTTTTTAGGGACCCTTGGAAAGGTATTGCCTCCTGAGTCCGTCCCTGTGGTTTTTTAGCTAAATTGAGGCCCGGGGGGCGGGGTGGGGGAAGGGGCTAGCTGAGTCACTGTTGGTGCCTTCTTCAGAATCACACCCTCCCAGTCTCAATTCATGCCTCGTAGGGAGACACTGGAGACACGGAAATCTGGAGGGTGGGGGCAGACAAAGAAAGGGAAAAGTGTCTGCAGGGTTGAGAGAGAGAGAGAGAGATGAGAACAAAGATAACAGTTCAGAGTAAAAGAAGAAGACGTCGGAGGGCGAGGGGGTGAGGCAGGGGAGGGATGAGCCATGGAATCGAATCATAAATCCAATCACTGCTGCCGCTACCCATAGGCTTTTCTCTTTTCAAACAACTGTTTTTGATTGACTTAAAATTCATGCAACGTAAAGAACGATTTAAAATGAATGATTCAGTGGCATTTAGTACATTCACAATGTTGTACAACTATCACCTCTATCTAGTTCCAAAACATTCTCACCAAACCCAGAAGAAAGGCTGGACCTCATAGACAGCTGCTCCCCCTTCTCCCCTTCGCCAGTCCCCAGCTGCTCATCTACTTTCTGTCACCATGGATGTATCTCTTCTGGATATTTCGTATAAGGGAAGTCACACAGCACGTGGCTTTTGGTGACTGGCTTCTTTCACTGTGAATCCAGATCTTGGCACGGCTCCGTGCTTCATTCCTTGGGTAATGGGAGGGATAGTCCACATTGGTTTATTCATTCATCCATTGATGGACACCACAGTCTTTTAATAAGTGAAAAGTGTGGAGCCGAGTGCGGTGGCTCACACCTGAAATCCCAGCACTTCCGGAGGCTCAGGCAGGCAGATCACTTGAGGCCAGGAGTTCGAGACCAGCCTGGCCAACATGGTGAAACCCCGTCTCTACTAAAAATACAAAAATTAGCTGGGCATAGTGGCACATATCTGTAATCTCAGCTACTCGGGAGGCTGAGGCATGAGAATCACTTGAACCCAGGAGGGAGAGGTTGCAGTGAGCCTAGATCATGCCACTGAACTCCAGCCTGGGTTAAGACTCTGTCTCAAAAAATACATAAATAAATAAATAAATAAAATTTTAAAAATTAAAAGTATGGGAACTAGACAATATGGACCTTTTTATTGTGACTTTTCTGACAACAATGGAGATGGGGTGGAGGGAGAAGGGTGTGTGTGCAGGAAGGGGAGTGCGTGGCCGAGGAAGGAGCCTGGCAGGGGCCCAGACAACCTTCACCTTCTTCCTCATTTTGCCAAGGCTGGGGCCTCCAAGAACCCCTAGGCCCTCAGGGACAGGGATGTGCAGGTGAGACCCTGGGTCCCTTTTGCTCCCAAAGAATAGAGTCTTTGCAGCAGAGTTCACATCTTCTGTGCAGCTTACCTGAAGGGACAGCTTTGGCTGTCCCCTGAGGTGTTGTGGGGTGGACGAGAAACCCCAGGCATCTCGCCCACCTCCAAGGTGACCCTGGGCATCACTGGGGAATGCTGCGTGCTGTTTGGAACATGTCTGCCATTTTCCTGGGCACCTGCCCATGACAGTGCATCCAGGCTCACTGTAACCTGTGAGGTGGGCAGGATGGCGACCCTAGGTGGGTAAAGGACCTGAGAGGTAGAAACTTGCCCAAGGCCACCGAGCCCCAGTGACCCAACTCCCCCCAACACACATCCCTGCCCTCAAGGCAGGATTCCCGACAGCTTTGCCCCTCTGCTCCCTACGTTGTCACCTCCTCCCCAAACAAATCTCTGCTTACAAAATCCAACTGGCTACTCTCTCAGGAGAACCTCCCTGGGGATTCTTAAAGCCCCAGCTTTTGCTCCTAGTCTGTCTAGCAGGTCTGTAGGTTTCCCACGATCTGGGGCTGTTTCTTGCTGCAAGGAGGTGATGACCAATCCGCCTTCCTCCACCTGCCACCATCCTTCCCATTCCTTCTAACTTTCTTACTCAAGGCAGTACAGTTTGGTAATGATAACTCAGGTTCTAGAAAGCTCCTTGGGCAAGGGAGGGGGACCAGTCAACATCCCTTGCCAGTTTTGGATTATTAATAACATGTTTATTTCAGCCCTCAGGATGAGCCACTCACAGGGGCTTCACAGAGAGGATCTCTGTAATGCTCACAACCACCCCGTGAGAAGGAATGATGAGGAAACTGAAGCTCAGAGACGTTCAGAAACCTTTTTAGGGTCACACAGCTAGTAAGCAGAGAGCAAGGCTTGAATTCTGATATTTTGATGCTAAAACCCATCTCTATGCTACTGTATCAAACGGGTGCCTTCCCAACAGAGCAACCCCTTTGGGAAAGGGGAGCTGACGTTCATTACCCAGGCCCTGCTGGAGTCAAGAGTCCAGGGGCTCAGGGGAAGCCCGAGTCGGGCTGGTCTCCTACACCGCGGGCGCATCAAGCTGGGGACCTGGACCGAGCTTCCAGTCTAAATCCGACGGCCGTGGAGCGGCCCCGGCGGGTGTCTCAGGCTGCGCTGCGGCCCTCGCTAGGGGGCAGCCAAGGAAGGTCCCGGGCTCCGCCGCCGCGCACCAGGCGCCCGCGGTGACTCAGCAGAATCGCCCCCTGGCCCGCGGTTCTGGTCTGGGGAAAGCGTGGTCCTCCTTATCCCTTCAGTTAAAAACTCAGACTGGAATCAAGGACAGGGAAGGCTGCACAGCCTTGTGAATATACCGGAAACATTTTAAAAGAGTGACTTTTATGGCATATGAATTATATCTCAATAAAGCTATCGTTAAAAACAAACAAAAATCCCCTAAATGGATCTCTTGCAGGTAACTGAAGACCAAGCAGAGATAAACCTAGAATCCAAAAATAACCTTAACATGCGCTTTGTTCTCCAAGGTAATTTTTGGCTTCTGCACCCTGTCTTTCCTTTGCTCTGGTCTCCTGTTCTGCACCACCAGGAATTTTCCAGCACATTTAGGCGGAAAGCAGGATTTCTCATGATAGGAACCATGTTTGAAGCATTTCCAGTTATTACCTCATTTAATTCACACAACAAACTATTATGCTGACATAATACAGCTGGGGAAACTGAGGAACAGACAGGTTGAGTAAGTTGCCCAAGGTCACACAGGAAGTATGTAATGGAGCCAGGCTTCAAAACCCAGACATCCTGGCACCAGCAGCAGACCTGTCAGGCCAAGTGATAGCCGAGATTAAATCAAGCAGTGACTGGTAACAGCTAAGGAATATAAGGGCTGGCCCAACAGAACTAAAGCTCTTGTTTCCTGGGAGAACTTTCTCCTTATTCACAGTTTGTTCTTGAATGCTTATGGTCCAGCTGTTTTGCTTTAAGGTATAAAGATAAATGTTAGGGCAGGCATCCTAGTCCTGGGCCTAGGTGAAGGCTGGAGCCCACAGTCTCTCGGAAATCCCTCTACTCCAGGAGCGGGGAGCGAGTGCAACTAAAGGAAAAGAGCCCAGGAGGGCTGGGTGCGGTGGCTCATACCTTAATCCCAGTATTTTGGAAGGCCAAGGTGGGCAGATCACTTGAGGCCAGGAGTTCGAGACCAGCCTGGCTAACATTGAGAAACCCTGTCTCTACCAAAAGTACAAAAATTAGCCAGGTGTGGTGGCAGGCACCTGTAATCCCAGCTACTCAGGAGGCAGAGGCAGGAGAATGCTTGAACCTGGGAGGCAGAGGTTGCAGTGAGCCGAGATCACACCACTGCACTCCAGCCTGGGTGACAGAGTAAGACTCTGTCTCAAAATAAATAAATAAAAAATAACAACAACAAAAAAACCTAGTCATTAAATGGTTAACTATGGTTAGCCCTAGGGAATGGGAGTGGGGAAGGGTGGGATCCATTTTTTTCGCTTATTCCATGCTATTTTGATTTATTTCAATGAGTATAGATAATTTGAAATTTAAAAGAAAAATAAACAGTATTTTTTAGAAGTGGGGTGATTTTGAGAGAAATGTGGAGGGGTTAAGGGGAAAGACGAGGACAAAGGAAATGGAAAGTTGGAGCTTAGATGAGAACCTCTGTCTAAGGTAACTGGAGGTCATCAAGTCAAACATACTATAGATGAATCAACAGCAAGGCCAGGCGCGGTGGCTCACACCTGTAATCCCAGCACACTGGGAGGCCGAGGTGGGTGAATCATCTGAGGTCAGGAGTTCGAGACCAGCCTGACCAACATGGTGAAACCCTGTCTCTACTAAAAACACAAAAATTAGCTGGGTGTGGTGGTGGGCACCTGTAATCCCAGCTACTGGGGAGGCTGAGGCAGGAGAATTGCTTAAACCCGGGAGGTGGTGGTTGCATGCAGTGAGCCGAGATCATGCCACTGCACTCCAGCCTGGGTGACAGAGTAAGACTGCCTGAGGAAAAAAAAAAAAAAAAAGAAAAAGAAAGAGATGAGGAGGCTTAATAAACACCCTTGTGACGCTGGATCTTGGTGTCTCAGATGCTAAACATACTCTTCTGTGGCAGCTGGTCCCCAACTTTGAGCTTCTAAGAAGGAGCTGTGTCTCCTTTTGTGTCCCCTCCTCTCTCCTGCCCACCACAAGTGGCGCCCAGCACACAGGCAGCCACTGGGAGGTGCTCAGTAAGACTGGCCCTTGAAGAGCTCTGAAGTGTGAGCTCTGGTCACATTGCATCACACCACAGAATGTTCTGGAACCAAATTGAACTACTACTAATGAAAGACCCAGATTTCAAGCAGAACTGCCAAATTAAAGAGAGAAGATAAGGAGCATACAGAAAGGAAAGACTCATGCTGGCAAGAAGAAACTTAAATAATTCCGGGCCTCAATCCAAAGAGAATAATCAACGATTGTATGAGGGCATAGATGAAGGCTGCTTTTTGGGAGGAGGTGGTGCCACTGTGTGCACACGGATGGTTGCTGCTGATGTCAGTTGGCTAATGCCCACTGTCATGAGAAAATTCCCAGATTGTGTCTGAGAGGACAATTTTGGTTTTGACCTAAGGTTTCTGGGTTTGTTGTGTTGTTTGTTTGTTTTAACTAAAAGCTTCTCTCCTCCATTGTAACTACTGGAATAGCCAATAGTGCTTGTAAATCTGTCATGCTTGGATGGCCTTTGTTTTTAGAACTACTATAGATCTAAAAACTACCCCATTTTTGACATATATATATATATATATATATATTTTTTTTTTTTTTTTTTAAGACAGAGTCCCCCTCGGTCGCCCAGGCTGGAGTGTGGTGGTGCCATCTCGGCTCACTGCAACCTCTACCTCTCGGGTTCAAGCAATTCTCCTGCCTCAGCCTCCCAAGTAGCTGGGACTACAGGCACCCACCACGCCTGGCTAATTTTTGAACTTTTAGTAGAGACAAGGTTTCACCATGTTGGCCAGGTTGATCTCGAACTCCTGACCTCAAGTGATCCACTCACCTCAGCCTCCCAAAGTGGTGGTATTACAGGTGTGAGCCACCGTGCCTGGCCCAATACTGTTTTTGATCAGGCAACAGCCTTCAGTGAGGATGACAGTGGTTGTGTGAGACAAACTGATGGTGCTCCTGTCCCTCCCTGTGTCCACGAATGCCCCTGGTCACCACTTTAATCTGCCTGAAATGAATCCCCTGAACCCAGAGCCCCAAGTGGATGAGAAGCAGTTTCCTCTGATGTCAGAATCAAGAAAACCAGAGCAAAAAAAACTGTCTTTCTTGGGCAAACCACTCTTATTCTTTAAAGGAGTAGTAGGGGCTGGAGAGAATGTATTTTATAAAAGTGATTTATGGTCCTTATTTAAAAGTCAAATACAAAATTATAAAAGAGAAAAGCAAAGGAACCACTCTAACATCTTAGGGCACAACCTTGCAGACCCCTCTCCTATGCACACATGTAATTTTCCCTACATGGCACCATATTACACCAGTTGTTCTGCAGCCTACTTTATTCCCTTAACAATATGCTGGTATTAACAAGCTTTGTCTTTTTTTCTTTTTTTTTGAGATTGCGTCTCCCTCTGTTGCCTCGGTTTGAGTACAGTGGTGCGATCTCGGCTCACTGCAACCTTCACCTCCTGGGTTCTAGTGATTCTCCTGCCTCAGCCTCCTGAGTAGCTGGGATTACAGGTGTGCACCACCACGCCCAGCTAATTTTTGTATTTTTAGTAGGGATGGGGTTTCACCATGTTGGCCAGGCTGGTCTCGAACTCCTGATCTCAAGTGATCCGCCTGCCTTGGCCTCCCAAAGTGCTAGGATTACAGGTGTGAGCCACCATGTCCAGCCAATAAGCTTTGTCTTTTGGTTGACCTCCAATGGGTATAATTTGTAGCATCGCTGTTGAGAGGGGGTCCCTACCTTCCAGCTCTAACAGGCAGCAAATGGTCCACAAACCAACTCAACATTACCCTTAAATATGCTAGAGGGGGAGGGATTGGCTTTTACATCTTCGATCCCTTTTTAGCCACACATATTCTTCCCTTAATAACAAGAGTAAATATTTCTATAGCCAGGCACTGTTACACATTTATCTTGTTTAATCCTCACAGCCACATAGGTGCAAGGGGCTGTTATTATCTTATTATCCCCGTTTTACACATGATGTTCAGCTGCCCAGGCTGAGGAAGGACACCTGTGGCATTGCATCTGCAGTCTCAGCCTTCGGTGGCACTGGGTGGGTTTGGAGACCTCCACCAACCAATCATGAAGCCCCACTCGAGGCCCTAATGTAGGAGGAGTCGCTCCAACCACACCTTTGTGGGTACATAGGCCCTCTTTGCTCCATTTTACAGCTGGGAAAACCAAGGCAAAGAGAGGCTGAGGAACCTCTAGTGGACCCAGAGAGAGTGAGGAGAGAGTCTGGCGAGAGGTGATTTGCTGGAGAGTTCAGCTTTACAGTGGGAAGTCTGTTGGGAGTGAGAGTCGGGAGGGATGGTGGGACTGTCGCAGCAGCATCACGGCCACTCTCTGAGGATGAATGGTCCTTCTTACAGTCAGGGCGTTGCCTCAGCAGCACCTCCGGGTGCTGCGAGGCCTCTCAGAGGCACCCTTGGGTCACTGGCCAAAGAGCACTGTGGGTTCTCGGAAGCACCTGCTCTTCCATCAGCTGTAAACCGGAATGATAACCAGCTCCTAGGCTTTGGTTTCTGAATGTACGCTGCGAACGATGCACTGCCTTGGCCTCATGGCAGGGGCTGGGGAGGCCCGCTCTACCCTGTACCCCGACCCGGGCCCAAAGCTGAGCTTGAAGGGCCCCCTGCTTGGCTTCTCGTTGGACCTGGAGCTCACCCATGAAGCCAGGACTCACGATGTGGCGATGCCACTTGCGCATCTATCCCCACGGGTACACAGAGAGGCCACTCGCCCCCAACCCCTCTCCTGGAATGCACCATATCCAGCCTTGTGAGTGGATGGGTGCCTGGACTCCCTGGGCCCCTGAGTTTGGAGGTGGAGGCTTTGGCTTCACGTCTTCCTGAAGGACACCTGTTCTCGGCTCAGCTCCCTCCATGGATTTGGGTGGAAAGGGAACCCGGACTGGAGTCAGAAGCCCTGGTGGGGTCCACTGGCTAGCTGTTGAGGCTGGGCCAGTCACTTGCCCTCTCTGAACTGCAATTCTTCATTTGAAACATGGGGATGATGACACTCCTGCCCCACAGGGTGGCTGTGATTGTCACTAGAAAAAAATGCATGAGAAAGGTGGCACTTGAACAAGCAGTCATATTCTGGACTGATGCGAGGTGCTGAAGTCATGACGTGTGAGTGGAGAAGGAGACTCCTGAAGATGGAGAAGAGGAGGCTGGACCTAAGGGAGAAAAGCAGGAGCCAGTAGGAGAGGCTTTGTCCCAACTTCTGCCCTGATGGTGGTGGGGTGACAGCAGGAAGAGGTGAGAGGCAGCTCTGGGGCAGCCCTGGAGAGGAGAGAAACAAGGGGCAACTTCCGGGAAGGTCTCAGAAGTGGTGGAGCGAAGGTAAACTTCAAAAGGAGAACCAGAGAATCTGTTCCTCATTCCTTCCAGCGCTGGAACCCACACAATGTGACAGGCAAGCACAGGGAAGACAAGGAAGGCGATCTGGGGGGACAGAGGGCCTGGCACTTTCTGCACTGAAGTCTCAGCTTTCGGGTAATGCACCCAGGAGCAGTGGGGTAGGTGGGAGTTTGAAAGGCCACAGAAAATGACCAGAAATGGGCTCTTTTTGCCATGATAGTTCATTAGATGGGGACAACAAGGAAGACAGGGAGGGGAGAGGAGGATTAGGAAGAAAAGGTGATAGTTTTTAAGATGTTTTCACTTCTAATTTTTGAGTCTGAGGTCACACTCTGAAAGTCGCAGGGGAGAAGAGGATGGCAATTCTGTTGGAAATCAGCAGTTGTCTGCCAGTAATGAACGACCTGAGCTCAGCACCGTCTTGGAGGGACAGAAGATAAACAGTGTCCGCTGAACACACGTAAGAAGTGCCACACTGCCAGGCATGGTGGCTCATGCCTGTAATCCCAGCACTTTGGGAGGCTGAGGTAGGCAGATCACTTGAGGCCAAAAGTTCGAGATCAGCTTGGCCAACACAGCAAAACAACATCTTTACTAAAAGTACAAAAATTTAGCTAGGCACGATGGTGCACATCTATAATCCCAGCTACTTGGGAGGCTGAGGCACAAGAATTGCTTGAACCTGGGAGGCGGAGGTTGCAGTGAGCTGAGATCATGCCACTGCACTCCAGCCAGGGTGACAGAGTGAGATTCTGTCTCAAAAAAAGAGAAGTGCCATACCAGGGCAAGCATACACATCTCCGAATTCTGTCTGACAGAGACAAAGTGCCCCCAGACACTTCTGCATGGCGGCATTGGGGCCAGAGATAAGCACAGCGCAGTGCAGGGAGTCAGACCAGGCTGCCTGGAGTCCACTCCGAATCCTTCACTTAGGAGCTGTGCGACTTTGGGGCAAGTCACTCAACCTCCCAGAGCCTCCTTTGCATTGTCTGTAAAATGTGGGGATTAGGTGAGTTAATACATGTCAAGTGTTCAGAACCATCGCTGGCTGTCGATGAACCCTACTATGGTTACCATCGTTAAAACTTTATCCATTAATTTAGCCAAACTTTTCTGTCTCCTGTTTGTATTTTCAAACTAAACAGCTTTTCAGGGCAAAGGGCCCCACCCCATTCTGGATCCTGGTATTGGGAGGGCTTTGCCTAGATTTGCATTATAATAGTGCCCCAGCTCCCGTCTGAATTTGGAGAGGCGCCTGGAGCTAGTTCTAGATTCAGAGTCCACCAGCGGGGAAGCAATGCTGGGAAGCAAAAGAAAGACTGTGGAAGGCTCTGAAGGCTCTTGTTTGACAGTACCCACGACACGTGGTGCCCCTTGGCCCTCTCGATGCAGCCTCCGGCCAGGCAGGGCAGATGGCAGACCCTGTGAGATCATCCCCTGGTCCCGTGACACCCTGGGGACAGAGCCAAAACCGTGTCCTGGTGCACCCTGGGCGAAGCCAACTGCTTTGTAAGGAAGAAGAAACGTACACTCTAGAGAGGTCCATGCATCATCAAGTGAAAACAGTAGTTGCAGAAATGTGCATGTTCAGAATTTTTATACATAAGAAAAGAATACATATATGTGTAGTCAAACAAATAAACAAACTAGAGTATATATGCCCAACAGGGGCTTTCTCTGTGAAGAGAAATACAATTAGGGAGATTTTCCCTTATTAGTGTCTACATTTTTGTCTCATTATACTGTTTTATAAACATGTATTATGTTTACAATCAGATGAAAGGCAATAATATGTTCTCATTTTGACAAAACAAAATGCTCTCGTTACAGAGTCATGTTCCACTGAGGATCTGTCCCACAGTGCCCTGTGGGTCTAGATCAATTTAAATGGACATATCAGAATTTGGATCAGGAAGAAAACAAAGTCAGAAGCACACACCTAGGTTCTGGGCCCCAAGAACATGATTTCAGAAAAAGCAGCCTCTCTCAATGCCAAATGTCCATTATCCAACAGAAAGACCAAAGAACAGCCTGGACAACATTTATGTCCTGAAACAGAAATTAGTCACATACCAGGAAGGAAGGAAGGAAGGAAGGAAGGAAGGAAGGAAGGAAGGAAGGAAGGCAGGCAGGAAGGAAGGAAGGAAGGAGGGAAGGGGGGAAGGGGGGAAGGGTGGAAGGGGGGAAGGAGGGAAAGAGGGAAGGAGGGAAGGGGGGAGGGAGGGAAGGAAGGAAGGAAGGGCGGGCAAAGGAGAAAAAGCTGGCAAGAAAGAAGCACAAAGAGTGTAGACACAGAAGAGGAAATGAAGTTCTGCTTGGAAAATGGCAAAACTCTACACCCCTGGGGTAGAAGCCAGGGGCAGGGGGAAGGAGGGGTCTCTGAGAGTCATTAAAGGGGAGACCCAGGAAATGAGAAGTCTGCCTCTGTGCTACGCCCTCCACACCCACCTGTGTCTGAGAGGCTTCTGGGTCTTCCAAGAGCCTTAAGAAAAGACCATCAAAATCATCAAGGAAGACTAAAACCACTGAATTGTAACTCAAAGTGGGGGAATTTTATAGAATGTGAATGATCATCTCAATAAAGATGTCTTTTAAAAGTTGCAAAGGAGACTCAAACTTAAATTTATTTTCTTTTGCTAATCTAAAAATAGAGATGCCCTTCAGTTTTCCCGTAGGTAGGAGTTGTGGCCTCCCAGCTGGCCTGCAGAAGCTGGTTTGGTCAGGCCTCAGCCTCTCCGGTCTCCTGTTTTCCAACAGGAGCCCTCTGGCTGGCTAGAACAAGGAAAAAGCAATTGACTCGAGGAACTCCTTGTACACAAGTCTCCTCTCTGCTTGCCAATCTGGCTTTGGCTCAACCCTCATCACTGGGGAGAGTTTGTGTTAAAGCACCAAGATGGCTTCCTATTGTTTATGCAATCTCAGAAGCTTTTGGAAAGGACTTTAAAGAAAAAAGCCCCTTGATAGCACCTAAAGTGGTTACCTAGCTCTTCTGGAATCCTTCCAATGACAGGGAGCTCATTACCTCTTAAGGGGGCTCATTCTATTTTCATCCTCTGAGTGACAGAAAATTTTTCTGTCTATAGCTAGAAACTGTGTCCCTGAGACTTTGGCAAATGGGTCCTGCTCAGTGCCCTGGAGCCACACAGAACATGCCAGTTCTTCATCCCAGGGGGCCCTTCACAGATTCAACTATCCCATATCCCCTGTCGTCTCCTCTTCAAGCTGAACATGCCCAACTCCTCCAACTATTCCTTACCTGGGCTGGATGGGCCACAGACTCGAGTATCAGAATGAACTCTAGGCTCTGGTAACAGCAATCATGACAACGATGACATCATTTGAGTGCTTACTCTGTGTAGCCACTTGGGATAATTCAACACATCCTCACTACGCCCTATGGGGTAGATTCTGTCCAGATTCCCCAACTCACAGATGAGGACTCTGAAGCACAGACAGGTGAAGTAACTTGCCCAAGGACACACAGCTTGTCAGTGGTGAAACCAGGATTCAGACAAGATTGGGCAGGTTCAGGATGGAATGGCTGTAGACAAAGCTAGTGTTTAAGCCAAAGGCAGGAGGACATTTCACGGAAGACACCCAGATTAACGCAGAAAACAGTTGCTTTCCAAAGCATCAAATCCATGCATTTGATATTGCAGGTCAAATGCAGTTCTCTGTTTACTTAGAAAATGGCATTCTCTGCCATAAAAATAGAAAGCTTGTAGTATATAGGCTGTCTTTGTCCCCTTTAATAGATTTTACTACTCTCTTTTCTTTTTGAGTCCCCAGTACAATTCTAGGGCATTGCATTTGTGCTTCCGAAAGTAGTGGGGAGGGGGTAATTATCTGATTCCTTTAAGCTACACAAACGATGAGCAAAAATATGCTAAAGTGAGTTAGGTCACTAAGTACATGTCTCTCCACAGAAGGAACATAAGAATGTCAGAATCTGTAACATGCTCAGAGGGAACACGTTACGTCAAGAGAGCCCCCCAGCCAGTGCAGGTCATATATGAAATCCCAGGTTCTCCTCAGACGTAGCCCCAAGGACACTGGAGAGTGGCTGTTCCTGCTCTGTGACTTGGTCCTCGACGCTCAGGCTGAAGTCACATCACACACATGATTATCTGTTATGGATCTGCCACCTACACTTCAACTCCTCAGTTCAAGAGAAAGAGCGAGTAATTAGAAACCTCCTCGTAAAAGCCCATTTACAATTCAGGAGCACTGCAATTTCCTTTCCATCCTTGCAGCTTATCATTTGCATAGCACTTTCCAGGGAGCCATGAAATATGGATTTATAAGAAGCATCCAAAGGACAACAAACATCTAAACACCTCAATCCAGTGATTTACAGGCATGTGCTAGGCAAAAAAACAAAAAACAAAATGAGATAAGATGCTGCAACACTGCTGCTAAAGGAGCTGATTAGGAAAATCTGATAAGATATCAAGTTCAATGTGACCAAGGGTATTAGCAAATATGACCCGGGTTACTTGTATCCTCATTTAGTTACTCATCCCACCTCTTCCAGATCTTGTTGTAAAGTATTAATTATTAAATCTTCTCTTAAGGCCGAGTGCAGTGGCTCATGCTGTAATCCCAGCACTTTGGGAGACCAAGGTGGGAGGTTTGCTTGAGCCCAGGAGTTCAAGACCAGCCTAGACAAAATGGTAAAACCCCATCTCTACAAAAAAAATATTTAAAAATTAGCTGGGGCCGGGCATGTTGGCTTACACCTGTAATCCCAGCACTTTGAGAGGCTGAGGTTGGTGGATCACTTGAGATCAGGAGTTTGAGACCAGCCTGGCCAACATGGTGAAACCCCATCTTTACTAAAAATACAAAAATTAGTCGGGCGTGGTGGTGCACACCTGTAGTCCCAGCTCCTTGGGAGGCTGAGGCACAAGAATCACTTGAACCCAGGAGGCGGAGGTTGCTGTGAGCTGAGATTGCACCACTGCACACCAGCCTGGGTGACTGAGTGAGACTCTGTCTCAAAAAAAAAAAAAAAAAAAAATTAGCTGGGCATGGGGGCTCACCCCTGTAGTTCCAGCTACTAGGGAAGCTGAGGTGGGAGGATCACCTGAGCCCAGAGACGTCGAGGCTGCAGTGAGCTGTGATCATACCACTGCACTCCAGCCTGAACCATAGAGTGAGACCTTGTCTCAAGAGGAAAAAAAAATCTTAATTAAAAAAATGAATTTTCATGTAAAGTAGCCTTTCAGAGACAGGCTCGTCCTAATCCCCAGAACCTGTGAATATGTCACTGTACATGGCAAAGAGGAATTGGGGTTGTAGATGGAATTAAGGTTCCCAGTCAGCTGACTCTAAAATAGAGAGATCATCCCAGATTATCAGAGTGAGCCCAAAGTAATCATGAGGGTCCTGACATGTGGAAGAGGGAGGCAGAGAACTGGTGTCAGAGCAAGGTGATGTGAGGACTCATCCTGCCATTGCTGGCTTTGAAGATGATTGATGGAAAATTTTTCTGACTATAGCTATAGAAGATCATGAGCCAAGGAATGCATGAAACCTTTAGAAGCTGGAAAAAGGAAGAAAATGGATTCTCCCCTGGACCCTCCAGAAAGGACCGCAACCTTGCCAAAACCTTGATTTCAGCCCAGTGACACCTATGGAGGGCTTCTGGCCTCCAGAACTGTAAGGTAATACATTTGTGTTGGTTTAAGCCACTAAATTTCTGATGATTTATTATAGCAGCAAATAGAAAATTAATACAGTTGATTTCATTAATGTGGACTAGTACTTTAATGACAACTTGATTTGGGGGAAAGGAAGGAAAGAAATGGACCTGGATGGCGCACCTGCTGTGTGGCCGCATCATGAAAGACTGAGCCATTTACCACCCTTGGTCCCCCAAGCCTGCCCAGTAAGGTGGGTATGGCAGCACCCACTTGCAGCAGATGGCTCTGAGAATGTCCAAGAGGCTAGGGTGCTTGTCTAAGTCCTCAGCTGGGAAAGTGGCAGGGCCAGGATTGGAGTCAGATTTGTTTGCCTCCAGAGTGCTTTCTATTTAGGGGCAGCCTTCCTTTCTTTATGCTCAAGCAAAATGGTACAAAAGCCCACAGAGCATGTGTTATCTGGTTGTGCACACTGAGGGCCCCAGAATGACGGCCGCCTCCTCTCCCCACACTCTTCTGGGCTTTCCCTTCCCTTCTTTTTTTTTTTTCTTTTCTTTTCTTTCTCTCTCTCTCCTTTCTTTTTTTTTTTCTTTTTTTGAGATAGGGTCTCAGCTCTGTTGCCCAGGCTGGAGTGCAGTGGTGCAATCACAGCTTACTGTAACCTCAAACTCTTGGGCTCAAGCAATCCTCCCACCTCATCCTCCCAAGTAGCTAGGACTACAGGTGCCCACCACCACACCCAGCTAATTACATTTTTTCTTTTTGTAGAGATAGGGTCTTGCTACATTGCCCAGGCTGGTCTCAAACTCCTGACCTCAAATGATCCTCCTGCCTCAGCCTCCCAAAGTGCTAGGATTGCAGGCATGAGCCACTGTTTCTGGACCCCTCCCCTCCCTTCTCTCCCCTGTCAGCACCTACTAGCTTCCTAGAGAAAGTGGGGATGGAGACCAGGGCAGAGGTGAGAGGGGGCCTCTCCTTTCACAGCTCTGGTACTTCTATGGCTCCAACCTCTGCACAGTGCAACAGTGGGGGTACAAAGATAGGAGAGCAGTGCACATTGGCCTGTGCTGGAGGGGAGTCAGACTCCTCAAATGTGCGCCACACTGAAGACAGCTAACTGACGAGCTCTCATATCGCATACATATTTGCAGACTCTGAGTAGGCGTGGGACGGGGAGTGGGGAGCTCCTTTACCACTTTGAGCCATGAATCAGACAGAAGAGCCATCCTCTCCCAGGTGGAGAGAGATGGAATGGGACTTTGCACACTGCTCTATGTCCCTGGGCATGCACACTGTGTGTATTTGGGAGGCATATGTGGCTCTCATAGCCTCCTGGGTGTTCAGGAACACACCTGCGGTTGGCCTGAAACAGAAGAAGGCTTTGGAAGATGTCCAGATGTGGATCGTTAATGACGCCCTTGGGGGAAGGCCTCTGCCTGCTCAAAGGATAGAATCCAGTTAATTAAGAGCAATACTTTGTGCTTAAAAGGCACAAATTCAGACCCGTCCATTAGTCTCTTCAGTTAAGATCACTTTAAATCAAAATTGCCAAGCTGGGGCCACAGGAAGCATCTATTATTAACGAACAAAAAAACTAGACTCCCAAGTGATAGGCTTGCCAATTCCAACACACTCAGGGGTGGATTTGGGAGCTGCTTCAGACATGTCCACTGTGTAATAAAGTTTAGAGCAGCTTTCCATGCTATAAAGCACAGAATGCATTATTGATGCTGTGCTTGGAGGCTACGTGAGTGTCCCATGCCCACGCATGTGCATGTATGTCCTCTAATGCTACAGGCAGCCCCTGGATACCTGTGGGCAGGAGAGTGGGCCAGGAAGGAGAGAACGACACAAACAGGATGGAGCGACCCATTTTCTCAACTCTGGCTGAGCAGTTGGGAAGACCTTGAGGACCAGGCCAGTGGGCAGATTATGAGGAAGGCATGAACTAACCCCCACCAGGGACCTGGAAACAGGAGCAGAGGTGGGCCATGCCCTTGGATATATTCGGTCTGGCCAGGAAGCTATCTGTGCAAATACTGAAGGACACAGGGGTAATTTCAGAGCAAAGTGACCCCTCGGTCAACACAAGTTATGGAACTCTGCCGATCTACCACACGCATGGCTTCATGCTGAGCAAAGGGACAGACAACATGCTCTCTGCCCTCTGGGGGTTGGGTTTGGGAGTGGAGACAAAGAGGTACACACAGTCCAAGGCCATGGGTAAGAAGAGAGAAAGCAGATTGTCCTGAGCCCCAAGTGTCTGTGATTCTCTTAGCTAAGTAAGGAATCAGTGCCAGAGACAGAGGTTGCTGGAGCTGAGAGGAGACGTAGTCAAGAAGATTGGAGAAGGCTCTGCGGAGAAGGTGAACTTGAGCTAAGACTTGAAGGGAGGGCAGGCTTGAAGGGATGAAACAGCCTCCTCTGTGCTAAAGAGAGGAGTGACAGGGCCATCATCAGGCAAAGGGGACATTACCAGGCAAAGGGACACCATTGGTCAAAGGCGATGGTGGAGACAAGACATTCTGGAAGAGCCCGGATCAGAGAGATTTGGGGCCAGGAGCCGGCATCAGGGGACCGGCTCCCTAAGGAACCATGGCACCACTGGCTCTCAGCTGGAAATAAGCAGCAGATGAAGCACATGCATCCTGAGTTTTGGCTCTGGTGATGGTGGTGGAGCTGTTAATTCTTGGAGTCCAAATTCCTGCACCACCTCTGAGTTCCGAGGGGGTGGGGAAGGTAAGTAAATGGACCCCAGCTGCGTGCCTACCTCTGACTGGCTTTCTGGGGTGATCCTTGGACCAGGAGTCCACGGAAGGTTATGTAATGAAGCTGCGAAGAGGCCAGGACTGCATTAGGAAAGGTTGCTGCAGAACAAAGCCTTGTGAGAGAAATTAGGGGGCTGGGGAGGGGAGGAGGGAAGAGAGCAGTTGGGGTGGAGGCTGAGGGAAGAGCCAGCATCCCAGCCCCCAGTAGGGGCTGCCCAGACTCTCCCGAGGGAATGGAAAGGCATCTTTGGAGGGACAATTCTCAGCACACCATTAGCTGTCAAAAGTCAGCAGGCCCTACCATGGTCGATTTTCAAATTCTCATGAGGGGCTCTTGGATATAGCAGCCCTCCCCAGAGAGGGCTACCCTGGGTAGCCACGGACCTTCCCAGTGGCTTGGATATCTTTCCAGCCAGAAAAAGACAAAAACATGCATATAATTACCTAAACAGAAGCGCTTCCTTTGCTTTTCCCAATTATTAACCCGTGGGTATTAAACTCAGTAGGATCAGAGGTCCTTCTAAGAAGCGGGGGGGAAACTCAAAAAGGCCATAGGTCCAGGGTCCACCTTCTGTCTAGCAAGGAAAAGATGATTCCACTTTGCAGACAAGGCAACAGAGAGGCAAGCCCCATGTGCAAAGTCACTCAGCTAGTCAAGGGCAAAGAAGACATGGAATTAGCTACTGCCTCTTAGAGCAGAGTTCTATCCGCTGCACCACCATCTCAGACAGCAGGGTTCAGAATTTTTAAGAAGTGATGGCTTTGCATTGACATGGTTACGTGCGCAAGTCCACGCCTGCATCTGTGCTGACTGCAGTCTCTAACTAGCCAGTGGCTGTCAGCTAGCAAAACTCCAGTGACAGAGGAGCCCGCAGGACATACGTTCTCAACCAAATGGCTGATGATACCATTTGGGCAACTGTCCAGCCAACATTTTTTTAAAGTTAAATTAAAACCCACATGATAAACAACTCTCTGGAAAAAAAAATACACACATGCGTAACTTTGATTCAACATACTGTATTTAAATATCCTAATGACTGCTAATGATTGAAATTTAATTTATTTTTTACTTATTTTTTTGAGGCAGGTCTTGCTCTGTCAGCCAGGCTAGAGGGCAGTGGCGTGAAAATAACTCACTGTAGCCTCAAAGTTCTGGCTCAAGCAATCCTCCCATCTCAGCCTCCCAAGTAGCTAAGACTACAGGTGAATGCTACCATGCCTGGCTAATTTTTAAAATTTACTGTACAGACGAGGTCTTGAACTCCTGGCCTCCAGTGATCCTCCCTCCTCAGAGTCCCAAGGTGCTGGGATTACAGGTGTGAGCTCCTACACCTGGCCCATGACCATAATTTAAAGAAACACATCAAGAGTGCAAAATATAAACAACAAATGGAAGTCTCTTTCTTAATTCAGAGTAGATCAATTGCAGGTAGCTGGAGATGATGATATCATTCTTCTAAGAAAAATCTGCTAGAATTTAACTCAAATCAATTCTCATTTCAACCTTCTCAAATGTAACATTTTATTGCTTGTTATTTTTTAAAAGTAAATGTAACAGCAAAAAAAAAAAAAAAAAATCAGAAAACATTTCAATGTGCAAAGACACGTGGAGCACTGAGAGACCCAGAGCAGCTTCTTCCTGTCTGGGAAGAAGGTCAAGTGACTGGGGACCTAGCAGATGACCTAATCTTCCCTGAACAAATGGCATCGCGTGGCACTGGGCCTCAGTTTCCCCAGTCCCCAAAGGATCGACAGAGATATTCTTTAGCACCACCAGGACAAGGGTCCGGAACACAATGCGGGGGGCCAGGTGAAGGGAGCAGCTGCCTCAGGACAAGTAATAAGGGGCTGGACTGTCTCTAGAGAGTTCAAAAACAGGGCTAGGCACGGTGGCTCACGCCTGTAATCCCAACACTTTGGGAGGTCAAGATGGGCAGATCGCTTGAGGCCAGGAGTTTGAGACCAGCCTGGGCAACATGGTGAAACCCTGCCTCTACTAAAAATACAAAAACTTAGCCTGGTGTGGTGCCCTGTAATCCCAGCTACTCGGGAGGCTGAGGCACGAGAATCACTTGAACTGAGGAGGCAGAGGATGTAGTGAGCTGAGACTGCAGTCACTGCATTCCAGCCTGGGTGACAGAGAGAGAGACTCTGTCTCAAAAAAAAAAAAAAGGGAGAGAGAGAGTTCAAAAACAGTAATAAAACCAACTAATAGTTAGTCTGCTTTTCATTAGCATCATGTGCCTGCAATCCTAAACAATGCCAGTGATAAAATACTCCTCCCTTAAAAAATATTTTCCTGGTCCAAGAGGTTTTTTTTTTTGTTTGTTTGTTTGAAACAGAGTTTCACTCTTGTTGCTGGGGCTAGAGTGCAATGGTGCGATCTTGGCCCACTGCAATCTCCGCCTCCTGGGTTCAAGAGATTCTCCTGCCTCACCCTCCCCAGTAGCTGGGATTACAGGCGTGTACCACCGTGCCTGGCTAATTTTTGTATTTTTAGTAGAGATGGGGTTTCATCATGTTGGTTAGGCTGGTCTCGAACTCCTGACATCAAGTGATCCACCTGCCTCGGCCTCCCAAAGTGTTGGGATTATAGGCATGAGCCACTGCACCCGGCCCTGTCTAAGTTATAAACAATTGGTGCGATCTCAGTGTTAGTAAGGTTCTAGTTAGCACTTTAAAAAAGTTAACCTTTAATAAACTTTTTTTTCTCCACAGAAGTTATTTGGAGAACTTCTAGTTATACAGTTGGCCCTACCATATGTGGAGTCAGCCACACGTATTTATTTTGAGAGTAAGTTCTTTTTTTTTTTTTTTTTTTTTGAGATGGAGTCTTACTCTGTCTCCCAGGCTGAAGTGCAATGGTGCAGATAGATCTCGGCTCACTGCAACCTCCACCTCTCAGGTGCAAGCGATTCTCCTGCCTCAGCCTCCCGAGTAGCTGGGATTACAGGCACCCACCATCATGCCTGGCTAATTTTTGTATTTTTGTAGAGATGAAGTTTCACCATGTTGGCCAGGCTGGTCTTGAACTCCTGACCTCAGATGATCTGCCTGCCTCAGCCTCCCAAAGTCCTGGGATTACAGGCGTGAGCCACCGTGCCTGGCAGAGAGTAAATTCTTAATGGTTCAGAATTTCCAGCTTGCTTCTGGCGCCATTTGCATTTTCCATCTCTGTGAGAACACATGTTCCTGCATTAAGCAAGTAGATTCTAAGCACAGACAATGGTAGGACAGTGATTATGAAGACAGAAATTGGAGCTAAGTTACTTCAGTCCTGTCATTCTGTGCGACCACCTGGAGTTTTTGTGTTTCTTTTTTTTTTTTCTTTTTTTGAGACAGGGTCTCAATCTGTCACCCAGGCTGGAGTGCAGTGGTGCAATCTTGCCTCACTGCAACCTCTGTCCCCCAGGGTTCAAGTGATCCTCCTATCTCAGCCTCCTGAGTAGCTGGGACCGCAGGCATGTGCCACCACACCCAGCTAATTGTTTTCAGTAGAGACAGGATCTCACTATGTTGCCCAGGCAAATCTTGAACTCCTGAACTCAAGCGATATGCCTGCCTCAGCCTCCCAAAGTACTGGGATTACAGGTGTGAGCCACCACACCCAGCCTACTTGGAGTTTTTGTATTTAAAATTTAAAACAGTGAGACAGCATGTGAACCACAAACTGTAATATTTTTGCTTGGTAAATACAAATTTTACTCATAGATGATATATTTTGCTGAGTTTAAATACCATTTTAAGTGGAAATTTATTATTTTAAAATTGTGAATTATATTGTTTAAATAATTAATCAAGAAAATAAAGCCGTACATCAATGGTACAATACAGTAGCTGCTAAATTATGGGCAACTTCTGCAGACGTCTCACTTTTCTTAAAGTTCACTTAGTAACCAAGCAATGATTTACATAAAATATTACATCAGTCTGCAATCAAAGGATCAAAACTCAGAAAGATATAGAAAGCTATTTAATAAATGCTTGTGCTTTTTCCCTTTTTTGTAGTATAATATTTACTTTTTATTTGAAAAAAATCCTGGTGCAATTATATGTACAGAGTTCAACAAGAGAAACATTTTACTATCTGCGTTTCTTTTCTGGCCATTATTACAGTCATTTCATTACACGATTATTTCTGACAATCATTTTGTCATATATAGGTGAGGTTGTTAAACAAAGGTCAGCGCTGGGTGTCAAATGGCTGGCTACACCACTGTTCCATAACATGGCACACGATGGCTGAGAAACCCCTTCAACATCAGCCAGTCTCAATCACCCATAGATCTGCAAGAGAATGAGGATGACTTTTCCCCCAGACCATCAATTTCCCTGTTAATGACAATGCCCGTTTCTCTCAGGACAACTTCATGCAGCAGCCACAGTGACAGCAAATTCTAGGATGTGAAGCTCAATAATACGAAGGTTTGCAGTGACTTCTTGGGGCCGGGATGTGACATCCAGGCAGGACCCACAGAAGATGGTGCTCCTGGCAGGTCTGGCCCCCACTCAGCCCCGGAAACAGAGGCCGGCCCTTGCAGCAGCGACAGCGTGTAGTCCCCGCAGCCATGACCTATTCCTGGTCTACAAGTGGGGACTGGGCAGCCATGACAAAGCAAAAATAAGTGAACTGGGAGTGAGCTCAGGCTAGAAAAATTTCTGAACGGCGTTCACCTTTTTTCAGGGGATGACAGGCAGGTGTCATGGATAGATGAAGGGTCTAATCTTAGAAATTAAAAAATTAAGCAGGAGGTAGTGAAAAGAACACAAGCTTTGGAGCTGGAAGATTTGGGTTCAAATTCTGTTTCTGTAATTTACTGGCTGTGTGGCCTGGGACAAGTGACTTAACCATTCTGAGTCTCAGTTTTCTTATTTGTAATGTGAGGATATAATCCCACTTCTTCCGGCTGTCCTGCCATGAAGCAAAATCATGTCTGTTTGTTCTCCAGGAACCTGATATCATTTTAGTCTCTCTCCTTTAGCTTTCCTTTTCTTTTTTTTTTTTTTTTTGGAGACAGAATCTTGCTCTGTCACCCAGGCTGGAATGCAGTAGTGCGATCTCGGCTCACTGCAACCTCTACCTCCCAGGTTCAAGAGATTCTTGTGCCTCAGCCTCTTGAGTAGCTGGTACCACAGGTGCATGCCACCATACCCGGCTAATTTTTGTTTTGTTTTGTTTTTGTAGAGACAAGGTTTCACCATGTTGGCCAGGCTGGTCTTGAACTCCTGGCATCGAGTGATCAATCTGTCTTGGCCTCCCAAAGTGCTGGGATTACAGGCATGAGCCACCGCACCCATCTTCCTTTAGTTTTCAGTAACAACATAAAATATTCTATAGGGACAGAGCCAAAGCATGGTGGGGCTTATGCACCCCTTCTCAGAGCTGGCTTGGTGGTCAGGCCCAGAAACTTCCCTAGGAATGCAGGTAGGCAAAACCTTACCCAGGAAGGAACTTGGCTTGCCAGAGGGTGGATATTGCAGGAACTGGATACCCATTATCTGCTCCCCTGGGAGCCTGAACTTCAGGGATCCACTAACAGCAAACAAAGGTTAACAGCACACAACGGCCAGGCAATCCTGGCATTTTTAAATAAACATGTGCAAGTTGTGGGTAATGAAGAATAAATCATCAGAACATTCTATACTTCAGAAGTAGAAAACTGGATTACAGATGAAAGAGAATAACAAGGAAAGAAGAAAGGTCTAAGCTGTTATTTAAAACAACAATAACAACAACAAAAGTTTTGTTTTTGCTTAGTGGTGGGGCCAGCATTTACTGAGCTCTTCTTGTATATTCCTACTAAACAGGACACAAGCCTGGCGATGATGACCATTTTTATCATCACCTGGGGAAAGACTACTCAGAGCAAAGTAGAGTCAACACAGGATACATTCCTGTCAAAGGGTTCTTTGTGACATTGTTTGAGTGACTGGATCCAGCTGTACCTAAGCTGGGTCTATTCCTGAATTTTTCAAATTTGGGAACCAATCAATTATATTATATAAATAACCAATTTCTTTGGGCTTCTATTACTTGCAATTGAAAGACAAACATATCCTAACTAGCCCTGAAACCATTAACTGCCTATTTGTGCTCCATCACCTAATGTGACTTTTCCTTGCCTGTGTAATGAGTATAATTACACCCTGCCCAGGCACTGGGCTTGCCCCATGTAAGGTGTATGACAGAGCTTGATTGAAATGAAACATGAAATTTCATGAAATATGAAATTAACATATTTTTACCTAGGAAAATATCCTTACCATCCTATCTTCTAGGGAGGCTTAGGGAGATTAATTTTTTGGGGTTTATTTATTCATTAAAAAAAAGTTTTAAATGTGAAGCACAAGGCAGATCAGTGGTTCTCAAGCTGATGCAACAGAATTCTCTGCAGTGCTTTAAAAATATATCCACTGATGGCCGGGTGCAGTGGCTCATGCCTGTAATCCCAGCACTCTGGGAGGCTGATGAGGCAGGCAGATCATGAGGTCAGGAGATCGAGACCATCCTGGCTAACACGGTGAAACCCCATCTCTACTAAAAACACAAAAAAATTAGCTGGGCGTGGTGGCGAGCACTTGTAGTTCCAGCCACTCAGGAGGCTGAGGCAGGAGAATGGTGTGAACCCGAGAGGCGGAGCTTGCAGTGAGCCAAGATCGCGCCACTGCACTCCAGCCTGGGTGACAGAGCAAAACTCTGTCTCAAAAAACAAACAAACAAACAAACAAAATATATATATGTATATATAACTCCACTGATGTCTGGCCCTACCCCAGGGATTTGGATCCAATTGGCCTAGGGTGGAGTCTTGCATTGTGGCTTTAAAAGCTCCTCAGGTGATTCTAATGTGTAGTTAAGGTAGGCAGCCAGAGTGCAGGTGACCACAGCAATGAGTGACATAGGTACAGTGGTACGGTCCTTGCCCTTGTGCAGGTGCCTTGTGGGGAAGGCAGTGGAAAATGAAGTGAGACAAGTACCACAAAGTCATAGGAGTGTAGATGGGACACCTGTGTAGTGTGGGTGTTGGAGAAAACTTCCCCAAGGAAGTGATGTTTCTGCTGAGACCTGAAGGATGGGCACAAGTTAGCAAGGTGAAAGGGAGGGGATAGGAAAGAACATTCCAGGGGAATAGTATATGACAAGGCCCCAACAGAAAACTGTAAAGAGTTTTCAAGGAACTAAAAGATGACTCCTAAGGCTGGAAGATGAGGTGGTGCCAGATGTGTGAAGCCACAAGAATTTGGGATCTTGTTTGTCACTGCAGCATAAACCTGTCCTTGTTAACTGAGACAACTGGTTAGAGTAGAAAGATCGGGGCTGAGTCCTGGCTGGATTCCAGTAACAGGGACATGTTGGGAGGAGATGGAGTTGCCAAAGTGCTGAGGATGCTTTTTTTTTTTTTTTTTTTTTTTTTCCTGAGACGGAGTCTCACTCTGTCACCCAGGCTGGAGTGCAGTGGCGCCATCTCGGCTCACTGCAACCTCCGCCTACCAGGTTCACGCCATTCTCCTGCCTCAGCCTCCCGAGTAGCTGGGACTACAGGCACCTGCCACCACTCCCGGCTACTTTTTTGTATTTTTAGTAGAGATGGGGTTTCACCATGTTAGCCAGGATGGTCTCGATCTCCTGACCTTGTGATCCACCCACCTTGGCCTCCCAAAGTGCTGGAATTACAGGCGTGAGTCACCGCGCCTGGCCTAGGATGCTTTTAAAAAAATCTGGCTGGGAAAAGGAGAAGAGAGCTAGGGTGGTTGACTGAAGGGGGTATGTTTTGTTTTGTTGTAAAGAGGGGAATTATTTAAACTTTCTACATGCTGGCAAAGAAGACAGGAGAGGGAAAAGAAAAAGCTAAGCACCGTTCCTGAGACAGTGGGAGAGGTGGAGATATGGGATCCAGACATAGGGTCATGGAGGCCTGGCCTTAGTAGAGTCACCCAAGATTGCTGCCAGAGAGGTGCCCAGGGTGGACTTTGGCCGTGAATAGAACCATGCTGAATTAGCACACCTGAAACGCTGACTCTGGGCCTCCCACACTTGGGTCAGCAGAGCAAACCACTTTGACCCTGGGAGTCTTGACTTCTGCTTCTTCCATCCTAAGTCAACCACACCTCAGCGACTACCCCCTTCCCCAACATCTAAGGACTACTGGCCCACAACAGAAAAGAAATGAAATTGCCAAATCACATTGTTTAGATTTTCAGCATTCCAATGGAGGGCTTGGGGTAGACTGGCATGCCTTCTTCCTCCAATTTTTTGTTTTGAAAATTTTCAAACTTAAGAAAAGTTGCACAAATAATACAATAAATACCATATTCCCTTCACCTAGACTCACCAATCTTTAACTTGGCAACATTTGCACTCTCTGCATATATAATTATATAAAAATACATGTATGTATGTGTGTGTGTATATATATGTGTATGTGTGTGTATATATATACACATATATGTATATATATACACATATATGTATATATATGTGTATATATGTGTATATATATACACACATACATACACACACTCATACCACACACGTACTTTTTTCCTGAGCTATTTGAGAATTTGCTGCAGACATCATGATACTGCACCCTTAAGAAATTTCCTGGGGGAAGTAATGTTTCTGCTGGAACCTGGATGATGATAAGTTAGCAAGATAAAAGGGTGGGCATAGAAAAGCCTGTCTCCAAAGAAAAAGTCCATTCCCTCCAGAACCATCACACCACACACTCTGATACTATTATAAGTCCATATGTGAATTTCTCTAATTGTCCAATAATGTCTCTTATAGATTTTTAAAAATTTGAGGGCTGGGTACAGTGGCTCATGCTGGTAACCCCAGCACTTCGGGAGGCCGAGGTGGGAGGATAGCTTGAGCCCAGGAGTTTGAGACTAGCCTGGGCAACATAGTAAACACCATCTCTAAAAATAAAAAATAAAAAAAATTAGCCAGGTGTGGTGGTATGCACCTGTGGTCCCATCTACTTGGGAGGCTAAGATGGGAGGATCACTTGAGCCCGGGAGGTCAAGTTTGAAGAGAGCCATGATCACGCCACTGTACTCCAGCCTGGGCAACAGAGTGAGACCCTGTCTAAAAATAATAAATGAATAAAATAAATATATAAATAAAAATTTGACCGACAGCTTAGTAAGGATTATATAGTTATGTCTGCTACTGTTTAAAAAGGCTTTTCTTTTTTTTTTTTCTTTGACATAGAGTCTTACTCTGTTGCCCAGACTAGAGTGCAGTGGCACGATCTTGGCTCACTGCAACCTCCACCTCCTGGGTTCAAGCAATTCTCATGCCTCAGCCTCCCAAGTAGCTGGGATTACAGATGTGTGCCACCACACATGGCTAATTTTTTTATTTTTAGTAGAGATGGGGTTTCACCATGTTGGCCAGGCTGGTCTCGAACTCCTGGGCTCAAGTGATCTGACTGCCTCAGCCTCCCAAAGTGGTGCTATTACAGGTGTGAGCCACCTCGCCTGACCTAAAAACACTTTTCAGCTCCAATTTTAAACTTAAAATTTTTCTTATTTTAAAAACAACATATGCATGTATTATCAAATACAGGAAAATATGAAGAGACAGAAGTACTTACTGATCATAATCCTACCACCAGAGACATCACTATGAATATGTTTGTACATTTTTTTCCTGTGCATTCTAAAACATAGTTAAGATTATGCTAAATATACAGTTCTCATGCTCTTTTATGTCAGAAGTGTTTTCCCATGACATTTTAAACCCCATAGACATAATTTTCTAATGGCTACATACTATTCTATCTAACCATTTCCAGAGGTTGGATATTTATCCAGCTTCTGAGACTTCCTGTTATAAAACAACACTTTGATGAACATCTTGGTACATAAATCTTTTGCATGTGACTACTTCCTTAGGACAGATTCCTAGAAGTGAAATTCTGGGTCAAAGAGTAGTAATATTTTAAAGGCTGTTTATGCATACTGACAAGCTGCTTCCTGGCAATTTGTCCAAACTTTTACTCTGACTAGCATTGTATGGGAGCTTCCCTGAGTGAATGCTGCCTTTGAAGTGGGGTCAGAGACTGAGGACCAAGGGGCACAGAGAAAGAAGAGTGTGGTCCTCGATGGGAGGACCCATCACAAACCGTCTTGCACAGTGTAAACCCTGGAGAGGGGCTGAAGAAACCACTGCAGCCCGGGGCCGCCCATTCTACCTGGCCCATGGTAGGCACTCAAGAAATGGTTTGCTACGTGAATAAACAAATCCACAAACATATATTTCTGAATTCCTATCATGCGTCAAACACAAGAGATAGGGAGAGAGGAGGAAAAGAAAAGCAAGGGATCATGGGATAAAAGGGGACAGTGGCAGTGGGGTGGACAGAAGTCAGAACTAAATTTACCTCATGCTTTAATTCGGCGAGTTTTCTTAGAATAGTCTGACCATTGCTTACGTTGAGGGTCTATAGTCCTCCCTTCCCCACAAGACAAAGTCCAACCTAATTCAGCACCAAGATCCAAGCAGCTTGGAAGATACAGGAGGGAAAATTCTGGTGTAGATTAAGTGCCACCCCCCAGCAATGGCCAGGACACAGCAGCAATGTTACCTAAGAAAGCAACTGCGCCTCTTGCTGATCAGCTAGACATGAGGGCAGTGTCCTACCTCAGCGGTTTGCAGCGGACATGCTGTCAGGCCATTGGGATAGTTCCCATAAGCCACTCCTGGTTGTCACCACTATTCCAAGTGGGCAGGAGCAGCCTTATTGACTGAGATGGGCGGCTATGGACACACATGGGTGTACGCATGTGATGGAAATGGGGGCTTGGGGCCCTGAGGGTCCACAGGGGCTGCGTGGTCAGGGAGGGTGGGCATGGCATCACAGGCACCCCAGGGGAGAAGCTGGCTTTCTTCCCATACTTTTGGCACTGTTTTCTGTTTTGTTTGCCTTCAAAGAGCAAGTGATGGCTGGACAGCAAAGAGGAGTGGAGGCCGGGAGAATGGGCAGCTAGCCCAGCGCTCTCCAATATCTGGGAGTCGACCGCACTCCTGCACTCCCTGTCATCCCTGCTAATGGTGAGGAACTGAGCAAAAGAGCCTCCAGAGTGACAGGTGACTTAAAGCGCACGTGGCTCTACATTTACAATTGAAGTGGGCTTTGGAGATTGCAGATTCTGAATACCTGCTGGGGTGGTACAGAGGCTGTGTTCTGGTTTTGCCATCTTGGACAGGGGGTTGGGAGTCTGGGGGGCTGCCTTCTCTCCTCTTCGTGCAGCTCTGCTGGGGCCTGTCTCACACTTGTGAGCAGAGTTATGGCTGGATTCCAGGGGAGACAGAGCTTGGTTGTGAAATGTAAGGTTGTGAAATGAAGGGCTTGTGAAATGAACAAAGAATGTATTTAAGGGTCTTTCATTTTAAATCGAACACTTACATAGCACTTACTACTTGCAAAGCTCCACTCTAAGCACTTTACCCATCTTAATTCATTTAATTCTCTTCTCAACCCTAAAAAGCAGGTATTACCATTGCTCCAATCTTACAGATGAGGAAACTCAGGCATGGAGAGGTTGAGCGACTTGCCCAAATTCATGCAGTTAGGACCTGGCAGAGCTGCGCTTTGAACCCAGGCTGCCTGGCTCTAGAGTGTGTGCACGAAACTTCACTGCCATATGAACAAAACTGCAGGACATATGTTCTCAAAGCAAATAAGCCTCCCAGAGGTAAGAGTTAGGTTCTGTTTCCCCACTGGTTGTATTATTCAAGAAGGGAGCTATTACTAAAAGCTAAAGTGGGTAGGCCAAGGTCGCATGCAAAGCTGATACTTGCTGAGTCAATGAATAGCTGCATGATGTGCAATGAGGTGGAGAAAGACATTAACGTGAAAGAATCTGATTATCTTTTATGGGAGGAACCCAGAATCACACAGAGCCCTGAGGGCTGGATGGCTCCGGGCATTCCCCCAGTGCCCACAAGTAAATCAGGGACAGCCGGACCCCTTCCAGGGTGCCCTTCCTGGGGGTTGTCTCATGCCCTTGAGTTAGGAGTCAACCCTATGGGATCCTCTGGGAGCCCTCTGCTCTATTGATCCCCAAAACTTTATCCAGACCCTGCATCCCCTTGTTCTGGAAATGGGTCTAGTTCTCTGATTCTCAAAGGCTCCTGGAAGGCAGGGGTTTTGTCTCATTCACATCGAAATCCTTAGTATCTACAGCATCCAGCAGGTGGAGAGAAGGAGAGACTTAGCATTTATTATGTGCCTGTTTCTGGCCAGGAGTCCTACCCCTGCCACCTTACCGAATCTTCACAACACCCCTTAGAGGGCATTCCTCAAAGGGGAAGATATTACCAGCCCCTACTTAGAGATAAGAACATAGGGTCCAAGAGGTTAAGGGGCTTGGCTCAAGGTCACCCAGCTAACGAGTGGCAGAAGAAGACACAAGATGAGTTCTACTCCAGAGTCCAGGCTCTGTCACTCGCCACAGGGCTCCCGGAAGACATTGGTGTTGCTCGGTCTCTCTGACTTGCCCTTTGCTAACTCCTTTAATTATTTTGCTTGACTTGAGTCCTATTCAGGATTTGAGACTGAGTTTAGTTAACACCATTTTTTTTTTGTTTTGTTTCTGGCTCCAGAGGCTTTTCCTGATGGCTTCAAGGACCTGCCCTAGCCTGGTCTGACTTCCCAGAGGGGATCCAGTCCCAACATTGGCCCTATCTTTAGACCACATTTCCATCCCATTCTCAGTGAAAACCCTGAGTCATGACAGAAGACAACCAATGCTGGAGAGAGGAGGTTTCAGGTAATGCCTGTTTTAGGCATCCTCTCCTTTAAGAAAAATTTTTATATCAAGGCACCTCAACATAATAATACCTTTATTGCATATAGGTAGAATATAAAACTGACTTGTAAGACCACTCTGTGTGTGTGTGTGTGTGTGTGTGTGTGTGTGTTCTCTAGCTAGCCTGCAGGGACGGGACTCAGTTCCTCAGCAGCCCAGTGCCTGGCACAACAGGCATTGAATTAGAAGTGCCAGACATTTTCAAACTTTAAGGTATAATTTGTTTGGACACTTTGGCTGGGCATTTTGATAAAACATCCCTAGTTAAAAGATGGCAACCAACAGGCATCAAACCAAAACCACCCTCAAAGAGCAAAATATAAGGCCTTTGTAACAAGAGTCACAGAGTTATGGCTGGCCGCGGTGGCTCATGCCTGTAATCCTAGCACTTCGGGCCGTCTCTATTAAAAACACAAAAATTAGCCAGGTGTGGTGCTGCATGCTTGTAATCCCAGCTACTTGGGAGGCTGAGGAAGGAGAATTGCTTGAACCTGGGAGACAGAGGTTGCAGTGATCGCTCCACGGCACTCCAGCTTCACTGCACTCCAGCCTGGGTGATGGAGGAAAAAAAAAAAGCAAACTCACCGAGTTACAGAATCAGCCATTCTATGGAGCCAGAAAGAGGCGCCTCAGGGAGAATCTGTGACTCAAGAACACTTGCTGAGGGTCCCGGGCTTAGGTGCTTTGAACTTCGCTAAGGGCAGTCTTCTAGTTCTCTGTTCTTCCCTTCCAGGAGGACAACAGTCAGAATACCCCCAAGACGTCCTTCTTTCCCTAAGGTCTCAAAATCCTTGCCTCAAGAAGTTATTCCTGAAGTCTAGCTTGAATTCCTCCAGATAGAGTTTAAACCAGACAAACAGCCTACGAACATGTTACAATATTCAAAAACTTCTAATTTAGTCACCATCACTTGCAAATAGGGATATCTCATGGAAATACGATTTCTGATTTATCTTGAAAAGTCAAGATGATCTGGCCACAATGGGCCTGCACTCCTGTGAGGTGGTATCATTGGCTTGGGGGTCTCACCAGTGCCACCCTGCATGGGGGCACCGGGTGACATGATGCTCGATTGAGCTTTCCCTCCAGGCTGGGTAATCAGAGGCCAGGCCCTGTGTGTCTTCCAGGGGATGCTGTCCTGATCCAGGCTGGTGAGGCAAGGAGGGGCTGCGGCTTCCTGAGCTCTCCGAGCTGCTAATGTGCGTGGGGAATGCTAAGCAGCCTCCAGGCTCTGACCAGGTTTGTCTTCTAGGACCCACTTGCCCAATGGGTGCCAGGACACCAGGTCTGGGTCTGGAGAAGAGAATTCTTCTCCAAGGGATGTTGATGGTCCATTCCGGAAATGAAAGCTTCCCACGGTCTGCCCTGCACCAGGCTTTCATCAGTGAGAAATACCCCGAATTTACACCCAAACCTAAAAGGAGAAGCGTAGAAGTGTTCTTGGCCCAATTCTTTTAATTGCAAGTCCTACTAGCAGGACAACTAAGGGATTATCCCTAAACTTTCATTTAAAAGTCTGGGGAGGGAAGGAAGGAGTAAAAACTTTGGCAGTCAGATTTTTCTCACTTTCACATTTATTCTTTACTATTAATGACTTGTTCATCATGCTGTACAACAATTGTGCAAAGATGCATACGTTTGCCACTATAATTTGCCATTAAAATGTAATAATCAGTAAGTATACACGGCGTGCCAGGTGCTAAACAGCAGATGAGGGGCGAGGTGGGTGAAGGTTCCATGCCGTGAGTTTGTGGCTAATGGAACCCCTCATGCTGCTGCTATCCTTCCTGGGCCCAGCAGTTGGATCCTGCAGGGGTGCCCCACTCTCTCGGGGACCTCAGAAATGTCCTCTATGGTTAGGGACGGCTAAGGAGGGTGTATCTGCAGGATTCCCAGGCACTGGGAGGTGTATAGAGGTCACAGGACCCATACAACCACCCCAGACCTTGTCAGAGTGCTCCAGTCTGGCATCCGCAGAAGGCCAGGGAGGGTCAAGGGGCAGTGCTGAGCCACTGAACACAGCCACAGAGTTGGAGCTGCCAGGCAGAAGGTGCACGGCTCAGCAGAGGAGACCCCTTGAGGCAGCAATGCTGGGGCCGGAGGGTCAAGGCTGAGGAGAAGGCCACCGCAATGCCCTGTGTGGCCCTCATGAGCTGAGGGACCATGGGAAGGTGGCCTAGCCACTCTGAGCCTCAGTTTCCCCGGGAGATAAAAACAGAGACAGTATCTGCAAACTCAACAGGGCATTATGGTGAAGAAATGAGAGGACTCAGGAACATGTTAGCTGTCACAGCCTTAGCCACTGCCAACTCCAGCCAGGCAGCTGGTCAACATTGCCGAGCACCAGCCAGGTGACAGGAGGACAGAGGGCTCGGGGGAAACCAAATCCATCCCCCCAAACAAAAGAAAAACACAAACAAAAATAGGCACCAGAGCCGCCGGACGTGTACAAAGACTGTGTACGTTCTGCCTGTGGACAGAGCCCAGGAAGAGCACCCTGGCTCCTGTGCTCCACGCCTGCAGCTCATCTGGAAGGTTCCCTGTCTATGGCAGCCAGGTACCCAGGCCAGCCTGCAAAGGCCCAGTAACAGAACTTGTGTCTAAGATAGAACTTCATAGCTTTGTGCTGCCAAGCCCACCTGGAGCCCCCTTTAAGCCTTCTTTTGTTTGTTTGTTTGTTTGTTTTGAGACAGGATCTCATTCTGTTACTCAGGCTGGAGTGCTGTGGTGCCAGCATAGCTCACTGCAGCCTCAAACTCCTGGGCACAAGCGATCCTCCCACCTCAGCCTTCTGAGTAGCAGGGACTGCAGGTGCATGCCACCCTGCAAAGCTAATTTTATTTATTTTATTTTTTGTAGAGACGCGGTCTCACTATGTTGCTCAGGTTGGTCTCGAACTCCTGGGCTCAAGTGATCCTCTGCCTTGGCCTCCCAAAGTGCCGGGATTACAGGCATGAGCCACTGCGCCCCAACCCGTTTAAGCCCTTCTGAGCTTTAAACCTCATCTGCCTCCACTCTGCGCCCAGCAGTGGGGGAAGGTAGGGAGGGGAAGGTAGAAACATGTAAAGGAGACAGGGTCATCGGAGCCAGCTCTGGGTGTGAGCTCACCATCTTCCACAAGGCCGTTCGTGGATCCGGCCTGGCGAACTGACCACGGTTCTCCACAGAGTAGGGGCAGGTAAGGGGCTGGGATGAGGCTCTGACCTCTGCAGCGTGAGGATGCCAGGGAGGAGGGCAGGCGGGGGGGGCGCCCCTTCCTCTGGTTATCTGTAGTCCTGGATGCCTCGTGTAAGTGAGAACACAATCGGTCCCAGGAGGACTGTCTCTAGAGGAGGCACCAGGGGCCCGGTGGAGGCAGGAGAGGCCGAGGGGAGGCAGGTAGGGAGCAGGCAGGGCTGAGCGGTGCTGCAGCAACAGGCAGGGTCAGGGAGACGCCAAGACTCCCAGTCCCACAACAAGGTACCACAGACCATATAGCTCATAAACAATAATTTATTTCTTGCAATTCTTTTTCTTTTCTTTTTTTTTTTTTTTATTGAGACAGAGTCTCAGTCTGCTGCCCAGGCTAGAGTGCAGTGGGGCGATCTTGGCTCACTGCAACCTCCACCTCCCGGGCTCAAGCAATTCTTCCACCTCAGCCTCCTGAGTAGCTGGGATTCCAGGCGCACACCACCATGGCCAGCTAATTTTTGTATTTTATTTTAGAAGAGACAGGGTTTCACCATGTTGGCCAGGCTGGTCTCAAATTCCTGACCTCAAGTGATCCGCCGGCCTTGGCCTCCCAAAATGCTGGGATTACAGGCGTGAGCCACCGCACCCAGCCAATGTGAGCCAATTAAACCTCTTTTCTTTATAAATGATCCAGTCTCAGGTAGGTCTTTATAGTAATGTGAGAACAGACTAATACACTAAGAGTCCCTTTGTAACCTTGGAACCCACCTCTGGTTCTACAACCTGCCCTACAGGAAGCTCACTACAGCAGGCATGTTTCCCCTTTGCTTCACACACCACAATGGCAGCTTATCACAGTAGGTGCTCAGCAGTGTGGCTAGGGGCCAGTTGCTGGCTGTGCGCTCTGCTTTATACACACCACTGCTATTCCTTACAGCAGCCCTGAAAGAGAGGTGCTATGATTCCGAACCAGGCTCAGAGAGGTCCAGCTACTTACCCAAGGTCACACAGCTAGTAGGGGGCAGCCAAGATCCAACCCCAGCCAGCCCTCCTCCAAAGCCTGGGCCCTTTCCACCACATCTTACTGGCTCTGCAGAGTGGCAGGAAGAGACAGGTAAATGCATCTCATATCCATTTCTTAAGTAAGGCATAATAACAATAAAATGATTAAAGCAACAGCTGGGGGAAACGCTTCAGTGGCCAAGAACAGACCAGCCAGGTGCAGGGAGAGATGACCAATGACAAGCGCTCTAGCAGTTTTTGTGCTAATAGTGAGATGGACTGACTTTGGAAATGGAAAAGGAAGACAGTGAGAGAGGAAAGGGCCAAAGCAGACAGAAAAATGAAAGATGCTGGCTGGGCATGGTGGCTCATGCCTGTAATCCCAGCACTTTGGGAGGCTGAGGCGGGTGGATCACCTGAGGTCAGGAGTTTGAGACCAGCCTGGCCAACAGAGTGAAACCCCCGTCTCTACTAATAATACAAAAATTAGTCGGGCATGGTGGTGCGCACCTGTAGTCTTGCTGCTCGGGAGGCCGAGACATGAGAATCGCTTGAACCCGGGAGGCGGAGGTTGCAGTGAACTGAGATCGTGCCACTGCACTCCAGCCTGGGTGACAGCAAGGCTCTGTCTTAAAAAAAAAGAAAAAAAAAAAAAGACGCTGGAATCCTCCAGGATCCACAGAGTTCACTTTACGGATGGACCAAAGGGGCTGGCAGTTCTACAGCCCCTTCCCATACAGCATTTGTCATTGGGAACTGTTCCCTCACCCTGGGCAAGAAAAACCTTATTAACTTCACTGATACTTTCCAGCAACAAATGTCGCTTCTGTTATTTAGCATACTGAGGGAAGAGCAAATGGTCCTCTCATGGGCATCAGGAATGCCCATGCCCCCTCCAGGAATTAGTGGATATTCTCTAGGAAAATTTGCATTAGTTTTTAAGCAGGGGCAAAGATAATTCGAATTCAGCCTGGCTGCTTCAGTGGAAGGAAATTTACCTGGACTCAGAGCCTTCTTTAAGAGATGCATGTTTGCTGTTTTTGCTTTTGTTTTGATTTATTTTTCTCCTTGAGGGCAAGTCCTAGTCATCAGCATGAGACAACCCTAGCTCTTATGAGAGGTGACCGACCACTCGACCTTAGCGTTGGTTACTCAGCACAGGCAGATGCGAACCCTGCAAGGCAGAGCTCGCACTCTGCAAAGCAGAATGGTTTATCAAAGACACTGAAGCAAAGACACTGAAGGAGGAGTTGGGCAGGAGGCTGCAGGGAAAGAGTTCTTCTCACTACAGAAGAAAGTGGGAATGTTCTGGAAAGCTGCTGCTGAGGGGACGCATGTGTAAAACAGATCACGTGTTCCCATGACCGAAGTCTGTCATCTGACAGGCCAAGTCTTCATTTCTTGGGATCTCAAATATCGATGCTTCCTGGCCAGACCTCTCCCATGAGATGGCACCTCTGGCCGGGTGAGTCTGAGGGCCCATCTCCAGGTGGCCCAGACACTGGAGGGAGGTGATGTGGGGCACAGAAGGGGATCTGCAGGGGAAGGACACCTGTGCTAGTCCAGCTTTGCCATGAACCTGCTGTGTGACTCTGGGGAGGTTAACTGTACCTCTCTGGGCTTAGTTACCACATTTCTCAAGTGGCTCTGGCATCTGTTAAAATGCCAAACTCGTGGTCCTTAACACCTTGTGATGCTGGCACCTCTCTGCAGACTTTTCTCAATGTAACCTCAGAAGTTGGGGAGGACTGGGGAGAAGGGAGGTCCTGCAGGGAGGAGAAAAGGGAAAGTGGGCAACTCCACTGAAGGCTGTCACACATTTGGGGGCTGTTCCCGACAGTTTTACCTTCCTCTTTGGGCCCCTCCTTTCTCTTCCCTCTCAGTCCCCTTGTCAGATGGTTGATGGGGATCACTGGGAGTTGGGGTGACTGTCAGGAAGGCAGAGAGGGGGTTTGGGCAGCAGGTGGGAAGTGGGGCCAGGTGGCCTCTCGGGGTTCTCCCACCTCACAGTTCTGGGGAGTTCAGGGTTCTGCAAGCAGAGTGATCCTTAATTAATAAACAGCGGGGCAGGCTCGGGCTCCACGTCAGGAAAACTGCAGTCAGCCACGCTGGGCCACCCGCCCTCTGCAGAGCACACGCAACAGCGCAGTCATTAAAGCTGAACTGAGCCCTCTCAGGACCAGTGGGAACATCTCTGAACACTGAAGTTCTGCATCTGAAAGAGAAACCTAGGAATGCCTTGCTGCTTCTCTGGGTGTAGAGACGGCCCCCAAAGAGCAGGGCCCTGGGGCTGCGCTCTCAGTCCCTCCGGGAATGTGGGGATGAGCTGAAAAGCGGGAATTCTGGAGGAACCGGAGACCACCATGGTGGGCTGACTGGGACAGGACTGTGGGCAGGGTGTGAATCCGCCCACGGAAGTTACTCCAGGGGAGACCTCCCTTTCAAACCAGCAGTGCCACCTGGCCCAGAGTGGCTGGGAGGATGAAATGTGGTCATCTGGGTGAAAGCACTAAGAGAAAAGAGAGTGTTCTGGTTGTTTTTGATATAAAAGGATTTGGCATCAAGATCGTCAAATGACATCAGTCAGCCTCACCTCAGGGAACATGTCCACCGAGGTCTCATTGGAAATGCAGGGAACAGGGTGGCTCATGGGCTAGTCTGGGTTGTCACAGACTATGACAAGGAGTAGATACTTCAGCACACTAGCCCACCTCCCTTCTCCTCCTACCCACCCCCTCTGACTCCAGGAGAGCCCTCTAAAGTGCTGTGTTCAGTTACATGCCTTATATATGCTGAACACACACACACTCACACATGCTCACAGACACAATGCACACACACGCTCACACGCCACACACATGCACCACACACACAACACACATGCTCACACACACCACACACAGACACATCACACACACATGCTCACACACCACACACATATCACAACACACCACACATGCTCAAACATACACACTCACACATGCTTACACACCACACACACATCACATGCCCACACACATGCTCATGCACACACCATACACAACTCACACACCACACACACCTCACGTCACACATACACACCACATACTTCACACACACACTACACACACAGACTCACACACGCTCACACAGCACACACCCCCACACCACACACATACACACTCATGCTTACACACCACACACACTCACCCCCATCCCCCCACACTTTGCGCGCACACACACGCACTCCAGTCTCTAACATGACAGGGTTAGGCCAGATCAGAGCTTTTGTGACCAGGGACATTCGTCATGCCTGCCAGCATCACTTGAGGAGCCTTTTAAAAGAACCCTTCTTCCGGATATTTTCATCCTTTCCAAGTGTGCTGATGCCTGAGCGTATACATGCATTTAATCTTTTTTAAAAAGCAATTGGCTGGGCAGGGTGACTCACGTTTTAATCTCAGCCCTTTGGGAGGCTGAGGCAGGAGGATTGCTTGAGTCCAGGAGCTTGAGACCAGCCTGGGCAACATAGAAAAACTCCATCTTGATTAAAAAAAATAGCTGGGCACGGTGGTATGCGTGCCTATAGTCCCAGCTACTCAGGAGGCTGAGGTGGGAGGATTGCTTGAGCCTGGGAGGTTCAGGCTGCAGTGAACCATGATTGTACCACTGCACTCCTGCCTGGGCAACAGAGAGAGACCCTGTCTCAAAAAAAAAAAAAAAGGTAAAAAGTAACATTTAAGCATGGTAATACAAAATTAATAGTAGAGAAATGGAAATGACATCTCCCTTCACCCAGTTTCTCCCCACCAGAGGCCACCACTGAAACTGCATTCTCATTCTTCCTTCCAGAGTTAGGCTATGTCTGTGTGGACTCTGTTGCATGCGCTGGCCTTCCTTGCACGCAGAGGACAGTACACAGTACCTGCCTTGTTCCTCACTGCTTTTCTCACTGACCCACAGGATCTGAGGGGCACCCGCAGCAGTGCAGACGGACCGCTCCATTCCGTCAGAGGCCACACTTATTTCACCAGTTCCATCCTGATGTTTTCCAGACTTCTACATAACAGATGATTCACCAGTGTGTCCCCCCATGGATGCCTCTGCTCACATAGAAAGGGTTAATTCTTGGAAGCTGAGGTGCTGTCAAAGGGCATCTGACAGATCAGCCGCCCTCTGCTCCAGGGGTGTGGTCTTCCTCTCCGACCCATGATGCGTGGCAGCCTGGCTGCCCACACCCTCAGATCCCTGAGCAGCAGTGTCTCGCTGTGGTTTTATCAGCAGTCTTTTTAAATTAATTTTTTTTTTTCTGTCACTTGCCTGGATGGAATCAGCAGTCTTTTTATTATGAGGGAGATCAAGCACCTTTTCATGTTAAATCCCTCCTCCTTTTTTTATCCTTTTCCTGTGAGCTACCTGTTTTTCTCTTTTATCAGGCCTGGATATTTTGGGGCAATGCTGGGCTGTCCTAGTACTCCCTGCCTGTTCCAGTTGATCCAGGCTCCTTAAAGCTCCAACAGTGTGGATTCTGTGAGCATCATGAAAGCCCAAGGGTGGTGGTCTCTCCAGGTGTCAGAGAGCCAATGGTGAGTGAGAGAACCCCCCGGCCAGGGCAGCAGAGAAGCCTCATGCCCACCAGTGCCAATAGCCTGGCATGGGAGCAGCCCTCTTTGTACAGGAAAATGGGCCACATTTGTCTTTAACATTTGCTTCTTGTCCAAAGCATTTTAGAGTGTGATGGACATGAAATGATGGAGACAGTGTGTATCTACTTCCCTTGAAAGCTCCTCCAGCGAATCCAGAGCCAGCATCTTCCTGTAGCATCTGCCCCTCCCTCCCTTTCAGGCCTGTGGTAACATCTCCTCCTGCAGAACCTGGGCCCTGCTATCCTGCTATCAAAGGGTGGAGAGCCTGATGGTCTGTGAAATTCCCAGGGAAGGTTCAGGTATCAGAAATGCACTGAAGAACCACCTGAGCTCACTCTGTTAATGGCGATATTTCACGTGATTTATCTGGAAGGGTTGGTAACTGATATGGTAACAAATCTCATCTTGAATTCCCACATGTTGTGGGAGGGATCTGGTGGGAAGTAACTGAATCATGGGGGCAGGTCTTTTCTGTGCTGTTCTCTTGATAGTGAATAAGTCTAACGAGATCTGATGGTTTTAAAAAGAGGAGTTCCCCTGCACAAGCTCTCTCTCCCTGTCTGTCTGCTGCCATCCATGTAAGATGTGGCTTGCTCCTCCTTGCCTTCTGCCATGATTGTGAGGCTTCCCCAGCCACTTGGAACTGTAAGTCCAATTAAACCTCTTTCTTTTGTAAATTCCCCAGTCTCGGGTATGTCTTTATCAGCAGCGTGAAAACGGACTAATACAGAAACTTAGCCTGGAGGTCCTGATTAACAGCTAACGCCTCCACCCTTACACATAGCTTCTGTTTTGTAGTAAGTGCTCAAATGACTGTTGAAAGAAGAAATCACGAACAACTGTCTGACTGCCCTCTCTTTTGTCTAGAGGTAGTACAGTTCAAATTGGTTCGGTGGTACTGTGTTTACAAAGTCCACTTTCTGACAGCTCCAACCAGCTTTCTTGCAAATTTCAAAAGCCTCTTTCTTTGGGCCTGGGAACTAGGTTGGCCAAATAAAATACAGGAGACCCAGTTAAATTTGAATTTCAGGTGAACAACAAGTAATATTTTTGGTGTGTGTCACAAACATTGCATGGGACATACTTACTGTTTTTGATTCCTGTGGCTGCTGTAGGAAATGACCATAAACTTGGTGGCTTAAAACAACAGATATTCATTCCCTCACACTTCTGAAGGCCAAAGTCCAAAATCAGGATCACTAGGTTGAAGCTAAGGTGTCAGCAGGGCCACACTCCCTCTGGAGCTCCAAGAGAGAATTGGTTCCTGGACTTTTCTGGCTGCTGGTAGCTGCCAGCAGTCCTTGGCTTGTGGCCACCTCACTCCAATCTCTGCCTCCATCACCACATTGTCTTCTCTTCTGTGTTTTCCATCTCTCTCTTCCTTCCTCTTACAAGGATGAGTGTGACTGCATTTAGGACCTACCTAGATAATACAGGATAATCCCCCCATCTCAAAATCCTTAATTTAACCACATCTACAAAGACCCCTTTTCCAAATAAGATCACATTTACAGGTTCTGGAGATTAGGACCTGATATCTTTGAGGGACATTATGCAGCCTATGCCAATTATTTGTTGTTATCTGAAATTCTAATTTTCACAGATGCCCTGTGTTTTAATTTGCTAATTCTGACAGCCCTACCTGGGACCACACCTTATTAGGAGACAGCAAGGATTTAAGTGATTTTCCTTCAACTGGCACCACCCTTCCTTGTGTGGTGGGGAGAGGCCCAGTCCACAGACCCAGCCCTGTTCATCAAGATCTTTTATCTTTGAAGTGGGGCTTATAGTTTACAGTGGCATTCCAGTTTTCAGGAGAATCTAAGGCATTTGGCTTAACTTTTGAACAGATCATGGCAAACAGTACATGTATTCCCACTTTTAGCATTCAAAACTCCAAATACAGACCTGTTCCCCTCCACCCTCCAGGAAGGTGGAAAGATGAACAAATAAATATATAAGTTATGTATCTGTTCCCCTTTCTGTTCTCAAGTCTCTTTAAGAAAGCCTTTTTTTTTGTTGTTTGTTTGTTTTTTTGAGAGCAGGTCTCGTTCTGACGCCCAGGCTGCAGTGCAGTGGTGCCATCATGGCTCGCTGCAGCCTCAATTTCCTGGGCTCAAGTGATCCTCCTGCCTCAGCCTCCTGAGTAGCTGGGACTACAAGCGCACACCGCCATGCCCAGCTAATTTTTAAAAAATTTTTTGTAGAGACAGGGTCTCCCTATGTTGCCCAGGCTGGTCTCGGACTCCTGGCCTCAAGTGATCCTCCCATCTTGGCCTCCTAAAGTGCTGGGATTCCAGGCGTGAGCCACTGCACCTGGCCCTGTTTTTGTCATTTGAGACAGGTTCTCGCTATATCGCCCAGGCTAGTTTCAAACTCCTGGGCTCAAGAGATCCTCCTGCCTCAGATTCCCCAGCAGCTGGGACTACAGGCGCAGCCACTCACCAGTGTGGCCTTAGGGTTTTTGTAGTCAATATTGAACTCACCCACTCATCCATTTATTCACTCGTGAATCAATTACTGAGTGCTTATTCTGTGCCATGCGCTATGCCCGGCACAGAAGACACAAAGATGAATAAAGCATCTCCCTGCGATGGGCGAGTGAGGGAGGCTGGATCCCTGGGGAAGCCCAAAGAGTGGAATTAGACAACATTGTGGAAATTAAACACAAATAACGGGCACTAGTGATGTGAAGGCAGCATGATTCCATTTGATGTGAAACTAGAAGGATAGAAACTCATTTACCAATTATCTTTAAATTCTAACAACTATTTTTAGCCTTTAGATGTGGAAAAAATAACTTGTATTACAGGATGTGTTACCTAACTGTCTGCTTTAACATGATGGTGGTTTTCCTCCTTCTGTCTTCTAGATCCCTGGAAATGTGGGTGCATATGAGGCTCCCTCTGCCTCCTCCCACAGCCATATGAGCTGCCGCCTCCTAGGAGAACCTGGCAGGGCTGGCAGCACCCCCAGCTCCCCAGTTCAGCCCAGAAGGGGGCTGCCTGGACTCCAAGATTTCTCCCTTCACCCGCGGCTGCCTCCTGCCCCCATGACTACAGTGTGGTGAGCACTTTTTGGTACAAATTATGCCTCACTGCAAATACATCTTAGTTTTTTTTTTTTTTTTTTTTAAGGAAAAAGCCATCTGTTGATTTATTTATCATATGGCACAAATTCTCAAGCTGAAATTCCAGGTCTCTGCCCATGAAAAACAAAACAAAAGCAAAAACACTTTTTTTTTGTCTTTGGGGGAGAAAAGCAGTGAGGCACTGGCAGTTTAATAAAGGGTAGGACCCCTAGGCTAAAGCAGTGAATGGGAAAGCTAGGGGGAAGACCATGCCCCAGGGAGCAGAAGCCCAGGCATAAGAAGCACAAATCCTGGGTTCGAATCCCCTACCGGCCTCAAATTAGCCACGGGACTCCAGGTGCCACTTGACTTCCCTGAATCCCTCTGAACCTCCCTGAATCTCAACGTCCTAATCTGTAGAAGAGGGGAAGGAATTTTTCACTCACAGGCTCATGTTAAGAATCAAATGAGATCATATAAACTGTAAAGTACTATCCACTTGTTAGTAATTTGGGGAGTGGGGGGACCTCCCAGCACCCTGAAATCACATCGTGTGGGCTACCCAAGTGTGAGGACACCCCGTGCCTGTGTGTTTCCAGTGCCCCCATATCACTCTCCTGTCTCAAACACCTAGAGGTTGACATCCAAATAACAATATTAAAGTGACTCAGATTTATTATTTTTTTGAAATGGAGTCTCACTCACTCTGTCGCCCAGGCTGGAGTGCAGTGGCGCGATCTCAGCTCACTGCAACCACTGCCTCCCAGGTTCAAGTGATTCTCGTGCCTCAGCCTCCCAAATAGCTGAGATTACACGTAGTGCTCCACCAGGCATGGCTTTTTTTTTTTTTTTTTTTTTTTTGAGACAGAGTCTTGCTCTGTCAACCAGGCTGGAGTGCAGTGGCACCATCTCAGCTCACTGCAACCACCTCCTGGATTCAAGCGATTCTCTCCTGTCTCAGCCTCCCTAGTAGCCAGGATTATAGGCACATGCCATCATGCTTGGCTAATTTTTATGTTTTTAGTAGACACGGGGTTTCACCCTGTTGGCCAGGCTGGTCTCAAACTCCTGACCTCAGGTGACCACCTGCCTCAGCCTCCCAAACTGTTGGGATTACAGGCATGAGCCACCACACCCAGCCTAATTATTTGTATTTTTAGTAGAGACAGGGTTTTGCTATGTTGCCCAGGCTGGTCTTGAACTTCTGGCTTCAAATGATCTGCCCACCTCAGCCTCCCAAAGTGCTGGGATTATAGGAGTGAGCCATCACGCCCAGCTGACTTCGATTTGTTATTGGGACTGACCTTCTAATTAGTCCAGATTGGATCAATATTTGTGTATCCAGAAAGCCAGGTAGTCCCAAGTGTTCTCTGCACATTGTGGGCCCAGTAGGAGGCAGGGCTTATCCCACTGGAAGGTGGCAGTCTTAGGAGCCTTAGTAGTGGAGTCCCCGTGACATGGGGTCCAGGTGTCGATCTCTCTGTTGCCATTGGGCAGCCCAGGGCACACTGGTTGCATCTGTCCCCCGGGCACAGGGTGTTCGTGGTCTAAGGCTATGACCAGTGTGCCCTGGGCTGCCCAATGGCGACAGAGAGATGCCCTCTGCCCAGCTCCTAATTTTGCACTCAGGGCTGTGTGCCAAGGTGCCCGCACTCTGCAGCTCCCGCTGGGATCCATGGGGGCCTATGCAGGCCATGCTCGGGGCCAGGACTGATGATACTGTCTCCAGGTGGCTCCACCCTTCAGTTTTGGATGCTTCTAAAACTTTTCTTGAAGAATGACTCAGTACTCACCCTTAATACAATTTATAGGCTGAAATGATCCCTCTGCCTGCTCCACCTGCTCCAAACCCTGATAAAACAGAAACTAGGGTGGGATATCACATATGGTATCTTCACTTTGTAGCTGGTGGATTTTCTTAAATGTGGAGGAGAACGTGGGAGGCAAGACCAGAACTGAGAAATGACTCTTGCTTTTAGTTAGAGGGAGGGTGGCTGTGGGAAGTGTATTTCAACGCCATGAAAGTACCCTGTGAGGTTGCAAATTCTAAGTAATTCGATATGCATAACCCCAGCCTCAGCTGTGTGAGCTCCTCCCTTCTCTGTTCCCCATCACTCCCCCTTTTCCTGGTCCCAGAGTGTGAACCACATTGGTGTAGACATGGGGAAAGTAAAGTGGATTTTTGAGGAAGGGGGATCAGGTAGTGTAGCCCAACAGACTAGAAAATACAGACTCAGTCTCCTCACCTCCCCTCTCACTGTGACCCTTTTTCTTAACAGTAGAGGGCTGACTTTGTCTGCCTTGCTCAGGGAAACCGCCCCACTTTTAATTAAATTTCTCCCTGTAGATGCTGTCTGGGAAGCTGAATGTCATCTTCCCTGGGCTTACCTGCCAGGCTCCTCTCATCCACATCTTCCAGCCTCTAGCCACATGGACCCCTCCGGAAAGCATGTGTGTGTGGGGGGTATGTGTGAACATTTTTCATGCTTGATGTGAGCCGGAAGAAAAATGAGCTTCTCTATTTGATAAGTGTGGACCTGCCCACAGCACTAAATTTGGTTCTGCCGTCACCGGCGCCATGAAGCAGCAGCCTGGTTTAGAGGCTTGCCTTTGGTTTCAAATAATTTCTCCAGGCTCATGTTACATATGACCCATTCACAGAGGCTGGAGGGCATGGCTTCTCCAGTCCTTAGCACTAAAGACGTGTCTTTTGGCTCCTGCACGACTAGCACAGGCAGTAGAACCAGATGGGGGATGCTCTGAGGTTGCAGAGGCAGGAAGGCAAGCGGGAGAGAGCTTGGGCCTGGACAGAGGGATGAGCTGGCTCCCTCCCCAGCTGTGAAATCTCTGAGTCTCAGTTTGCTTCTCTGCAAAATGAGGATAATAATCCCCACCTCGGGACTGAGGATTAACGAGGCAATGGTTTTAGCAGAATAATCCACTGCTGCTATTATTATCAGCATCTTCGTATAGCAAAACTCATTTGGACCAATGGGGAGTGCGTTAAGTTGGTCTGAAGTAGGGCAAAGGAACGATTATAGAATGTTTCAAAGGAAATGTGTTTTTTATTATTTCCATGTATATAGAGTACTGGAACTGAGTGCTAGGAGGTGGAGAACTGACTTGATTTAAATAAGGAGAGCTCATTTGACATTGGCCTGTTTGATTTCTCAACATCCAACTGTGTTAATAAAGAGGGTTTTGAGCTATCTATGTGCCCAGCTCTGTGACTGGAGAAGGAAAGTCACATAAGACACAGTCCTTGCCCTCACAGGACGTGCAACCTGTGGGCAGATGAGTCCTACACAGGAAGCGGGGGCAAGAAGGAAACTGTGAGGCACTGGGGAGCACGGCGCTGCCACAGGTGAGAGGAAACGCGTAGCCTCTGGACCTTGAGTGCCAAGGCTGGGGAAAGCTTCGGGGAAGATGGACACTGAGGAAGGTCAGGTCAATTTAAATAGGGGGTGGGGCAGGGAGAGAGGGGCAAGGCTGCCATGGGTGAGCAAGGGGCAGAAAGAGCACGGCATCTATGAAGGAGCCACAGGGCAGGCTGGCAGGAGGCGGGACTGGGCAGGGAGGTGAGCCAAGGTGTGGGGACCCGGGCAGGCAGCTCGAGGCCAGCTTGGCTTAGCAGGCGATGCCCATGGCAGGACCACACTTGGAGAGGGCCAGGGCAGGTGACGGGGTTGCTCTGGGAGGAATTTGGCAATGGCATGCAAAACGGATTGGATATGAATTTTGGAATTGAAACAGGGAACAACTCATTATTGTTTCCATAAGGATCCGAGGGTGAGATGATAAGGTCTAAAATCATTTTATCGCTGGTGAGAGTGTGACTGGAAACAGAGGGGCAAACTGAGGCAATGCCTGGAAGAAACTGGCGGGTCTGTTCCAGGATGTGGAGGGAGAAGAGCTTAAGGCTCCATGGCTTGCCACATTCGGGACTGGAAGATGGCAAATTCCAGTGACCGAAGTGCACAGACCAGGTGGTAATGGGGGCAGCATTTTACTAAAACGCAAGGCTATGGGGCCACTGGACACCCAGGACTGGCACTCAAACCTGGCCACGCTGGAGAAGAGATGGGCCATTGTCAGGGTGGGGGTTATGCATACACCCTGAAATACCTCCCACCATCCACGCTCCGGAGAAACCCTCCATTTACAGGGTGAAGGCAAACTGACTTTAGCCCCGCTCTGGCTCAATTCAAATGCCAGGTGCAAGCAGTTCAATTAACGCGCCTGCCCCGTGCCTTTGACACCAAACAGATGTCAGAATATTACACCATCCAAGTCAATGCCTGGCTTTAATTTAATCACTCATGCCTTAATCGATTCCTGTCACATGCTAAACACTGTGAGTGGTGGGGAGAGGCTGCTCCTAGGCATAATTAGAATATGAGATTCTGTACCAAGTCCCTGTCTGGTTAGGAAAAAACTGAAAACTCCAGAAAAAACAGAAAAGCTCCCAGGAAATTCCATCCAAGGGTCGTGACTTGAGCCCAGAAGGAAGTCCCAGCCCTTCCCCAGAGAAGTCAGCACTGGCAGGGGCTGGAAATCACTTGAGGTCATGCTCAAGGCACCCCCACCCACTGTCTTGCACCCTGGTTTGGGGCTCCTTCCTTCCAAAGAAGGGGACAGACAAGATCAGTGCAGGCTGGGCTGTGGCCACCCATGCATCCCTCCTGGGCACGGACCCTGCTGGCTCAGCCCTCACCCCTAGGAACCAGCTGCACCGTCTGACTGACGCTAAGGGAGCCAGGTGGCAGCAGCTATACTATTTCAGGTCAGGCTAAAGTCAGCCCACCAAAGACTTCAGATCAGCACCTGACTGCGGCTCCTGGGAGGCATCCCCCAGCCCTGCAGCACTTCTGAGAAGCTCAAAGGAATTCTCTTAAGTTGTTTTATTTCAGTTCTATGACTATGCGAACAGAAGAGAGACCACATTATCATCCATTCTGAGGGGGAAGACAGTATAATCTCCATTTCTCAGATGGAAATATGGAGGCATGGGAAATCTTAATCTTGGCCAAAAATCTCTTAGTTGACAAATGAATTCAGGGCTTGGCAACCCTAAGCAGCCAGTGATAACAGGGGCCCACAAATGAGGGAGTAGCTTGCTTCTGGAATTCAGTCTTACTGGTAACAAACGATAAGATCTTTTTAAAAGTCTTTTTATTTTTATTTTTTTTAACTTGGCCCAGATTGTCAACTTATGAATCCTACTGATTAAAAATTTTTTCTTGCATTTCTCATCAGCCATCGAACATTGGTTCATGATTATTTATAGCACTTAATGACATTGAAAGGGATTTATTTCAATTTATTCAGTCTTTATTAACACTCCACAGGGAACAGAGTGCAGCCGCCACTGGCCTTTTCTCAGGCACAGTTGAGATGCTAAGAAGGGAGGAACTTCACCACTAAAGGAAGAACTGAACCCGGTGGAGAGAAGCCCAGGAGGCAAGTTATCCCTATAGGATTATCCAGGAAAAATATTAAATAGGTTTTAATAAGGTTCAGGTGAGTTTATGAATGATCACTTCATTATTCAAGCGGATTTAGGGATGTTCTGCAAAATCCTCCGTTTCTAAGCTGGCCTCATGGGGACCAGCAGCAGAGGCAGAGGCTGAGCCGCTGCACTGGGGATTGGGGCCAGCGTGGAATTTCCCCTGCTCATAGGGAAAAGACAAGACAGAAAACGGATGGTGGGAGGGCTGATGACTCTTCCAAATGGCTATTCCTGATGTTTCCTGGCAATGAGCAGCTATGAAAGGGACAGGTTCACATGCGACTACACCATGACTTTTGCTGTGCCCCAGTGTAACAGGAGGTTATAGACAACAGTTTTATTTGCATATATAACCTTTGCTTGGCTTATTAACATATTGCTGATTTAAATTCTGATACATTGTCAAAGTAGAAAGCTGTTCGGGTTTTTGGCAAGCCCAGTATAAAAAATGCAGGCATGCAACAAATAGGTAGTGAATATTCACATTTAAATACATGTAAATATAAATAGAATTAAAAAAAAAAAGTTTAGAGACAGGGCCTTGCTGTGTTACCCAGGCTGGAGTGCTATGGGACAATCATAGCTCACTGTAGCCTTGAACTCCTGGGCTCAAGCGATCCTCCTGCTTCGGCCTCCCAAGTAGCTAGGGCTACAGACACATGCCATCATGCCCAGCTAATTTTTACAGTTTCCTTTTGTAGAGACAGGATCTTGTTTTGTTGCCCAGGCTAGTCTCAGACTCCTGGCTTCAAGTGATCCTCCCACAGTGCTGGGATTACAAGTGTGAGCCACCGAGCCTGGCCTCATTTATATATATATATGTGTATATATATATAATATATATAAAATATATTTAATATATATAATATATATAATATATATATAATATATAATATATATTATATATGTTTTTATATATATTATATATTATACATATTATATATATAAAAATATATATAATATATAATATATAATATATATTATAATATATAATATATATAATATATATAATATATTAGATATATAATATATACAATATATTATATATATAAATATATATAATATATAACATATATAATATATACATATATAATATATAATATATAATATATATAAATATATATAATATATAAATATATAATATATAAATATATAATATATAATATATAATATATATAAATATATAATATATAAATATATAATATATAATATATATAATATATAATATATATAAATATATAATATATAATATATAATATATAATATATAATATATATTATATATAAATATATAATATATATAAATATATAATATATAAATATATATAATATATAAATATATAAATATATAATATATAATATATATAATATATAATATATAAAATATATAATATATAATATATTTATATATTATATTATATAAATATATATATTATATTTTAATATATATTATATATATAAAAAAAATATATATAAAACCAAAGAGATTCCTTTTTTTTTTTTTTTTTGAGAAGAAGTCTAGCTCTGTCGCCCAGGCTAGAGTGCAGTGGTGCGATCTCGGCTCACTGCAACCTCCACCTCCCGGGTTCACGCCATTCCCCTGCCTCAGCCTCTCGAGTAGCTGGGACTACAGGCGCCCGCCACCACGCCCGGCTAATTTTTTGTATTTTTAGTAGAGACGGGGTTTCACAAAGCCAGGATGGTCTCAATCTCCTAACCTCATGATCTGCCCGCCTCGGCCTCCCAAAGTGCTGGGATTACAGGCGTGAGCCACCGCGCCCAGACTGCCTGATGTTGCCCTGATTAATTACCCAAGAAGTCTCTTTTTGGGGGACAGGCCATGGGAGGGGGATGAGGCAAGACAATAGTTTGGTGCCACTGTTCAATTAAGAACAACTGGAAACAGGTACCACTGAAATGACCTGCAAATCAATGGCAGAACTGGATCCGATCCAGGACAACTCTGTTGACACATGATTTAGAACGCTGGCTCCAATTCAGGAGGAGGAGCTGTCCTTTACGCTGGGGGAGGAGCACCGTCCCACGGTTCCATGAATTTGTCCTTCCCAGCACTTCGTTCTTGGCATTCTGTGGCGTCTGTAGAGCACATGACAAGCAATTACAGAGCCAGGGGTCTTCTAATATCCTTGCTATCCCAGGGAGGAGGACACAAGCATGAAAGTGCATCCCTGGACTTTTTGTGGTGAAACTGCAGACTTAGATCCCAAGATAACATCACCAGCCTTCTCAGTAAAACAGAAAACTGGGCCATAGGCTGGAAGGAAAACCAGCAGCTGGGACTAGAGATAATTATGTCCCTCTTCTCTTTGATGCCTGGATTTAGCAGTAGGGTGGACGGGGCCAAAGGAGAGGAATGAATGAAACATTATTATCAATTGCTTCAGATTTAATTCTCACTTGCTGATTTAAAACTGTTTTTAGTGTTGGACATTGATCTAAGACTCTTTCCTCAGGGGAGTTAATATAGCAAAGGGAATTTAAACTTATTTTCAGTCTGTTGAGGAGGATTTTACCCTCTTAAGTTGGGATTCTATGTGAATGACTTCAAAGTGCTGTGCTAGTCCTGGCAGACAGACAGAAGATGGGCGGGGAGAATGCCCACCTTTTACTAATTTATAAGTTTCCCCAGTAGGTGTTCTTCTGATACCCTGTAAGAATAAGACATGAAGGTCTGTAAACATGCAAGGCTGGGGTCCACACAGCCTGATCTGCAGTCAGGACTGCCTCTTATCACAGCCAAGCACTTACTAAAGGTCATCTGTGCCCATTCAAAATCTTGTATGTACACCAGACTTGCTATAATAATCACATATCCTAAATAAGGTGCAAGCTGGCCGGGCGCGGTGGCTCACACCTGTAATCCCAGCACTTTGGGAGGCCGAGGTGGGTGGATCACTTGGGTCAGAAGTTCGGGACCAGCCTGGCCAACATGGCGATACCCCATCCCTACAAAAATACAAAAATCAGCCGAGCATTATGGTGTGTACCTGTAGTCCCGGCTACGGCGGAGGCTGAGGCGGAATTGCTTGAACCCAGGAGGTGGAGGTCGCAGTGAGCCAAGATCGCGCCATTGCACTTAAGCCTGGGCGATAGAGCGAGACTCCGTCTCAAAAAAAGATTAAAAAATAAGGTGCAAGCTGATGGAGTAAAAGTGCTGAGGAATAAGCTCTTCAAATCATTCAATGATTTTAAGAAAATTTAGTTGAATGTTTTGGAAAGACTTCATAAAGGTGAGTAATATTTACTATCAAATGGGATGGTAAAGACCATGAAAAAAAAAAAAAAAAGTAAAATCCCTGAAGGATTCTGCATTCAGATGACTCCACAATGTAAACCCAAAATCCAAACTGAAATCGGAGGACCCAGACAGTGCATTATTAATGTGGCATAGGCAAAACAGACAAGAAATTTCAACTGGCTGATCCAGACACCAAGAGAAGACCTGAGCCCTGTGTCAAAAGATGGGTGAACAAATTCACATTTATATAGTTTCGGTTAAAGTAAAATCTTGGAAATCTATGTGTATCATTTAAATGATTTTCTGATATAATGACTTTTTAAAACTGATATATTGTTACTTAGTCTTGATTTAAGCGATAAGAAGGCTTCTTAGGCCGAATTTATTAATTCATAAATGACTATACTTATTGGATACATGGAATTCCTAAGATTCAGTACACCACAAGTTTGCTTTATTTAATCCTTTTCTACTCTACTCTCAACCAACCACCCTGAAATCTGTTTGCCAGTTTACCAATGTCAGCACTCTGTTGAATTACTTCATTTGTAAAATCTCTTCTTTACCTCCTTCGCCTTCCCTGACTGCCATTACTTTCTCGATCAGCCCTCACTTTTTATTCAACGAGTAAACTGGAAAGATCTCTGAACCCGATGTACTAAGCCAGGTCACCCTGCCCGGGATGGCTGGCGGGAAGGCAGGTCAGTTTGGGCTGGTGGAGAGCATGCAGTTTATTCCTGGCATGGAGTGGATTTCAGGAAGAAGATGAGGCAGGGACAGCAGATGACAAATCTCCGCTTGCCTGTGGCAAGAGTTCTGTGTGTACATTTAAACATGGGTGTGTGCAATTTTCAGAGGATCCACTTCTGCCCAGTTTGGTGCAGGGGAGCTGGGTAGTTGCCGACTTTTCCTATCTTGATCCCTACTCAGTGTAACAATTTATCTGTACAACTGATTCCATCACCAGGATCTTTAGACCCCTCTGGTCATTCAGCCAATCACAAGCACTCATCCACAGGACACCGCCGATGATGCCATTTACTGAGCAGTTACTATGTGCTTGGCCCTAGTGAGTACCGGGTTAGCTTGTGTGAACCCCATGGCAACCCGTGAGACAGGTACCATCATACTCCAAGTTGTGGATGACAAAAAACTCTCCAAGCAGCTAAACAATATGGCTTAGGTCTCACAGTGAGCAGGGAGCTGGGATTTGTGCCCAGGAGGCCCGATCAGAGCCTACCTCCTTAACCATTAGGCCAAACTGCCTCCACATGCAGAACACTGCCCTGCACTGGGGACCTGGGGGAGGGTAACAGTGTCTGCCCTTGAGCTGCTCCCAAACCTTCCTTGAATAGCCTTGGCACAAAATGCATTTCTTGGGGACTCGCTGACATGGTGTTTGGATTTCTATCGGGTCCCTGATTGGGCTCAGCATGGAGCCTGATGAAATATGAAAAAAGCAAAGAAAATTAAGGGACTATACATGGAAGTTGTTCGAGTTTGTATTTTGCTGAAGCCCATTCTATCTGCATGCTTACAGAAAGTTTCCTAACTGGAGAACCCAGAAAGCTCAAAACCTGTCTCAAATTCCTCCTCACACTCAGTTGGGAGCCATCTGGGCAGGCAGGGAACCTGGCAGAGGTGGCAGGAGCATGGCACCTGGAGACAGGAAAGGAATTCTTGGACAGCAAACTCTTTGGCAAGGCAACAGGGGCGAGACAGAGGATTCTCAGGTAGCCCCAAGGTACCACAGTATAATGGAATACTTATTGCAAAGCCTGGGCCCCAGGAAGTGAGAAAAGCCTCCCAGGCCCATCTTTGCCAAAAGATTCTTACAAGAGGACTTGCCTATGCCCACCCAACTCAACCCACACCCACAATCTCAGAGCAGGCCTCATCAGTGGGCGCCAACGCTTTCACCTTGCCGAGGTACAGAACCTAAGCTGGGGATCTGATGTCCCTAAACCTCAGAGACTTGACCTTGGCCACACTGAATCTACGTCTTGATCCCCCAGTCTTGATTTCCAGCCTTCCCTGGGTCAATCAAACCAGCTGCCCCGTCATATGGCAGAGCAGTCCAGAAACCCTGGATTGGGGGAAGAGGTTTAAGGACCTTAGGAAGAGATATTTGCTCTTTGTTTTATAAACAGAGCACCAATGTAGAGTGAAATGCCTTGCTCTCTGTGTCGGGGCCAGATAAGAAATTGAGAGCTTTAACTCCACATCTCCCTAACCTTATTCTGGGTCATGCTCCGATTACAGACTCTTGTAAAAATTCATTTGTGAGACAGTGGTTTTGGAATCAATATTCTACTGGGTCAATGTTATAGATCATATCTGGGTTCCCAGACTAGTCCACAATGGCCAAGTAAACCCACATGTGGCTGAGAGGGGAGGGAACTAGTGTCAGGCAACCAGCTCCACCACCCACTGGCTCTGTGACCTTTAGCAAGTTACTAACCCTCTCTGTGCTTCAGTTTCCCCATCACGGAGATAATAACAGCACCTGCTACATAGCGGAAGTGTTGTGAGGATTAAATGAGATAATCTTAGCAAGCACTTAGAATAGGGCCTCCTAAAAGACACTCAATGAATGTAATTAAGATAGCAGTGCCAGTGTCAACCCCAGCAGTGGTGACATTGGGACTGGGTCATATTTTGATGTAGGAGACTGTCCTGTGCCTTCCTTGTAGGATGTTTAACAGCATTCCTGGCCTCTACCCACAAGATGTCAGTAGCACCCTCCCCGAGTTGTGAAAACAAAAACATCTCTCTAGACATCTCAGTGGCCCCCAGTTGAGAACCATGGTTTTACAGGAAAACAGCTGAGAGTCCCTGCTGGAACATGAGGACTCCTCTCCCTGCTGCAGCCCAGCTGGTGAGGCTGGGGTCTTCTCTTCCCGTCACCTGCTGAGGTGCCCCCCAAACGCCAGCTCCATGTCACTAGTGGAAGCACCTAACTCCTGGGCATGGCAAGTTAGGAGTGGCCAGGGGGGTGTTTCTGGGAGTGTGAGGGGGCTTTGGGGGTCTCTGAACACGGTGATGAGGAAAGTGGTGGTGGAGGAAAGAGCAGAGTCAAACGCAGTTTCCCACCTGCTTCCCACTGTATTTCCCCATTTATCCTTCATGGATAAAATCCATTTGGTATGGACCGAATACCTCTTGTATGTCTAGCACTGTATTAGGCCCCTACGGCTGTTTTTATTTGTTTTTGAGTGATTCTTTTTCAAGGAGGGAGTAAGGAAGATGCTAAATAAATACATCAATAGAAGGCAAGGTCCAGTTGGAAAATTATCACATGTCCAATTGGAAAAATAACACGTGTTCGTACATATAGCCACAGAGCTACTGAAACCACACACATAAATGCTGAGGGAAAGTGGAATAAAACAGTTTCTTTAAATTTTCAACAAATGGACTGTAACAACAGATGTTAAAAAGGCAGAAGGAAAACCACAATCTTATCCCATCTCCAGGCTGGCACCGACCTCCAAGGGCATGAGGGTCAAAGGGCACGTTTAATAGAAAGGCCACTTTTTCCAACCGGAATAAATCTAACCTTTCCTCAATCAAAGCGATTCTAAGTTTTCTAACAATTTATGGGCAGTATCCATTTCTTTTGTTCCTGTCGGAGGAGCAATGCCTGATATTAGAAACCACTTAAAAGTCACGCCCTTCCAGCAGGAACAGTCATGGACTGTCACTCATCCAAAACCCAGCAAAGCCAACAAGCCCCTTCCCCAAATCGTCCAAAGGTGAACCCAAGAGCCAAGCCAGGTTATTGCTATATAAACATCTGTTAGAGAAGCAAACTTGGCCAAGGAATGTATGAGCTTCAAGAGTCACTCCGGACCTGCGTAGCAGGGGTGGGGGCAGGGGATACACTTATCTGTTTATCCATTAATTTGTTTACGTAGAGGGAGGATTTGGAGATGCTTATACAGTAAATATAAGCAGCTTATACAGTAATTATAATACAATGCTTATACAGTAAATACAATGCTTATACAGTAAATATAAGCAGCCATCACAAAACACAAAATGACACCCCAGAATCAACCGCGGTAGGAAAGACATTTCCCTGTCTCCTGTAGGATGGGTCAGTTAAGGGGCCGAGGGGGATCAGATAGAACTCAAATTGGTCCTGCTGAGCCTGGAGCCTGAGCACGCAGAGGGGTGAGCTAGGCAGTCGCTGTCGGAGCCCCCATCATCCCTTCCAGCCTGGACCATTCTGAGACGGAGGTTTGGAGTTACAGGTGTGTGAGCGCCAGAGGGTGAGAGGGGTCACTCGCTCGGAATGTAAGAGCTCCCGCCTGCTGGGAATGGGGAGGAGTCGTCGATGGCCCCAGGATCCGTGCCCAGACATTTCCAGAGGCGCACCGGCTGGTTCAGCACCCCACCGTCATCCGCGCAAAAGCTGCATCCCTCGAGGTCCTGGAGGGAAGCCATTTCCTTAAAGCGCGCGCAGAGCCAGGATAGAGTTTCCTACGAAGGACCGTCCCCCTGAGGTTCCTCCATTAACAGCGCCCCCGGCCTTGCCCACCGCAGCGGCCCCACCAAAGCGCCAACACATTTCAAAATGGAGCGAAATCGCAGAAGCGCGGAGTGCGCTTTGTTCCCAGCATTGGGCTAAATGCGCTCATCCCCACCGGGCTCCCTTTCCTCCAAAGGCAGGAGGTGACATCTCTGCTCGCGAGATGGCAATACGTAGCCGTGGCCGCGGGCTCCCCTTTTCCGGGGCCACCCCGAGACCCTCGCTCCATCTGGAAGGGGAACCCCGCGCCCAGCTCTGTCTGGGGGCGAGGGAGGAGAGACGATGCTTGAATCGATCCCTGAGCCGCTCTGCAACCCCTCGCGGCGGGCCCAGCCATGCGAGGAGCCTCGCAGTACCCAGGCTCCAGCCCTCTACGCCACCGTCAAGGAGGGTCGGCCTGGTCCCGGGCGGGCAGCCAAGCCATTCCCCAGAAATTCAGATCAACCTGGGCGACCCGCGTGGAGGATTCAGCTCCTAGATGCTCTTCCGTCTCAGAAGTGCGCCCCCCGCACCAGTTTTCAGCGATAGAATTAACCAGAAAACCGTGCGTACCAGGTTCATCACAGGAGGGCGAGGCATGGATTCGTTGGCCAGGAGTTCCCCCTGCCGCCCCAGACTCGGTTTTGGGGGCGCGGTGAACTTGGACACGGGTGAAATTTATTTAAGATAAATAATATTAATCAGTACGGACATAATATTAATAAAAATACACCCAGGGCCGCCTATCTGCGTGTCTGCGGCCTCCAGGGGCCAATCAGAAACAGCCTCAGGCGCGGGGGTTCGGGGCTTCCTCCCGTGTCCTCCAGGAGGCCGACTGGGCGCGGCTCCCCCTACCCCAGGGTCCCCAATCTCCGCAGGGAAGGGGTGAGGCCAGCCCCAAGATCCCCTCTCCGGACACCTGTGGTTTCCATGGCAATCCCCCCTCTGCGCCCAGTCCAGTGGGCTCAGAAAGATGGGTGTGGCCGAAGCACCAGTAACCTTATGCCCCTTCCTCACATTCTCCGGCCAGGCGAAGCAACAGGGCGTAAAGCCGGAGAGGCCCCGCCAGGGCTCCCCACCCATCCCCGGATGGGTAGCCAGCGTCCCTCGCTGGGCAACCTGGTGTGGCGTGGCCCTCAGGACACTTGGGGTGTAGGGAGGGGCGAGATCCCTCTGCCGCCGCCCGCAGCGCGCACGGAGACTCGAATCCCATCCCTTCAGAAGCTTCCCGGCGCCGGCAGACTCCGAGACGAGGCTGCGCGCGGTCACGCCCGTTCCATGCGTGCCGGGGGTCGGGGGGTTGACTCGAGTTCATCGAACCCAGCAAGCCTCGAGATCCAACAATGGGCTCGGAAATGAGGAGCGAAAAAGGAAAGAGAGGCGCATGGGCGTAGGGGGGAGGTTGACTGAACACCCTCAGAATAAAAGCCAGAAACCAGGGCTGGGAGCGCAGATCACGTAACCTCTACAGACAAAGCAAAGAGCCCCCGAAGAAGGTGCTGGGCGAACGCCCCCAGTGCTCACGCCCGCAGCAGCAAAACGCCAAGATTTCAGCGCTGATTGTCCCCCTCCCTTTAATGCCAGGCCCCGCCCTGTCCTATGAAGCCCGGCCACCCGGTTTGGCATGGCACCGTAAAGACGTGACACGCCGAAAAAAGATGGCACCTCGCGTTCCGAGGGGGAAAAAAAGGGGGGCTGGGGGCGGGAGTGGGAGGAGGCACAGCCTATCCTCCCCCTTCCTCGCCCACCAGGGTCCACACCCACTGCCGCAGTGAGGGGCGAGCCCTGCGCGCCAGCCCCGCGCCTCCGGCAGGGAGCGCACACGCCGGGCGCCCTGCGCTCCGAGCGCTGAGAAAGAAATCCGCCCCGAGATGCACCTGCAGCCCCGCGCCCATCCGTGCGTGGCTGCGGCTGTGCGTGCCCGCGAACGGGGACCAGCGGCCGCCGAGTCCGTCCACATCGCCAGGCCAGGTGAACCCTGCCTTTGCGAGCGTGCACAGTGGGATCCGCGCACTGTTCTCAGGCACGGCGCTGCTCGCGTCTCTGTGCCAGGCGTGCGCAGGGGGAAGGGCAACTAAAGTGACAGCGCGTGGACCCCTCCCCATCTCCTCGATTTCTCCCAGCCCCCAAATGTCCCCTACGGGTTTCTGAAGGAGGAAAAGGGGAGGGGGCCGGCCCCCGCCTAAAATCAGGGGCAGTGAAGGCCCTGTCGGAATCACTGCTCGGGAGGTGCAGGGAGGGGCGTGCAGGGAGTCATCTTTTCTAGAACCCGATCCACGTCTTTCTTAGAGCTGATGGCGAACAGCGGCAGGGACAGCGGATTTCAGATTCGGTTTCGGGGGTCGTTATCGGACCCCTCCACACACACACACACACACACACACACACACACACACACACACGCCCATTGCGGCAAAAGGCTGCAGTCGAGAGTGAAGGGCAGCCCCCTCCCCCAAGTCACCGCCGCCGCGCCCCACCCTGCCGGCACAGCCTCCACCTGGGGTCTGCGCGAATCTGGTGGTGAAGACCCTCCAGCACACACACACGCGCGCACTCACGCGTGCGTGCATCCCTTGCTCAGGTCCCTTTCCAGGCCGCCCTGGCCCCAGCCCCCGAGCAGGGGAGGCAGGGAGGGGCCCTGCGGTGGCCCCGACCGATGCCCGGCGCACGAAGCCCCAGTCTGCGGAGAGGGAGGGCGAGGGGCGGCGGCGCAGGGGTGCACAGAGGCGGACGGCGAGGCAGATTTCGGAGCCGCGGCGCTTACCTGATAGTCGACAGAGGCGAGGACGGGAGAGGACAGCGGAGGAGGAGAAGGTGGCTGTGGTGGCGGCGGCAGAAGGTGGGCGGTGGCAGCGGCGCTGCTGTTGGTGCCGGAGCTGGTGGGTGGCGGTGACTGCGAGGGCGCGCGCCGGCGAAGAGGGCGCGTTCCTGAGGCCGGCGGGCGGCGCAGGCGCGAGCAGCGGGAACGCGAGCCTCCCCAGGGGAGGGGGCGGGCAGCGCGGCCTCCGCGGGAGCCTTCTCCTCCGGCCACTAGTGGGCGCGCGCGAGCGCCCTGCCGCTCGGCCGTCCGGCGTCTCCCGGCTCGTTCCTCTCGGCGCTGCCCTTTCGCGGTCCCCCTCCCGCTACGCCTCAGGCCGCGGCGCTGACCGCAGCGCGCACGCGCGTTCCGTGGCGCACGCGCTTTCTCCACCTCCTGTAGTTGGAGTCTTTGTGTCGTTGCGGGGGTGGGTGTCCTCCTTCGGGCCATGCGGGGTCGGGGCAAGGCCAGTGGCTCCGCCGCTGGGTCCGCTGCCCTTTACTTTCAGTCAGCCTGGGGCGGTGTCCTCTCCTACAGAAGTCCTGAGCGGCCTTCCACGTGGCCGGCCCTCGAGTCCGTCCGCCCCGACCCTTCGTAGTCCCGAAACCGCCCCCCTGGCTAAGGTCTCTTTCCCCCAGGCTGCTTCCTTTCTCCTTGCTTTTTTCCCACCTTTTTTGTTACTGACCAAGGTGAATCCTTTCCTTAACAAATCGGCTTAAAGCAAGCTAACTCAGTTACAATACAGTAGAACTGTACTTAAAAAAAAAGAAACGTGAATCTAACCGTTACGTCAGAAAAAAAAATCTTAAATTAGACGAATTTCAAACAGTGCTTAACACATCGCAGAGCATTTGCAGTTATTTGTATCACGTCTTTTGAAACACCTTTATGCTGTAAATAGAGCTTGAAGTCTGAATGTTTAAGGGCCAGCTAGAGATTGTCCCCTGGAAGACGCACCTCAGCCTGAAACTGACCAGTGGTCCTCATTCTGCTGGTCGCCCAGGCCCCAGGCTTCGGCCTTAGCTTGGATTTTTCATTTCCCCAACATCAAGTTTAAGCCCAAGCAGTGGGATGATTTCTATGTAGGGGGGTTTAGGGCAGCCATCTCCTCCTAGGGAGATGGGAAGTTGTCTTGAAGCTCCAATTTGCATAGCTCTTATATTCTTTTTAAAAAATCAACATATGTTATAGATTAATAGAAAAAGCAAGTAAAATGCTTTATTCACACAGTTTCTGGAACTGACCTTTTTCTCCTTTTTTTTTTTAAATGCATATTAACTTTATTTTTAAACAGAGGGGCATATACCCAAAGAAGTAGGAGTGAGAACCACCATGGGGGCTTGCTCAAAGCAATCTGCCCTAGCCTTCTGACTACAGAATGTCTCATGAGCCAATGGCCTGGAGATGGAGCTGCCCCTTGATGGTGTACACCTTAGAAAAGTCAGTGGAATTGACCTTTTTTTGGAGACAAGGTCTTGCTCAGGCTGGAGTGCAGTGGCACAATCGTAGCTCACGGCAAGCTTGAACTCCTGGGGCTCAAGCAATCTTCCCACCTCAGCCTTCTGAGTTGCTGGGACTACAGGTGGGCACCACCACACCTGGCTAACTTTTTTTTTTTTTTTTTTTTAGAGAGGAGGTCTTGCAGTGTTGCCCAGGCTGCTTTCTAACTCCCACCTCAGCCTCCCAAAGCGTTGGGATTACAGGCATGAGCCACTGCACTCAGCCTGGAATTGACTTTTTGTTGTTGTTGTTCTAACTGCCACCATCCTAGTTCAAGACCTCTATCTTGGTTCTGGACATGTAGGGACCTTAGTGATCTCCTTGCTCTCCAGTTTCTCCCTATATCAGCCCACCCTGCAACCCCTAGTTAGATCAGTATTCAGAAGTGATCATTTTATTTATTTATTTTTGGTTTTTTGTGTGTGTTTGTTTTGTTTTTTTGAGATGGAGTCTCGCTCTGTTGCCCAGGCTGGAGTGCAGTGGCACGATCTCGGCTCACTGCAACCTGTTTCCCGGGTTCAAGCGATTTTCCTGTCTCAGCCTCCCAGCTACTGGGATTACAGGCATATGCCACCACTCCCGGCTAATTTTTGTATTTTTAGTAGGACGGGATTTCACCATGTTGGCCAGGCTGGTCTCGATCTCCTGACCTCAGGTGACCCAAGCTCCTCAGCCTCCCAAAGTGCTGGGATTACAGGTGTGAGCCACCACACCTGGCCCAGATCATTTTAATTATGTCACTCTCTTGCTCAAAAATATGTAAAAGCTTCTAACTGCCTCCTAAATTAAGTTCAACCCCTTAGTTTAGCTTTCAAGTGTCCCCCCAATGCCCCAACCCCCCATCATCTGAGCCCTTGTCCTCCCATTTTCTTTCCCACCTACTCTGTAGCCAGCTGAAGTGGCTTGACTAGAACTCTTTTTCCACCTCTGTAATTCTGAGGTTTTCCTTTGCCTACAAAGGTCCTTGTTCTTTCTTCACCCACCAGTAGTCTACCTAACCTTCAAACTCTAGCTCAAATTTTACCAAAGCCTTCCCTAATCACCCCAACTGGAAGGGACATTTCCAGTCTCTAGAAGGAGTTCAGCAAAATTACTCTTCTTCTTTCTGAAAGTGGGAAGGGGGTGCAGTCAATATCCGTCTTGCAGCATTGAAATGTGGTTATTGTCCCCAATAGTGTCCCCTTTTTTTGGTGTGGGGATTATACATACTTGTCCATTACCATTTACATGATGTAGACATTCCAAATAGGCGCTTCAAGAGCATTGCAAGGTTCTACCACTTTTACTCTTCCTTTCCGCCACCAGAATGGCGTGGCTCCAGAGAGCTGTTCCTTCAGCTTAGATCTCAGGAAGGAAAAACTCGAGGAAGTACATGTCACATGAGCAAGAAATAAACATTTGGGGCTGGGCGCAGTGGCTCATGCCTGTAATCCCAGCACTTTGGGAGGCTGAGGTGGGTGGATCGCTTGAGGTCAGGAGTTCAAGGCCAGCCTGAGCAACATGGTGAAATCCCATCTCTACTAAAATCACAAAAATTAGCCAGATGTGGTGGCGCGTGCCTGTGTTCCCAGCTACTCGAGAGACTGAGGCAGGAGAATCGCTTGAACCCAGGAGGCAGAGGCTGCAGTGAGCCGAGATTGCACCATTGCACTCCAGCCTGTTACAGAGCAAGACTTGGTGTCAAAAAAAAAAAAGAAATAAGCATTTGTTGTGCAAGCCACCGAGATTTGAGGAGTTGTTACCACAGCGTCCTGTATCCTGATTGATACAGGAATTAAATGAGGTGTGTGTGTGTGTGTGTATAAAGTTTCTTACACAACATCTGACAAATAGTCATTAAACTATCATACTATTATAAATACTATACTATTATACTATTATAAATACTAGTTATTTCATTATCATCTTTGTAATAATGCTTTTGCTACACATTATTTTATTTCTATACGTAAAATAAACTGTAGCAGTCAAATCAACACTCGTCTACATTCAAATTTCACATTTTTCCCCCTCTAAGATAACAGTATAATTGAGAACTGACAGGGACCTAATGACAGTATGGTCCCCTCACACTGAATGGTCACATTTGCCTAAATTGAAATAACGTATGCTAGAAACAATCTTAAGCAGATCTGTCATTTTAACTATATGTGATGTAGAGTTGAATGTTCATTCCAGATAATTTAGTCAATGTAGGTAACTAATGGCTCACACTAATTCAGGCCAAGAAAATGCATTCCCTCTCTTTCTTCCTGTCCCTTTCTCTTGCTGAAAGAGAAATCTCATGGCCGCATATGTTATACAATCATGCCCACTTATGTAGGATCACAGAAGGCAGAATAGCAGAGAAGAAAGAAAACTGGAGAGTTGGGTCCTGATCCTAGCCATCTTGTATGACCTTAGACAAATTCATTACCTTCTCTGGGTTTGCAATTCCTTTATTTAATGGTGTTCCAGATGCGGTTAGGACTGAGATCAATGTATCTATAGAATTTGGAGGCTCTGCCACTAAATCTATTCACAAAGCAAGCTAAACTGTTGTAATAAATAGACCCCAAAACACAATGGTTCAAACCAACTCTTCGAGCAGTCTTGGGTGAGTGATCCAGGTTGGTAGCCAGCCTTCTCCGTGGAAGGTTTGGGACTCAAGCTCCTTCCATTTGCAGCCTACACCACCCCTGAGGGACTTGTTGTTTGCTTGCTTGAGGCAGGGTCATCATTTAGAGTCTCCAGTTGGGAGGAAGAGAAGGAGCTTATGGAGGAAACACACTGGCTGTCTTAGAGGCTGGAAGTGGCATCTGATCATGTTCCACTGTTAGAACTTAGTCACATGGCCATCCCTAAGCGCAAGGTATACCAATGTATGTAGGAGAGTTGTGGGCCCAGGAAGAAGAGGAGAAAGGATTTGGGTGGAACCTAGGCTGTGCCATATATACTTTTTATGTGGGGGTGGGGGGATGTGGTAAAAAGAACCTGGGAAAAGAACCTGAACTTGTCTATCATGAGATTCAGACATATGTGAATAGGCTATGATGTGGGAGGTGGGGAGAGAGGTAGAGAACTAGCAGAGAAGGAGAAAAACCAGATTTTCAATTAAATGCATGAGAGAGAAGTCATCATTGGATACTTCTGAATCAGAGAGTATTTAACCTTTTTTATATCGTGGCACCCTATGGCAATATGATAAAAGCCCTGTCTCAGAAGAATATTTTCAAATGCATAAAATAAGATCTATAAGATTATAAAGGAAACTCTTATGTACAGTTATCAAAATATTTAAATGTCTGTGATATCGTATGTGATGGACATGGAGATGGAGGTGTGCCGCCCAGATTCCCCTATAGGGAAGGACTTGTTCCAGCCACTGGGAGTGCTGTTGGCAGACAGGCTTCAGCCCTCTGTCCCTTCAGGGATTGTCTCGGCTGCAAGAGTCACCTTGTTGCAGGGAGACCACGTTGAGTGACTGACAGAGGTGGGGGTATAAAGACCCAGTCATGTTGGCCCCACACTGGGAAAGTCTGATGGCCCTATTTAACTCCAGAGCTCCCCATGCCAGCCAGGCAGTTGTTGGGTTGAATCACAACTCAACTTCCTCCTCTGCTCAGTCCTTCCTTCCCCACTGCCTCTGGTATTAATTGTGCATTCTAATAAACATTCTGGGCTGGGTGTGGTGGCTCACGCCTGTAATCCCAGCACTTTGGGAGGCAGAGGTAGGTGGATCACTGGAGGTCAGGAGTTTGGGAGCAGCCTAGCCAACATGGTAAAACCCCATTTCTACTAAAAACACAAAAATTAGCTGGGTGTGGTGGCGCACACTTGTAGTCCCAGCTACTCAGGAGGTGGAGGCAGGGGAATCACTTAAACCCAGGAGGTGGAGGTTGCAGGGAGCTGAGATCATGCCACTGCACTTCTACCTGGGCAACAGAGTGAGACTCCGTCTCAAAAAAGCCCAAACACACACACAAACAACAACAGCAACAACAACAAAAACAAAACAACATTCTGTATCCTGAACTCTCTGCCTCTTGGAGAACTCAACCCAGAATAGTTGGTTGTTAGGAGTGGTCTAGGAAAGCAGATGATAAGGTGAGTTTTAGAGCTGGATCACTTGCTCCCTGGCTGTCAGTGAGGACCTTATCACTTGTAGTAGTTGGAGCACAGATAGTCCCTGACACAAAGTGGCAGTCCAATTGTTAAAGTGGTAAATTGAGATGGTATGCTGGTGGAAGAAAGTGCACTAGCCAGTGTGATATATCAGATGTTTGAGAAACATATGGAAAATAGTAGCTGAAGACAGCATAACTGGGTGACTACTGAACTTAGGTTCAACTGAATAATCATGCTCCAAAGAAGGTTAAGCTTCTGATATGGTTTGGCTGTGTCCCCACCCAAATCTCATCTTGAGTTGGAGTTCGCATAATCCCCACATGTCGTGGGAGGGACCTGGTGGGAGGTAATTGAATCATGGGGGCAGTTACCTCCATGGTGTTCTCGTGATAGTGAGTTCTCATGAGATCTGGTGGTTTTGTAAGGGGCTTACCCCGCTTTGCTCTTCCTGTCACCATGTGAGAAAGGATGGTTTGCTTTCTCTTCTGCCATGATTGTAAGTTTCCTAACACTTCCCCAGACATGCTGAACTGTGAGTCAATTAAACCTTTTTCCTTTATAAATTACCCAATCTTTGGTATGTCTTTATTAGCAGCATGAGAAAGGACGAATGCAGCTTCCAAGCAAGGTAGGCCTGCTATATCAAGGTCAGAGCCCTTGTTGGGAAAGGATGGGACCCTGACATGTGAAACAGGGACATCTGAGTTGATGCCCCTGAAAATCTTGGATTTCCAGATTCTCTTGAATGCTCTGAGCCTGCAGAAGTGCCCTTCCCTGGCTCCTACTCGAAAATGCCAAGGCTTTTTCCCACAGTCAACAAGGAACCCACCTCCCCTCCTGGCCATGAAATGTAAACTAGGGTTAAGTCACAGTATAACTCAGGGACATGATGGGCCTAATAAAGGAGAAAAGGGATTATACCCCAAAGTAGCTGCAAGACCTAACCAGCATACACCAGCAAGAAGCTGGGAAGGACATGTGGGACTGAATGCTGAGGGTGCTTGATCAAGGTGGCCAGAACATGAGATTGGATGAGGGAGACTGTGTTGACTTGGGAGCATTCTATCCCATAATACACAATTTAACATCCTAGCAAAGGCTCCCAGAGATTCTATGAACTCACTCTTAGAAGCATGAAAAAAATAAAGGCCTGCTGGGTGCAGTGGCTCACATCTGTAATCCCAGCACTTTGGGAGGCTGAGGCAGGTGGATCACCTGAAGTCAGGAGTTTGAGACCAGCCTGGCCAACGTGGTGAAACCCTGTCTCTACTAAAAAAAAAAAATACAAAAACAAGCCGGGCATGGTGGCAAATGCCTGTAATCCCAGCTACTGGTGGACTGAGGCAGAAAGACTGCTTGAACCTGGGAGGCGGAGGTTGCAGTGAGCTGAGATCGTGCCACTGCACTACAGCCTGGACAACAGAGTGAGACTGTTGTCTCAAAAAATAAATAAATAAATAAATAAAAATAAAAAATAAAGCCCGTAGTAAATGGGGTAGAAATGCCATCATTGTCCTGGTGGACAGTAGAGGAAGGTGTCACAAGGGGAAGGGCAGTAACCTTCTGGAGTAGACACACTGCAAAAAGTCCAGAAAACCCACCTGATGGTAATGTTCCATAGGGAGGCGCAGAGGACAACCATTCTGAGGACATCAGAGTGTACTGATGAGAGGGGACACCAGCATCAATAAAAAATTCAGGCCGGGTAGGGTGGCTCACACCTGTAATCTCAATACTTTGGGAGGCCAAGGCAGAAGGATCACTAGAGCCCAGGAGTGAGAGACCAACCTGGGCAATGTGGCAAAACCCCGTTTCTGCAAAAAAATGCAAAAATTAACCAGGCTTTGTGGCGCACACCTGTAGTCCCAGCCACTTGGGAGGCTGAGGCAGGGCCTGGAAGTTCAAGGCTGCAATGAGCCAAGATCACACCTACTGCACTCCAGCCTGGGGGAAAGAGCAAGAACCTGTGTCATAAGTAAATAAATAAATAAATAAATAAATAAATAAATAAATAAAATGTAGACTTAGCTGTCTCTGTAGGCCAATACTGGATTGAAGAAGTTCTTATAGAATAAGGCCTACTGATAGCAGAGAGAATGATAGGACCCAAAACAACAGAGGTGGTTTGGCCCTTAACTATCTGTGTGGGTATGGGGGTCATTTTTCCTGGCTGCAACCTTGTGCTTATCTCTAGGGGATCCCGAAGCCATAGTGCTGAGTCGTGATCCATCCAGAATGGAATTTGCAAACCATTGATTAGTGTAGTTCTGTACTGAGTCCAAAAACTACTACAGATATTCTGTACCAACTTGTCACCATTGTTAAGTGAAAATGTACAGATTGATTATTTTCACCTGGTTTCTGTTAGATTATCTTAGTTGAGCCTGATCATGCAAGCTGGTTTTGGCTATGTGACCAGAAGGATATTAAAAACCATCTTAGATGAGATTGTGACTTCCCTGAGACCAAGGCATTTTGCATGTATCTTGGTGGTTTATCATCCTAAGATCAAGTACATCCTATGTACCTGAAAGGAAGATGCGCCTGGATGTCGGACAGCTCCCTGGTGTTTGCCTTTATCCTGCTATATTATTTTCTTTAGTTTTATGAAAGCCCTATGTGAGTATACTTTCAGGAGTCTTCTTGTGATTCCTTCCACTACCTGAGGAGGCACAACTGGGGCACCATCAGAAGCCAGGCAAGTGCACTGATTGTAGTAACTGGCCAGGTTGGAGTGGCAGCCCAGGAGCCTGGTCTACAGAGAGTTATGGAAGTGGGTGATAGAGCACAGAGTCCATGGGGGCAAAAGAGATGGGAGACCAGGCCAGGCGAGGTGGCTCATGCCTGTAATACCAGCACTTTGGGAGGCTGAGGTGGGCAGATCACAAGGTCAGGAGTTTGAGACCAGCCTAGTCAATATGGTGAAACCCCATCTCTACCAAAAATACAAAAATTAGCCGGGCGTGGTGGCGGGCACCTGAAGGGCCAGCTACTCAGGAGGCTGAGGCAGGAGAATCATTTGAACCTGGGAGGCGGAGGTTGCAGTGAGCCGACCTTGTGCCACTGCAATCCAGCCTGGGTGACAGAGCAAGACTCTGTCTCACAAAAAAACAAAAACAAACAAAGAAAAGAAAAAGAGATGGGAGACCCAAAAGGGTACTGCTCAACCTGCACCATTAGAATAAATCATGATGAATGATCAGGAAGCTAAGGCAGACACCCCAGTAAAAAGTCACACGTTGCCCAGTTTTCAGACCTGAGGTAGTTTTCAGATCCAGAACCAATTGATTGAGAAGAAGCCTGGCTCCTCATTAAGAAGGACTGTGCAGCACCATGGCAAATGGGAAAAGAGGAATACCCAAATATCCTGAGGACTGTAAGACACAGTGTCTGAGCTGGCATTGATAACCAGAGGCCTGAAGTATCATCACGGCCTTCGTTAGAGAGGAAGTATTTGGAGACCTGGTAATAAATTGAGTCCCGGCCAAGGTCTGGCTGACAGTGAGTCCACTGGGTCCACGGACCCCATCCAGTCATTATCTCCCACATGAAAAATCGAGATAGAAATATTTGACCCGGATGTGATCTACAGGTGGAGTGACAGCCCAGGAGCCTGATCTACAGAGAGTTGTGGAAGTGGGTAATAGAGCACAGAGTCCCTGAGGGCAAAGAGAGATGGGAGACTGAAAACGGGACTGCTCAACCTGCACCATCAAAAGAAACCAAGGATGAATTCTTGGAGTGTGTGTGATCCTCTCCTATATACACACTGAGCTGGCTTGTGGAGTAAGAGCTATAGTAGTTGAGAAGCCTCCAAGCAGTCCCCTTCCAACCCAGGTCAACATAATAAATCAGAAACAATATTGCATCCCGGGATGAAAGAGTTGAGAAGGTTAATGCCACCCTTGGGGAACTGAAGGATGCAAGGGTAATAGTTACCTTCATGTCTCTAGTATGGTTCATGTAGGAGAAGAGGGATTCTATGGAATGACACTAGACTACTGCAAAGTAAATGGAGTAGTAGCTGCCATTGCACCTACCATGCCAGATCTTTGCTAGAATAGATGAACAGTTTCAGACACATAGTGTGTGGCCATTGTTAGAGAATTCATTCTTTTCTCTTCCTATCTGAAAAGAGGATTCAAAATAGTCCACATTCACATGGAATGGACAACAGTATACATTTACAACTCCCCCCCATACATTAACTTTCCCACCGTCTGTCACAGTCTGGTCTGTGCCAGTTTTTCAATGTATTGACTCTCATCTCCAAGTCACCCTGCATTACCTGCTTTGTGATAATGGAGCTAGACACTTTAAGCATTTCTCCCTTGTGGTGAGCATCAGGTTAAGCTTTGTTGTAGATGCCCTAGAGCGACAAAGCAGAAAGAAAAGCCTTTCCAGCTGGGTGTGGTGGCTCATGCCTGTAATCCTAGCACTTTGGGAGGCTGAGGCAGGTGGATCACCTGAGGTCAGGAGTTCAAGACCTGCCTGGCCAACATGGTGAAACCTTGTCTCTACTAAAAATACAAAAATTAGCTGGGTATGGTGGCATGCACCTGTAATCCCAGCTACTCAGGAGGCTGAGGCAGGAGAATCACTTGAATCCAGGAGGTGGAGCTTGCAGTGAGCCAAGATCACACCACTGCACTCCAGCCTGGGCAATAGAGTGAGACTCCATCTCAAAAAAAAAGAAAAAAGAAAAAAGAAAAAGAAAAGAAAAGAAAAGGCTTTTCTTGCTGTTTCTGTCATGCTTGGGTTTTGCTTCTTCTTGCCTCTACTGTATGGTTGCCAGAGGCACAGGAGAGAGGGCCTCTGCCCCAGCTCCATACGCAGAGTGTGGGGTCCTTGGTGAGCTCACAGCATTGGCCCCAGCTAGGTGCCCAGCTCACTGTGGCTCTCCCAATGAGGTTACATGCACCCAGGATTTACACTGCTCTGCTAGGGATCAAGCTCCTGACACACCGACTCCTCCTGTGCATCCACCTTCCAGCACTGGCTCACCTGTATAATGCAGGGTTGCTTCCTGGGGCCCCCCTAATACAGATATGGCACACCTCAGTCCTTACTCTGCCTCAGTGCAAGCAGGCTCCTGATGCCCCGACTACCTCTGTGCACTGCTCACCAGCACCCTTATAATTCCTCCTCTGTTGGAATCACTGCTTCTTTATCTTAAACTTTTCCTGTTCAAATTACTCTGTGGCTTCTGTCCCTGTTTTGGACCCTGAATGATACAAAGAGATCTGGGCCATCTGGACATTTTGCAGAACATGGCCTTGATCTGTTATGTGAATGACATCCTGCTAAATGGGCCAAAGGAGCAAAAAGTGGCTAGCATGTTAAAGGCATTGGTAGGTTACACACACTCTAGAGGGTGGGAGATGAATACTACAGATATTTAGGAGCCTGCACACCAGGAACAATTTTAGGGGTCCTGTGGACAGGAGCATGTCAGGACAGTCCATCCAAAGTCAAAATCAAATGATTGCATCTCATATTTCTCACCATGAAGAAGGAAGCACAAAACTTAGACATTCTCTTTGGCTTCTGGAGATAGCATATTCCACACCTGGGAATACCACTTGACCAATAATAACCAGTTAACCTGAAAGGCTGTCAGCTTGAATTGGGGCCCAGAACAGGAAAGGGCTCTGCAGTAGGTCCAGGCAGCAGTGCAAGTAGCCTTGCGATTGAGCCATCAACCCAGCAGACTCTATAGTACAAAAGGCATGATGATGAAGAAGATGCTGTGTAGAGCTTGTAGCATGCCCCAGTGGGAGAGTCACAGTGCAGGCTCCCAGGGTTCTGGAGCAAGGCCATGCCATCTGCAGTGGAGGATCATATGCCTTTGGCAAAACAACTCCTGGCACGCTGCTGTGCCCTGGTAGAAATGGAGCACCTGATGGTGGGATACCAACTGATCTTGCACCTGGAACTGCCCTTCATTAACTGGGTTACATCAGATGAGTTAAATTATAAGGTTAGGCAAGCCCAGCAACAATCCATTGTTAGATGGAAGTTGTACATCTGGGATTGAGCATGGACAGGACCTGGGCCACAAGCAAGCTGCACGTGCAGTCTGTTCAGACTCCCAAGCCACCCACCGGAGTTGCACCAGCACCCTCCCTCTACACACACCTAAGGTTATAGGAGGGGTCCTTCTGACCAGCTGATGGAAGAGGAAAGAGCAAGTTTGGTTTGTGAATGGCTTGGCTTGGTTTGTGGGTTTAGGCTGAAAACGACAGGAAATGTACTACAATCTCACTCAAGGGTGGCCTTGAAAGAGAGTGGCAAGGCAAAACCCTCCTAATGGGCAGGGATTTGGGTGGTGTAGCTGTTCACCCATTTTGTATGGACAGAGCAGAGCTCAAGGTGAGAATATATACAAACTTTTGGGTAGTGGTGAATGGCCTGGCCAGCTGATCATAGATGTGGAAAGGGAACAATTAGAAGACTGGAGACAAGGAGATCTGGGCAGAGGCATGTGGATGACAAAGGCAAGAGTACACAAAGGGCCAGGCCTGGTGGCTGGTACCTGTAATCCCAGCACTTTGGGAGGCCGAGGCAGGTGGATCACCTGAGGTCAGGAGTTCGAGAACAGCCTGGCCAACATGGTGAAACCTCGTATCTAGTAAAAATACAAAAATTAGCTGGGTGTGGTGGCCCGTGCCTATAATCCCAGCTACTTGGGAGGCTGAGGCAGGACAATGGTTTGAACCTGGGAGGCAGAGGTTGCAGTGAGCCAAGATCGCGTCACTGCACTCCAGCCTGGGCGAAAGAGCAACTCTGTCTCCAGAAAAAAAAAAAAAAAAAAAAGAGCACACAAAGCTTGATCTTTGTGCCACGTGTTAATGCCCACTAGAGATGACCTACTATGGAAGAGACAGTGGACAACCAAGTAGACAAGAGGACGAGAGTGGGGGATGCCAGTTGGCCTCTGCCATGGGCCGTCCCAATGCTGACCTGATGGACATACGAATGAAGCAGCAGTGGTGACAGAAATGGATGCTATGTGCAGGATGGGTCCCATGTACCAAGGCTACCGCTGCCACCAAATGTCCAACCTCCCGCAACAGAGACCAGTGCTAAGTCTTCAGAATGGACCATTTCTCAAAAAGACGAACCGGCAGGTTGACTTTGTTGGGGTCCCTCCACACATAAGGCCCAGTAATTTGTTCTGACAGGAGTAGACCCATGATCTGAGTACGGATTTGCCTTTCCTGCCTTCGGTGCCTAAGCCAGTATCCTTATCTGAGGGCTTACAGTGTGTTTGATTCTCCAGTACAGGGTCCCACATAGTGTCACATGAGACCAAGGGAACTGCTTTACAGCAGGGGAGGGGTGGGACTGAACCCACAGCCACGGGATCCTCTAGTTAATTCATAGGCTTCTCCATCTAGAAGCAGCTGCCCTGAGTTTGGAAGGCACACCTGAACCATCAATTCTTTACAAGGGTAGGAGACGTACTCCAGGATGCAGGACAGACCTTGAATCAAAGACCTTTTTACAGCCTTGTGGTAGAAAAATGGCCCTAAAGAAGTTCATGCCCAAGTCCCTGGGACCTGTGAATGTGGTTTTTGTTTGTTTGTTTGTGTTTGTGTGTTTGTTTGTTTGTTTTGAGATGGGGTCTCGCTCTGTTGCCCAGGCTGGAGTGCAGTGGCGCAATCTTGGCTCACCGCAGCCTCCGCCTCCTGGGCTCAAGGAATTCTCCTGCCTCAGCCTCCCGAGTAGCTGGGACTGCAGGTGCACACCACCACACCTGACTAATTTTTGTGTTTTTAGTAGAAACGGGGTTTCACCATGTGGGACCTGTGAATGTGTTAGTGTACATAGCAAAAGGAACTTTGCAAATGTGATGAAAAGTAGGGACCTTGAGATGACGGGTGGATCCCCGATTATCCAGGTGAGCCCAGTATAGTCACAAGAGTCCTTAAAAGTGGAAATAATTTCCTGGCTGCAGTAAGAGTGAGAGATGTGACACAGAAGAAGGATCAGAGAGATGTAACGTTGCTGGCTTTTTTTTTTTTTTTTTTTTTTGAGACAGGGTCTCACTCTGTCACCCAGGCTGGAGTGCAGTAGCGACATCTCAGCTCACTGCAACCTCCATCTCCTGGGTTCAAGCGATTCTCCTGCCTCAGCCTCCCGAGTAGCTGAGATCACAGGCGTGTGCCACCACGCCCAGCTAATTTTATTTTATTTTTTTTTGTACTTTTAGTAGAGACAGGGTTTTGCCATGTTGGTCAGGCTGGTCTGAAACTCCTGGCCTCAAGTGATCCACCAGCCTCAGTCTCCCAAAGTGCTGGGATTACAGGCATGAGCCACAGCACCCGGCCGTGATGTTGCTGGCTTTGAAGATGAGGAAGAGGCCAAGTGCTAAGGAGTCCACCTACTCTAGAAACTGGAAGAGGTGAAGCAGGGGAGGGGTGGGAGTGAACCCACAGCCACGGGATCCACTGGTTATATCATAGGCTTCTCCATCTAGAAGCGGCTACCCTGAGAGAATTGGTCAAGCACAGCTTGGAAGGCACAGCCGAACCATCAATTCTTTACAAGGGTAAAAATTCTTTACAAAGGATGCAGGATCCTCTGCTAGAGCCTCCCTGTCGACACCTTGATTTTAGCCTAGTGAGGTCTTTGTTGGACTTCTGACCTACAGAACTCTAAGATGATATATTTGCATTGTTTTAAGCCACTGAGTTTGTAGCACAGCCATACACCAGACAACCACAATGGACTGCATTTATGACGGCAGTCCCATAAGATTACACTGGAGCTGAAAAATCCCTACTGCCTAGTGACTTCATAGCGGTGATGATGTTGTAGCACAATACATTACTCCTGTGTTTGTGATGATGCCGGTATGCAAACCTACTTGCTGGCTGTTGTATAAAAGTCTAGCACATACAATTATGTACAGTACATAATATTGGATAATGATGGCTGGGTGCAATGGCTCATACCTGTAATCCCAGCACTCTGGGAGGCCAAGGTGGGTGGATCACCTGAGGTCAGGAGTTTGAGACCACCCTGGCCAACATGGTGAAACCCTGTTTCTACTAAAAATACAAAAATTAGCCGGGCGTGGTAGCGGGCACCTGCAATTGCAGCTACTCAGGAGGCTGAGGCAGGAGAATCACTTGAACATGGGAGGTGGAGGTTGCAGTGAGTGGAGATCGCGCCATTGCACTCCAGCCTGGGCAACAGAGTGAGACTCCATTTGAAAAAAAAAATTGGATAATGATAATAAACGACTGTGTTACTGGTTTGGGTACTTACTATACTATATTTTTTATTATTATTCTAGAGTGTACTTCTTCTACTTATTAAAAAAAAAAGTTAACTGTGAAACAGCCTCAGGCAGGGCCTTCGTGAGGGATTCCAGAAGAAGGCATTGTTATAATAGGAGATGACGGCTTCATGCATGTTACTGCCCCTGAAGACCTTCCAGTGGGACAAGATGGGGAGGTAGAAGATGGTGGTGATACTGATGACCTTGACCCTTTGTAGGACTAGGCTAATATGTGTGTTGATGTCTTAGTTTTTACCAAGAAAAGTGTAACAAGTAAAAAAAAACAAAATAGAAAAAAGCTTATAGGATAAGGACATAAAGAAAGAATTTTTGTACAGCTGAAAATGTATTTGTGTTTTAAGCTAAACGTTACTACAAAAGTCAAAAAGGTTTAAAAATTTAAGAGTTTATAAAGCAAAACAAGTTACAGTGTGCTAAGTTTAATTTATTGTTGAAGAAAAATAATTTTAATAACTTTAATATGGACTAAATGTACAGTGTTTATAAAGTTGATAGCAGGCTGGGAGCTGTGGCTCACACCTGTAATCCCAGCACTTTGGGAGGCTGAGGCGGGTGGGTCACCTGAGGTCAGGAGTTCAAGACCAGCCTGACCACCATTGAGAAACCCAATCTCTACTAAAAATACAAAAAATTATCTGGGTGTGGTGGTGCATGCCTGTAATCCCAGCTACTTGGGAGGCTGAGGTAGGAGAATCTCTTGAACCCGGGAGGCAGAGGTTGCGGTGAGCCAAGCTCCTGCCATTGCACTCCAGCCTGGGCAAGAAGAGTGAAATTCCATCTCAAAAAAAAAAAAAAAAGTCAACAGTAGTGTACAGTGATGTCCTAGGCCTTTACATTCACTCACCACTCACTCACTGACTCACCCAGAGCAACTTCCAGTCCTACAAGTTCCATTCATGGTAAGTGTCCTAAACAGAGGTACTGTTTTTCAACTTTTTATTTTATTTTATTTTATTTTATTTTTTGAGATAGAGTCTCACTCTGTCTGCCAGGGTAGAGTGCAGTGGTGCAATCATGGCTCACTGCAACCTTGAACTCCTGGGCTCAAGCAATCCTCCTACCTCAGCCTCCTGGGTAGCTGGGATTGCAGGTGCATGCCACCATACCTGGCTAATTTTTGATTTTTTGTAGAGACAAGGTCTCGCTGTGTTGCCTAGGCTGATCTCGAACTCCTGGGCTCAAGTGATCTTCCTGGCTGGGCCTCCCAAAGTGCTGGGATTACTGGCATGAGCCGCTGCGTTTATACTATTTTATACTGCTTTTACTATACATTTACTATGTTTAGACACATTTAGATACACAAATACTTACTATTGTGTTACCGTTGCTGCAGTACTCAGTACAGTAACATGCTGTACAGGTTTGTAGCCTAGGAGCAAAAGGCTATACCATATAGCCCAGGCATTTAGTAGTACCTAGTGCCATCTAGGCTGTGTAAGTGCACTCTATGACGCTCACATGAAGAAATCACCTAATGAAGCATTTCTTAGAACGTATCCCAGTCTTTAATTGGTTCCAGCAGCGATAGAAAACAAACCCCGACAGGAAAAAATACATGGGTTTGGGAACCAAGGGTGAAAACTGAAGTGGCCGCATTTACCGCCACATCATTACAGCTCTAAGCTCTTCAGGGTTAGAGGTCCTGGTCTCCCAAAGGGAAAACTTCCACCAGGGGACACAGCACAGTTTTATTGAACTATCAGCTGTGGCTGCTGCCTGAGCCCTTCTGCTTCCTTAGGTCCAGACATCAGCAGGCAAAAAGAAAAGTTACCATCTTGGAAGGGATAATTAACTTTAGTCATTAGCAGGAAGTAGGGCTGCAATTATACAGTGCAGCAGGGAGGAACACGTTTGTTACCTGGGCACCGGTTGCTACTCCCTTGCCCAACCATGATTGCTAAGGGACAGCAATTTCTCTTATTTCTCTCTTACATAGAAGTCCAGAAGTAGGAGTCAAAGGCTGTTTTAGAAGCTCCAAGACCATCAGGGAGCTCTTATCCAGCTGTATGATTTCTCTACCATCCTTAGCATGCTGCCTCATAGTCCAAAACAGCTGCCTGAGCTCCAGTCATTACATCTGCATTCTAGCCCCCAGAAAGAAGGAAGAGATGAGGAAGAGAACAACTTTACTTTAAGGACATTTCCTGGAAGTCACATATGACATCCTTGCTAACATCCTATTGGCCAGAATTTAGACATTACCACACAAAGTTGCCATCGAGGCTGGAAAATATATTTTTATTACAGGGACTTGTGTCCAGCTAAATACCAGCTATAGGAGGAGAAGGGGACATTGGGGAACAGCCACAATAATGCTAAGAGGCCATCATACTTGGTAATTCTTCCCAGTTATCATGAGCAGCTTACTCTTTGAAATAGTTTCATGAAAACACTTTCATAAAAAGGCATTTTCTACCGAAACAGATGACAGCCTTCAAGACTAACATTCCTTTATTTTCTATTGTAAATTCAGACACCAAATTCAGGGCATATTTAGACAGACTAACATGCATTTGTTCTGCCTAATTGTCTGCTAAACAGGGTGCTTTGATGAGACACGACAGCCCTCTCTCAAAGCCAATATTGGGAAATATCAATATAAAATACAGCTAAATTAGAAAGAGAGTATTAACATTACAGACAAATACTTCACTCTACAAAATGAACCATTACCAGGTTCCCCTAATGTCAGTTCTCCTGTTGCAAATGAAATGTGAGTTGGTTTATGCGGACATTTTCAACATCTTAATTATATAACGTGAGGCAGATCCATGCTTTCATTTCCCTGGACTTACCTCTCACTGATTATTGTTTAGACCCACATGTTCCTTTCTGTGTGTCTATTTCCTGGATGCCTCCTTCCCACCTGCCCTTCCCTCCATTATCCTGCCAGTGACAACTGCCCCTTGTCCAGGTTTCCCGGGTTCTAGCAAGAAGAAGGTAACTGCAGATGAGGGTTTGAGTTACCCATGACTCAGCAGCATGACTCTATCGTCAAAAAAGCAAGGATGATCCTGGGGTCCAGAAATAGGGACAAGGCATCACCGATCCATGAGCTCATCTTCTCATCATATTTGGCTTTGTGCAGACACTCTGGATATCCTGGCATAGGGGAATGACAGATCATTTGAAGAGTGCCCCAAATACAAAACTTGAAAAGGGTGAGCAGAAATCCCTTTCACAGAAACCATGCTATCAGTTGTGAAATCCTACTTTATGGAAGATATAATCGGAAATTTAAAAGTTACCAAAATATTAAGATCTGAGTCAAATCTCATGACCTATAGTCTGGCATTGATACTTATTTTATTTAGATACAGGGTCTCACTCTGTCACCCAGGCTGAAGTGTAATACTGTGATCAGACCTCACTGTAGCCTCGATCTTCTGGGTTCAGGCGATCCTCCCAACTCAGCCATCCGAGTAGCTGGGACTACAAGCGCGCACCACCATGTCTAGATAATTTGTGTGTGTGTGTGGAGACAGGTTCTCACTGTGTTGCCCAGGCTGGTCTTGAACTCCTGGGTTCAAGCCATCCTCCTGCCTCAGACTCCCAAGTAGCTGGGACTACAGGTGTAAGCCACTGTTCCTGGCTTGGGCTTCATTTTTTACAAGCTGTTCTTTATTCGGAATAAAAAGAATTAGCATCTCTTTTTCTAAGTAATACTAAGTACAACCACTCACTGTTACTAGATTAGTGTTCTGGTTTTTCTTTTGAAATCGGAGAGGCAGGCTATTCATCTTTCCATCCATTCAACAGGTGTTTGAGTGTCCCTGTACACCGTGAATACAATGAGGACTAAGATCTTAAGTTGCTTACAATGTAGTGATTTGCAGGTGAGTTATATATATATATATATATAGTTTGTTGGTTGGTTTTTTGAGACGGAGTCTTGCTCTGTCGTCCAGGCTGGAGTGCAGTGGTGCGATCTCGGCTCACTGCAAGCTCCGCCTCCCGGGTTCACGCCATTCTCCTGCCTCAGCCTCCCAAGTAGCTGGGACTACAGGTGCCTGCCACCACGCCCAGCTAATGTTTTGTATTTTTTAGTAGAGACAGGGTTTCACCATGTTAGCCAGGATGGTCTCAGTCTCCTGACCTCATGAGCCGCCCGCCTTGGCCTCCCAAAGTCCTGGGATTACAAGCTGAGCCACCGCACCCAGCCTATTAATTTATATTGGTCTAGCTAGGCATGGTGGCTCACACCTGTAATCCTAGCACTTTGGGAGGCCGAGGCGGGTGGATCACCTGAGGTCAGGAGTTCGAGACCAGCCTGAGAACATGGTGAAACCCTGTCTCTTCTAAAAATACAAAAATTAGCGAAGCGTGGTGGTACATGCCTGTAATCCCAGCTACTTGGGAGGCTGAGGCAGGAGAATCGCTTGAATCCGGGAGGCGGAGGTTGGAGTGAGCCGAGATAGTGCCTGCACTCCAGCCTGGATGACAGCAAGACTCTGTCTCAAAAAATAAGTAAATAAATAAATATTTATATTGATTTCAAGAATTTGGGGATAACTACTCTGAAAAGGCTACATACTGTAGGATTCAACGATATGAAATTCTGGAAAAGGCAAAACTATGGAGGCAGCAAAAAGATCAGTGGCTGCCAGGGGTTAGCAGGGAGGGAGGGATGGATAGGCAGAGCACGGGGGATTTTTAGGGCAATGAGACTGTTCTGTATGCTAGTATAATCGTGGATACATGTGATTGTATATTTGTCAAAACCTATAGAGTATACAACAGCAAGAGTGAGCCCTAATATAAACTATGGACTTTGGGTTATAATGACATGTCAAGGTAGGTTCATGGATTGTAAGAAATGTACCACTCTGGTGGGGGATGTCGATAGTGCGGGAGGCTGTATAGAGCAGAGGGTATACGGGGATTTTCTGTACTTTCTGCTCAATTTTGCTGTGAACTTAAAATTGCTCTAAAAAGTAGTCTATGTTTTAAATTAAAAATGAAAAAATAGATTGGCATGGTGGCTCACGCCTGTAATCCCAGCACTTTGGGAGCCTGAGATGGCAGACAGCTTGAGCTCAGAAGTTCGAGACCAGCCTGTGCAACATGGCAAAACCCTGTCTCTGCAAAAAATACAAGACTTATCTGGGCTTGGGGGCATGGTGGTCCCAGCTACTCAGGAGGCTGAAGTGGGAGGATCACCTGAGTCCAGGAGGTCGAGGCTGCAGTGAGCCAGGATCATGCCACTGCACTCCAGCCTGAGCAACAGAGTGAGAATCTGTCTCAAAAAAAAAAAAAAAAAAAAATTAAAACATAACTGGGGAAATCCACAAAAATTGGGGGTTAGATACCCTCTGCGAAGCTTCAGATGATCACTTTCAACTATTGTGTGTAGCATACGTCCTTTAAAAATGAAATTCTAAGCAACAAATTATACACTTCAATGACAAAGGAAAGTCCCTGCTGAGTTCAGCAGATCAGCTTGGAGATTATACTCTGAAGGAATTGTGTTCTATACCTTTTTTCCCCATACAGGAAACTATCTGTGCTTTCAAATACTACTTTTTTCTTTTTTTAAAAAAATACGTTGACACTTATGATTTCTAATATGTACTTTAAAATAGTAAATAAAACCTGTCAGCGCAATGTCTGGCATTTCAAATACACAATTGCCCTACAAGAATCCCTGGGCCTGAGCAGCTCCAGGAGTTTACTTATCACTCTGTTCTGGAAAATTCTGAAGCATCAGGCTGCCCAGACTGTTCTCTCAACACATTGCTGGGTGGGCTGCTGCGTTTCGGTCTGCAACTGGTGGGTCCAAGACACACTGACTTCCTGACGCTCCTCCACATAGGAATGAACGCAGAGAGTGTCAGTGCTGACAGCTGACACAGCAGAGAAACCCTGGGGGCTCTGAGGTTTCGATCTTGTCTGGCTTGCCTCGCATCAGGAAATGAGCTGTAAGTCACCCTCTGACAGGCTGTCTCTAGGCTGACACAGTGTCTGTTTGGACACTGCTGTAGTATAGTGTGGCTGTATATGAGTTCCCATATCTTTAGCCTTCAACCCATAGATATCCCTAAATTCACTCATGTCTTTCTTCTATATTAGAGGAGAAATCTCTGTAGAGAGAGTAAAAATATTCTAGTAAAATATTCTCATGCACATCGTAGTCATTGGCTGTACAGAGAATTTAGGGGTTCATATTTATGGTTTGGATCCTCATTATTCATAATTCTAATATTTGCTAATCTTTCTACTTGCTAAAAATGGGTTTGTAACCCCCAAATCAAGGCTCAGGGCACTTTTGTGGCTATTCATGGACATGTGCAGGGTGGCAAAGACTTTGCTTACTCTGAGACATGTTCCCAGCTGAGCTCAAACAAAGCAACACCCTGCCTTCTTGTTCAGCTCTCATACTGTAATGAGTGTCCTTTTCATGGTCTATTTAGTGCCACATATTTTTTGCATTTCACTTTTGTACTTTTTATTGGTGATTTCATTGTTTTTTTTTTGTTGTTGTTGTTATGTTTTTGTTTTTTTTGATGGAATCTCACTCTGTTGCCCAGGCTGGAGTGCAATGGCACGATCTTGGCTCACTGCAACCTCCGTCTCCTGGGTTCAAGCAATCCTTCTGCGTCAGCCTCCTGAGTAGCTGGGATTACAGGTGCCTGGCACCATGCCTGGCTATTTTTTTTTTGTAGTTTTAGTAGAGATGGGGTTTCACCATGTTGGCCACGTTGGTCTCGAGCTCCTGGCCTCAGGTGATCTGCCCACCTCGGCCTCACAAAGTGCTGGATTACAGCTGTGAGCCACCATGCCTGGCCAATTTCACTGTTTAAAATGGCCCTCCAATGCAGTGCTGAAGTGCTGTCTAGTGTTTCTATGCTCAAGAAGGCTGCGATTGGGGCAGGCTTAGTGGCTTACACCTGTAATCCCAGTGCTTTGGAAGGCCGAGACAGGAGAATCACTTGAGGCCAGGAGTTAGAGGCTAGCCTGGACAACATAGTGAGACCCTGTCTCTACAAAAAAAATTTTTTTAATTAACTGAGTGTAGTGGCTTACACTTATAGTCCCAGCTACTCAGGAGGCTGAGATGGGAGGATCTATTGAGCCCAGGAGGTTGAGGCTGCAATGAGCTATAATTGCTACACTGCACTTCAGCCTGGGCAACAAAGTGAGACCCTGTTTCTAAAGGAAAGAAAAAAGTAAAAAAGAAGTCTGTGATGTGCCTTATAGAGAAAATATGTGCGTTAGATAAGCTTTATTCAGGTATGAATTATGGTGCTGTTGGCTGTGAGTTTGATGTTAATGAATGAACAGCATATATTAAATAATATTTTAAAACAGAAATGCACATAAAAAGGTTATGTATTGATCAATTGATGATGATGTTATCAGAGGCCGGCAGGAATCTAATGCTGTATTTCCCCTAGGAGCCCCGGTTCAGCTTTCATTCATTCAGTGTTCATGGTAACTTCGTGGGACATGGCCACTGCAAATCCTTAAAATGGACCATAGCTTGGTAACGAGGGACAGAGCCCTAGAGCAGAGCCCCTTGACAGGGCAGATGTGGCCTCGGTTGGCCAGCTTGGTCTCAGTCCTCACCATCCCCACTTTGCTGGCTACTATGCTAACACATCTTGCTCTCCACAGTTCAATGAATCACCAGTCTCTTTCATGTCTTTCACAGCCCGGATCATTCTCTTATCTCTGCCTGAGTAGTCCCTGTGTCCTTCAAGGCTCAGCTCAGGGGCTCCTTCTATGGAGGCCTCCCCTCCCTTTTTAGGGTCAGGAGTTGCCGTGGGTGTCCCACTCACCACACTCACCACGCTGGGGTGTGATCGCCTGTGAACATACCTATGCCCACTCTCGTGTGATGACTCAGAATGCCTGGCCTGTATTTTACTCACCATTGTACCCTCCACCCATAACACAGTTGTATTAGTCCATTCTCACACTGCTATAAAGATACTACCTGGGACTGGGTAATTTATAAACAAAAGAGGTTTAATTGACTCACAGGTTTGCATGACTGGAGAGGCCTTAGGAAACTCAAATCATGGTGAAAGGCAAAGGGGAAGCAAGGCACGTCTTCCATGGTGGCAGGAGACAGCAAAGGGAGAACTGTCAAACGCTTTTTTTTTTTTTGAGACAGAGTCTTGCTCTGTCACTGAGGCTGGAATGCAGTGGCGTGATCTCAGCCCACTGCAACCTCCACCTCCCAGATTCAAGTGATTCTCCTGCCTCAGCCTCCTGAGTAGCTGGGATTACAGGCATGCGTCACCACCCCAGGCTAATTTTTGTGTTTTTAGTAGAGATGGAGTTTCACTGTGTTGGCCAGGCTGGTCTCGAACTCTTGACCTCAGGTGATCCACCTGCCTCAGCCTCCCAAAGTGTTGGGATTACAGGCGTGAGCTACCATGCCTGGCCGTGGAACTGCCAAACACTTTAAAAACCATCAGCTATTGTGAGAATGCCCTCACTATCATGAGAACAGCATGGGGGAAACCATCCCCATGATCCAATCACCTCCCACCAGGTCCTGCCCTCGACACACAAGGATTACAATTTGAGATGAGATTTGGGTGGGGACACAAAGCCAAACCATATCAACAGCCCTGGATGCACAGTAGGTTCTTTGAAAATAGCTGATGAATGGCTGACAGACTGGATGGATGAAAGAACAGCCGGGTGAAATACTTCTGAGAAACAGGTGCTATTGTGGAGCATAGCATAGCCTGGGAGCTCAGTTTATTAGCAACCCAGAAAAGTGTTCAGTTAGTGGGGGTTGGGGAGAGGTGGGGGTCGGGGGTGGGAAACAGGTACAGACCTAAGACAAATAAAAGATATACATAAACCCTTTTTAGAGGACCTAGCATGGAAAAGGGCATTCAGGCTGTCTCTTCTGGCTTTCAAAAAGTCCTGAATCATTGTTTAGACTGAACAGCCTTTTATTAAATAACACTCACTCCCTTTCAAGGTCACTGTCAAACTTTATTGCATTCTGAGATGGACCAGAAGGAAACGTGAATGTTAAGGAGCAGGGGGCATCTCTTCCTTTCCCCCCTCCCACCCCTGTCTTTTGATTACAACTGAACAAGGGGCAAGAGGCCGGTAAGAGATCAGCAAACTCAATAATCCCTCGATAATGACTTTTTCCTAAGCTACAGGCTGATTCAAACTGAATTGAAGCTGTTCAATTCTTCTTGCCAATAGCAAGGATACAGCACACACACACACAAACACACACACACACACACACCCACACACACACACCCCACAAACTTCCCTCCTATTCTTGGGCACATTGCACTTTTCTGGGTATATACTGCTTGCTGTTTATCCTCTTAACTTCTCCTCCCAAAATCCTTTACCAGTCCCTCTCTGTCTCTTATTCCTTAGGTCCTGTGATGGCTCTTTAGAAGGGAGGCACAGGGCTAGGCCAGGAAATGCCTTTTGGTGCATTTGTGACCTCGCGTGCCTTTCCCCTTCCTCCTCTTTTCCCAGCCATCCTCCCAGCCAGTGATCGCCCCCTGCCTCCTCCTATCATCTGGGCCATCCTGCTGTGCAGCCGAAATCCTCACTCCACTCTGTGCGTGGGTGTGTGTGTGATGACATCAACAGTGACAAAATGAAAAGTGCAAGAACCCAAGTCCCAGTCTGAGAACTTCTGAACAGACTCTAGGGACTGCCCTGTTCAATCCTCTCATTTTACAGACAGGGAAACGGGGGCCCAAAGAGGAAAGGCCCTGGGTGATTTAGTGGCAGAGCCAGATTTAAAGTCAAGCTTGACGGGTTCCTCTGCACCAAAATAGTGCCTGCGGGGCCAACTTGGAAGTTCTATTAGAGGAGAGTTCTCACCTGGGGAGATTTTGCCCCGGGACATTTGTTAATGTCTGGAGACATTTTTAGTTGTCACTGATGGGAGGTAGTGCTCCTGACATTTGGAGAGTAAAGGCCAGTGGTAACCCGTACCCGGTCCCTGGCCGTGCCCAAGGCCCTGCAGCAGCTCACCTCATGGGCCTCCTGCGTGCCTCTTACAAGGGCAGCTGTGGCCTGGTCGCTAATCCAGCACTCAGGGGTGGAACTCCAGGCAGATGTTTTTGCTTGTTGTGTTTTGGGGATTTATTTTTGTTTTTGTTTTGCTTCCCCGACCCCCAAAATGTGAACTTTGCATTACTCTGATCTAGAATTTCTGGACCATGGCACAATTTTAGACCACATGCATCTTTGTTTTTTAAATTAAAAAAAATTTTTTAGAGACAAGGTCTTGCTCTGTAGGTCAGGCTGGAGCGCAGTGGCGGGATCATAGCTCACTGCAGCCTTGAACTCCTGGGCTAAAGTGATCCTCCTGTTTCAGCCTCTTGAGTAGCTGGAACTACAGGTGGGCACCACCATGCCTAGCTAATTTTTTTATTTTTTATATTTTTTTGAAACACGGTCTCACTTTGTCACCCAGGCTGGAGTGCAGTGGTACGATATCAACTCACTGCAGCCTGACCTCCCAGGCTCAAGCGATCCTCCCGCCTCAGCCCCACAAGTAGCCGGGCCTACAGGCTTGTGTTACGATGCCCGCTAATTTTTTGTATTTTTTTTAGAGACAGGGTTTTGCCATGTTGCCCAAGCTGGTCTCGGCCTTCTGAGTTCAAGTGATTCTCCTGCCTTGGCCTACCAAAGTGCTGGGATTACAGGCGTGAATCACAGCGCCCAAACTTTTATTTTTACTTTTGTAGAGAAGGTTCTTGCTATGTTGCCCAGGCTGGTCTCAGACTCCTGACCTCAAGTGATTCTGCCACCTTGGCCTCCCAAACCACTGGGATTGCACACATGAGTCTCTGTGCCCAGCCACATGTAAGTCTTATTGTGGGGGTGTCCTGTGTGTTGTAGGATGTGTAGCAGTTCCCCTGGCCTCTACCCACTAGATGCTATAGCACCTCTATCACTTTGGTCTAAATACCTATTCCTTACTCCTCAGTCCTGTCCAGGGCCTCTCTCATAATTGGTACTTAAACCTTTGACTAATTGCTTCAGCTCTGGGCTCTCCTCAAAGATGCTGTTACCTGGACCTGGTATGAAGGTGGGATTCTGGCGTGCAGCGTTGTGGGTACACTGAGTTCTGTGCTGAGCAACAGTGTAACCGTCCAGTGGGTTCACCTTGCCTGCTGACTAAACAGAGCTGATTTCTCAAGACAGGGGAATTGCAGTAGAGAAAGAGTAATTCACCCAGAGCCAGCTGTGGGGGAGACCAGAGTTTTATTATTACTCAACTCAGTCTTCCTGAGGTTTCGGGGATTAGAGTTTTTAAGGACAACTTGGTGGGGCGGAAGCCAGTGAGCCAGGAGTGCTGATTGGTTAGGTAGGAGATGAAGTAATAGGGAATTGAAGCTGTCCTCTTGCGCTGAGTCAGTTCCTGGGCGGGGGCCACAAGATCAGATGAGCCATTTAATTGATCTGGGTGGTGCCAGCTGATCCATCAAGTGCAGGGTCTGCAAAATGTCTCAAACACTGATCTTAGGAGCAGTTTAAGGAGGGTCAGAATCTTGTAGCTTTCAGCTGCATGACTCCTAAAGCATAATTTCTAATCTTGTGGCTAATTTGTCAGTCCTACAAAGGCAGTTTAGTCCTCAGGCAAGAAGGAAATTTCTTTTGGGAAAGTGCTGTTATTGTCTTTGTTTTAAACTATAAACTATAATAATCTCCTCCCAAAGTTAGTTCAGCCTGTGCCTAGGAATGAACAAGGACAACTTGGAGGCTAGAAGCAAGATGGAGTTGGTTAGGTCAAATTTCTTTCACTGTCTCAGTCACAGGCGGTTTCAACAGGGCCACTCTCCTTTCCTGGCAAGCACAAGGAGCCCGAATTTCCTGGCCCTCTGGGGTTGCCTGGGGTCATGTGACCAGTTCAGACCAATGAGATGTGAAGGAAAGTGACAAACATCACTTCCGGGCTAGATCATTTGCTTGCCTGTTCGAGGCCCTCCAGAATTCTCTCCGTTTGCTGGTAACTGTGGAAACTCCGAGCTCCCCACTGATCTCACAGAACACGTAGCATGAGCGGAAACCAAACTTTTGTCAAGCCATTGAGATATCGACATTGTTACTACACCATAATCTAGCTGATCCTGACAACAAGGTGCATACACGGAAATTGGCCCATATTCAAAGAAAACATCTATCTTTGCGTTTGATTGGCAGCCATTCAAACGCAAAGATTATATAGAGTTAAAGGAAAGCTCACGAAGTTAATTGACATTTTATTGAGTTAAAAACACCAGCAAGCTAAGAAAAACAACAACTTGTTTGTGTAACGTTTGGGTTGTTTACAAATTCAGGAGGGCTGCACAGAGCGTGAGCACAGTGAGTGCCCTTCTTCCTGCGCTGTGTGATGGGGGATTGGCTCTCCCAAAGCCATAGAAGGGCTTTTGTGTCCAACAATAGCATCTTGGGCCCCACGTGCTTTGCTTGTTCATCCACAGTAACTTCTTTCTCTTGCAAGTTAGGGCTGGTGACTTTGGGTTTGGAATATGAAAACAAAATTAAGAACCAACTAAAGAAGAAAAATTATACTGAACGATTATAAATATAAGGGTGTATTCCTCTTTGAGGAAGACAAGCGTGAAACTCCGAACTAGATTAACCAGGTAGAGTGACCAGTGGCTGAAGGGAACCTTTTACAAAGAACTCCTTTAGCCGTCATTCCCATGGTGCCCTGAAGTGTTTATTTACAGGTCCCGAAATGCCCTAGGTAGTGGTGATGGCCAGAGAAATGTAAAGCTGGGATTCATGACCACTGAAGATCAATCACATACAAGGATGAAGCATTTTATAGATGAATTCACAAGAGAGAAAAGTTAAGATTTAATATTAATATAGTTTAAAAGTATCTATGGCTTAAATCTGAAGCCTTAAAAAAAAAGTGAGGCTGGTCGTGGTGGCTCACATCTGTAATCCCAACACTTTGGGAGGCCAAGGTGGGAGGATTGCTTGAGCCCAGGAGTTTGAGACCAGCCTGGGCAACATAGTGAGACATTGTCTCTACGAAAATAAAAAAAAATAGTAAAAAAAAAGTGAGGCACACTTTACCAGGAGAATTGTTTGTTACCACGTTTTTCTCTGAACTGGTTTGCAAATATCAGATGGAAACCCCTAGTGTTGATTCCCTTATTGCCCGACTACTTACTAACTACCTAGTAGTTAGGATTAGTTAAGTAGTTAGTACTTTTGGATTCCCTTATTGCCCTTGCTTCTTACTATCTGGTATAACTGGGCAAAATGCTCAACCTCTCTATGCCCATTGCCTTGTTTGTAAGAATGAGGGGGTTGGAATAGAAGACCTCTAAGGGTCTTAGCTCTAAAAAATAACTATGATTCTTCAAGAAGCAGCATCCTAGAGAGAAGTGTGAGCCCATCTTTTGTATTCAAATGATGCATTTCTGAGACAATCGGCCCCCAGATTTGACAGTTTAAAATAAAAAATGACTTTCGCCTGTATGGGTTTGTTGCTGACAAAAGTCAGACTTGGCAGCTCCAAGGGTTCTGGTGCCTTAGAAGTGAATGCCTTGCAGGAGGGGCTGTTGGAGCCAGCACTTGCTCTTGAAGACAGCAACTGGGTGGGGAAGTGAAGCAGCTCGTGTTCCCAAGGGCTCACCTGCCTGCCGAGAAGCCTGTCTTCACACACACCAAGACCAGGCCATGTGGGCTTGTGAAAGGAAAGTTAAGTCTCGGGACCCCCAAATCACTAAGCCAAAGGGAAAAGTCAAGCCAGGAAGTGTGTCAGTCAAACTGCCTCTCATTTAATTCCTAAGTAAGATAGCTACAAAGATTTTTTTAAAAAGCTCCATACCCCCCTCACAATTTGTCCACAAAGAAATTCCTTGTGGGCCTCAAGATCTTTACCCTAAAACAGTTCTGTGGAATTTCACCCTGGCAATGTAAATTGATAGCTTATCTTCACAGGTATGGGACAAAGGACAGAACTCAAAGTCATTCTTTTGCTCACCCAAGACAAACTCATATCCAATTGCTTCCTCTGCCCTATTGTTTACGTAAAAATGCAGATTCACTGAGCCACATTAAGGCATAAGGGACTATTCCTCTATCCCCTCTCATATGTAAATTGTGTATTTGGTGAAAGGCTGATCAAATACCCCAAAAAATGCAACTGTTTGTCTATTACCTACCTATGACCTGGAAGGCTCCCCGCTTCGAGTTGTCCCACCTCTCCGGACAGAACCAATGTACATTTTACACATATTGATTGATGTCTCACGTATCCCTAAAATGTATAAAAGCAAGCTGTGCCCCGACCACCTGGGGCATGTGTCATCAGGACCTCCTGAGGCTGTCATGGGTGCTTCCTTAACCTTGGCAAAATAAGCTTTCGAAATTGATTGAGACTTTTGGGTTCCCAGGCTGAACATGGGGCAGTGTGGACACCTGTTGTTTTGTCTGCCTGGGACTCTTTTCCCCTTTCTAGAGCATAGATGTCCTTGTCTTTAGGAGAAATACCCCTATGTGGTTCTGGTCAGGGTCTTCTACTATGGTGGCCATCCCTCTGGCTGTGCAAGTGAGCCTGTGATCCAAGCTTGGCCGACCCCTGGGATTTTTCTAGTTGGAACTGGAGGAAGAGGCTCCTCTACTCTCAGATGGCCAAGCTGGGAAGGAATGAACCCTCACTCTGCAGTGTCCATGGTTCTAGCCTTCCAGAGAAAGCCCACCCGAGAGAAACAGAAACAGGAGGGGAGAGATGCCCGATGGGGTTTGAGTCATGGCTGGAGCTTTCCCTGCCCCTCGCCCTCTGCAGTTCGTTATGAACCAACAACACCCCCTCTTCCCAAGCGAGTTGCACTTAACCATTTGCATCTGGTGAGTGTTAAGCTCTTGGCTAGGCTTGTGGGAAGAATGAAGAGAGAGGAAGCCCTGCAAGCTGGTCTGGGGGTTCAGCCTGGGGGAATCCAGCTGTGAGCAGGTGAGGGGGGCCCAGCCGTGGAAGGTGTGGCCAGGCTGAGAGACCACCGGAAAGGGTGGGCAGGATCAGCTACAACCGGCTACCCCGGGGAAGAGGAATGGTTAAAGGATGGCAGATCTCACACAGAAACATAGAGAGGGGAGGGAGAAAGGGAAATGGCCAACAATCTTAAGAAGTTTAGGAAAAAGAGGATGGGTGGAAAACAATGGTTGAGAGAAAGAGAAAGACAAAGAGAGTAAAAGCACAGAGGCGATATGTCATTGTGTGGAGAGAAATTTCTGAGAATACATTTGAGTTTCAATGCAAGGCTCTGAGAAGAGGCAAGAACAGGAAACTCTATGCCTTAAGTGCATATAGGCAGGGCAGTCCCACCCAGGAGAGAGAAAAACACTACTGCAGAGTGTCTGCTACTCCAACAGGAAACTCTCTCAAAATAAATTCACTCTGGGCCTTCGTTACTCTTGGAGTTCTGTTTACCTCGAGATGACTCCCAGTTGCTTAAAGACTCATTCTACCTTATGTTCTATGCTCTAGCAAGATTTGGATTAGACTGAGTGTTGGCTTTGATGATGTGCAGAGGCAGCCCAGCCCCACTCCTCATCTCCTAGCCTCCTCCTTGAGCATTTCAAACCCTCCTGAGGCTGAACCCCTAACTCCTCACTCTAGTCCACAGGCCCTTTCTGATTCAGCTCTGCCCTTCTCTCCCACCTTGTTGTTACTCTGCACAGTCAGGGAGGCCTCCCTGCAGAGGTGAACTTTAAGCTGAGCTATGCACGGTAAGAAGGAGCCAGCTATCTGAGGCTGTGGGAAGAGCTTGCCAGTGGAGGCGACCACAGGACAAAGGCCCTACGTCAGGAATGAGCTGGAAAATTTGAGGAATAGAGAGAAGCCAGCTGGTTGGACCAGTGTGCTGCAGAGTGGGGAGGGGGAGTGTGGAAAGAGGGCATAATAGGACACAACCTCAGCTTCATGGTAAAGAGAAAGTCAGAGCTGGAAGCAGCCTCTCGGGGGGCCCTGCCCCAACTCTATTTTAAAAACAAGAAAACTGCATGCCGGAGAAGGTTAGCACCTGTTGGTGGCTCACACCTGTAATCCCAGCACCTTAGGAGGCTGAGGTGGGGAGATTGCTTGAGCTCAGGAGTTTGAGATCAACCTGGACAACATAGTGAAACCCCGTCTCTACAAAAAAATACAACCTGGACAACATAGTGAAACCCTGTCTCTACAAAAAAAATTAGTTGGGTGCAGTGGCACGCATCTCCCAGCTACTCGGGAGGCTGAGGTGGGAGGATCACTTGAGCCCAGGAGATTGAGGCTGCAGTGAGCCATGATTGCGTCACTGCACTCCAGCCTGGGCGACAGAGCGAGACCCTGTCTCAAAAAACAAAAAAACAAACAAACAAACCCAAAACAACAACAACAAACACTGCACAAATAATACATGAAAGTCTTATTGTTAAAAATTTGAAGAATACAGAAAAAGTGAGTCTTCGTCATGACCTCCGCCTGTCCTATCTATTCCAATCTCCAGTCCCACTGCCCTCTCCAGAGGGAACTCTGGCTAATGGGATGTTGGGGAGATCTTTCCTGACTTTGGATGGGCACGTACATTTGTATACATACATTTAGAGATGTATGGCTTTATTTGTGCTTTTCCTTTACATCCATAAGATCATACCGTATATATTGTTTTGCAGCTTACTTTTTTGCTTTGGAAACCTTTGCATTTTTGCTCACATAGCATATGGCATTCTTTCTACCTGCTGCATAGTAGTTCATGGTTAGTTACGCTGTATCATTTAACTTTTCCCTGTTGGTGGTCATTTAGGTTGCTCCTGGCTATCACAAATACCCTTGGCCACATCTCTTTGAATACAAGTGCAAGGATTTGTGGAGGGTGAATACCAAGTTGTGGAATTCCTGGGTCAAGGGGCACACACAGTGAAACGGTAATCCAAACTGCCAAAGTGCTCTCCAAAAAACTTTGTATCAGATGGGTAAACAGTTTTCTTTGTTGTTTTCTGTTATTGTTGTTTATCTTTTCTTTTTTAGTAGAGACGGGGTCTCACTATGTTGTCCAGGCTGGGTCTTGAACTCCTGGACTCAAGCAATCCTCTTGCCATGTCCTCCTGAAATGCTGGGATTTTTACAGGTGCAAGCTACCATGCGTGGCCTACCTTTTCATTTTGAAATAAGTTTAGGCTTGCAGAAAGTTATAAAGATACAGTGTTCTCACAGACCGTTTCTCCAGCTTTTCCTAATGTGAGCATCTTACCTAACCACAATACAATTGAGAGGTGAAGCCAGCTGGACTTTCTGGGTGAGTGGGGACTTGGAGAACTTTTCTGTCTTACAAGAGGATTGTAAAATGCACCAATCAGCGCTCTGTAGCTAGCAAGAGGACTGTAAAATGCACCAATCAGCACCCTGTAAAAATGCACCAATCAGCACTCTGTAGCTAGCAAGATGATTGTAAAATGCACCAGTCAGCACTCTGTAAAACGCACCGATCAGCACCCTGTAAAATGTACCAATCAGCGCTCTCTAAAACACACCAATCAGCAGGATCCTAAAAGTAGCCAATCGCGGGGAGGATTGAAAAAAGGGCATTCTGATAGGACAGAAATGGAACATGGGCGGGGGCAAATAACGGAATAAAAGCTGGCCAACCCCATCCCCGCCACCCAACACAGCCTCTCCCAGCCAGCAGCGGCAATCTGCTTGGGTCCCCTTCAACGCTGTGGCAGGTTTATTCTTTGGCTTTTCAGTCTTCACAGTAAATCTTGCGTTTATTCTTTGAGTTCGTGCCATCTTTAAGAGCTGTAACACTCACTGCGAGGGTCCGAGGCTTCATTCTGGAAGTCAGCAAGACCACGAACCCACTGGAAGGAACCGACTGTGGACACACAGTGACCAAAACAAAGAAATTAACACTGGAACAATGCTATTAATTAAACTATGGACTTAATTCAGATGTCACTACTTTTTTGACTAGTGTTCTGGTTATTTTAAATTTTACTTCCTTAATGACTAGGAAGATAGAACATCTTTTCATATTTTTTGGACCATCTGTATTTTTTATGTAAAATGCCTATTCAAATTCTTTGCCCATCATTTTCTCTGTTGGATTATTTGTTTTTCTAACGATTGGTAGGGGTTCTTTTCGAACCTTTCCAAGCTTGCACAGCGAATTAGTAGCAGATCTGGGAAGATAACCCAAGTCTAACCTATTTACTTATTCCTGCCATGACGCTCTGTCCTCAATTCTCCTTAACTCTCAGCTGCTTCTCTCTTCCCTGGGCCCATGTATAGCAGTCCCCAGCTGGACCATTCTTATCAGCATCTGTCAGAGAAGCACAGCAGGCCAGGCCTGCTTACTCTTCATTTCCCTCATTGTTGCTGAGCTAATGTTCAGGATGGATCTTGTCTGGACATAGCTTGCTTTCTGGAAAGTCTCATCCTCCTGGCACTGAGACGGGCAGCACAGAATGCTGGCTGCGGGGCCCAAGAATGCGCCATTTGGCTGCTCGTTCCCTTCCTAATTGCCATCCTGGCAACTGTAAAATCTCCTGCACTAGGAGAACGGAAGCTGCAGAAGGGAGTTTGTGTGTGTGTCAGGATCACTGGGCGCCCTGCAAGACCCATCCATCCAGGATGGGATGCTCTCCAGGATGCTCCGGCTCCCCGTGGGCGTTATCTCATCCTCTGGGCATAGCTCCAGAACCTGAAAGGAGCTAGTGGGCAGGGGTAGGCACTGCCATAGTGGGGTAGAAATATGGCACTCCTCTTGGCAGCTCTGCTTCCATTGAGCCATGGGTTCCTGGAGAAGAGGGGCCATGCCTTATTTCTCAGATGTTCTTCTGGCTCTGGCTGTAGTATGGGGATGACCAGAAACCTTGTCCTTTGTAGTTCTGATTAGGATGGAGGTGGAGTGGAGACACCAATTGTCCCTAGTCTGGTCCTGTGTGTTTGATGGGGAGGGTGGTGTAAGGGTTTGAATAGTGTGCCTCAACCACCAAATAGATGTCCACAGGAAGCTGTGGATGTGACCTTATTTGGAAAATGGGTCTTGCAGATGTAATTAGTGAAGAGCTTCAAAATGAGATCATCCTGGATCTCCAGGCAGGCCCTAAATCCAGTGACAAGTGCACCATGAGAGAAAGGCAGGGGGAGATTTGAAATGCGCAAAGGTGCGGAGGAGGTCACATATCAGTGGAGGTGGAAATTGGAGCGATGTTGCCACAAGCCAAGGAGTGCCTAAAGTCACCAGAGGTGGGGAGAGGAAACACAGGACTCCTCCCAGAGCCTTTATGGGGAGTACAGCCCTGCTGGGCACACCTAAACTTCAGACTTCTGTGCTCCAGATGGGGAGAAAAGAAATGTCTGTTGTCTTAAGCCACCTGGTTTGTGGAAATTTGTTATACCAACCGTGGGGCATGAGCGCAGGTAGGAACCAACCAGGGCACTGAAACTCATGATTCTTGAAAGGATCCAACCAGTCAACAGCCCCAGTTCTTCACTAGCTCACCCTCCACAATCCCCTTAGAGACCTCACCCAAAACTACTGTGGGAGATGGATTTGAGGGTCTCCATCTCCTCACTTGGTGCCCTGCGATCATTAAACTCTTTCTCCCTGTCAACGCTGCTGTCTCAGTTACTGGGTCTGTTAGCGCACAGTGGGCATACAAACCTGTTGTTCCTACAACACTTCCTACCCGTCACCCATGCTTCTGAGCTGTGCTGGCCACCAGGCAGCCATGTGGGAGCTGTGGGCAGACTGGAGAGGTGAGCTCCCAATAAAGACAAGAAGAGCAAGTGTTAGATCCATGAGAGAACAAAGGTCATTTGATGACAAGTCAAGCAGAAACCAGAAGTCCAGAAACTGAGGTCAGCCAAGACATGGCAGCAAAAATCAAAAAGGGCCCAGACTTGCCTGAGAATCCTGCCTGCCACATGTGCCTATTCTTTATTATCTATTGTTATGGCTGCTTAAGTGCTATGACAGCAGAGTTGAGGCCACCAAGTCTAAAGTATTTACCATCTAGCCCTTTAGAGGAAAAGCTTGCCAATCCCTGCTTTAGGGCAATAGTTCTCAAACTTTGGTGCCCATCTGAGTCACCTGGAGGGCTGTGAAAACAAAGGACTGGGCCCCACCCCCAGAGTTTCAGATTCAGCAGGTCTAAGATAGGGCTTCATAATCTGCATTTTTTTGTTTGTTTGTTTCTTTTGTTTTTGAGACAGAGTGTCACTCTGTTGCCAAGGCTGGAATGCAGTGGTGTGATCTTGGCTCACTGTAACCTCTGCCGCCCAGGTTCAAGTGATTCTCCTGCCTCAGCCTCCCGAGTAGCTGGGATTACAGGCACACGCCACCATGCCAGGCTGATTTTTTGTATTTTTAGTAGAGACGGGGTTTCACCATGTTGGCCAGGCTGGTCTTGAACTCCTGACCTCAGGTGATCCACCCGCCTCGCCCTCCGGAAGTGCTGGGGTTACAGGCATGCGCCGCCGCACCCGGCCCATAATCTGCATTTCTAACAAGTTGCCCAGTGATGCAGAGGCTGCTGGATCAGGGACCACTCTCGGAGAACCGCAGCTCCACAGCTGCACTTCTTACACTTTATTATTTTTGTTTTCACTTATTTATTTATTTTTTGAGACAGAGTCTCAGTCGCCCAGGGTAGAGTGCAGTGGCACAATCTCGGCTTACTACAACCTCTGCCTCCTGGGTTCAAGTGATTCTCCTGCCTCAGCCTTTTGAGTAGCTGGAATTACAGGCACGCACCACCACTCCTGGCTAATTTTTGTATTTTTAGTAGAGACAGGGTTTTGCCACGTTATCCAGGCTGGTCTCGAACTCCTGACCTCAAGTGATCCTCCTGCCTTGGCCCAAAGTGCTGGGATTACAGGGCTGAGCCACTGCACCCGGCCTGCTTCTTACACTTTAATCTGCCCATGATTCACCCAGGGATCCTGATAAAATTCAGACTCTGATCCGGGAGAAGCAATCTCCAGGAAGAACAACCTTGTGATCCAGTGGCCCCTGCCTTCCTCACCCTCCCTCTCCAGCCACAGCTGATTGGACCTGGGGTGGGCACCTGAGTCAGGGACCCATGGGCTCACCCACAGTCAGTGACAGGATGCCAAACAAATAGGGTCCCTAGAGAGTGTGGAAGCCAGGTAGATTCTCTCGAGAGAGTCTGAAATGTGGCTGCATAGACACCGTTGCCTGTTGTTGGTGACCCCTGGGCTGAGAGGCAATGACGTGGAGTTGGGGGCCAGTGGCATGACGAGACAAGGGCAAAATGGGTGAGCAGAGGCAGCCAGCCCAGGGAGGGGAGAAGAGGAAGTGGAGGCCCAGAGATTATGAAGCTCGGCGAGGCAGAAAGCTTTCTAATTCCCAGTTCCCATGAGCCCTGACTGGGCTGTTTGCCCTTCTGTTCTGAGAAATTCCTGTGTCCCTTCAAATATGCTTCTCTTTTGGCTTAAGCTACTTTGAGCAGTTTCTTATTCTTCAAAGCCGAAAGAGTCTTAAAGAGAATGCATCCATGACCCTCTCCCGCCACTCTCACATCTTGTTTATGTTCATCTCCAGGACCTTGGACAGGGCCCAGCACAGGGGCCCTGGAATGTGGACTGTCTCAGTGGATTCTTGTTTATAGGAATTAGAGGAAGGTGGAAGAAGCTCATTCCAGGTGAGCAGAGGCACGGAGCAAGGGTGAGCGTGTGAGAAGAGCCATGTGAACAGGATGTATAGGGGCCAGTGGAGGGAAGGCCAGTCAGGAGGGAAGGCTGGATGCAGATGGCCTTAAACACCAGGCTGAGGAGTTGGGGTTGGTTTGACAAATGGTAGGGAGGTATCAGAAGTCCTGCAGCTGGATGGACATGACAAAGAACAGTTGTGCCCTTTTCTTTAACAAGGATTCAGATGGCCTGGGTGACAGATGACATCTTGGGACTGAAATGAACAAATAATAAACCTATGCATGGAACTCTTACAAGAAAACATCAGGCAAAAGCTTACCAACATCGAATTTGGCAATGATTTCTTAGATATGACACCAAAGGCACAGACAACAGACTTCATAAAAAAGAAAAACTAGACTTCATAAAAGTTAAAAAAATTTTGTTAATCCTAAGACACTATCAACAGAGTAAAAAGGCAACCCACAGTATGGAGGAAAATATTTGCAAATTATATATCTGATAAAGGATTAATATTTAGAATATATAGAGAACTTCTAAAACTCAACAACTAAAAGACAAACAACCTGATTCAAAAAAGGACAAAGGTTTTGAAAATACATTTCTCCATTTAAAAAGACAAATGGCCAATAAGCACATGGAAAAATGAGCATTAGAAAAATGCCAATCAAAACTATAATGAGATATTACCTCATATCTATTAAGAAGACTGCTATTAAAAAAAAAAAACAAAAAAACAATACAAAAAAACCCCAGAAAATTGGCTGGACATGGTGGCTTATGCCTATAATCCCAGCAGTTTTGGAGGCTGAGGGAGATGGATCACCTGAGGTCAGGAGTTTGAGACCAGCCTGGCCAACATGGTGAAACCTTGTCTCTACTAAAAACACAAAAATTAGCCAGGCGTGGTGGTGCACACCTGTAACCACAACTACTTGGGAGGCTGAGGCAGGAGAATGGCTTGGACCCAGGAGGTGGAAGTTGCATGAGCCGAGATCGTGCCACTGTACTCTAACCTGGGCGACAAGAGCGAAACTCTGTCTCAAAACAAACAAACAAACAAACAACAACAACAAAAACCCAAAACCAGAAAATAGGTATTGATGAAGATGTAGAGAAATTGGAACACATGTGCACTATTGGTGGGAATGTAAAATGCTATAGTCTCTATGGAAACAGTATGGCAATCTCTTAAAAAATTAAACAGAGGCTGGGCACCGTGGCTTACACCTGTAATCCCAGCACTTTGAGAGGCTGAGGCAGGAGGATCGATTGAGCTCAGGAGCTCACAACCAGCCTGAGCAACATAGTGAGACCGCATCTCCACTAAAAAAAAAAAAAAAAAAAATTAGCCATGCATAGTGGTGTGCACCTGTAGTTCCAGCTACTTGGGGGACTGAAGTGGGAGGATTGCTTGAGCCCAGGAAGTCAAGGCTACAGTGAGCAGTGATCGTGCCACTGCACTCCAGCCTGGATTACTGAGCAAGACCCTGTCTCAAACAAACAAACAAACAAACACCATAAAGCCAGGGGCTCATGCCTGTAATCCCCGCTACTTGGGAGGTTGAGGGAGGATTGCTTGAGCCCAGGAGTTCGAGACCACCCTGAGCAATGCAGCAAGACCCCATTCCCAATAAATACATACATACATACATACATACATAAATAAATACATACATACATACATAAACAAAAAATTGAACATAGAATTACCATGTGATTCAGAAATTGCACTTCTGGGTATATAACCCAAAGAACTAAAAACAGGGCCTCAGAGATATTGAAAGTAATGGCAAAAACCACAATAAATTTTGCACTATCTAATATTTGCACACCAATGTTTATAGTAACCCAAGTTTCCACCAACAGAGGAATGAATGGCTAGGCAAAATGTGGTGCATACACACAGTGAATGTTACTCATCCTTAAAAAGGAAAGGAATCCTGCAGTATGCTGCCACATGGATGAGCCTTAAGGCCATTATGCTAAATGAAATGAGTCAGTCACAAAAAGACAAATTCTGTGTGATTCCACTTATATGAGGCACTTAGGGTAGTCAAAATCATAGAGACAGGAAGTAGAATGGTGGTTGCCAGAGGCTGGGGAGGAAGGCATGAGAGTTATTGTTTGTGGGTATGGAATTTCGTTTGACAAGATGAAGAGTTCTAGAAATGGATGGTGGTGCTAGTTGCACAACATTGTAAGTGTATTCAATAATATTGCTGAGCTGTACACTTTGATAAATTTTGTTATGTGTATTTTACCACAATTAAAAAAATAAAAACAAAACCAAACCCTTATGCGTGGGGAAAACAAATGACTGGATGGAAATAAAACAAAAGCTTATAGTAATGTGGATTTTTTTTTCTACTTTCCTGTGCTTTCCAATTTTCCTCTAGAGTGCAATCAATAACAGTGGAAAGAAGTCCCTGGAGCCCAGTGCAGTGGCTTGAACTGAGAATGCACTCACTGGCTGTTGCAGCCAAGACTCCAGTTCTCGCCTCTCTTTCCCTGACTCCCCTGTGCCCACCTTTCCCCTGCAGGAAAGTATACCCGGCGGGCCAGGGGGCTTTTGTGGTTGGGTTATGTCTTCATCTTGTCTGCTCTGTGAGCCATTTACTTCTCAGGCACAGCTCTGGGCGCAAGGGCAGCCTGTGCCACAGATGTCTGTTGAACCCTGGATTCGCGTCTGTGGCTGCTGTATAGATGATCACACGCCTGATGGCTTCAAACGACAGAAATATACCCTCTCACGGCTCTGGGGGCCAGAAGTCTGGAATCAGGATCATTGGGCTGAAATCAAGGGGTCAGGGCTGTGTTCCCTCTGGAAGCTCTAGGGGGAATTCATTCCTTACCCCTTCCAGCTCGTGCTGGCTGCTGGCAGTCCTTGGCTTGTGGCCACATCACTCCAATCTGTCTCCATCACCACATTGCCTTCTCCACTTCCATGTGTGTAATCCTGCTGTCTCCTCTGTCTCTCTCTCTAGCTCTTTTTTTTTTTTTTTTTGAGACAGAGCTTCGCTCTGTTGCCCAGGCTGGAGTGCAGTGGCGCAATCTCGGCTCGCTGCAACCTCCACCTCCCGGGTTCAAGCAGTTCTCCTACCTCAGCCTCCCAAGCAGCTGGGATTACAGGCACCCACCACCATGCTCGGTTAATTTTTGTATTTTTAGTAGAGACAGGGTTACACCATGTTGTCCAAGCTGGTCTCGAACTCCTGACCTCAGGTGATCCACTTGCCTCGGCTTTCCAAAGTGCTGGGATTACAAGCATAAGCCACTGCACCCAGTCCTCTCTCTCTCTTTTTTTTTTTTATTGAGATGGAGTCTCACTCCGTCACCAAGGCCGGAGTGCGGTGGTGCAATCTCCCCTCACTGCAACCTCCGCCTCTGGGATTCAAGCTTTCTCTCCTGCCTCAGCCTCCCAAGTAGCTGGGATTACAGACATGTGCCACCATGCCTGGCTAATTTTTGTGTTTTTAATAGAGACAGGGTTTCGCTGTGTTGGCCAGTCTGGTCTCAAACTCCTGACCTCAATTGATCCACCTGCCTTGGGCTCCAAAGTGCTGGGATTACAGGCGTGAGCCACTGCGCCCAGCTTCTCCTCTGTCTCTGTCTCTCTCTCTCTCCCTCTCTCTCTCATAAGGGCCCATGTGCTTGCGTTTAGGGCCCGCTAGGACGATAGAGGATTATCTCCCCATCTCAGGATCCTTCGCTTAGTCACTTCCGCAAAGTCCTTTCTCCTTTGCTCCCTTTCATGGAAGGTAATGATCACAGGTTCCAAATTTTTGGGGGAGGACATTATTCAATGTGTCACAACTGGCTTTAAGGATTAAGCAAGGTAGGTGGAGACCAGACTCCCTTGGCTCATGCTCTGGGGCTGTCCCGGGGGATAGCCGGGAAGAGAACCTGGGCTGTGATGGGTGAGGGTTCTCAGGTGTGGCCCCTCCTGCCTGAGTTCACTACAGTGTCTGGGTCAAGTCAGGAACTGCAGGCAGGGCCAAGCCTGGGTCCAGGCTGGACGAGGGACTGAGGGTTTTGCTCAGAGTTCTTTTCTCTCTGGACCCAGGGGCCTCCTGCTTTAAGAAGACCCAGTATGTGGGGGAATTTGGGGGCTTCATGAAGCAGCCTCTGAAAGGCAAACCAGAAAGCGTCTCCTGTTTACGAAGGGTTTCTGCATTAGTTTCCAGGTTCTCGGTTGCCTTGGGCTTGTCACTGGGTCTGCTGTCTGACCTTGGGCAGGCTGCTTTCCCTCTCTGTCCTCAGTTCTGGATGATCACTGGAGGCTCTGCCAACACCATTATTCAGACCTCACTGCAATCCCCCAAACCCCACCAATCTTTGCTGCCATTCAAGTCTTTGGGAGCCTGGGGAATACTACTTAAAGGCATTTCTCAGAACAAGGTCTCAGGTCAGGCTCAGTGGCTCACACCTGTAATCCCAACACTTTGGGAGGCCAAGGCGGGAGGATTGTTTGAGCCTAGGAGACCAGTCTGGGCAACATGGCAAAACCCGATCTCTACAAAAAATACACAAAGATTAGCAGGGCATGGTGGCGCATGCCTGTAGTTCCAGCTACTGGGGAGGCTGAGGTGGGAGGATCACCTGAGCCTGGAAGGTTGAGGCTGCAGTGGGCTGTGATCATGCCACTGCACACCAGCCTTGGTGACAGAGCAAGATCCTGTCTCAAAAAACAAACCAAACCAAGCCAAACCAAAACAAAAACAAAAACTCAGAACGTCTCAGATTTTAGCAGCCCAAGGTTCTCTCAGCAGCAGCCCCAGCTGTCTGCTTCCCTTCCAGGTCCCGTTCCAGGGGCAAGGACTGGGTCTGGACCTGGGGGTGGGGGTGGGGAGGGGCCATATGGGGAGTCTCCTCATCTTGCGTACAAATAGTCCAGGAACCGGGGGGCCTGAGGACACTTATTCATGGTGGTCTGATTCTATGGGGTGGGGTAAGTGTCAGGGCATGGACCGTCTTTAGGCATTAAGGACATTCAGTGATGCTGTTTTGGGCTATTTCATTCAATAAAATATCAAAATAACCTCCTCCAGGGCACCTCACCCTTCTAACAACCCAGATTCTAAAGCGTTAACCTTGAGCCCAATAGGGGCTTCAGAACTCTGCTGATTGCTAGTTTATTAAACATATTTTAAATATCATTACTGATTATAATTATCCCCAAATTCCATGAGCCCCTGCTTGCTCTTATCTTCCTGGCCAGTAGGTGGCAGCACAGGAGCATTCAAGGTTCAGGGTTGCAGGAAAAAAGGCGCAAAACGTTGGTGGTTCAGTTAAACTGCAGGACCCAGTACGTGGGGGAATTTGGGAAACCTTTTCTTGGCTCTGCGGTGGTGCCCTGCTTACCACCAGGCACCCACCCACACACCACATCCCAGTGAGCGTGGGCAGGGGAGACCAAGGGAAGAGGATGACTCCACTTCCGGGAGCTCATTTGGGGAAGACGGCATTTGGGGGTATGTCAGGTGCTGTCCTGGAAAGTTTTTCCCCAAACCTGGGTCACACGTAATGAGATAATGCATTTATCTGCCCTGCTGTAAGTGCTTAGCCAGTGTTAGCTGTTCATACACATACTTCACTTCATTTAATCCTTACAACGAACCATTAGGTGAGTCTTAGCAGCCCATTTTACAGATGAGAAAATTGAAGCTCAGAGGGCTGGCTTCTGTTGTCCAGCATCACATGACAAGAGAAAGCAATGTGGGGCTTTGAACCCAGGTCTCAAAGTCCAGCTGTGTTCTCCTTCTAGCTGGCAAGCGGATTGATGCTGAACCTTTATCAAGCAACACACACAGATACTTCTCAAGGAGAATGTGGGGCTATACCTCCCAGGGCACAGGAGTGGGTAGACCCAGAGTTTTCCTGGGGGAGGTGTGATTTCAGAGGAACAAAATCAGAGACCAGGGTGTGTGGAGGGAGGGGCTGTTGAGGATGAGAGCTGGTCCCAGCTGCTGGGCTGGGAGGCAGGAGACCAGACTTGCATTTCGTTTCTGCTGTCCCATTGCTGTGTGACCTTGGGCAGGTCCTGGCCCTCTCTGGGCTTTCCTTTCCTCATCTGTGGATGAGATCATCTCACAGGTCCTTGCTGGTCCCCACTGTCCCAGAAATCCAGAAGCTCCAGTACTAAACCCTCTCATGAACAAAAGAAAACCAAGCCCATGCTCATAAAGCTGGTGCTGGGATTACCAAGGTCACAGACAGAAATGCCAGTTGGCCTGTGTAAAACAGCTCGACCCTGAGGCTGGGCCACCTGGGGCCCTGGGGGTGGCCTTGAGGAGGCTATTCCTGCCCTGGTCTCATCTGAGGGTTCACCTATCACAGGTGAGGCTGTCCAGGAAGCAGGTGCTGTGGTGGTTAGTGGTGGAGCCAGGAGGAAGCAGCTTGCAGCACGGGGAGCCGGCAGCCTGGGATGCAGCCCTGTGCTGCCTCTGCCAGCCCATGGGATCAAAGCAAAGACCACTCTGGGTGGAGACAGCCAGGGCCTGGGCCCCTGTCTTGCTCAGCCAGTAACCGGCCCTTTGTGCCCCCTCCCCTGAAGAGCACGAGTGAGCCGGGCTAGAAAGCTGAGGTGCCCCCAGGAGGCTGTCCTCGAACCACACTCCTCAGAGCAGCTGGGCAGCGAGTTCTGTCTTGAAGGGGGATCTGTTCCACCAGGAAAGGGGTAGGCCTGCAGGGAGGGACCTTGACCACCCTGTCCTTTGGGATGGGAAATCCAGGGATCAGCACCCCCACTCCTGTAAGCCCAGGAAAGGCCTGGTGGGGAAAGGCTGGATCTGTAGGGAACCACACGCAGCAGGTCAGAGCCCAGAGGTGTGTGTGTGTGTGTGCACGTGTTGGGTGTGAACAGGTGTGCACGGGGCATGTGCATGTGTTCAGTACAGGTATATGTGTGTGGATGTGCGCATGGGTGTATATGTGTGCAGGTGTGGGGTGTGGGGGTGTGTGAAGTGTGCAGCATGGGTATGTGCCCATGTGTATATGTATGTATGCAAATGTGTGTGCATGCGTGTGTGTATATGCCCATGCGCAGTATCTTGTGTCCCTCTGGCATTCAGGCAGGGGCTTCCAGCTTTGGGCACCGCTGGCAGGTGGCAGCGTGGTCTGGACACCTGGAGTTGGCCCTGTCCTCTGGGAAGAGGACTGGCAGAGTAAGAGGAGGCCTCTGGGCAGGAGTAGGGACATTGGGCCATCAGAGGGCACAGCAGGGGCAGCAGGGCAAGATCTAGGAGACTTGACTCTGTGCCGGGCACTGGGCTCAGCTCCTCACCCATATGGCTTATTACTTACCACAACCCCTGGGGCAGGAGGTGTTATTACGCCCACTTTATGGTAAGGAGACTTTTGCATCCTCAAAGTCACACAGCTAGTAAGGGGGACATTCATCCAGCCAGTGAATTCATTCAACAGATGTTTTATTGAGCACCTACTATGTGCCAGGTCCAGTGCATGATGAACAAAACAGGACAAAGTCTGCCTCAGAGGACATGCTAGAGAGTGGGGTGGGGGTTGAGAAATGTGGCGGTTAAGTGAAGATTGTTGGTTGGTAAAGTTGCTTCAATTTCTCCTGCCCCAGACCGGGATTGGCCAGGGGAGCAAGGTGGAGGTTGAGCCTCCGGGTGTGGTCAGGTGTACCCAGGGCTCAGGGAGGGGAGCCTGCAGGGCCCCCAGCTGAATGTGTATGTCAGGATGGAAGGCAGGACCTGCCTTGGGCCCCCGGCACCTTGAAGCCTTGGTCTCCCTCCTCCCCATCTCCTCCTGGCCCAGCCAAGACAAGAGGCTGAAGCCAAACTCTAAAGGTGTTCACCCTGGGGTGGGGGTGGGGGTCCCTCAAAATGGTTGATGCCTGGTCCCACCCCAGACCTGTCAACTCAGAATCGGTGGGGCCAGGAATCCAGATTTTTGGCAGGTGCCCCAATGATTCTGACCTGCAGCCGTGCTTGGGTGCCTCTTTCTAAACCCTCAAGCTGCCTCTAGACCCAGAGTCCTTGCCCAGCCCCATCTGTGAAATGGGCAGAGTTGCTGCAGAGTATTCTTGGGAGGAAGAAGAAAGGTCCTGCCCATCACCTGCCTCCAGCCCCGTCTCCACACTTGTTTCCTGAGCAGGGCAGAAGAGCTTGGAGGATGTAGGGGTGTGTGGGGGGACTCACATAGTTTTTCCAGTTCACACGTAGAAGGCAGCTGTCCCTGTGTCTTAGCTTGGGCTCCCTGGGAATGAACCTCAGGAGCATGCTGGGTGGGAGGTGCTGGGCAGTGGTCTCAGGGGAGATGCTTGCGAGGGAGTGAGGTCTGCAGGAAGGTGAGGATGAAGCTGGGCCTCGGGGCCGGTTGGCTGGGGCCCCAGTGAGCCCTCGGGAGCTCTGGAGCTGGGGTGTCCTTCATAGAGGTCCCCGACATTGGTCAGTCCTGGCTGTGGCCACACTAGGGAACCAGCAGGGGGAGGGGGTGGTGAAACTTAGGTGACTAGGACGAATTCCCAGTGAGAAGCAGAGCTGAGAGCTACCTGGGCACTGTGATGCCACTGCACCCTGGGCTGCTGTCCACCCCAGGCCTGGCCTTGGGACCCTGTGAGCACCTCAGTTCTGCTGCCCAAGCACAGTGCAGCAAGCTGGGGGTTGGGGAAGAGGGATGGAGGCAGCAGATCCAGGCCGTGTGGGCCCTCACCTCCCCATCAGGTCTGGATGCCGGGAAGGGGGAGGCCTCCTGACCCAGACCCTCCCTGAATCCCCTCTCCTTGGAGGTAGGCATTGGCCTCCCTGCAGGCCTGCGGAGCTCCAGGCCTGCATCCTCAGAGCCCTCAGACTGGATTTCTGGGAAAGAGAAGTTCCTTTATCCTGACCTCCTGCTTTGGGGGATGTGGGGGCCAGGGAGCCCAGGAGGCCTCGGCTCTGTCCAGCCCTTCCCATCGGGCCTGGCAGAGGGTGCAGCTGCCCTCGGCAGGCCCCGTGACGCAGGCCAGCAGCAGGGAGGCTGCCCAGGCTGGGGCTGAGCCAGGGCCTGCGGAGGGCCCTCTGTCCAGGCCAGATGGCCACTGCTCCGGTGGGAGGGGCTGCCAACACCTCCGCAGTGGCCTGGCCGGGTTCTCCAAGCTTCCCTTGTCTAGCGGGCCTTCAGCTGCTGTGTACCGAGAGGCTGCACTTCTTCCCTGGCAAGCGGGGCTTTGAGAGGCCCACCACCTGCACTGCCTCCCTGGGACTCTCTCCCCACTCCAGGGCCCAGCCAGGCCTGCCAAGTCTCACGTCAACACTGACCAAGGTCCTGCAGGAAGCCTGTGAGGTGGCCTGGGCAGTGGGGCCTTCCCTCATAGCATTCCCTCCTCTGCAGTTCAGGCTGGTCAACTCCTCATTCATTCATTCATTCATTCATCCATCCGTTCATTCCTCCAGCAAATACATCAAGCACCTGTAACACTCCAGGGGCTGTTCTGAGCCCTGAAATTACACAGATGAACAAGATGGGCAAGGCCCCTGCCCTTCCAAAGCTGGCCCTCTACCGGGGAAGATCGGAAAACTAAAGGTGCCTGGTCGTGTGATTGAGACAGGGATGCTTTAGGAAAGGCTGCGAAGAGGAGCAGCCAGCCAGGCCAAGTTCACGGGGCGTGGTAAGGAAGGGGCAGAAAGAGAGTTCCAAGAAGAGGAAAAAGCATGGGGGGTGTGGTGGGTCTGGCGTGTGCTTGTGGCGGTAGGGGTTTGGAGGGGTGGAAGAGGGCCGTTGGGCTGGGACCTCAAGGTCTTGTAGGAGCTGGGTTTGAGTCTGTGAGGCTTTCACTAGGGGAGCAATATAAACATAGCTCACGTGCAGGGGGCTCTTCGGACAGGCAGGGCATTGTGCCAATCACCTGACATAGGCCAACTCGTTCAAACTTCCTAAGAACCAGATGGTAGGTCCTATTATCCCATTTCACACACAAGAAAACAGAGGCACTGAATGGATAAGTCATTTGCTCAGTGAGATACTCCAAGTCAGTGGTAGGGCTGGGATTTGTGGTAGGCAGCCTGGCTGTAGAACCCTAACCACTGAACCACACCGCCTCTTGGGATACACTTTCCTCCCCTCCAAAAACACCTCCTCCAGGAAGCCTTCTCACCCCAGAGTTTGTCTGCTCTGATTAAGCAACACATCAGCACCCTACATGGCCTAAAAGCCTGTAGAGTCCTTAGGAGGTCATCTCGTCCATGCCCCTGCCTCCAGATGGAAATGGTATTATAAGTCTCATTTTGCAGATGAGACTACAGAGACCCAACGAGGCTTGAACATTACTTAGAGTCAGTGAGGGAGGCCTTGGTCTCCGGAATTCTTCCACCCTGGGCCCAACCTCTCCAACCCCTCCCGACCTCTTTGAGACAATTCTAAGTTTGTTTCTTGTCTGCCCACCCCTCCCCCTCCCCCAGCTAGACAGAGGCCTTCCCTGTGCCCACCACATGGCGATGCACATAGTAGGGGCATACTCAATGCCTGAAGATGGAATGGGTGGTGCATACAGGAACTTGCTGGGCTTGGTGCTGCTGCCTGGGATTCTTGAACAGAGACGTTTTGCAGAATGGATGTGAGCTGAGGAGTAAAGGATGCTTCGGAATCTTCTAGTGAGTCAGGGAGCCAGGCTGGAGTGTTTCTGTCTGGAGAGGGAAGGGCATCCCAGCTGGAGGGAACAGCATATGCAGAGAGAGCGGGTGGGGAGGACAAGGAGTTCTGTTTGACCTGAGCATGGAGAGAAGATGGGCAATGAGCCTAGGGTGGGTGGCAGGGATGGGATGGGGGCTGTGTGCCAGGCTAAGAAGCTGCCACTCTGGATTGGGAAGGGGTTGGGCAAGCAGGCAGAGGGGAGTAGCTGCCCAGTGAGCCCTGGATGCAAATCCCGACCTTGCCGCTTGAACTTGTGCAAGTCATAGGCCCTCTTGGAGCCTCAGTTTCCCCCCTTCATTATTTGGGGGTGGTGCCCACTCCTAAGGACCCTTCGAGCCCTGCACACTCTTATTATGTGGTTGCTGCTCTCTTGCACTCCCGACAAACAGAGAGACTCCTTGGGTAGATATGAAATCTCTTTGATACCCTGATTTCTTGTTGCCATGCATGGCTTTGCTCTGCAATGTTCCACCAGCCCTTTGAGAGGCGTGTGTCCCAGTGCCTCCAGTTCACAAGGGAGCCTGGGTCGACATGCTCTTTCTTACTTTCAAACCCTTCCTCTTGTGGAGTCCCGCCCAGGGCAGGCCAGTCTCGTGGGCCTGGGCCTGGGCATGGACATGGCCCAGCTCTGAGGGCGGGGGCATCAGGGGCATGAGTGGGATCAGCATGGCCATTGGCATCAGTGGCATCAGCTCCTCCGAGGCCCCAGGGGGGATGAAGGGCAGCTCATTAGGATCCAAGTGGGCGTCACTCCAGCCCTCGGAGCTATCACTGCGGTCCTCTGGATTGGTGGCTTCATTCTCAGATATGGTGACAATCTCAGTGGTGTCTTCTCCAGGGTTGCTGTCTAAGTCCCCTGCTCCTCGGCTGGTGCCTCTCTCAAGTGTGCTGGCTGTGTGGGCATCTGCTGCGCCCTCCTGCTTCTGCCTAGAGCCAGCTGAAGGGGCACAGCCGAGCCCACACATCTTAGCTCTGCCCTGGCCAGTCCAGAAGAGGCTGAGCTCTTGGCGGCAGGCAGCCACAGCCAGGCTGGTGAGCAGGGTGCTGGACACTAGGTAGAGCAAGGCAGGTTGGCCCATCTGCATGAGGACCATGGCCATGAATGTGACCAGCAGGCCCACAGCATAGGCCACGGTGCAGGCCACGAAGTAGATCTGACGGGAGCAGACTTGCACATCAAAGCGGCAACAGTAAGCAACCAGGAAGCCGGGGACCACAATGTCACCGAAGCCAAGGATGGAGAAGGGCTGGCTGCACAGGGTCAAGGCGGAGACTCTTAGCCGGGGCACTTTGAGTACCATGGGCAGCCTCTCATGGCTTGAAGACTCTGCAGGGCCCAAGGCAACCTGCGCCATGATGCTCTCACCGGTTTTGGTGAAGAAGGGGGTGACGAAGACAAAGAAGACATCAAAGGCCAGCAGGGCCAGCAGGAAGGAGGAGCAGTTCTTGAGAGTGGGCAGCCGCACACGGTGCAGGACGAACAGGCAGTAGGAAATGCCCAGTGTGTCCTGCAGGAGCCACGCCCAGCGGTCCTCATTGCGGTAGGCCACCCAGAAGATGATCACGGTTGCGCACAGGCTCGCCAGCAGCAGCAGAGGCAGCGGCAGAGAGGCCCAGAGGCTGTGCGGAGGCCTCTGGTATTGCCGCAGGGACAGGCGGCACACCAGGGGTGACAGGCAGCTGTAGAGGCCAATGCCAGCACCCAGGCCAAAGATCCCAATGGTGACATAGACAAAGTGGTCATAGAAGAAGTAGAGCAGCAGCATGAGCGAGCAGGACAGGGTGACCACCACGCCTGTCATGGCCGGCGTGAAGTCCACTGGGATGTCCTCATTATCTTCCTTCTGGGCTCCCTCAGCTGCTGCAGCTTCCTGCAGCTGATGGTGACCACCAGACCCCCCTCCTCTTCGGGCACGGCGCCGCTGTAGCCGGTTGGCTTCGGTCAGGCCGGCCCAGTAGCCGCCTGCAGCCACTGTGCCCACAGCCAGGATGAAGATGACCAGCATGTTGTAGTCGATGATGGGCTCTGGGGGTGCGTACATGGCCACGCGGACGACGGCCTCCCCACGAGTGTGGCTGAGGATGTCCAGCATGTCAGCATAGTGGAGCATAGCCACAGGGATGGTGAGGTCTGCCAGGGGCTGGCGGGGATCCTGGGGTGCCAGGGTGGTGTCTGAGCACTGTTGGTCACTGACCCGGCTCACGATGAGCAGCCCGTGGGCACCTTGGCCCTGAGCCAGCCAGCCTTTCGTGTGGAAGCTGCAGTTACCCCTCATGACCATGGCAGTGGTCTGGCGGAGGGGCCGCTGGCTGGGGGAGCGGAGCTGGGCCTGGTGGGGGGAATCCTCACCCGGGCACCAGGGTGCCTTGGTGCCATCATACAGGGGCAGGAGTGGGGCGTGGTGCAGGTCCCGGGGGAGGGTGATGTAGTCGGAGCTGAACAGGATACAGTAGTCCTTGCTCCAATTCTCCGACACCACGTGGGCCACGCCGTACTTTCCCCCGGCCACGGTGCTGATGAGGAGGAGGAAGCCCACGGGGAGGAGGAAGCCCAGGCACGCCATCTTCTTCAGTTCCTACTGCAACATCTGCGGGCGGCAGCCCAATACCCCTCCCAGGGGCAGGCGTGGCCCTTTGTCACAGAGCAGTCTGGCCACCTGTCCTGGAAACCAGGGCCACACCTACCTAGTCATAAAGCTGTGTGGTCCCCAGCCGAGGGCGCTGCTGTGGGGCACAGGGTCCCTCTAGAATGATGCCCCCCAACCCTGGGAGACCAGGGGAGAGGTCATATGGACCCTGCTCTCTGCCCAGACCCTAGTGGGTTTAGACCAGGTACTTTGAAATAAAAGGTGTGAGCATGGGGTTTGCAGGCCAGATAGGATTCTGAACCAACTTTTCTCCTTACCCATGGGGAACACAGGCCAATGTCACTCCTCTCTAGGCCTGTTTCTTTAGCTGTAAAGAAATGAGGACGTTGGGCCAGAGAGTTTCTAAGGTCCCTTGGAGCTCTGAGCTCAGTAACATTGAGCACTTTTACCGAGGGCTTACTAGGCGCCAGGTACCCTAGCTGTACCTATTGCACAGTTGCAAGGAGGTGTCATTATATCTGCACAGCCTGAGGCTGTCCCTCAAAGTTGGTCCCCATTTCTACCAGGCACATGACCAGAATTCACCTCCAACTCCATTTACAGTTGGGAACGGACAGGTGACCAGGAGAAATTAAGCAAAAATGATGTGAACTCTTTACATCAGGGGCTTAGGCTGACAGACCGTGGGGCTCCTGGTTTACCCTCTCTTTCCCTTTCTCAGGAGTCAGAACAAGGACGGGCCTGTGATGTGTCTGTCTATGACGAGGAGGACAATGTCCTAAGGAATGGAGAGGAAGAAAGTGAAGGGAACCAGGTCCCTGGATTCCATGTGGAACAGTAGCCCAGGATGTGCACTATGGACTGTTACAAGAGAGAGACATGATCTTCCTTAAGGCATTGATTTGTCATGAGTCTCTTTGTTATAGCCACTTAACGTTACCTTAATACACCCACTTCATGGATAAGTAAAACTGAGGCTTGGAGAAGCCCACATTGACACAGCAAAGAAGGCTGGGGCTCTTGTGCTGGTTAAATGGACCTTGATGTCTTCCAAATGTTTTCATGCTGGATTCTGAGCCACTCTCCTGGCTGCAACTCTGAGGCCGGGCAGACTTTCCGCTGGAAAGAGAACTCAAATACTGGTGAGAGGTGGATTTGAAGCCAGGAGCCCCAGGTTTTGGCTCTGCAGGTTTGCACCCAGCTCTGTGGTGTATGCCCTCACAGGTCACCCAGGACCTCCTGTCCAGGCTTCTTCAGGCCACCCATGATGGAGTAGATTTGAGGAATGAGGTTTTCAAAGCAGTTAGTGTGCGGGAGAGTAACCCTGGGGCCTCCGGAACCAGAAGGGAGGGATTTGGGGGCTGGAGCTTGGCAGTCCAGGTTCCATTGTCCTCATGTTCTCCCCACTGGCCTGGCCTGTCACTCCAGTCTCTGCATAGGTTGTCACATGGCATTCTCCCTGTGTGTCTCTGTGTCTCTTCTCTTCTTTATAAAGACATAGTTATAATGGATTAGGGCCCACCCTAATGACACCATCTTAACTTGATTATGTCTGCAAACACCCTACTTCCAAATAAGGTCGCATTAACAGGTACTGGGGTTTAGGACTTCAACATGCCTATTTGGGGGCACAATTGTGGGCAGCCCCACAACACACATGTAATTTTAACCTCTAAGGAGTAAGCATGCTGATTTTTTTTTTTTTTTTTTTTTGAGACAGGGTCTTGCTCTGTTGCTCGGCTGGAGTGCAGTGGCACGATCTCAGCTCACTGCAAACTCCACCTCCTGGTTTCAAGCAATTCTCCCCCGACCCAGCCTCCCGAGTAGCTGGGATTACAGGTGTGTGCCACCATGCCCAGCTAATTTTTGTGATTTTAGTACAGATGGTGTCTCACCATTTTGCCCAGGCTGGTCTCGAACTCCTGGCCTTAAGTGAATCGCCCACCTCAGCCTCCCGAGGTGCTGAGATTACAGGCACAAGCCACTGTGCCTGGCCAATCACTGATCTTTCTCAAGGACTCTCCTTCTTTTCTCTTTGAGATGGAGTCTCACTCTGTCCCCTAGGCAGGCTGGAGTGCAGTGGCACAATCTTGGCTCACTGCAACCTCCACCTCCCAAGTTCAAGCGATTCTCCTGCCTCAGCCTCCCAAGTAGCTGAGATTATAGGCGCCCACCACCATACCTGGCTAATTTTTGTATTTTTAGTAGACATGGGGTTTCACCATGTTAGCCAGGCTGGTCTCAAACTCCTGGCCTCAGGTGATCCAGCCACCTTGGTCCCCCAAAGTGCTGGGATTACAGGCGTGAGCCACCGTGCCTGTCAAGGCCTCTCCTTCTATTACGGGTCCATCTCTTGCAGTCCCAAACTGCTTTCCTTGGGAAATCCACAGGGATGAAACATCATCTCCAACATCAGCTGTGGATTCTTTGAAGTGGAGGGTGAGTTTAAAGGGCCATGTGAAGTGGTCAGCAAGTGGAACCCATCTGAGATTCTGACAATTCTCTCTCACCCAGTTATTTACACTCATCTCACCCACACCTAATTTGCCAATATTTTTGGTGACTCATTTGTAAAGTATCCTTCAAAGCATTAGACTGAATTTTCATAAGAAACATCTCTCCTTGTTAGTGCACTTCTGATTCATCAGTAATATAACATTTAGTTAGATTACGACAGTAATTACAATGACAAGTGAACTGTCAGAAACATGTTCAGGAACAAATACAAGTGACTGGCAAACAAACCACCAGCCGGTGTGAGGAGAAGCAGGCAGAGCCCAGGGGAGGAGGCTGCCAGCTGTCCCTTCCGAGTGCTCCCATTTCAAAGGGGAGGTTGGCAGGAGGGTGGTTAGGAGAGGGAGGCTCGCCTGTAGGCCACAGGAGGGCTGTGACAGTAAAACCCTTTCTGGCCCCCCAGCAACGAATGGGCAACCTAGACCCTCACTCCAGGCCCTGTTCTCCACGCAGGGAGTCGTGGATCTTTTAAAAAACAAGAACCAGCACACCCACTTTGTCACAAAACCCAGACAATCACAAGCTTTGTCGAGGATATAGGGAAGTTGGGACCCTCATACACTGCTGGTGGGAATGGAAAATTGTGCAGCCGCTGCAGGAAACAGCTTGGTGGTTCCTAGATAAGTTAAGCAGAGTTATCATATGACCCAGCACTTATACTCCCAGCTATATATCCCAAAGAATTGAAATCAGGCCTTCAAACAAAAGCGTGTACATGCATGCTCATAGCAGGACTATTCATGATAACTTGGAATAGGTGGAGAGAACCCATATGTCCATCCACTGATGAATGGAGAAACTGCGGTCTCTCCACACAAGGGAATAGCATTCAGCCATAAGAAGGAATGACGTTTTGATACCTGCTACCATGTGGATGGACCTTGAAAACATTATGCTAAGCCGAAACACATTATGCTAAGTGGAAACACATTATGCTAAATGAAGACGCCAGACACAAAAGGACACATATTGTACGATTAATTCCACTTACGTGAAACAGCCAAAACAGGCAGATCTACAGAGGCAGAGAGCAGATTCGTGGCGGGCAGGGGCTGGGGGAGGGGAGAATGAGGAGTGACTGGTGGGTATGGGATTTCCATCTGGGGTGATGAAGAAGTTCCAGAACTTTTTCTATCTCAGTGGTTTCAGTTGCACGACATTGTGTATTTAAAGTCACTGAATTGTGCACTAACATGGTTGAAATGGGACTTTTTTTTGAGATGGAATTTCGCTCTTGTCCCTCAGGCTGGAGTGCAGTGGTACAATCTCAGCTCACTGCAACCTCCACCTCCCGGGTTCAAGTGATTCTCCTGCCTTAGCCTCCCGAGTAGCTGGGATTACAGGCATGCACCACCACCATGCCCAGCTAATTTTCGTATTTTTAGGAGAGACAGGGTTTCACCATGTTGGCCAGGCTGGTCTCGAACTCCTGGCCTCAAGTGATTCACCCACCTTGGCCTCCCAAAGTGCTGGGATTACAGGTGTGAGCCACAGCGCCCAGACGAAATGGAGCAACTCCAGTCCCCTCCAGCTGCTCTCTCCTCAGGACAGGTCTCATTTTAGTTCTTCTGGACTCCATCACACCAGCACATGCCCCAATTTGGGGGTCTGCACAGACACCTCAAGCAGAGCTTGCTCCTGCCCCTTCTCCCAGATCTACCCGTGGACTGGTTGCCCAGGGCCCAGATAATTCGCAGAAGGCTCATTCCCTCCGAGACTCTGCCTGGGACCCCACTCACAGAAGGCTTTCGTGGGTATGTTTGATCATTGCTTCCCCAGGTCCCCCATCCCTGTGCCCACCCCCATCCATCAGCCCTGGAATCATTCCTCTGGTGGCCACTCAGAGCACTGGTCAGTGCCCTCACATGAGTGGCTGATGCCCCTTGGGGCCATGGCCCACTGCCAGGCTGAAATCCCGCTCCAAGACTTCAGTCCCGCCACCCTCCCCACCCCCACTCCAGATTCAACTCCTTTCCTGGAGGGCACCCCCTGTATCTGTGACTTTGCTCCCCACAACTCCCCCTCCCTCCCCCCACCCTACTGCCCCCTCAGCTATGGCCTGGGCTCTCGGGGTGGCTGCCCAGAGCAGGCTGGGGTAGTGTCTCTGCCTTCTACTTGAGGACCTAGGTGCACCTGGAACATTTATCTTCAACACACAGGGCAGCAGGGCCAGCAGGCCCCAGGCAGCAGGTCTCAGGAAGGGTGGGGAAGGGGCCTAGTTCACCTGGCCCCTCACCTGCCCTTGCTGCCCTGCCCAGCAGCTTCCCCGCTGCATGTTCTAGAGTGGATTGCCATCCACTCCCTCCCCCTTCCCCTGTGATGAGGATGAGCCAGGCAGGCCCACCAGCTGCTGCCCCCATGCCCCCTCACCCTAGCTGATGCCTGCCGTGCCCCCAACCTGGGCTCCTTAGGCACCTAAGAGGCCACCACCCCTTCTTCTGCTCCACCTGCCTTGGCCCAATGGGCAATGAGGCTGGGCAGCAGGGATCAGTCAAGGACCCCTTGGAGGGACAGAAGCCGGTAGGGCTGCTATCTGGCAGCCAAGGGTGGTCTCTGGCCTTATCTCCAAATAATAGTCTCATTGGTGTTCCCAAGCCACTGAGAGCTTTGATAAATATATATGGCCCAGGCCTCTCTTGAGCCTGGTCTGCCAGCAGGACCTGCAGGTGTTGGTGAGCTGAGGGCAGGGGTGGGAGGTGATGCTCTGAGGTAGAGCTGGGATGGGGCTGGGGACGGGAGACTGGCAGGTGGAGCTGGCTTGGAGGCCAGATTTGGGGAGTGGGCTGCCCGAGGCCCACGCTCCGCAGGCTCCAATTCCTTCAGCTAGCTCATCTCTGAATGCTGTTTGACCACAGACTGGGGATGGAAGGATTTCCCTGGGGAGGGGATTGGAAGGGGCAGTGGGGCTGGGAGGACAGCCTTACTAAGAACTCCCACTGCATAGGGGTTAAGCTTCACGGATGCCTAGTGTGGCCTCCCTGGCTTTTCATCCATCCGTGGGTGCCATCAGGCAGGTATCTTAACCTCTCTGGGTTTTATTTGCCTTATCTGTTAAATGGGGATAACAGCCCCGCCTCATAGGGCAGTATAAAGAGTCAATGAGATAAACATGTGAGGGGCTAAGCAGCACCTGATGCCCGGTAAACAATCAATAATGATCAGTGTTGCTGTTAGCAAATTGTAGAAAGCATTCTCCTCGGTTTGAAGCAAGTGTGGGCAGCTGAGTTGGAAGTCAGTTGGCAGTTTGGATGAGCTGGCTCTGAGGTACCCCTGGGCTGGAGGCCAGCAGCACACTCCTTGGCTGGGGTGTAGGGGGGCCCACTGTGGCTGATGGTGGCCCCGGCTGCATTGTTTGAAATTAAGCATCATTTTAAGGAGCTGGGGGGTGGAGGATGTCAGGAAGCTGGGGAAGGAGATGCTGGATCCACAGAACTCTCATTGCTCGGCGGCTGGACACTGGTGGGGCCATCTTTGGGGAAGTCCCATCTTCACGTGGGGCACGTCCCAGATCACGGAGACCCTGAGGCCTCCTTGCTGCCCTCTTGCCACAGAGCTCTTCATTGGTTCTGGCCTCCCAGAACCCAAGCCCCTTCAGTTCACTGAGGGGTGAAAAAAGCCTTAGACTTGGAACCAGACCTTCAATCTTAGGGGAGCTGCCAGGCCTCAGTTTCCCTGGCTGCAAAACAGGTGGGTTACTACCTCTGTGGGCTAGTTGAGGATTACCCTAGAACTTAAAGTATAATAAAAATAAACAAATAAAGACACACACACACAAATATAGAGATGTGAAGTGGGAAATCAGGGGTCTCACAGCCTTCAGAGCTGAGAGCCCCGAACAGAGATTTACCCACGTAGTAAAAAAAAAAAAAAAAAAAAAAAAGACAAATGTTATAAGGATGTTTGTGGATGGCAAAGTAATCTACAATACCCACAATGAAGGTATTATTCTATGGATTCCAAACCCACCTCATCTGCTAACACATGGTTTTCCCCATCTGACTCTCCACCCAGTCCTGGTCCCAGGAGAGCTGAGCCATCAGTAGCAGGGGGCTAGAGAAGGAGGCCTGGAGGGGAGGCTGAGGACCTCTGGGCAGGGGCTGTGCTGTCACACTAAGGGACGGGGAGGGGGTGGCCTGAACTGGAAAAACAGTGGGGCTTTTCCTCCACTACTGTTCTGTGCCCATGAAGGAGGACGTCAAGGAGAAATGGGCTCAGGTGGGGGTAGCATTAGGGGACCGCAGCCTTTAGGCATGGTGTGGAGAGAAATTCTTCCAGGCATGAGGTCTTCCGGGTCTGGGAGGGCCTCCAGCGACCTTCCCCCACCACTGCAGCTTGGAGGGTCCCCAGTGGCTCCCCCAACTTTGTGTAGTCGCATGTGTGTTTTTCGGCTCATCACACCCCACTCACTCCCACAGGGGCCTCGCCACCCCAAGCTGAACCTGAGCAGAATGGCCCAGATGCCTGGTCTCAGGGCTGCCTTCTCTGCGACGAAGCCCAGAGCGCATGTCTGCCATGGGAGATGATAGAACTCTGGGCCTCTGGGCTGCAGGTTCTGAGGCTCAGATGTTCCTGGCTGTTCCCTGAAGCAGCCCCTCCGCCCTCAGATTCTCTCAATGGGAGGGGAGCCCCAGGCTCCATCTGCCTGCCCAGGGATTCCGCCTCCAGCTTCTCCGATGACCCTCAGACTTGTCTTGGAGCTGTCCTCTTGGTGGCCTTCCAGAGCCAGAGGCTCTGAGCTTTGTGTTTTTTGGGGGGTCCCTGGGGTCCCCCCTGGGTGGCTGCTCATCTCTCACCCAAGACCTAGCACAGTGCTGAGCACACAGTAGGTGCCCAGAAGGTGCCTGGCAGTGAGAGCAGCCAGGAAGCCCACTCAGGAAAGCGGGGTGCGGCCTGGCTGGGCTTATCCACACTTCCTGGTCTGTACCGTCCCTTCCCTGTCTTCCCCTCACCCCCACCCTCTCGGCTCCTCCACCCCTGCGGTGCGACCCTCATCCCATCCCCACTGGCATTGTCTCGGGAAAGCCTCGCCTTCTCACTTCTCCACCTTCACTGGGTGAGAGGCAGAGTTGGGAAAGCTGTCTCCGTTGTGGCCATTAGAGACTCAGGTCACTTCTAGTCTCTCCAGGCAGCCAGGACCCTTTACTGGGCTTCTTCCCACTCCCCACAATATCCCCCACGTTGCTCTGGAAGCCTCCAGCCTACCTCTGTCACGGTGCTCCCTGGGTCCCCCACCCCATCTCTCTACTTCAGGGCACAGAGCTTGGAGAATTGGCAGAGCAGAGTACCCCATAGGGCCTTCAAGGATATCCTTAGCTACACCCGGGCCCAGGCCCTCCCCAACGAAACGTGCCCTCCCTCAGCAGGAGCTGCGGGGCTTTCGGCACTGTGTCACCTTTGTCTGTTCCTGGTGTCCTGACACTGCAAGCTCTTGTGTGCGCCTGGGTGCACAAGTGCACATGTGTATACACACGTCCCACCCACGGGGCTCTCCTCCCTGGTTAGAGAGACCCAGAGACAAGGCCCGGGCTGCAGTGGGGCCCTGTGTCCAGTTCTGGTGTTCCACCCACACCCCCTGCCCCTCCAATGCAGCACACACTGGCTTCCACCCACCCGCACATCACTGTGCCGGAGAACTCTCTCTGGCCCTCTGTAGCCTGATGTGGGAATGCAGAAGAGTTCATGTCCCCCTGGGAGCAGCCCTCAACCCGCAGCTGATGGGAGATGGTGGATAAATACCCCAGCTCCCTCACCTGTTGGGTGGGATGAGGGAGGGCTTCCCCAGCGGAAGGGAGCTCCAGGCGCCCACAACAGTGTTGGAGTGTCAGTCCTGCCCCAGAGGCCACCCAGGGCTATACAAGCTCTGGCCCGGAGTTGGGGGCACTGAAGCCAGCAAGCCAGGGGAGCCTGAGTGTGCCACCCACCTCAGAGCGGCACTGGCCAGGGCTGGGGCATACCTGTCTCTTGCTCACAGGCTACCGTGTCCCCCTCTAGCCCCCACCTTTCCCCTGCCTTCCTTGCCTGGCTTCACTCCCTGTTGCCCTCTCTGTACTCCCCTTCCCTCGAGTTTGCACAAGAAACCTCAGGGTCTCAGGGATGGCTTCTTGTGGCGGCCCTAGTGGAGACAGCTGCATTCACAGCCTGTCCAGTGGCCCAGCATCCTAATTCTGCTTCCCACCAATCAGCACAGCTCCTGCCTGGGGCTGGGACACACTCCCGTCTCCTTTGTTCCTTCCCCTGACCCATGGTGTCCCTCCTCTGCATCCCTAACCGTGGCCCTCCTCTCCCTCTAATTCACCTCCTCACAACAAGCTGTCCCTAACTAAGGGGGCCCTGGCCAGACCCACCTGTTCCTCGAAGCCCTCCCTCCTGCCCTCACCCCTCTCCCGGCCCTCAGGGGCTCTCCTGGCACCATCCTTGCCGGGGTGAGAGTGGGGTCAGGTTTCTCAGCAACACAGCAGCCCCTGAAAGCTGGGAAGCAGCCCCCACCTCTGTGAGACACCCTCTCCATCCAGCCCCCTGTGGAGTCCAGGCCTTCACAAATGCTGGTTGAAAAGATAAATATTATTTATACCAGCCACCCGCCTCACAGCCGACACCCTCATCTTCTAGTGCCCCCCAAAGCCCTGCCCTGGCTGTCCAGTCCCTCTGGACATGGGCAGGTCAGTGGGGGCTGCGGCCGGTCCACACCTGGAGTGTAAGCAGCACGTTGTCCCAAGAGCCACTTGGGCAGGGGTCTTCTCCTGGCTTGCTTAGCTAGTGGTCCTGCCCCAGAGGCCATCCAGGGCTACAAGCTCTGCCCCAGAGGCTGGGACTGGGACACCCCTGGCTCTTGCTCACAGGCCACTCTGCCCCCTCCAGCCCCCATCTTCTCACAAAAGAGGAAAAGGAGCAGGAGGTGACTGGTATGGGGTGGTTAAGTGAGGGGAAGCTGGCCTGGCCTGCAGGGTACTAAATGTTCAGGGTGAAGGCAGCAAGGCAGGGCATTGCTGGTGGCAGTGCCACAGTGCCAGTAAGGTTCTGGAGGCCTGGGGGGGTGACTCTAGTGCTGTGGCCGCAAGTCTGATGATGACACCTGACTTCTGTCTCCAGGGTTCCTGAGTGAGGGCCCTTGGTTCCCAGTGGTGTCGGAAGGCATCACCGAGGTCCAGAGGCGTCATCGTGGTGAGTCAGAGGCTGTCACGAGTTGCCCATGATGCCCCAGGGCAGCAAATGGCCTCCCCACGGTTGCCGAGGGCAGCCCCAGGGCCCAGTGGGCTGGCCTTCTTGTGCTCTGGGAGAAGACAGCCTTGGAGGGACATGCGTGCTGCTGTAGGTGTCCAGCGCCCCATTTCAATTCATTCCCATGTCCCTTCTCCAGGGAGGATTGGGCAGGGAAGCCAGAGGCCCTGGGCCCGGCCCAGTCCTGTAGGTGACTTTCCACTCATGAGCTAGAGTCCTGCACGGCTGCAGGGGGAGAGCGGCCCCCCCAGGCTGTCAGTGCCAGCTGCTCCTGGGGGAGTGGGCATGAGACCTAACAGGTCACCTCCACAGGCAGGGTGGTCAGGGAGCCTGGCCGTCATCCCCCCAGCCACAGCTCTTTGGGGGCTGCTCCATGACCTGCCAGCTCAGACTGCTGTGGACTGCTTGATGCTGTGAAAGCTGACACGGGTTGGGGAGGTGGGGATGGACATGGCACGGGCCACTCGGGCACGGATCGAGTGCTTGTCCTGCCACCGGTGCCACCTCTTCCGGATGGCAGAACGGACCTGTGGGCACAGGGAGGAGCACGACATCTGAGCCTGTGGCTCAGGACCCCCTCCCTCCCCTGGGCCGCCACGAGCAGCTGTGCAGGTAAGCGGCTGTGCAGGTCAGCTGAGTACATGGAAGTCCTCAGTAGGGGATGACACTCACAGCCTTAACACGACTGCTTTGCATATTTGTCGGAACAGGTTTCTCAAATGTCCTGGGGAAGGGGCACCCTTTTCTAACCCACACGAAGGCACCATATGCCCTTTGCCATGAAGGCTCCCTGCCCTCAACCCACATGTATCCCCTGCCCAGGGCTCAGCCCTTCCTGGTTTTCACAGGCTCATCAAAGATACTGGAGCTCTGGCTTCCAGCCTGGTGCCAGCGGCCTCTGAGAGCAAAGGAGGGGGCTGTCACTGTGGGAGTGGACAGGTGGGAGGGGCCACCCTGGGGCTCCCAGCAGCATACCCCTAGGGACCTAGGAGCAGGGAGGGAGAGAGGCAGCCCTGGGAGGGGAGGAGAAGGCTCTAGACAATCGCCAGTCCCAACAGGCCTCACAGCCCTGAACCCCGCTGCAGGGCCCCCGGGTCCTCACCTCACTATTGAGGAAACAGTAGAACACAGACACAAAGAAGCCCTGGGGAGGAGAGAGGAGGCGTCAAAGGTCGGCTGCAGGTGTTGCCCACCCAGCCTCTGGGCTGCCCCTTGCTTCTCCCTGGCCTCCTGCCCTCCAGGCCTCTGCTTGGCAGAATCCCCACCCAAGGAGGTGCTGATGTGTCCCTCCAGGGCTGTACCTGGAAGGATTCCAGGAAGGAGTTGAAGTAGATGAAGACGACCCGGGAGACCTCATCCTCCCCGGGATTGACGAAGAACAGCATGTAGGTGATGCCCAGGAGGGGCAGCAGCACCAGAGTGGCTTTCACAGCCTTCCTGGGGTGGGGCGGGTGGGGAGGCTCGGAGTCACAGCCCACCCCAGGACGGGCTGCCCGCTGGCTCGGCAAAGAGGGCCAGGTCGGGGGAGGGAGTGGCAGGTCTCTGGCACGTGAGAGGCATGGGGAGCAGGGGTTTCATCAGGGGGAGGCCTGAGGAAGGTGGTACCCGGTTACCTGTACTGAATGGTCTCAGACGTGGTGGATGCCCGGAGCTTGGTCATGAGGATGCGGACGATGTTGAAAAGGAAGATGAAATTGATCTGCAATTTGAGCACACCAGCGGGCCGGAGTGTGCAAGAGGCTTGGGACCCAGGCTTCTCAGCTCTGGCCTCAGTGCCCCTGCTGTTCTCCCTCCTCCTCATGAGCACCTGCACATCTCTGACCCATGCCCCCTCTTTGGGTGGCCCCCACCTCTAGGTAGAGGAGTCCTTTCTGTCCACGGTTGGCACTGATTGCCCCTCCCCACTGGGCCCTGTCTCCTGCCCCTACCCAGGTTCTTACCAGCAGGACCAGGATCATGGGGCCCTGGTAGATGTAGTCGGTGTACACCCCAGGCCTTTTGCCAAACCAGCACCTAGAAGGCCACAGAGGAAAGGGGAGGAAGGGTCATCTGCGTCCACCTCGATGGCATGGGGAGGGACAGTGCTTGGCCAGGACAGGACTGGGGCTGGAGGCCAAGAGGTAGATGTCCCAATTCCAACCCTGGCAGAAGGTCAAGTCACTTGATCCCACTGCCATGCCTCAATTGTCCCATCTGCAGAACGGACAGCATCCTCTGTGATGAGATGCAAAGTTGGAAGCAAGCACCGGGGCAGGAGGTAGACAGTGGGAAAGACTGAGTGGCTGGGAACGGGCATGGGCCCAACACGAGGCTGCATCCTCGGCTCCTCCTCACAGTCCCCTGGCAGTGGCTGAGGCCCAGCATGCCCTCTGGGGGGCTGCTGGTGGGAGTGGCACCACACCTGTCACCCAGTGGGCACCCAGCAGTTCGCAATCTCAGCCTGAATCTGTCCAGTCACAGCCTGAACAACCTTGAGAGGAATACTTGCACAGGTTCTACCTGCTGCAGGAGGTAATTGCTTTGCATTTTCCCGAGTGTCCCTCCAGCAAGCTCCAGGGAGGCCTGGGGAGTGGGTGGGGACCAGACAAACTGGAAGCCCTTATGTCCTCGTGGGTATGAAGACCCCCAGTGGCTAGATCTCATAAGCCAGAAATTGAGATTTGTAAATGAAACCTTTGGATTTTTTAAAGGTTGGCTACAAAATCGAGTTTTCAGAAAACACCATGCTGGCCACACACAGCTTCTGAGGGCCGGGTCCAGTCCTCGGGCCTCTGGTCTGCAAGTTCGTTTCTGGTTTCTCACACCCAGATCCTCTCTGTTGCAGTGTTGAATTCTCACCACCAGGTGGAGCTTCAGAGCCGCTCAGACTCACTTTCTCCTTTAGCCCAAACAGTTTTTGTTTTGCTTTGTTTTTTGAGACTCATGGAGTCTCACTCTGTTGCCCAGGCTGGAGTGCAGTGGCACGATCTTGGCTCACTGCAACCTCTGCCTCCTGGGTTCAAGAGATTCTCCTGCCTCAGCCTTCCCGAGTAGCTGGACTACAGGTGCGCACCACCACACCCAGCTAATTTTTGTTTTTTTGTTTTTTTTTTAGTAGATACGGGGTTTCACCATGTTAGCCAGGCTGGTCTCAAACTCCTGACCTCAAGTGATCCGCCTGCCTCGGCTTCCCAAGGCCTCAGCCAGCCTGAGTCAGGAGGGAGTCAGGAGGGAGTCAACCACATAAACACGCAAGATAATCTTCCAGGCTCCTCTTTCAGCCCAATGAAGCCGTGCAGGCCCCCTCCCCTCCATGGGGGAGGAGAGGGCTTGTCACTGTGGTGGAGGCCACTTGGACGCCAGGTCCGTCAGTCAGATAGGTTCCCGGGAACACTTGTTTGGCAAAGAAGGTCCTGGGGCTCCCCTGCCATCCATGTCCACCTTTTCTGCCCCGCTCTCTCTCAGTGGTTCTCAATCTGAGCTGCACATTAGAATCACCTGGGCAGTTTTCAAGACTTCTGGGTGCCAGGCCACACCCCAGACCAATTGCGCCTGATTCTCTGAGGGTGAAGCCTGGGCATTGGTACTTTTCCAAGCATTCCAGGTGATTCTAATGTGAGCCAAAGTTGAGCTCCACTGCAGCAGAAATCAAGTTTCCAGGCACGATTGGAAACATCTGAGTCCATTTCATAAGGAACCAAAGAACTTCAGAGCTGGAAGAAGCCTCTGAGATCATCTAGGTCCACTTCTATTAAATTCATGGACTCTTTTATTAAGATGTCTTAATATTAATAGAACACATTTATATAGCATTTACTCTATGTGCCAGGAGCTATTGTAAATGCTTAATATAGATGGACTCATATCACCCCACAACAGCCCTTTGAGGCAGTAGCATGTCCATTTTACAGATGAGGAAACTGAGGCACACTGCAGTAATCTGTCCAAGGTCACACAGCTATTTGAACCTGGGCAGTCTGGCTCCAGGCTGCTTCCTGTGTAAGCTCAAGGCAGATAAAGGAGGCTGGGTCCTGCTTGTCCAGCCCCACCCAGGCAGAGCACAGGCAGGGACCCTCTGAATGAGTCCAGCCCCCAGATCTCTCCCTTTATAGATGCAGAAACCATGGTCCTGAGGGGAAAAAGCCAGCATGGCCAATGCCCGTGGGGAGTGTCACCAAGCTGGGCTGGGAGCCTAAACCTTGGGGTCAGGAAGGGAAAGGAGATGACTTACTTCTCATTGTCGTAGTACAGCTTCCCAATGGCCCAGGCCACAATGATGGGGAAGGGCACACCTGGGGGAGAGATGGGCTGTCACAGAGCCCTCAGCGGGGGCTGGAGGATGTGGGCCTGGAGAACCCCAGTGCAGCCCAGGCTCCAGGGGGTCTGGGGTTACTCAGGGTGGATCTCAAACTCACACACCTCCTTCAAGGTGCTTCTACTGCCGCCCACCCCCAAGAGGAGCAGAGGGCTATCGTGCACACCTTACCGCCCCAACCCGACCTCCATCCCTCAGGCCCCCCAGCCCGCTGGCCTGAGTCTGGAGGAGAGGGCAGCCCGGCGGCCGCCACTGCCCAGGCTGCGGAGGTGGCTGCCCAGCTCACCCCAGCCAATGCAGATGAACATCCATTTGCGCAGCCGGTCAGTGGAGTAGGTGAGCACGATGGCTGTGTGCAGGTAGCAGCCCTCGCCGAACATCCAGAAGAAGTTGGTCACATGGAAGTAGTTGTAGGCGGCTGTCACCAACCTGCACCAGCCCTGCCACCCCACCCCCAACCAGAGATGATGATGGGGGGCAGGGGAGGCACCAAACCCTGGGCCTGGGCCTCCCCAGGGCAGGACAGGGCATACCCTGGGATCCCACTCCTGTTCTGTGGGCTCCTCCTCTGCAGGGCAGGCGGGCCCCTCCTCTGACCTGGGTTTGGCCTGACCTGCTCCCCGCTCCCCTGCCAGGACGTACCACGTTGCTCTGGTGGACCTCGGGGCTCATGGTTAGCTGGACCACGAACCAGGTGGCGTTGCGCAGGATGAAGGCGGAGATGAGGTTCCAGTGGATGATGTTTCGCAGGCACCGGATGCTCCTGGTGCAGCAGGGCGGGTGGATGATGGGAGCGATAGGAGAGAGAGGATGAGGGGTAGGCCACCTCCATCACCCCAGCCCAGATGTGTAGATGAGGAAACTGAGGCACAGGGTGGGGCTGACTGGCCAAGTCACACAGGGAGGTGACAGCCAGGCTCTCCTAATGCCCCATGGAGCCCTTCCTGCCTGCAGCCCACCCAGACATAAGCCCCAGGCAGAGCCTGGCACTCCATGGAGCCTGTGCTCCATGGACCAGGGCAGCTGGATTCCTGGCGATGCCCGCTTCCCCTGGGGGTGCCTTCTACTCCCTGCCATTCCAGGATGGACAGTCACAGGGGTCAGCCCTGCTCCCAGCCTCCAGCCCTGATGCTCGGCTCCTGATCCCAACCATCCCCATCCCCGGCTCTGCCACCTGCATCCTTGGCGGTAGTGCTGGGGCCCAGGTACCTTCGAACCTGAAATGGGGCACCACTCCATGGAGCCCCCACCTCCAGGGCTCCATCTGCCTGGTCACCCCAATGGGTGCAGCCTGGCCTGGGTATGGGTGACATAAGACAAGTTTTGTCCCTCCCCACCATTCCAGCAGCTACTGGGGAGAGGGCAGAGCGGCTCTGCCAGAGGTTCCCAGAGACCTGAGACTCTCAGATAAGCCAGCCCCTGCCACCCTCTCCCAGCAACCCCCACCCCAACCTAGAGCTGCTCCTCTCACTTCTCCACCCTGCTTCTGCTCTAGGTCCTGGGGACAGGAGGAGGCAGTGCTGGGGTCTTCTCACCTGAGCCGCAGAAAGAGGACAAAGGCCACCAGGAGGGCCACCAGGGAGATACAGTGGCCCAGGTAGTTGATGATGACTGCGACATGGTAGTGCACCTTGCTTTTTTTCTGGAGCAGGAGAGAGGGGCAGAGGTGAGCCTTCTGCTGGATGGGAGCTGCTCTGTGAGGACATCGCCTAGGGGTGGCTGGGATGGAGCGGGTCATGATCTCAAGGGCCACTCCCCCTTCCTGAGCATCTGCTGAGGGTCAGGCCTCGCTGCAGAGCAACGCCGTCCAGTTTGAGGCTCTGCTTGTCCCTGAATCCCATGCTGTGTTCACTGCTCCGTGTTGTGTCGAACTGAATCTCCACATCACGTGGGATTCCCCACTCCACATGGACCCCCCGCCCCTGCATGCACAAGCACATGTGGCCGGCTCACAGGTGCGCCCTCACACTCGCATCTACCCATGCTGCCACCCAGTCAGAACACCAGGTGGACCTCTCAGCTGCAGAGACACCAAACTCCCGGGATTTCTCTTCTCCACCCATTTCTGAACTGAGTCACCACCTTCTCAGCCACCCCTAAATCCCTCCTGCTGCAATGCCGCCTGCTCCTGTGAGCAAGGAGGGGCCGGGCAGCTGCTGGGCTCTGGCATCCACAGAATCAGCAGAAACCACAGAAAAGTCTCCTTAGGCTCCATAACTCACTTTCCGGGGCCTTCCCCATCCCTGGCCCAAGGGGATCTGTGCAGAGTGAGCAGGATCCTCTCCCAGGACTGTAACACATTCCCCGGGTTTATTTCTTAATGAATTTAATATACTGATGGAGGTCACTGCCCTCCTCTTTACAGCAATCTTGAGTTCCAAGAGTGGTGAAGCCTTCCTGTTTACAGAGGATTTTCATATCTGTTATCGTCTTAAACCATCAGGGCAACCCCGTGGGGGGAGCCGGAAAGGCATCTGGGCTTTATTTTGTAGGAAAACAGCACAGAGGTTATGCTGACGCGCTGGAGGTCGCGCAACTCCAAAACCACCTCTTGCCTGCACATGTAGATTGGCAAGATACGAAGGCTGCAAACAGGTCCCCAGCCCATAATAGGGGACTGGTCAGTCCCCATGCCCAGCTCTCTGCAGACTCCTGCCCAAGAGCACAGCCCCCATCCACACTTTTATAGGTCCCAAGAAGCAGGGCCTAGAAACCAAGAGCTTGACACGCAGTCAAACTCCAAAGCAGTGTGTGAGTGAAGGAAGGAAAGACGGGTGTTGAAAAGCAGGTGACTTTGAGAAGGGAGGGGTCCCTGGCAGCACCTCCCTTCCTCCCCGTTTCTAGGCTCTAGGGTGGGGCTGAATGATCATGAGGCACAAAGGTGGGTGACATGCAAGTGCTGAGAAGCACTGAGCTCACAACGGCCCTCATCATCTTCTCAGAGCCACCAAGGAGCTACTGGCCACCAAGGAGCTACTCCATAGGCCTTCCTGTTGGAATTACAGAACCCACTTGAAACCAGAGATCAAGTCCAGCCCTATCCACCAGGCATCCCAGGAGAAGCCAAGACCCTATGCCCAGTTCCGCCCGGCCACCAAGGCCCTTCTGAAGGAGCACCCTCATTGGGGAACCTCTCCAGAGGCTGCTACAGAAGCTCTGTTCTTGGAGCTGGTTTCCAGGCAGAGGCTTTCTGGAACATGGCAGGTAATTACATTAGCAACTCCAGCCTCCAAAGGACTGGGATCCAGGGAGGTGTAAATGAAGGCAGGAGAGACAGAGACAGAGAGGGGAGTGAGGAGAGGGTACCTATCACCCGTGCAAGTGGGGAGGGTCTCTGAGCGCCTGGCGGCAGATGCCCCAATCCGGAGGCTCTGGAAGATATGCACACATCACAGGCTGTCTGGAGCTGGTATTTAATATCCTTTTATTAAATTTTCCACAAATCCATGCTGAGAAGCCCCTGGGTAATGACAACATGTGTGGAGCCGAGCATGGCACAACACCCCGGCCTTGTTCACAGGCCCAGGCTGGGCGGGAGGAGCGCAGTGTGCAGGGAGACCCTTCAGTGCTGCCTTCCAGGGCCCCTGCCTCACTCCCGAGTCAGGCCGTACCGGGCCCTTGGGGTTGGAGTGGGGAGGAGTTATCTGTTAAGCACCTGCTGTATGCTGAGCACTGTGCCAGGAGCTCTGCAGACACTACTGCTTTTCTTTCCCACAGCTGCCCTTGGAGACTGCTCCTCTCATCCCAGTTCTTTCCGTAGAAGAGACTGAATAATTGGCCACGCCACGCAGCCGGTATCTGGAACCTGGGTCTGCCTGGCTTTAAGCTCCCTCTTTTCCCTGTTTCCCAGGGACATTTCTTTTTTTGGGTGGGGGAGGGATGGAGTCTCACTCTGTCGCCCAGTCTGGAGTGGTGCAGTGGCAGGATCTCAGCTCACTGCAGCCTCTGCTTCCTGGGTTCAAGTGATTCTCCTGCCTCAGCCTCCCGAGTAGCTGGGATCACAGGCATGCACCACCATGCCCAGCTAATATTTTGTATTTTTTGGTAGAGATGGGGTTTTGCCATGTTGCCCAGGCTGGTCTCGAACTCCTGAGCTCAGGCAATCCACCTGTCTCGGCCTCCCAAAGTGCTGGGATTACAGGCGTGAGCCACCGTGTCCGGCCCCCTGCGACATTTCTTGGGGGACAAGCAGGAATTGAAAGCAGAGGCACTCTCTGGGGTGGTCTCACGCCACTTTGGGCCCAGGAGCCTCGGGGGACCTCCTGCTGGGACAATAGCGCCCAAGAGGGCTTTCCTCCAAGAGCCTGAGGGAGAATCAGGCCAAACCATTCCCGGGGGACAAAGTCTCAGTGTGCCTCCCTGAGCAGTCGGGCCTGGGCCGGGTTCAAGCCCTGTCTCTCATCGGCCACATCAGCATCATGCAACCTGAGAAGACAGCTGGAGAGACAGCCTGAGGGATGGCTGCTGATACCCTGAGACAAATACATCCTGCGACACCCAGACAGAAGCCAGTGACACTGTGACATTTCCAATAACAACCAGAGTTCTGGCCAGCATTATTTAGAGAGACAGCAAGGCCTTAAGAGGCACCCAGGAACACCCTGAGAGGTGGCCAGTGATACCTGGAGAGGAGAGTCAGCAGCACCCCCAGGGACAGCCAGTGACACCCCGACCGATGGCCACGATAACAGCAAAGCAGCTGGGATGTCCGAAGGACAAATGGGCACAGCTACCCCTCGGGCCCTGACCAGCACTCCATCTCCATCCAGTCTGGAGACCTAAGACCAGCAGGCACCCCGCCCTAAGGAGGGTGGCACAGCGTGGTACTTGGCAGAGGCCACTCCGCTGTACCCTCAGTGATCTGAATTGAATAAGCAATTTGTGCCCGGCTGACTCTGACTGGACTCTCTGCAGGACACCACCTCGTCCCAGGCGCTGCAGTGCCAGATCCGTCCTGATGCCTCTCTGGGTTGGTGGCAATGAGACCTCCCTTCCAAGCTCCCCACTGGTGCCCACTCCATTCTGGCACGTCCTCTCCACCGAGGCTTCCAGAGCTACTCCTCTTACCCTGCAGTGGGCACTCACTCCAGCCCCTCGATCCTCAAAGGGTGGCCCCTGGCCCAGCAACAGCACGCAGAGGAGCACGCAGAGATCTTGAGGAAAGTGGAATGTATGCCCTACGCCAGGCCCATGGAATCGGAGCTTGGTTTTAGGAAAAAGCACCTCTGCAGTTCAGAAGCCCTGGTCCAACCACCACTCACCTCTCCCCACACGGTGAGCAGTGAACCTTGGTCCACAAACCAGACCCCCAGAATCCGTTTCATGTCCCACCACGGTGTGCTCTCCCAGGCTGTGCCTGAGGCCCAGGCTCCTGTGCGCAGCAGAACGTGGGGAAAGGGGATAGAGTGTGTGCAAGTGTTGGGTGGGTGGGGGAAGGCTGGACGGTGGGGAAGGGAGTGAACAGTAGTAGCGGGAGGTGGTGGGGGGAGGAGAGGGTGCTGATACAGGCAGCAGGTGTAGGGGTGGTGCTGGGGGCTCAGTGCCATCCCCCGGCCAGCCATGCATGCAACAGTTGGGGGCCTGTCCCCTGGTGGTGCTGGCTGCGGGCAGATCTCCTGGGGTGCCTGGCCTTGAGGTGCCCTTGCAAGTCCCATTTCACAGGCAGACTTCTGCGAATCCATTATCTGCGATACCCCAGGGCGCTGGAGCTTAATTAGGGCTTAGCCCAGGCCCAGAGCTGAGAAACCTACCACTCAATTAATTGGATACTTTCCTCTGCAGTTCTGGGAGGGGTCTGGCGAGGCTGGGGGCTGGCAGAAGGGAATGGCATTTTCACTAATTAAACTAATCGATTACCCAGAGTGCTAGGCACCAGGCCAGCAGGGGCTGCAGAGGAAAGAGATGGCAGAGCCAGGCACGGATGGGCTGGGGGGTGGGGCGGGTCACTCCCCCAGGTGTACACTACAACCTCCCCTGACCTCACAGGGGAGATGAGAGACAGGGGGCGGCAGGTGAATGGAACGTCTCCCATAGGCCAAGACAGGCCAACACCACCCTTCCATCCCCAGAAGGCAGAGATCTGAATTCCTGGCCACCATTTTTGGGAACTTGGTGAGGTTAAGTTGCCTCCTCAAGGTCATGCAGCAGGTTCCCGTTGAAACCCAAACCCTAAGGTCCGTGCTATTCCCACTGCAATGCAAAGAGGGGGCTGATGAGACCGGGCTCCCGATCCTCTTCCTTGTCCTAACCCTGCTGGTGGACAGAGGTAGAGACCCCTGTCCTGGCAGGGTTGGGTGTTGCAGGGCAGGCTGAGGGTGGCTAACCTACTGCCCTTAGGCCTTTGAAGGGTGCTGGGGAAAATGGGGGCTGCCGAGTGTCCCCATCAGCCAACTGAAAAGAAGGGGCTTGCAATAGAGCAGGAGAGACAGGTGAACCACGAAGACCCCGCGCTGACCCTCAGGAGGGTTGAGTGCAGGGCGTGAAGCTGGGACAGACAGTGCGGCCTGCAGCCTGACCTCATGGCTTAGCTGTGCCTCCTGGACACCATCCCTCTCTGCAATGGCGTGTGGTCCTGAGTCACTGACAGCACTGACCCGCTCCTCTGAGCACCAGCCCTGTTTCCTTTCCTCCCACCTCCTCTACTGTGTGCCAGGCTACGGGCTCCTCACATCCCTGAACGGTCTTGCCCACTCCCACCCCACCAGCCAAGGCCAAGGCCATCTCCTCTGGCCCAACTAAGTCTCCTAACCTGGAACCCCACCTCCTTCCCCCAGTCCAGGAGGAGCCCTCCTCCCAATCCCAGGACTTCCCAGGTGGGCTCTCTGTGTGGGGGCTTAGCAAGCTGAGGGCTTTCCCTGCTCAGATCAGATCATCAGGGAGCCTGACCAACCCACCCCAGCCTTGAGTGCCACCCAAAGGTCTGGCCTGTGGGATCTGAGATGCCAGGCAGCCCCTCGCCCTGCCAGAGCAGCACCGTGGAAGAACTCGTGAGTCTTTTAAGCTAGGCATTGACCTAGCTGCAGCTTCCGGAAGGAGACAGCAGAGCCCCGCATTAGCTCAGTGACTTGAGGCCAGGAAGCCAGGGGTGGGGCTAACCAAAGCTTGCCAGGCCGGGGTGGGAGCTACAGGTGAAGGAAAGTGATTCTTTCTCCGTTAACTTTGTTTCACGCCAGATACCTGGCAGTGGGCAAAGCAGAGCCTGGGCTGCAGAGCCTGTGCTCCGGAGCCTGGGCTCCAAAGCCCTGGGTTCCGGGCTCTGACTTAACTGCCAAAAATACAAAAATTAGCCCAGCATGGTGGTGCATTCCTGTAATCGCAGCTACTCAGGAGGCTGAGGCAGGAGAATCACTTGAACCAGGGAGGTGGAGGTTGCAATGAGCCGACATCGCGCCACAGCACTCCAGCCTGGCGACAGAGGAAGACTCTGTCTCAAAAAAAAAAAAAAAAAAAAAAAGGGAATGTCCCAGAGCCACGTGACCTTGTGTGAATCATTCCCCTTTTCTGGGCCCCAGTCTCCCCATCTGTAGTGTGAACGGGTCGCACTAGATTAGAGTTTCTCACTTTTGCCCCATCAGAAGGCTCCCCTGGGGCACTCATGAAAGACACAGATTCCCAGGTCCTCCTTGGACAGTGTGATTTCTTAGGTGTTGGGTGTGGCCCTGGGACCTGTATTTGGACAAGTGCTCTGGGAGATTCCATTTTTTTTTTTTTTTTTGAGACAGAGTCTTGCTCTGTCGCCAGGCTGGAGTGCTGTGGCGCGATCTGGGCTCACTGCAACCTCCGCCTCCCTGGTTCAAGTGATTCTCCTGCCTCAGCCTCCTGAGTAGCTGCGATTACAGGGATGCGCCACCATGCTCGGCTAATTTTTGTATTTTTAGCAGAGATGAGGTTTCACCATGTTGGCCAGGATGGTCTCGATCTCCTGACCTCGTGATCTGCCTGCCTCGTCCTCCCAAAGTGCTGGGATTACAGGCGTGAGCCACCGCACTTGGCCCCACTTTTTTTTTTAATGGAATTTCGCTCTTTTTGCCCAGGCTGGAGTGCAATGGCACAATCTCGGCTCACTGCAACCTCCGCCTCCTGGTTTCAAGCGATTCTCCTGCCTCAGCCTCCCGTGTAGCTGGGATTACAGGTGTAATCCCGCCACACCCGGCTAATTTTGTATTTTTAGTAGAGATGGGGTTTCACCATGTTGGACAGGCTGGTCTTGAACTCCTGACCTCAGGAGATCTGCCTCTGGACGATTCTTATAACCAGGCAAGTCTGGGAACCTCAAGATGGGAAGGAGAGTCTCCACGGTCCCTTCCAGCTCTGATCTTTAGGCGACGGGATTCTTGGGACTGCTTAGGTCAGTCTCTCTCTTCCACAATCAGAATCCCTGGCCCTCGGACAGCCTGGGGTGTCCCCCCTTCTGCCCTTTGACCCCCGTCTTCCTCAGCACCAAGGGAGAAAGCGTCGGGTGGGAAAGGAGACAGGGTGGGAGAGACCGAGGGCAGTAGCAGCTCCAGGATAGATATATTTGTGCCTCTGCCAAATATCACCCTTCAAAGATTATTCATTGCAGCAGCATTTGTAATAACTAAAGACTGAGAATAAAGACTGGTTTAAATAAGTTATGGTACATTTTGTGATATTATGCAAATGCAAAAAGAATGAAGATGCTCTTTATGTACTGATATGGAACCATCTCTAAGATAGATGATTATATGAAAAAAGCAAGGTGTAGACAGTGTGTATAACATGCAACATTCAGGTAAAAACAAAAAAGAATACGTATACAAAATTACTCGTGTATGCGGAGAATGTCTCTGGAAGGACACTTGTGAAATTGGCAAAATGGTTGCCTCTGGGAGGGAATCCAGTGGCTGGGGACGGGGTGGGAGGGGACATTGTATTCCCATTTGTACCTTCTGAGTTCTGTGTAAGCAATATCTGCTCAAAAACATTTAACATTTTAAAAGGCTTTCCAAGGGCTTTTTCAAACTGCATTGCTACCTCCATCCCGTCCCTGGTTTCCATACAGCCCTGTGGCTGGAACTGGATGTATCTCTCAGGCATGTGTTGTGGAAAAGGGTGGGACTCCTGTGACCGAGTCTGGTCTCCCTTTGCACCCCCAGGACAGTCCCATGCCCAGTGCAAGCGGCTGCCCGATGAGCACAGGGAGAAGGAAGGAAGGAACAAGGACCCATCTCATCACCATCAGAGCCTGCCCAGTGCCCCATTGGTCCAGCCTGCCCTCGAGGGCGCCTGCTCATGGGCCTTTTCCAAGTTGACAGCTCCAGCTCCCCAGTCAGCTTCACTAGAGCAGGGCCTTGACATTAGCCTCTGGCTCCCTGACTCCAAGTAGCAGGCACAAAACTCTGCTGGGGACCCTGGACTCCCCTCCATATGGGCAGCCTTGTTCGGCTCAGCCTCACCTCCTCATTGAGGATCTCCTGGCACTCGGAGTAATTCACGCGGGCGGCCCAGCTGCCATTGGCCAGGCACTCCCGGTAGCCATTGTCTGGAAAAGGAAGAGAGAGGCAGTGATGGCGGGGCAGCCCCGGCCCCTGCCTGACCATCCTGGCCCAGATGGATGCGTAGATGGATCTGTAGATGGCCAGTACAGGCACCTGCTGGCTGGGGGTTGTGTAGTGAAGCTGGGGAGAGGGGCTTCCTTACCACCCCCATCTTCCTGCCTCTTTCTGCCCATTGGCCTCCAGCAGGGGTTGGTGGCTCCCCCGGCTCTGCCCACTCAAGCTGGCATGATCATGCCCACAGGACTGGCCCGTGGACAGGCTTGACCAGCTCCCTGGGCTGTTCCTTTGCAAGTCATTATGTGGTGGCAGATGACAGGTAGGTGCTCTTCTGAGAAATCTCCTTTTCAGGGGTCTTGCAAGACAGCAAAAAAATGGTGAGACCTCATGAGTCAATTTTCACGAGGCTGGGCATGACACGGTGGAAGGGTATGCGGTGACAGCTCGCGTGGCAGGTGGCATGACAGGGCTTCTTGTGGTAGAGCCATCTCACAGAGGCTGCCGTGGGAGGTCCTCACTGGCTGTGCTGCACATGGGGGCTCAGAGTTCATGGGGCAGATCTTGGGGAAGGTCCCATGGTGGCACTTCCCCATAGCGGGCCTGTGTTGGAAGGTCGTGGTCTGTGGGTGGGGGGAACATCCATGATGGAGGTCTCTTGGACAGAAAATGACAGGTGACAGGCGTGTGTGGGGAGATGTCATCACTCAGGTCTGTCACAGCTGCTCCTAGCCTGGCCCATGTCACTCAAGGAGGAAGGCAGGAGAGTGGCCCAGGGACATATGGAGGTTTGTGCAGCCACCGGCCTGGACTGTGGCCCAGAACCTGTCACCTTCTAAGGAGATGGGGAGGGGCCCTGTGAGCTGAATTGATGCCTGGCTTTAGGGCCCTGGGATGGGCAGAGCTGCCCAACGTGTTCCCCTTACCCTCCTTCATGCCTACCAGGCTTGAGCTCCAGGGTCCTAAAACCTAGCTGGGAAGGGACAGCATGAGTTCTAAATTCCATCTCATCTTCTCTGCTGGCAGAGGTTGCCCCACCCCACCCTGTACCCGGCTCTGGCATCAGTAGCTCTAAACATGCTTCCTTGAGTTAATTCTGGCTCTGACTTCAGGCAGAACTGCCTGGCAGAGAAATGAAGCCCTGAGTATCTCACCTGGAGCCTCCCTCACTGTAGGCCTTCCTGTGGCTCCCAGTGGCCCTTGGGGCTGGAACAGGGCTGGGAAAGCTGCTGGAGTCCCAGTCCTTGAGTCTGGAGCCCCATGGGGCAGAACCCTGTGAGGATCTAGAGGCTGGGGCCCTGGGACCAGCTGAGCTGCTGCCGTGCTGCATGACTGACCTCTGGGGACCCCTTCTCATTTATAAAAGGAGGGGCTGGACTGGCTGATCCCCAAGGGACCATCCAGCCTGGGAGCTGCCTCTGCTGGCAGCATCAGGACAAGAAGGTGATGATAGGGAGCCCGTCCTGGCCTCCAGGGCTGAAAAGTAGATGTGGCCTCTCCTCTCTCGCACTACTCCCCTCCATTCCCCTCCCTGGTCCCCCTGCTGAGGAGCTGCTCAGCTACAGCTGGCCAGTGGGAGATCCGGCTAAATGGATTTTTAAAGCTCTTCCATGTCAGTGGACCGCAGTCTCAGGGAGCCTCAGGCCCTTGGGCAGAGTTGGTGAAGAGGCTGCTGATTCTCTCCAATTGCCAAATGAGGGATGAGTTACCGGAGGGCTGAGGCTCACCCAGTGGGTTTTCATGGAGGTCTGAGGGGAGGGTGAGACGAGGAACCAGGAGAACCCAGTGTCTCTGCCATGGCTGGGAAGTCCCGGGACCAGAGGCTGCTCTGAAATACCTCCAGGGATAGGGGCTTTGGGACAGAGATCCGGCTGGAAGGGGCCCGGGGGTGGTGGGATGGGGTGGGGTGGTTCTTGAGTTAAGAGGCAGCATGGAGTAGTGCTAAGAGCGTGGCCCCTGGACCCAGACAGCCTAGCATCAAATCCTGGCACTACCTTCCACTAGCTGTGTGACCTTGGGCAAATCCCGAAACCTGTCAGCTTCCTCCTCTGTAAGTGAGAGCATCTGAATAGCAGCTCCTACATCAAGAGTTGAATATTTTTAGTTAACATGCACAAGGTGCTTGGAACTGTACCTGGGATGTGATGTTGGCTGTTATTTTTATTATTATTGTCTTGGAGCTGTATTTATATAACCTTACGTGAGACTCAGAGCGTGTCCCTTGTCCCCATCAAAGGGTACCGGTGGATATTGTGGGAGGAGCCCCTTTGCTCAACACCCTTGCCCCCCTTGACATGTGGGGGAGAGTCAGGAGTCCCATCAGAGGCTGGGTCACCCAGAGGGAGCAGGCTTTGATGGGGAGAAAGGAGGTGATCCGAAAGAAAGCAGGCCCAACAAGCAGGGAGCCGTTGCCAGGGAGGATGCGACCTCCTTGTCTTTAATTGCTGAGCTGAGCAGTCCTCCCAAAGAATCACGGGAAAATAGATATTTTTGGAAATGCTTCCCATCCCTTTGAAGATCAGATGCAGCAGGAGGGAGGGCATTAGGGAGAAGGCCTAGAAGTCCTGGCAGCAACTCATCAGTAAATGGATTAATTAGTGCTTAATGATGAGGTGCAGCTCTGGGTACCCACTTGTGACTGACTGCACGGGCGTGCTCCACCTCATCTGGCGCTGGAGGCACCTGGAAAGGGGTCTTCCAGCCCTGCCCTCACAGACTGACCCCATGTCGAGAGGCCATCACCCCAGCTCCTTTCCTGGGATCACAGAGGGAAGTGCGGGGGAGCCTAGAGAGCACCACACTCAATCCTCCCACCCATTCTGCAGGTGTAGAAACTGAGGCCCACAGAAGGTCTGTGCCAAGGGCTACTTAACCAGCTGCAGATGCAGCTGGAATGAGAACTTAGGACTCCTGACTGCCACTTCAGGCAGGGCCAGCAAGTGAAGTGTGTGCCCAGGCACTGAGGGCTGAAAATGTTTATCTGGAGCATGTCAAGTAACCCTTTGCAACGGGAGCAGAGGGAACTCATGGGGGGTGGCCAGGGCTGGCTGCAAAAGGTGACAGGGCCATGACCACAGACAGCCTGGCCGGCCCCACCCAGCAGCCTGAACACGGAGGCCACACAAGAGTGGGTTCCAAGTGAAGGAGTGACCAACTCAGATCTGAAACCTGAGGCTGGGCGGTGGCGCTGGGGAGTGGGGGCAGGTAGGCCCAGACACGAGGATCACTCTGGAAGTGGACATGACAGGAACTGGTGCCTCCTCCTGGAAGCTCCTCTGATGTGCAGATGCTGCCTCCTTCCTAGGGGCTCCAGAAGGACTCAGCCCCCAGCATCGTGAGAGTTATCGTCCCTGGGCTGTGACCCTGCCTCCAGGCTCTGCGACCTCCGATAGGTTATTAGCCTCTCTGTGCCTCAATTTCCTTATTACAAAATGGGCCTGACTATATTGGGGGCTGGCCAACTGTGCACCCCTTGGACTGACCTGGCCAAGAGGCCCTTCTTCCTTTCTGCACTTCCTCCCCTTGGCCCCCAAGCCCCTCCCAGTGTGTCTTCTCCCTCTCCCGAGTCCCTCCCATGGCCAGGACATGGTACAGACACACGAGGCTGCTAGATCTGGCTGCCCCAGCCTCCTGCCCTGCCCTGGCCTCCCAAGTCACTCCCTGGGGAGTCACTTTCTGGCTGGGTCTTCCTACTCCTCTGCTGTAGCCCCCAACCTTAACACCCCAAATCCATCTGGTAGAGGAAAGAGGGGCAGGAGAAGGAATCTGGGAGTTTTGAGCTGGAAGACATCTTAGAAGCCAAGCCATCCAGCCCTCTCCATCCTCAGATGAGGGGCTGAGGGCCAGATGAGGGGCAACAATGTGCTGGGAGGTCACACAGTGAGTCTTGGAGTAAACTACATGGTGTCTGGGCTCACCCCTGTGCCCTCTTGGGACTCTGAGTTCAAGACCACAAGGACCCAAGGGTGCACACAGGAGGCCCCAATTGCAGGGATCAGGCCCCCAGCCTCCCCTCAGGTAGGTTAGGGCTCCTGGCCCACAGCTGTTGCTCTCTTGATAAGCAGGGACCTGACTCATTGACAGGGGAGAGCAAATTAATTCTGAGAGTGGCAGGCGGAATAGCAGGGAGCTGCAAAGCCCGGCTCTGGGGGTTTCGGGCCTCCGGGGAGCCAGGTGTTTACATGAGGATCAAGTATCCGACGGACCCTGGGTCAACCCCGTCCTGCCCCACTCCACCTACAAATCCAGGATGCAAGTTGAGCCTGTGCCTGTGCATCTGAAACTCTGGGTCCCCTGCCTCCTGGCTGGAGGGCCCGGGGTAGGCCTCAGAACCTCTCGACTCAAGGTTCTTATCCACACAGCTGGGGCTCTGATGATTCCTGCCCTGCTTCATGGTATTACAGTAGGCTCAAACAGACTAACCTGAAGTTTAATGGCAGAAGAAAGTGCCAGACAGACGTGGATGCAAATTCCAGCTTCACCCCTTACCAGCTGCCAATGGGGCAAGTTCCCTAACCTCCCTGAGCCCCAGGGGCCTTAGTTATAGGAGGCGTGATAGTGTCTTGCAAGGGTATTGTGAGAATCACGAGTAATGAGCACAGGGCACCCAGGAGAATACAGCGCTGACCTTTGGAAAACAGGGGCGATCCCCACAAGAGGTATTACTGTTATTGTCATCGTCATTCTTCCTTCCCCCACCTCCAAGCTCTCCCCATCCTGTCCCACCTCCCAGCAGATGGTCCACCCTCCACTTCTTCCTTACTTGTGGTATTGTAGCGGACACCATAGAAAAAGGCAGGGCAGGGCCGAACCACTAGCTGCCCCGCAGGGCTGCGGGGCCAGCAGGTGCCAATGAGGTCCACGGATGCGTTGCACTGCAGTCCTGGGGGCAGAGACGGCTGGTAAGGCACAGCAAGATATCCGGCCAAGGCCCCAGGCAGGCAGAGGACATTCCAGAGTTCTGCCCACCTCCCCACTCGTTCCCACTCACACCAGCTAGGGACAGGATGACAACAATGACCAGTGCAGAAATGAGCTCATCCTATGCAAAGAAGACACAAGGGGAAGAAATCTGAATCTGATGCTATGGTACTAGGGAGCCAGCATGGGTTCCAGAGCAGAGGAGGAAGAGAGATGGCTGGAGGTGGTGTTAAAAGCTAAGGTCCTGGCATTTAGAGGAAGCCTGGGCATGCTTCTGGTCCCCTGCTCTGTAGCCTAAGGACACTTCTCTTGGTCCCTCGCATGGTGACAGCCTGGAGCTCTGAGACATCACAGGAACACCCTGGAACAGACCCATCCAATCATTGACCTAGCCCCTCACGTCTCTGCAATCAAACCACATCTACCCTGGCCCTGCAGGGAAGAATCAGCTAAATGAAGTTGGCCCTCCTTCCGGCTGGCCTGTTCCTTCTTCCGGCTGGCCTGTTAACCACACTTACTGACCATACGTCACGTGTACTTTGTTCTGTGCAGGGCCCTAGGACAGGACTGATGGAGAAGTGAGCTATGGAGAGGAAAGGGAGGGAGACACCATCTGGGGGAGTGGAAAGGACACACTGAACTGGGAGTCTGGGCCCACTGCTTCAGAATGGGCTGTGCCACTAATTTGCTGTGAGATCATAGGCAAGTCACTTGCCCTCTCTGGGCCTTAGTGTCTTGTCTTCATCTATAATAAAATCAAGTGGTTGAACCAGATCAGAAATTCTTAATCTCAGCCCACTGGAAACTTCAACAGTTCACAGAGACCCTGAATGTAATGAAAATATTGGTGTATACATGCATTTTAATGGGGAAATGGGCCCACGGCTTTCATTAGATTCTCAAAGGGGTCTGTGACTCAAAGAGATATAAACATCTGAACTAGAAAGAAGATGTCAAAGTCCCCTTCCAAATATTTGCTTTTTGGAGGAGAGAGAGAGAGCACGCGAGAGAGAGAGGATGTTGGGGCAGAGTTGAGGCCCAGTGACACTTCAGGAGGGGAGGGTGGATATGGCCTCCAAAGGGTGGGGGCTGGCACAGTCCTGGCACCCCCCTGAGGCTGCCCCTTCTTTCTCTGCCTTTTAGTGCCTCCCTCTGAGTGAGGCTGGCACACCAGTCCTTTTGAGCCCCAGTGTCCCCAGGTTAATAACCTAGAATTGGCACAAGAGTGGACAGACAAGCCACGGAGGGCCAGGAACCATGAACCAGCGCGTGTGGGGGCAGCCTCTTCAGGCCTGGGCCGAGGCCTTAGCAGCTGCCAAGCCCTGGCTGGGGCTGCCTGCCATCTCCTCCCCAAATTAGCTTGTCCCCAGTCTCTCAGGAAACAGCACTGGGTTAAATTGGCTCCCTTTCTCTGCTGGACTCAGGGCAGTGCCGAGCAGCACTTGTACCAAATGCTGGTTTTTCTTTCTAATCAAAGCTATTCATAGGGCATTTGTGCAAATCAGGACTCAAGGGGCAGAGGCCTTCAGGCCAAGTGGCTTAATTGAAAGAGAAAGAAATCTGGATTGGGGCTTAATGGACACGAGGTGACTGCGGGCCAGGCGGCTGGAGTGGGCCAAGCCCAGGTGCTGTGCCACAGCGGAGTCTCTGTGAATGTTATCACGGAGTGGCAGTGGAAGCAGTGGAGTGAGGAAGCAGGGCCATCCGAGGCAACGGCGTACCAGGCTGGGATTTTAACCTGTCCTGGATCCTGCTGACAGTGTTGAGCCCGGGGACAGGGACTTGGGGGGAGAGCTGGGGGCATGTGGCCGCGGGGAGGGGAGGATCGTATAGAGGCCATGCCCTGCTGTTTCAAAGCTCTTCATCTATTTCGTTTGATCTTCATACATCTGGCAATGTGATTATTTCCTTTCTACAGATGAAGAAATTGAGGCCCAGGGAAGTTAGGTGACTTTTCCAAGGTCATGGGTCAATGGGTGAAAGAACCAAGACTCATAGGCAGGTATTTTGGACTCTAAATCTAGTGCTCTTTCCATTACGCCACATTGTGAGTCAGTCACAGGGGGTGAGGGACAGTTAAGGGGGCAGCAGGAAGGGAGCAGCGTTTGTTGAGGGCTGACTGTGTGCCAGGCACACATGACATATGCCATCTCATTTAATGGCACCATTGTACCTTCCTCAGTAGCTTGCTCATTCACTCCTCACTCATTCATCCACAGTATCTAGGGAGCTAGGCTCAAATGTAATGTTCCATGTGGCAGCGTCTGGAATGAACACACGGAACACACCCTCTCCATCAGTGTGGCCCCTGCCCTTCCTTCTTCCCTTCCCCGGCCAGTCTTCTTGCGCCTTGCTTTCGCAAGGCACGGAGGGCAGGAAAGGACTGGGCACCAGCCACAGCGAGGACGAGGCCAGAGCCGAGGCAGAGGCCAGCCACTGAGGATAGGCCTTCTGGCCTAGAGGACCTGCACCGGCCACTGCTGGGAGCTCTAAGGGCTCTAACCAAAGGCCTGACCCCGTCCACAGCTGGCCAGGGACGTGGAGACCTTCAAGGGGTGGGCAGGTCAGAAGCCATTTGCCTCTCCTCTGTGGTATGGTTCCCAGCCACCTACTATGCCACCATGGGTGCTAATTCTCTCTTGTTTTACAGATAAGAAAACTGAGGCCAAAGTGGCCAAATGGCTTATTCCAAGACAATCAGTAACCAAAGATACTGAGACGGGAGTGGATTTTCAATGCTCATCTTTTGATGCCAGCTCAGGGTGCTGCCCACAGCTGCACAGCTGGCCCTGATCTGGGCAGCTGCCCCTCGATCGCAGAGCTGCGACTCCAGTTCCCCAGCAGCGCCGCGCCTCCCCCTCCCTCCTGGCCCCCGCAGCTCCTAAGGATGCACAGAGGGGGCGCTGGTGACACAGCATCAGTGGCAACCTTTACATTAAGAGCCCAGAAAATCCTGGAAGGAATTGAAAGTCTGTGTGAGACGGGAAGAAAGGGAGAGAGAGGCTGCAAGAACGGGGAGGAGAAGCCAAATGAAAAGGGGCGAGGAGACAAAGTTCCCCCATCCCCGAGTGAAAGGTCAGCACTCCTGCTGGGTCAGGGGCTTGGGGTGGGGGGGTTGGGGGGGCGTGGCCAAAGGCACAAGGGCCTCAGCCGCGGAGTGGAGTTAGAAGGGAGGGGACCTAGAGGACAAGGGCAGGGAGGAGGCAGCAGGACAGGGCCTCAGGCGCCACGCTCCTGGCCAGTTGGCACTGTCCACTGGACTTCCCGGCCTGGGACTGCCTTGTGGGCTCGGTGCCTTCCCATAAGGCCTCGGGGTCCTGCCCTCTCTGGGCCTTAGTGTCTCTGTGTCTGAAATCCCCACAAGGATTTCAGATCGCCATCCTGCGTCCTGCGGACACCGAGTCCAGGGAGGAGGAGAGTGGGGGGTCCCTGGGACCCTGTAGGGACAAGGCCTCAGAAGGGAAATTGTGTATAGGACTTGAGGGGGATCATTTGTTGGACACTACTATAATATAAACCAGGCACTGTGAAAGGCGCTTTGCACGACTTAATTCATGCCACTCACTTAAGCCACCCGACTACAATGAGGAGGAGAAAACAGGCGGAGAGGGAGGGAGGTGGGAGGCCAAGTGGGCCAGGAGAGAGGTGGGGAGACAGAGGAAAAAAGATGGAGAAGAAGACACTAAGGAAGAAATAGAGAGAGGCAGGCGGGAAGTCAGGAGAAGGAGGCAGAGAGAAAGATCATTTCACAGGTGCTGGGGACAGAGAGGGTGTCCATCCCCTAGCTGGGAAGGGGAGAAGGCAGGAAGTCAGTTTCTGTGTCACTCAGCTTGATGGCTATAAGGACCTCAAGGACCTTCTGATTCTTGGGCCAATGTCCCCTCCCTCCAGTTCCAGTGCCACAAAAGCCTGACCTCTTCTGCTCTCCTGGCAGGTGGAGGTATTTTCCTAGTCAGCCGTCATAGTCCTGGGATGAGGAGGAATTTGGACCAGAGTAATCCAACCTTGCAAATAGCCAAGCCAATTTACCAACCAGCTGCACAAAGGCAGAGGTGCTGTTAGGTGCCAACGCCTCCTGACAGCTCCCTGTCCCACAGTGCCTCTCCTGGTAAATTAAGGAATAGTGACTTTGCTCTTTATTTAACAAGTACAATTGTTTCTCCATATCCATAGGTTTTGGGGAAAAGTGTACTGAACACGTACAGACTTTTTTCTTGAAATTATTCCCTAAACAGTACAGTATAACAGCTATTTATATTTATATAACATTTACATTGTAGTAGGTATTAGAAATAATCTAGAGATGATTTAAAGTATACAGGAGGATGTGCATAGGTTATATGCAAATACTACTCCATTTTATATCAGTGACTTGGGCATCCCTGCATTTTGATATCCATGGGGAGTTCTGGAACCAGTGCCCCATGGATACCAAGAGACAGCTGTTATTTACTGACTACCTAAGAAATGTTCAAGGGGCTTGGGATATAATAATGAATCAAATAAATGCCCTGTCCTCATGGTGCTTACATTCTAGTGGAGAGGCAGCAAACACACACACACATTTCTGTTAACCAGTGAGAAATACTATGGAGAAAAACTAAGCAGTGCAAAGAGATAAAGGCTGACCAAGGTGCTCTTTTAGTGTGGTGGCTTCTAAAGTACTACCATTTAAGCAGATACCTAAAGGAAGTGAGGGAGAAAACCTGCGGGGAAAGTGTTCTCAGCAGAGGCAACTGCAAGTACAAGGACCCCCGGAGCAGGTGTGTGCTTGGTGTGTCTGAGGTGTCAACGTTCCTATCACTCTGTGGCTCACTCCCTCATTCACGGGGCAGGTAGACGCCTTCAGGGTCTTTCCTGGTTGGGGATGTGGGAGTAGAACCAACCCACTCACCAGCGCACGTCACCACAGGCCTTTAGGTTGGGGGTGAGCTGCTGGAGTCAAGTGGACTAAAGTAATGCAAAAACCGGTCCTATATCTTCCTCCTTCCCCATACATGCACAGAACAAATGCGTGGGGCCCGCATTCTGGTCAGACTGCCTCAAATCCCTGCAAAGGGAGAGCAGAGGAGAGGTGTGGAGGGCTCCCACCTGCCAGGGAAGAAACCCTGCGGGGTCAGGGTCCTGGGAGGGCTGCTTTAGTGAACAGGTAAGAGCCCTTTGAAGGTGGCCTATTTAGTGCTGTGCACAATCAGGCACTGGCTTCTTCCCCCAGGTAGGTTACACAGTTTGCCTCCCATCAGGCTCAGGGTCCACGTGTGCTTGGCAGATCCGCCCATGGTAGATAACTTCAGAGGAAGCTGGAACCTGGCTCTGTCCCAGTTACGTCGGGTCTCCCATCAGCGGCTTCTGGAGGTGGGCACTTGGCAGCAGCCCTGAGGCTGGGAAGCCCTTCCCCCTATTTGGCTTAAACCCAGGAGGGGGACTCAGCCCAGGCTGTCCAGAGGGGGAGCAGCCAGGTGGCCCAAGGGCAGCCTGTGAAACACACGTTCTTGCCCAGTCAGAGGAATGTGCTGTGGGATGAATGGGCAGGGCCTCTGCCTGGGTCCCCTGGCATGGAGAGGGTGGCAGAAACCTGGTCTTTGCTCGGCCACCTCATGGCTGAGCTGCCTTCTGTTTGGCTGGGCAGAGAAGAAAGCTGCCTCTGTAGGGTGTGTGATCCATCAGGACAAGTGGATGGCCCTCCTGTCCTGCGGGTCTGTGGGCTCTTCACTTTTGCCTTCCCAGCAGCTAGTACAGTGCCAGGCATACGGGAGGCATGGAGGAGAATATGGGGCCGTGTGCAAACCTAGTGTGGGTACGGAAAACTGCAGGGGTGGCCCTGCACCCCTAGACGGCTGACTACACCGGGCCCTGGGCACCCTGGCTCTGAGTGGCCGCATAACGCAGTGCTGGTGGCAAAATCTGAAGTCAGGCCCACATGGTTCATATCTTGCAGCCACTGCTTAGTAACTGCTTAGTGTGTTTGGGCAACTCGTTTAACTTCTCTGAGCCTTAGGTTCCTCTACTGTAACATGTGGATAAAAATATTCCTGACTACAGTATTGTAATGATTGAATGAGATTAAAGCACTTGGAATGGCGTCCAACACACAGTGGACACTAAATAAACATTAGCTATTATTATTATTATTATTATTTGAGACAGAGTCTCGCTCTGTCGCCCAGATTGGAGTGCAGTGGCGTGATCTGGGCTCACTGCAACCTCGGCCTCTGAGGCTCAAGCGATTCTCATGCCTCAGCCTCCTGAGTAGCTGGGATTATAGGCGCCCACCACCAAGCCCGGCTAATTTTTTATTTTTATTTTTAGTAGAGACGGGGTTTCACCATGTTGGCCAGGCTGGTCTCGAACACCTGACCTCAAGTGATCCGACCGCCTCGGCCTCCCAAAGCGCTGGGATTACAGGCGTGAGCCACCGTGCCTGGCCTAGCTATTATTAATTATCATTCACTACCTTAAGACCAGAGATGAGAACTGATGAACCCAGGTAATTGTCAACTCAGATTCTATTTGTCTGTGATGTCATTAGTAAATGATTCTATTACCTCCTGGCATTGTCATACTCATGCCATGATTTTATGAGTCGCCAAGTCTGTGGTCTGCCACATGATAGGCCTCAGCCCTGGGGACCCACTCTCTCCCAGTTCCTGGCATGAGGCACGTAAAAGGCCCCCCAAAGGCCCTGGCTCGGTGCCAGCCGCCCCGGCCAGACGCCCATCCATCTGTCTCGCCCCTCCGCCCCACCCTCACCATCTGTCTCTACCAGTGCCCGTCGGTCTGGGTAGGTCTACGAGTCAGAAGACAAATGGCCCATTATCAGAGGCCATCGTGGAGGGTGATGGATCGCGTGCCATGCAGCCAGGCAGGCTGGGCTGGGCTGGGGGCACGGGCACAGAGTACAAATCACTAGGGAATGAACACTATTCATCATGGCCTGCTGGCTCCAAGGACAGGTGACACCTCTGTGGGCTCAGGGATGTCTCTCCTCCTGAGCATAACGAACAAGTTGATAGAGCCTAACCTGGCCCCAGAGCATGGGGGAGCTGGGGATAGGGCCTTTCCTCTCAGGCCCAGCCTCTGAGCAGCTCTCCTCCCTCCCCATCTCTCTCTCCTAGAACTCCAGACTCATGCTCAAGAACTTACTTCCCCATTCCCCAAGCACAGCTTAATCAACTTTGCAGCCAGATGCTCTGGGCTCCTAGCACCTTCTCAGTTTCCCACTCCTCCCTCCTCACTTCTTCCTGGTCCTTCCGCCAAACCCACCTACTGGTCCTTGCTCACCTCCTGCTGTAGCTCACAGCACTGGCTCTCTTCTGCCAGTTCACACTAACAGTGTCTCTTAATATTCACCTTGAAAATTCCTCCTTCAGGAAGCCTCCCTGGATTTGCACCACCCCTGCTTAGCCTCCCTGCTCCCTCCATCATTATGAGCAATTACTGGCAAGTACCTTCCCTTCATTCCAGCTATACAGTAAGCCTTTTAAAAGCCTGCTGAGGCTGAGACAGGAGGATCACCTGAGCCCAGATCTGGGCTGCAGTGAGCTATGATTGTGCCACTGCACTCCAGCCTGGGCAACTGAGACCCTGTCTTTACAAAACAATTTTAAAAATTAGGCCAGGTATGGTGGTGTGCACGTAGTCCTAGCTTCTCAGGAGGCTGAGAGAGGAGGATTCCTTGAGATCAGAAGATCGAGGCTGCACTAAACTATGATTGTGCCACTGCACTTCAGCCTAGGTGATAGAGTGAGATCCCATCTCTAAAACCAAACCAAACCAAACCAAACCAAACCAAACCAAACCTAGTACTGGCATGACACTCTACAGTTTACAGTTTGTGAAATATTGCCATAAAACTTAGTACATTGAATCTCATAAGAGATCCTTGGGGCAGGTAACAGCCCCCCTATCCCTCTACACTTGGGCAAGGTGAGGTTCAAGAGGGGTTGAGGGTATGCTCATCCCTGTGGCTACCAGTACCCACCCCTAGCCGGGACATGACCAGGCACCTTCTGTGAGCCAGCACAGGGACCCAGTGTGCCTTCTCCAAGTCCAGGGCTTGTTCCTCTGCCCCCAGGCTCTCCCTAGTGAAGGAACAGCTGGCCAGGAAGCAGCTACCATGAGATGTGGAGGCCTCCTGTTCCCACAGAGCCACCTTCAGAAATGAAGGCCTCCTGCCCGCCTGCAGACACTTGCGTCTGTTTCTTTGCAAGCATGCGTCTTCCACTCTGCCTCATCGCACATGCATTTGTGGATTCGATGCCCAGACTAGCCTGTGAGCCCCCTTGTTTCCCCCAGTGCCCTGCGTGGGGCCTGCTGTGTAGTAGGTGCTTCATGAAAGAGTTGGTGTGAATCAAGGAGAGGCTTGAAGACTTAAATAGAAGGTCCACAAGCCTTCCAAAGACACTCAGGTGCAGGGACCCTCTCCATTTTTGCCCAGCAGCAGCCATGCCCAGGACCACACCCAAAGTTTTAAAAGACATGCCCTAGGCAGCCCAAACACCTAGATTTGGGTCCCAGTCACTGCCATGTACTGGCTGCATGGTGCCATGGGGGTTATGTAACTCTCCCATGCCTCAGTTTCCTCAACTGTACAAACGTTCGGCTTTACACTCTTGTGAGGATGAAACGAGATGATTATGCAAAAGCACTCTGTAAATGGTAAAGTGACACAGATATTAATAATATTTGCAGCTATGCTGTCTTTTCTATTGGAGAGATACAGAGCACGGCGCTGGAGACCACAACCAGAAGCTGGGCTGCCCGTGCTCCACTCAGGGCTCTGGCGCTTACTAGTTCTCTGTGCCTCAGTTTTCTTATGTGTAAAATGGGGGCAACAGCACCTACTTCAGAGGGACATTGTGCAAATTGGGTTAATACAGCTCCAGTCCTTGATCAGTGCCTGGCACGGGTTAGCACCGTGGAGTATTACACTCTGGGCATTTTTAGCCACAGACTGTGGCAGCCTTTCCTCCGTCCCTTGATGCCTCCCCGAGTCACAACTCAGCAGCAAGGGCTGGGATGCCCTCCCCTGTGCCCACCCTAAAGCAGGGAAGATAACTACTCAGAATCCTTGCTGCAAACTCCTGTGCCCACGGCAGGTGCTACTAACCAACTGCAGCTCTTCCCCACCAACCTTACACCCAACCTCAGGATCCTTCTCAACACGGTGCTCGGTGGAGATGTGAAGAATTGCTTGGAGCCCTGGAGAGGAAATGACTCTGCAAATCCTGCCTTAGGGCATGGTTCTGTGTGCAGGCTCTGGGATACCTGGGGTAGGGGGCATTGTGGTGACCAGGAATCTTGCAGGAGGGGGTTGAGGGGACTCACCTGAGATGTTGCTGGCCAGGGACAGGCTCTCGCAGTGCTGGTCCTGGAGGGAGGCAGAGACGGGGTTCAGCCCCAGAAGGAGAAGGGCCTGCAGGCACAGGAGGCGAAGGACACATTAGGCAGGTGCCATGAGCCATGAGCATGTTGCTCCATCACCCAGGAAAACTGCAGGGGTGACACTGCACCTGCCTGCCTCCCCTCCCACCCTGTCACACATCCAGTCGCTTCCCAGACACCCGCCCCTCATCTCCTCTCTCCTCCTTCTGGGTCCTCTCTGCCTGGAGGGTCTGGAGTTGCCCTGCTCTTGGAGGGGCCTGGCAGGGAAGCTGACAGGATCAGGAGCCCAGGCTCCTAGGGAAGAGGCGAATTTTACCCCTAGGGGCTGAGTGCGGCCAGAGGAAGCCACCTCCATCCCCATGGAATCCTGAACATGGTCCAACGGTGTCCCACCATATACACGTGTGCATGTGCACACACACACACACCCTCCCACCGGCCCGCTGACCACCATGGCCGCTGACATCCCCATGCGTGCACCCACTTCCCTCCCTTCCTCCAGAGCTGGCCTCTTGTTTTGTGAACAGTTTCCTGGGCCCTCATCCCCGCCTGCCTAATTATCCGTCATCACAAATTGTGCCTCACCATTTATCAAGCTCTTGTACATCTGCCGTGACACTAAATTTTCCCTGGGGTTGGTGTGGCTGTGCCTATTTGCAGATGAGGAAACTGAGGCACAGAGAGGTAAGGGATAAATGTGTCTGGAAAGATGGACACCCTATTCTAGGGCAGACCTTTGCCCTTTAACCTCCCTGAAGGCTCCGTGTCACTCTGATTCCAGAATTTTAGCCCAGTTGGGAAGGGAGTGGCATAGGCCCTATACCTGGAGGGCTGCCCCTTCTTCAACTAAACCCACCCACACAACCATCGCATTACCCCCCTCCCGACAGGGTTAGAGTCAAGAGAGAGGCCGAGTGTCTAGCCCCCCGTTACGCTGTGTTGCCATGGGCAGGGGACTTGACCTCTGTGTGCCTCAGTGTCCTCACCTGTAAAAATGGGTCTAACTGTCCCACCCCCTTTAAGCTTACATGATGTATGTATATTGAAGTCCTTTAAATAGCCCTGCATGCTCTGTAGGGGCAGGGATTTTGTTCATTGCACTCAATTTTGCTGAAGAAATGAATGAATGACATTGTGTTTCTGGTATACAATAGGCACTCAAGAAGGATATGTTAACTGATCTGAACTTAGTGGTTTTTATTTAGTTGTTGGAGGAGAGGTGGCTGTTTCCCCTGGGATTTGATTCAAAAGGGGTTAAGAAGCATGAGTGAGGGGCAGGGAGAGGGGAGCATTGTAACCGGTCCTCCCCTCTGGCTGTGGGGAGCTGGGTGCCCGGCCACCAGCAGAGTTCCCAGACAGGGTGGTGAGCCTGAAGCCCAAGAGGCCTCATGGGAGGCTGCTCTCTTCATCACTTCTCTGCTGTTTCTTCTTGGGGTCTGCTCCTTCTGAGGCCCCCAACCCCATGGCCAGGTGTCTCAGCCCCAGCCCATTTCTGTACCAACTGCAAATTTCACTACAGAGCCTCAGACACAGACCCTTAGCTCTGGAAGCCAGCTTGGGATTTCACAGCAGGAAAATAAGATCGGGAGAGAGGTAGGGGCTTGTCAAGTCCCTTGGTGAGCAAAGACTTCTAGGGTGTAGGCTAGAAGCAGGTCGGTGGCCAGCCCAGGCAGCACGCAGCCTTCTCACAAGGGGCCGGGACTCCACGTGGTGAGTGCAAAAGTGAAGGGAGCATCGAAAATCTTAGTCGTCAAGATACGGAATATTTTAACATAATTATTTTTTTAAAATAAAGATTAACGCCAAAAAATCCATGATGAGCAAAATATCAAAAACTTTTTAAAGGAAAGATAGGCTCAGTAACAGTGCTGGGCCATGTTGGAGCTTGGGGCAAAAAGGGAAAAAGTCAGTAATGATATTAAAATATTATCTATCATGGCCGGGTGCAGTGGCTCATGCCTGTAATCCCAGCACTTTGGGAGGCCAGATCACGAGGTCAGCAGTTCAAGACCAGCCTGGCCAACATGGTGAAGCCCCGTCTCTACTAAAAATACAAAAATTAGCCAGGTATGGTGGCAGGCACCTGTAATCCCAGCTATTCGGGAGGCTGAGGCAGGAGAATTGCATGAACCCGGGAGGTTGAGGTTGTAGTGAGCCGAGATCACGCCACTGCACTCCAGCCTGGGCGATAGAGTAATACTCTATCTCAAAAAAAAAAAAAATTATCTATTGCGATTACTGAGGTTTGAGGAAATGCCTCACTTGCTTCACTCCAGTCGGGCCCCACTCATGCGCCATCTTCCCAAGCCAGACGCCATCCCTCCTTCCCTGCCTGCCCCATATCCTTCAGGGGTGTCCATCCTCTCTTCCCTGGACTCCTCTCCACTCACCCTTTTCGGATCTCAGGACCTTCTCCCTGTCCTTAGAAGCAAACTGACCTGCCTTTTCCATGTTCACCTGCCGGGAATGTTCTCCCTTATCTCACCCCACCCCACCAGGGCCACCCCCTTTCACGGTACCCACTCCCTCCCAGTCCTGTCCCGATGATGAAGGCAGACTCTGCTCCCCTCTCTCCCACCCACATTCCAAGGTCCAGGGGAAGAGTGCCCACTCCTCGTCAGAGCCTGGTCCCCACTACCCATGACTCACCCACATGGTCCCCCGAGTCGGTAGTGCCTGAGTTTGTAGTGGTTTTGTTCACTCCATTCCCTTGCTGATACTCTCATAGGGGTCTCTCTGCCCTGGACCAAGCTCCAGGTTCTGAAGCATAACCCCAGCCTCACACCCCCATCCTGTGCTCTGCACACGGGACACTCAGCAAGATGGCACTGGGGTTAGCCAACTCGCGCCTGGGACTCAGGAGTGATGATAACAAACCCATTCATCTCTCTGGCCTCAAGGAACTTCCAACACTTTATTAATCAGTAATTAAACTTCACAGTCTCCAGAGAGATGGAGAAATATCTTTACCCTCATTTTCCAAGTGAAAATGCAGAAGTAGAGAGAGGAGGAGGCCACCAGGCCAGCCGGTGGCTCTTGCCAGCTAAGCAGAAAGCAAAGTGTCCTCATGACAAAGCTGCACTGCCCGCTCAGCAATCAGCAAGGACCCAGGCTCGGCTCTGTCCCCGGAGAGGGGCAGTTCAGATGCTAGGGCCAGAGGCCCCTTCTAGAAGGGGACTAGAAATCATCACTCCTCGTTTCCCACCCCACATCTGCCCACGCCACCTCCCAACACACACACATGCACACACGCGCACGCGCACGCACACACACACACACACACGCACTCTCTCTCTCAAACTAGGGCTCCCAGAGCCAGCTCAGCCACAGGCAAATTAAAGAAACTGGAGACACTGGCCAGGTGCAGTGGCTCACGCCTGTAATCCCAGCACTTTGGGAGGCCAAGGCAGGCGGATCACCTGAGGTCGGGAGTTTGAGACCAGCCTGGCCAATAGGGTGAAACCCCCATCTCTACTAAAAATACAAAAATTAGCTGGGCATGGTGGCATGCCTGTAATCCCAGCTACTCAGGAGGCTGAGGCAGGAGAATTGCTTGAACCCAGGAGGTGGAGGTTGCAGTGAGCCGAGATCACGCCATTGCACTCCAGCCTGGGCAACAGAGCAAGATTCCATCTCAAAATAAATAAATAAATAAAATAAATAAAAAAGAAAGAAAAGAAACTGGAGGCATCCTATTTGACAATATCAGCCCCATTGCCTGACATTCCACTTATCCATCTAATCCTTAAGCTGTGCTTCGTGCTCCGGTCTTTCATATCCCCCACCTTGAAGGCACATCACGTTCTATTTCCATCCAATTACTTATTATCTCCCAGTATCTGGGATCCTTCTCATGTCTGCAACCCTCTGCCCATGCAGTCTGTGCCACCCCCCACCCCTGGTCACCTGGTCAACTCTGCATTCTTCAGAGGCCAGTTCCAGGGCCCGTCTGCTTAGTAGTACCTGCCCAACTCTCCAAAGCAAAGCAGCTCAGTTCTCCCTCCAATGTACCCCTTTTCCCAGTGCACTCTGTACACTCACTGGACCCTGTGCCCGTGAGGCTCACAAGTAGAGCACTTAGACCAGCCTAAGTGCACGAAAACCACCTCGGCACAAAGCACTTAGGACCCAAGACACTAATTAGATGGCAAATATACAGGCTATAAGTTCTTATTCTCGCATCTTAATGTCCTGGCGTGCACAGAGGAGCAGAGCAAATCTTGATTCGTCAGAAAATGAAGCCAAATTCCAGGCAAAGGGCTAGTCTTCCCTTGGCTGCCTAGAACCCTGACACTTGTGTCCCTCTCTTGAATGTGATGGTTCACACAGGCATTTTCTAAACACAGAGGACTGGTGTTGCGTTATGCAAAGAAAAATGCTTCTTAAAATTCCCAAACCAACCTTTCCTCTCTGGAAAGGTCTGCTCTGTAGCAGAATCTGTGCCTGTGCCACCTCTTGCTCTGTGGAAGGTTTGTGAGGGCTTCTGCCTTATTCCTGAATCATACTTCCATGAAAAGTCCAGAGATTTCCTGCATTTTTCCTCCCACCATCCGCTGATCTCCTCTTCACCATCCGCTGATCTCCTCTTCAAGCTCCACTGTGGTTTTCTATCTCCATCAATAGGCAATTACTGCACTGGCAGGAACAGGCCCCCAAAGTTTCAAGGATGTTGTTTGTTTGCCCTTAAAATGGAGAATTTTTTTGTTTGTTTGTTTTTTGAGACAGTCTTGCTCTGTCGCCCAGGCTAGAGTGCAGTGGTGCGACCTCCGCTCACTCCAACCTCTGTCTCCTGGGTTCAAGCAATTCTCCTGCCTCAGCCTCCCAAGTAGCTGGGATTACAGGCCTGCACCACCATGCCCAGCTAAGTTTTGTGTTTTCAGTAGAGATGAGGTTTCACCCTGTTGGCCAGGCTGGTCTCAAACTCCTGACTTCAAGTGATCAGCCCGCCTCGGCCTCCCAAAGTGCTGGGATTACAGGAGTGAGCCACCATGCTGGGCTAAAACAACAAAAAACAAAACAAACAAAAAAAAAAACACGGAGAATTCTTAACCTGGGGAGCGGGCAGTGTGAAGATTTGCAAATAAATGCAGTTGGTGTGTGTGATGAAAACCATTTTCCCGGGGAGGGTTCTTGGCTTCCTCCACTTCTCACCAACAACTAGCACCCTGAAACAGTGGGAACTACAGTCGAAGCATATGGTAAATGGGGTGAACTGAACATGTCATCTTCTCTGAAATCAAACCAAAGTGCTTTTGGCCTTTCTCAGATGCCTCTTGCTCCTCCACTCCATCACCAGTCCCAGCCACTGGCGCTCCTTTCAGAACCAAGTTTTCAAGACTTCATGTGATTTACTATCTTCCAACTAGTAGAGAAAATCAAAACGGCACTGAAGCTGAAGCTGGCAGAGCACGAGGTTCACTCACTGGCTAATGCCTCACTTCCGTGCACAGCCTGGCAGCCCCAAGGCTCCAAATAAAACTTGCAGCTGAGCTACAAATCTCTCCACTCACCAAAGAGCCAAACCTTCAAGGTTAAAGTCTGAGGCCAAGGGTGCGTGCGGCTCAATTATAGCATCGCGTAAAAGGATTTTCCAAAGATCTAGTGGGTCCCTGGGATGGAAGGGAAAGCAGACTGGGCGGGTATCATGCTCCCATTTTAAGTCTGGGGTAGTTGATGTACCCAATGTCACATAACTGTTTTTAGGAGCTGGGATTCAGTAAGCAGGTGCTCCTGCTGTCTTTCAAGGAGATGAACCATGAAGACAGTCGCGCCTTCTGGCTGGCCAGGCGCAGGTCAAGACAGCGCCTTGGAAGAAGGGATGGGCAGTGGGGAGGAAGGTGGTGCAGGAGCCTGTGGAGGGGGTGGAGGGCCAGGTTCTGACATGGCCTGCTCCAGCCTGCAGCAGCTGCTACCCACACCCCCACCCCCAGGGCCAGCACAGAATGGGGCTGGAATGAAGCTGCCATCCCAATTCCCAGTGTGATTTTGGTACAAAGGTTAATCACACCCAGAAAATGCTTATCAGAGACCATAAATAACCGTGTTGTTGAAGCTCAGTTTGGTCTTTAAGGCACAAAAGTGCAATTTCCTTTGATGTGATGATTCGGTAATTAACCTTTTGGGGAGGGTCCTGAAGGCCACTGGAGGGAGGGAGGGGTGGCCTGGAGGCAGCTGAGGCATCTCAGGCCTGGTTCCTACAAGTTCCTGGGGAACAGGGAAAAGGGAGCCTGTTTTCTCTCTCCTTTCACAGCTAGCACTGATGCTCAGCTTGGGAGAGTCCCCAGAGCCCCCAGGGGTCAGGGACCGCACTGGCCTTCGGCAGAGCCACAGCTGGACAGCCATCCTTCAACACGGTCCCTCGCCCTTCTGCTGAGCCCCAAGGCAGTCCTGTCACTGGCTGTGTGGCTTTCGGTGAGTCACCTGACTCCTCTGAGACTCAACATCCTCATCTGTGAAGTGGGGGCAATGTGGTCTTTCTTACCCACTTCACTGGGAGATGGACCATTTGTGGGGAACCAGGAGACCTGCATCTGCAATATAAAGTCCCTACAAGCATCGGCAGGGTCATCAGCCCAGCTTGGCTGTTCTGGGCCCCAGAATGCACCTCCACTGCAGAGGGCTGGCCTGGAGCAGCTTTCCTGATGTCCCTTCCGGGCCCTGGGGGAGGCCCCGCAGGCTGGACCTGGCCTCTCCTCATCTTCCGCCAGGTCCTTCTGCCTTCTCAGGAAGCCTTGCTTTGGGAAGGAGTTTTTCCATTTAAAAGGTAAGTTGCTTTTTAGGTTTGAAATCCACTGGATTGAGTGGTGTCTCCAACCCCCTTGGTGGTCTGGGATCCTTCATTCAAAGAGTCCAGGACTAAGTACATGATTTGGAAAAAAGGAAAGGAACTCAGAAGAGATGGGGAAGGACAGACAGACACACACATACATGACGATGGCAAGATGAGGCACAGACTGAGGGCAGGGGGACCATGGAGTTTCAGATGGGGTCAGCACCATGGCCATGAGGGCAGGCTTCCTGGAGGAGGTGAGCTGGAGGTCGGGGCAGAGTGGACGTGGCTGTCAGAGGGAGGGAGAGGGCCTTCCCGGCAAGGGGAGGGTCCTGAGCTTGTAGGGGTGTGGCAGGCTGCCTGCGGAGGGCCTCAGACACTGGGTTGAGATGGATCCAGTCGGCCTGGAGCACCATGGCAGGTTCCTGAGCAGTGAATTATCCCAGCTTGTCACCCTCATCATCCCAGCGAGACAGCCGACAGTCACCTGTTCCACGGAGGCGGTTCAGCAGGTCAGAGTGAAACCAGGCCTTGTTGCCTTCCCTGGCCTGGGAGACTCTGGCGGACCCTGACTCGGGGCCCAGAGAAGCCCTTGACTCTCCAGTGTGGCCAAGATCGAAGATGTACCTGGTGACCCCAGAGGCAAGGGCCCCAGCCCACACTTTCCATCTGCTGGCCAAGGTCCTGGGTCCTGGGGTCCTGCAGGCTCCACAATCCCAATATCCGACCCTTCTGACTCTGCTTTGCTTTGCACTGTGTTCAGGTGGAGCCTATTTTAAGCAAAGGCAAGAGAAGAAAATCTAAACGCGAAAAAGAAATGAGGTCATAAATGAAGATTTCTGTAAAAAGCTGGGTCCGCCGTTGCATTTAAATACTGGGATCTGGTTTGCAGAAATAAAGCGTCAGTGCAATCAACTCTTCAGAAACGTCTCTGTACCTACGGGGGATATATCTGTAGTTACGGACTAATTGAATACAAGAGCAGGGCAGGCCCCACACGCAATTGTGTGGTTTCTGCAGAATTTCTTGCTACAGAAGTGCCAAGTGGAGGGGTCAGTGGGGGATAGACTTGCAAGATGTGTACCAGCAGAGGGGCACCCTCATGGGGCACCTTTTTCTCATCCACCCACAGGTGGAGACCAGCCAGAGTAAAACTAGACTAGGCACAGAGGACAGAGATGCCAGGGGTCCTTTCTCAGCCCTCTTGACTGCCCAGGCTTCTCCCCATCCCGCCTCGGGCCTGGCCCTCCTCCCACAGCCTCTTTCTGTGACAGCCACAACCAGTTCCCATCTCAAGGCAAAGAGCCAGTGCTTCCCCTCAAAGTGGGTGAGCACTGAAAGATTATTCCAGGCAGGCGAGAAATAATTTATTGTTACATTTAATTAACTTAAATTGCTGTTGTACAGAGAAGAAAAAATGGAAAGGAAAATCTCCTGCCTACAGTTAAGGGAGGGGGGAAGCCTGGGTGTTCCCCGCCCCCGGCCTTTCTCCCTGGGGCCCCGGCTCAGGGTGCCCCCGCCCGCCCTCCCTGCTACTTCACGCCTCTACTCCCCTAAGAAAACCTTGCAGCAGGGCTAGAAATAGTGGGTCACCTGCCTCTCCCACCCCAGGGCAGCAAGGGCCATGAGACCCCAGCTCCAGAGTCACACACGCCCCTCCAAGGTTCCAGATGTACTGTTATAAGCTTGAGTTGTAAGCTCCCTGCAGGCAAGGCCTGTGTTTGGCTTTTTTTTTTTTTTTTTCCCGAGACGGAGTCTCGCCTTGTCGCCCAGGCTGGAGTGCAGTGGCGCGATCTTGGCTCACTGCAACCTCTACCTCCTGGGTTAAAGAGATTCTCATGCCTCAGCCTCCTGAGTAGCTGGGATTACAGGCACCCACCATCACACCTGGCTAATTTTTATATTTTTATTAGAGATGGGGTTTCGCCATGTTGGCCATGCTGGTCTCGAACTCCTGACCTCAGATGATCCACCTACCTCGGCCTCCCAAAGTGCTGGGATTACAGGCGTGAGCCACCCTGCCCAGCCCGTGTTTGGCTATTTTTGTATCCTCAGTGGGGCCCGATACAGAGCAGGCCCCAACATGTTTGTTGAATGAATAAATGACTGAATGAATAAGTGAACAGATGGGTTTTCACTTTCTGCCCCCTCTGACCATGGGGTCTCATGATGATTCCCAGCAGGAGATTGTAGGGGGCTGTTTCCTTTTTCTCATTTTCCTCTCTATTCCTCCTGCTCAGCAGGAGCTCCCTCTCCTCTCCTTGCTCCCGCCATAGCCCCGCACCTTGGACTCCAGAAGGATGTGCTAGAGGAAAAAGCACTCTGGGTGGGAAGCACAGGGCTGACTCTGCTGAACTTGCTCCGTGATGGTAGAGAAGTCACCTCCCCACCTCAGTTACCTCATCTGTAAAATGGGGAGGTCACTGTGTTCTCTACATTCCTTTCCAGGTCTGAATATGCCCTGGCTCCAGGATGTACAGGAGAGTAGAAATTCAAATCTCTAAACTTGGGGCTGGAGAGATGCTTGTTGGAATCTTTTATCTGCCCCCTCCTACCTGTGTGACCTTGGGAGAATCACCGAACTTCTCCAAGCCTCATTTTCCCCATCTGTAAATGGGGCTGATAGGGATAAAATATTCACATCCCAAAGCTCCTGGAGAGATTCAACAATATGGTGCATATAAAACTGCATGGGGCCGGGCGTGGTGGCTCATGCCTGTAATCCCAGCACTTTGGGAGGCCGAGGTGGGCGGATCATGAGGTCAGGAGATTGAGACCACAGTGAAACCCCGTCTCTACTAAAAATACAAAAAACTAGCTGGGCGTGGTGGCGGGCGCCTGTAGTCCCAGCTCCTCGGGAGGCTGAGGCAGGAGAATGGCATGAACCCGGGAGGCGGAGCTTGCAGTGAGCCGAGATCGTGCCACTGCACTCCAGCCTGGGTGACACAGCGAGACTCCGTCTCAAAAAAAAAAAAAAAAAAAAAAAAAGAAAGAAAGAAAAAGAAAAAACAGCATGGGACTAGGTGCGCAGGCCGCACAAATGGTCACCACTCTGTTACTCAACTTTGCACGTTCTTCCTTCCTGACTTGGCTTTTCTTCCCAGAAGTGCCCCTTGCCCAGCCCCCTGCCCACTCAGGGCATGTACCCCACTTTCCAGCTCCACTCTTTCCCAGAAGCCAGCAGTGGTCACCTACAGGAATGGAGTGTACATCCAGGTCAATGATATGGATTTGCTAAGCATGGGGGCAGGGGGTGCCCGGAGCGTAGCTCCCATCCTCCTTGTCTTCCCTTCATTTCTGCCTCTCATGCATTCACTTGCTCCCCGTCTTTGTATGATTTGCTCTCAAATTGACTCATGGATATGTTCTTGTAGCCCGTGCCTTCTCGGCCTCCTGCCTCTCTCCTCCCCATCTTGCTCTCTCCCTGTCTTAACCACTCTACCTTTCTCAGTCTTCCCTGGCTTCCATTTTCCTCCCTCCCTTCTTTCCTTCCTTTCTTTCTTCCTTCTTTCTTTCTTCAGCCTTTACTGAAGGCTTGCACAGTGCCAGGCCCTGTGAATTTCTTCATTTAATCCTTCTCGACCCCTGCAAGTCAGAGCCTTTACTATCTCCCCACTGTTCAAACGAGAGACTGGTGCACCCGGAGACAGTAACTTACCCAGGGTTTTGACTGCAGTAACTGGAGGGACTGGGATTGGAGCCATGCTCCTGCCCCTGGGCAGCACAGCCTGTTTCCCTGCCTGCCCTGCCTGCCTTCCCTTCCCTCCTCTTCCTCATCACAAGCCTGGATCCTCCAAAAGACACATAGGTACAGGTTTCCTTTGCCTTTCAAACTCTGGCTCCTGGCTGCAGCCCAGCTCCCCCAGAGCTGGCAGTGGGAACGAGGGGGCGGACAACAGTAGGACCCTGCCAATGGATGGGACTCAGGAAGGGCTCTGTTTGGCTCTCACAGAAGAGGGGAGCCCAGCCCAGGGTTCTGATCCAGTGCCTGCCCCTGGGAGCTGTTAGCTGTGAGTGGCTCCCAGACACTGGGAAACTGTCCCTGAGTGGGTGGGAGGCACAGCCGAGGTGTGGGGACAGCCGCAGAGACACCAGCTACGCAGGTGACACTATCAGCTGTGCTCTCGGCTCAGCCGCTCTCTGACAAGTGTAAAGTGAGGGGGATTTCGGTGTCGGCAGAGAAAAGATGTCCTTTATGGAGCTGCGTTTTAAAAGGGATTTAAAGAGGGCCAGAAAGGAAGAGTGAAACTGGTGGCTGAAAATTAGGTTCTACTTTATTTAAAAATGCTAAAGGCTTTGGGGCTGTTTTTCCTGGAAAAACGACTGCCTTCTAAGGCCAAAGGTCAGTTTAAAGAGGGCTGCTGGACCGCCAAACCCCACCGAACAGGGAATATTTAGGGCAGAAATAAGGACTAACCAGACATAAAACAAGCAACGGCCCCGTCCTCTGATTCTTTGCTTGTAAAGGCAGTGACTTAGACAAAATCAGAATTTCCAGACAGTGCTTGACACCTGACCTGGGAGACAGAAAATCCCATTTCTCACAACTCACCCCCAAAATTGGGGTTCAATAGGCCTGTGGGGAGCCCAGGGACCCTTATGTTTTTTAAATGCGTTCCAGTGATTCTGAAGCATCAACAGAAGTGAGGATAACTCAGCCAGCTCAGAGATTCTCACCTGGAGGCCATTTTGCCTCCCGGGGGACGTTTGGTGATGTCTGAAGATATTCTTGGTTGCTATAATCAGGAAGGGGGAGGTGCGACTGGCATTTAATGGGTAAAGGCCAGGAATGCTGATAAACATCCTAAAATGCACAGGCCAGCCCCCACAGTGAAGGATTATCTGGCCCCAAATGTCAATAGTGCTGAGGTTGGGAAGCCCTGGGTTGGAGGGTTTCAATGCTCCATCCCAGCTTTGAAGACACTTGCCTGCCTGCCCATTATGGGGGCGGGGCAGGGGAGGAAGGTGGCTGTAGAGTGGACCTTGGGAAGAGTGTGGGATTACAAGAGAGAGGCACCTTCAAGGCAGGAAGAGGACCTGGATTGCACTCTTCTTGGTGAATGCCCTGTGCGACCTTGGATCAGTCAGTCTCCCACCTCCTGGCCTCAGTCTGAAGGCAGCGGACTGGTGGAAACGACCTTTCCTGGCCAGCTGGGCAGATGGGAACTCCTTCCCCTGACTCACTCTGTCCTGGCCCTGCTGGGTCAGCTCCTCCAGATCTCCTCCTGCAGGGGGTGCACAGGAGATGCAGGAAGGTCTGCCTGCTGATGCAGCCAAAGTTGAGGAATGAGGCAGCCCAGAAAGAGCTTGAACAGCAGCCTCTTCCCAGAGTCAGCGAGCTGAGCTCACCCAGCTGAGGCTCCACCAGAGCCTCTCCAGGGCCGGCACCTCAGAGGCAGGAGGCAGAGCCGGGTCCTGGGCCCTGGGCCCTGGAGAAGTGGGATTCCTTTACCTTGGATGAGTGCGGGGACAAGGGGTAGAACAGCATGGGGCTAAGTCCTGTGAGCTTTGGGGAACCCACACAGAGCAAGGCTGCCCTTGCCCCACTAGGGGCTGCGACCACTGATCATGGGTCCTCAGCTCACCTTGTCACCAAGTGCAGATTGATGAGTGTGACAAGGAGGGGGAAGGGGCCTGCTCAGAACCCGCCACTGGGTAAGGGGTCTGAGTAAACCAAAGAGTTTCCTCCTCCTGGACAAGGGTTCTTCCTTCTTCCGTCGCCCAGCCTTGGCTGCCAGAAAGAGCCACTACATCACTCACATCCATGCAATGGAGACACACAAGTGCAAGAAGCATGGCAGGAGGGGCAGGCTGTGTGAAGGGTGAACCAGAGATCTGGGCCAGGCAGTGAATTCTGGCCCCAAAGGAGGGCTTTAGGCCCGTGCTATTCAAAGGGTGGTGAGGACTGGTCCGACTGGTCAAGTTTGCCAACCTACCAACAATTGGTTCCTGGTCTACAACTTGAGAAGTACAAAACTGGAGAGTAAGCATTTCATGTGAATCCATCCCTGCGGTGACATCCGAGCATGCAGTCAAGACTCATCTCGTCAAACAGGGTCTAGACCAATTCAGATGCTGTCAGACTTGCCAGGTGAATCACGTGGTGCAGGCTACACAGCAGGACCACACGCCAGTTGGCCATGGATTGGAAAAATCCATGTGGTCCTTCCCCACAGCTGGTTTGAGAGCCCTGCTTTGGCTGGAGGACAGAGTGTGATGCCTGGCTCACCAGGGAAGGCCTCATGGAGGAGGCGGGTCTTGAGTGATAGTTGGGCTTAGTTCTGAGGGGAGTCCTGGGGTGGGACTCCCACCCATGAAAACAGCAGGTCTCACTGGCCTTTGGTGGGAGCAGGCCCCTTGCAGCAGCACAGGCATTTCCTCTTTCATTCTGCATTGTGGTCGGTCCAGTAAAGAGGACACAAGGGTCCAGAGAGGTCATGTGATTTGCCTAAGGTCACCCATCCAAGAAGTGGCTGAGTCAGCTCCAACCCCAGGTCTCCTGCCCTGTCAGCTTTAGGGACAGTGGTCCTTCCTCCAGGGTGCATGTGAGCCCCACCACTCCTAGGCCCCCCTGCCCTGCATTTCACAGCCTTGCAGCAGCTTCCACAGTCAGGCCATGAGGCCCCAGCCATCAGGAGAGAAAAGACGCCCCAGGCTGCACCCCCACACCGACTCACAGGGAGCTGGAGGGGTGGGATGCCAACGGACGGGATCTCACGAAGGTACCAGGAATGCCAGTGCTCTTGGCGCCCCTGCCTTGCCTGGCTACTCCTGCCTCATGACCAGCAGAACCAGGACAGCACCAGGGAGGGAACCCCAGGATGCCACCTAGGCCGCCTCCCCAGTCCCCATTTGGAGGCTAGAGTGCCCTGACCCTGCTCTCTGGAGGCCCCAGCTTCTGAGACCTTCTTGCCCCTTTGTTTCTAAGCCCAGGGCCACAATTCCCTCTAGCAACATCTCCCACCATCCCTGTCCAGAACCGCTCATGAAGCAACATGCTGCCCTTGCGTGCACGTGGACAACGCCCCCAGTGCTATGGGGACCGGAGGCGGAACACAGGGCAGTGCTGGAATCTTTTAATGTTACTAAGCCGCGCTGCCGCGTAGCCCTTGATAAGCCGTTGAGTCACAAATCCACACGCGGAGGCAGAGAGGGACCTATCTGTCTGGCTTGCCACTTGTGTCTTCTGTCGCCATAGCACTTCCACACTCAGACAGACGTTCATTGGGGAGTGGGAGCAGGGAGAGACCCTCCATTTAGTTCAGCATCTACTGTGCACCTACTGTGTGCACAGTTCTGGACTAAGTTCTGGGCACACAGAGGTTTTGTTATTTTTTTGTTTTGTTTTGTTTTGTAAGGGAATCTTTCTGGTCTAGGCAGAGCTCATAGTCTACGGTGGGAACAAGGGCTCAGGTTAGATGTGGGTCACCAGGGGTCCATGTGGAATCTGGTTAGTAGGTGTTTTTGAGCCCCCTGTGGGGGGATACATCAAAGAGCTGTAAGACCCCATGTTGTGGGACAGCCCAGGATCCACGATGAGCTAGAGGCTCACACCAGGGGACGGGATGAGGTGAGAACAAAGGAACAACCAGTGAGAGACAGATTTAGACTGGAGGGCTTCCTGGAGGAGGAGGTGGGGCCAGTTCAGGAAGACTTTGGTGGACATGACAGATGAAGATTGGCACAGAAAGACTTGGGGGCAGAAGCTCCTGTAAGAGAAGTGTCATATATGTATATTCTGCTGGGTAGGGGTTGGCAGGGGAGGAAGGAGAACAGTGCGACTCAGGCAGAGGGCCAGGAGTGAGGAGCAAGAGATTAGGGGAGCATCAGGTTCTTTCCCCTCTAGAAGGGGATGGGAGGACTCAATGGGGTCACTTGTGTGGGCCTTAGTGCAACAGCAGCTCAGTAAATGGCGCACCTGGCCAGTAAACAGTGTACCTGCTTAAAAGAACCTGGGAGGCGTAGGCAAGGGACAGGAGCAGAGTTGGCAGAAAGAGGAAGGGGAAGGGCGTGGCTTAGACCAAGACCAAGCCCAGGACGCAAGGACCAGCCTCCCTCCAAGGACCAGCCTTGCCCTACCCGTCTGGGAAGATGAAGGAGTGGCTGAGTCTCTCGGGCTCCCAGCCAGGCACGGGCAGCTGAGGGATGCCGGGGAGGCTGTCTAACCTGCTAGTCACTCACCCAGCTAAGCCCGTGGTCCCCAGGTGCCCAGCTGCTCCTCTGGAAGTCAGCCTCTAACCCTGGCCTTGAGGTGGCATTGCACACCTGCCGTACAGGTCTGGCTATGCTCAGAGGAGAGGTGGTGACCACACAGTGGCTTCTGAGGGAGGTGGCAGGTGCGGGTGTTACAAACACTGCAAAGTAGCTCACTCGCCAGGGTACCAGCGTGTGTGTGTGTGTGTGTGTGTGTGTGTGTGTGAGAGAGAGAGAGAGAGAGAAAGAGAGAGAGAGAAAAAAATGCCCACTGAGAAACACACAGGCCCACAGAGGCAACAGATCCTGTCCCTTCTGCACCCTGCTTCTGGGGAGGAGGAGCAGCCCTGGGGGTGGTGGAAGGGATCATGGCGGGAGCTCATCTGGGGCATCTCTGCGCCGAAGGCTCTCCTAACAGCTGAGGACGGCTTCGGGCACCCAGGCACCAGGATAGGGATGGGTGGAGGAATTCTTGTGAGAAACAGAGAGGAAGTTTCCAGGAGATGCCACCGCTGGCCTCAGAACCCGGGCATAGGCTCTCTTGGATGCTAGGGAGAAAGTTAAAAGCAAGAATGACCAAGGCAGGCAGGCAGGTCTTTTTCTTCTCCCTCCCCTTTTGCTTCTCTCACTGTCTGTCTGTCTCCGCATCTTCCGTAAGAGTGAAATCATCCACCCTGAGCGAGCCCTTGGGCACCCTGCCAGGCCCGTGCTCTGAGTGCAGTTGGGTCCCCAGTGCAGGGGGCCTGGACCTGTAAGGACTGTGCCTCAGATGGCCCTGGACTCTCCTAAAGCCCTTTCCCCAGGGTAAAACCCCGCCTGGACCCGGTTTGCTTTTCCAGCCCACCCAGCCCAGCCCCTTGTCCCCCAGCCACACTCCTTTTCCCTGTCTCTGTGCACAGGCTCCCCACCCAGCCTGGTACCTCTGGCCTCTGCTGAGCTAGGAAGGGCTTTCTAGAAATGAGCCCTTCACACACCTTGCCAAAGAGGCTGGGAAAACAGGGAGGGAGAGGTGGATGGATCACAGAGGGAGGGCACTCCCCACTGGAAATGGCAATGCTGCGGCCATCACTTGTCCCAGCCTTTCACCCTGGGCAGGTGCCTTTCAGCTCTGTGGGCTTTGGTACTGACCAGGGATGATGACCAATATATTGTCCCAATTCTCCTAAAGCCCCTGACATCCCAGCACTCAAAGGTTCAACTAAGATTCTCACTGTGCTTCCTGATAGCCCCCACTACCTCTTAAAACTCCAGTGGGTAGACTCTAAAGTATAGCGGTCAGTCTAGAACAAGCCCTGCCTCCCTGGTTCTGCAGCCACGAAGTGACTGGACCAGTCTAGCCAGTTTTTCTGGGCTCTGACCTAGGCGCACTGGCTCCCAACCAGACTGGCTGGGGCTTGGAAACCAGCTGACATGCGGAGGGGGGCAGATGCACACCCCACAAATCCCATCTCAAAGCACCTCGCTGAGGCTTCTCTCTGGGCCCAACAGTGCCAGGCGGGTGAGATGGACAAATTGCCTGTGCTTATAGGGCAGAAAGAACAGCCGCAAACATCTTCATTTGTCCCAGAAACAGTTTTATGGCTGCTGGGTGGACAGTTGCCAAAGAACATGTTTGGCTAAAGCATTTGAATCCGCAGTTCTACGTGAAGGGGAACCCGTCTTCCAAAGCCAGATTCTGACATGCCTGTTTCATGAAGTCTGCCTCCCTCCCTTCCTGCCATCCATTCAATTTTGTGGAAGCGGATACCACATACTCAGAAAACAAGTGATTAAGAATCTGTTGTCTAATAGAATCCAGCTAGTTATTTTCAAAATGATTGTTTGCATCAGTGAGTGAATCATTTCGTATTATCCTCCCTACATATCTACTTTTACTGTCAGGTTTTTCCATATCCCAGATGTTCAGGTCTGTCTATGACCTTCAAGCTCAGCTGATGGCTGGTAGCTGATCCCTTTTCCCCAGGGACTGTGAAAAGTGCTCTGACGCAGGAAGAGATTCTATACGCCAAATACCCTTCCTCTACCCCCATCCCCTCACCACTTCTCCTTTTGATGGCCTTTCTTAGACTGAGGAAGTTGGTAAGATTTATTAAGTGACTACTATAGCTAATATTTATTATGCACTTACTGTGTGCCAGACACTGTGCAACTGTGCATAATTTCACACCTGGCATCTCATGGTCATTATGATTATGCCATAAAGCAGGTATTATTTCCCCCGCTTTAGACAGATGAAGAGGTGACTTGCCCACAGCTTCAGGGCAGAGTAAGGATTCAAGCCCACATTTGCTTCATCTGCTGTTCCCACCCATACAAGAAGATGTTGACTGCCACACTGGGTGGGGTAAGGGATGGCTGGCCTAGAGCAACAAGTCCAAAGACAAGCATTTTAAAAGGATGAAGGCTGGGCACTGTGGCTTACGCCTGTAACCCTACACTTTGGGAGGCTGAGGTGGGAGGATCGCTTGAGCCCAGGAGTTTGAGAATTCGAGACCAGCCTGGGCAATACGGCAAGACCGTTTCTACAAAAAAATTTAAAATTAGCTAGGTGTGGTGATGCACACCTATAGTCCCAGCTACTTGGGAGGCTGAGGTGGGAGGATCACTTGAGCCCACAAGGTTGACGCTGCAGTGAGCTGTGTTCACACCACTGCACTCCAGCCTGGGCAACAGAGTGAGACCCTGTCTCCAAAAAAAAAAAAAAAATTCCTAGGGACTCTGCTGACAGGGACCTCCCTGAATTTAGGTAGACAAGAATGATTTGTAGTTAACAAATTCATTGTTTGACTATTAAAACTGCAGCTGAAATCTCGACCTGGCCTTACGTTCAAAATGGGCTCACCCTTCTTTGGTTGATACCGTGAGCAGTTAGGGTAGAATCAGAGCTGGGAGAGATCACCCTACTCCCTCTTTTCACTGAGGAAGAAACGGCCCAGATCACTGTTAGTGACCTGCCCTCCTCCAGACACGGCAAAAGCGCTGGAGTTTCACTGGCTGAGGCTCTACCCTCAAGGGATTCTCCAGATCACTGGGGTGCTGCACTGGTTGTGTGTTGTTTTCTCTTTTTTAATAACCACAGTGGGCTTAAGGGGGAGTTCTAGTCCTTTCTGCATCAGAGATGGCTTTTCTGCTAGGGTGGTTTAAGCATCTCTCAGCCTTCTGTTTCGACCTGACATCTGCATCTGGTGGGAACAGAAACGGGTTCTTTCCAATTGTACAATACCAAATGGAAGAAGCAACAATAAACTCATCCATGAAGTCGACAAACATTTGTTAAACACCTACTCTGTGCAACGGATTGTGAGGCTCAGTGCCGTGAAGGGTAAAAGATGCAAAAAATATATAATATATTGCATGTCCAAGAGCTGCTAGTTGCTGTTCCTGCATTAACTTATATCTGCTGAGAGTAGCCACCTTGCAGCTTTTTCTGAAAGCAGACTGTGCCAGGCACTGTTCCAGGCACTTTCCATGTATTAATTCCTTTTGTCCTTACCTCAACCTCCTGAGTTAGGCATTTCCCCCATTTTATAGCTGGGGACACTGAAGCCCAGAGAGAGTACTTAGGTCCAAGTACCATGTTCCAAGGTCCCTCAGCTTGAGCAGAGCTGGGAAGGGGGAGTGCTGGGAATCCAGTTCGTGGCACCCCCCTCTTTCTATGTGAGGTCATGTCCCTAAGGAGTATTTGAAAACACAGACCTTTCACAGAGACATGAGAGATAACAGAGAATCCAGTCCAATACCCCTGTTTACAGACAGATAAACTGTGGCTCAGAGAGGGAAGGTGACCTACCTGTCATCACACAGCTGATTGGAGGCAGAGCTGGGATCAGAGTCAGGTTCACTGACTCCCAGGCTGATGGTCTTTCCCCTTCAATAGCTGCTGAAATTATCAGCCCGGCACCTAACTGCTTCCTTCTAGGCCACACGGGCACTTGGGGTGGTGGCACCTTGACCCCCAAACTCCTTATGTGTGGCTGAACCTGGAGGTTGATGCTTTTGAGGAGCCAAATGTTAGAGAGGGTGAGAAATGGATTTTCCACTTGAGCTCGTCCTCACTGGCTCTGGGTGAGTGTTCAACTTTTCCATAATCTACACACTCCTCTCTATGGCTGGTCATTTCAAATCCAAGGGGCTTGGCCTGGCTTTTGGCCCCTCCCTGTCTTTGCCCCCAGTCTGTGGCCAGGCCAGCAGTCCCGCACGCCACAGCAGCCCACTGGCCCACCCTGGGCTCACTGTTTCGCGTTCCTCATGCCTCTTGCCAACGCTCCCCTCGAAAACCTGGCTCTATATCGTTTAATCAAAGAAACAACTTGGAAATGGCCCAGATATGCACCGATATAGGGATGGCAAAGTCCATTCACTCACAGGCAACATGCAGACATTGACAGTCTCCTGCAGAGCCTCGGGAGTAACGTGAAACAGACTTGGGCTGTGACACTGAGGAGAGGGCTGCCCAATGGCCACAGCTGTGCCCAGACAGGTGCTTGAGAAGGGGACCTGTGGGGGTTATTTTTTAAATGAATTATACAGTAGCCAGATTAAAAGAGTGAGGTTGCAATCATTTTCCATTCTGGTTTTCAAACTTTGCCTATTGCTGCTAAATTGGCTTATATAAGAATAACAATAGCCAGCTCCCTCCTGGGAGCTCACTCTCCTGTTAGAATCCATCCAGAGGCCTTGCCTTCTGCACCCCTCACAGACACTGGGACCCATGTTTACAGCCACACTCCATCTCCCTACGAGGAGATGCAGTGGGTGTGTGGCTGACTCCGAGGTGCTCAGGCCCCTGCCCCTCCCTGGGGATAGAGACAATGTCTTGTCTGTCTTCTCCTGACTCATGGCCACTTGTACACACATCGTCTCTCCCCACTCACACACACACTTTCACACACCCTGTCTCTCCCCATTCACACACATTTTCCCCCAGGACTCTGTAACTGTTATAGTGTGAGGCCCACAATATAGGCCCCAGAGTGGACCCTTTCCCAACACTGGCTGACTTGTTGGGGATGGAGCTGGATTTGGGATTAACCCTAAATCCCCTAGATTTGTACTCTCATGCTGACAAAACTACCTGAGCTCTCATCTGGCTGAGCTCTAGAGTGAGATTTAGGTGGCTTCGAATATTTTCTGGTAATGGCCGGGCATGGTGGCTCATGCCTGTAATCCTAGCACTTTGGGAGGCCGAGGCTGGCTGATCGCTTGAGCCCAGGAGTTTGAGACCAGCCAGGGCAATATGGGGAAACCCCATCTCTACAAAAAATACAAAGATTAGCTGGGTGTGGTGGTGCATGCCTGTGGTCCCAGCTATTCTGGAGGCTGGGGTGGGAGGATCACCAGAGCCTAGGGAGGTTGAGGCTTCAGTGAGCCATGATCACACCATTACACTCCAACCTGGGCGACAGAGTGGGACCCTGTCTTGAAAAAAAAAAAAAAAAAAAAGGATATTTTCTGGTAAAAGCAAACAAAACAAAGCCTTTTATCAGAGTGTCTGGGTTTGAATTCTGACTTCACTACTCACTGGCTGTGTGACCTTGAACCAGTTACTTAGCCTCTCTGTGTCTCAGGAATAATTCCTACTTCCTAGGGCTGTTAGGAGGACTAAATGACTTAATATTTGCAAAGCAGGTAGAATAATGCCCAGTGAATTGTACATGCTACATAAATAAAAGAAGAAAAGCAACTATTTAATTGTAACCAACGTTTGAAACCAGCATTCGCTGGCCATTCACTCACTGCCCCACATTCATCTGGAATTTATTGAATGCCTACTGAGTTTATTAGGCCAGGCATAAAGGGCAAACACCCCACCATCTAGTAGGAACAAAGGAAATAAAAAGACTTTTTTAAGGAAAACATGATCATTCTAAACAGAGATTTGCACACAATTCTATGAAAGGCCAGAAAAAGAACATTGATCTATTTCCGCGTAAACCTGAAAAAAAAAAAAAGAAAAGAAAACACCCGCAGTTCAGTTCTTTGAATCCATTTAAAAGACTGAATTTGGTCTAACTGGTTTGTGCATTTAGACCAGGCTTCGGTACACGCGAGCCTTTTGGAAACTATTCCCATTCAGTGCCAACTACTCGACCTCTCTGGATGTTTTTCTTCTACCTTCCTCACCTGTCTGTCTCCTCGAACGCCCAGAAAATAATCTGAGTTCATCCCTAGCCCTCAGGTAACGGATGGGGGAGGGGATGTGGGTTCAGTAAGACCAACCCTTGATCATTTTAAGAATCAATTTATAAATATTTGGGGAGGGGCAGGATTAGAGAAAAATCTCAGTAACTTGTAACGTCTCAACTAAGGAAGCAGCAGCTGCTGCATTTAAAAATCTTGGTGGTTTAACTCAAACCACTTGGTAAGCCGGTATACGTACAGTTGGTTTAATAACTGATGGAAAAATGAAATTCCGCCAATCCGCACCCCTCCCCCAAATCCACCGAAGTCTCTTGAATGTAATCGCTCTGAATGCCCTGAGCCGGGTCAAGCTGGTGTCTATGTTTGTGGCTGGAGCGGACCCTGCGGAGTCCCGAGCCCCGGGTGAGGCGATGCCCAGACTGGCGCGAAGCGGGGTGTCCCGGCAGCAGCGCAGAGGCCCACCCGCCTCTCCGGCCGGCTGCAGCGGGCGCGCCTATACCCTGCAAAACCAAAACGCTCTGGAAAGCGCTTGGGGCTGCAAGTGACGCCTGACACGAGCGGCGGGCCGGACTGCCGGCCTCCCGGCCCTTCCCTGGCTCACACAACCCGCGGGCCGCCCCCACCGCCCACGAACTTCAGCGGGCAGACGCTGGACGTGCGGTCTGGCTACTTTCCTAAACTCCAGCGCCCGATCCGCGTCGCAGGGTCGGCCGCGCAGCGCGGGGATCGCGGGTGCCCAGGCTCGGAGAACGAGCGTCGCGCTCCCAGCCGCGGTCGGGGAACAGGAACTGCCGCCAGAGGCACCGTCTCCTCCCCCGAGACTGCGATATTGATCAAGGGCTCGCAGGCGCGGGCGGCATTCATCTCTCCGGACTCGCAGCTCGCCGCGGAGGGGAAGGGGCAGGACGCGCTCCCAAGACTAGGGCGGGGGCGTGCGGAGTCGGGGAGCTGTTTGGGGGCGCTGGGGCGAGGTGGGAACCCCGCTTCAGAGTCTCCAGTCCCGGGGCCGAGGTCTGCAGGAAGGGCGTGGGAGGTGGAACCTCCCCTCCCCTAGGCGTCTGCCCGAGAGCCTAGAGCGATTCTTGGCGCGGAGCCGGCTACCCGGGTGGGCGGACCCCCTCCTCCGCCAACATCCCGGCGGCTTCGCCACGATTTCTTTTCTCACCTGAGTCTCCCCCTGCCTACCCAACCCTGGCTCCAAAGGTCCAGAGAGTTAGGCTGCCCCGGAGCCCAGCCTTCCCCGACCTAAGCACGGCTCTCCCAGCGCCCCCGCCCCCATCACACCCACAGCCCAGCCCCGTCCCGCGTCCGCCAGGGGCCGGGGGCGCCAGCGCTCGAGGGATGGCCGGCGGGCTGTTACCTTGACGAGACGGAGCTGCGGGTGCCCTCCCATCCTCGGGCTCGCTCGGCTACCGTCCTGAATGCCCGGGTCCTACGGACATCCCAGAGGGACCGGCGGGCGGCTGCGGGCTCGGGCGGCACGGGGTGGGCGGCCGGGCTCCTCGGTCGCTGCCTGGTGAGGAGATGCCCGGCTCGGCGCTTCCCGGCCCCGCGGCCCGGCCCGGCCCGGCCCGGCTCTCGCTCGCCCCTTCCCGGGGAAGTCTGGCCGCCGTTTCCCGACGCAGCCCGGCCCGCGGCCGCCTCTTGCCGGCCTCGCCCCCGCCACCTCCCCCACGGTCCGCGCCGCTCCTCGCCTCGGCTCCCCGCCCCCTCGCCCAGCTCGTCCCCTCCCCTTCCTCCCCCTCCCTCTCCCCTCCGCTCCCCTTCGGTCCCTCCTCCGCGCCTCGCCCCTCGGCTCCCTCCCAGCTCCTCCTCGCCTCCTCCGTTCCCTCCCCTTCCCCCGGCCCGCTCTCTGTGTCCCGCCGCCAGGATCCCCTTTCCCTGCGCCCGGGGTTTGCGGCAGTCCTCGGGGCGCGCTGGCAGCAGTGGCGGCCGCCGCAGCCCGGGGAGAAGCCGGGAATGGGGGAAGGGGGCCGCGGTAAAGGATCAGCCTCCCGCCCGGCCGAGGTCGGGGCCTGGGAAGTCCCAGGGATCTGGGGTGACTTGGGCCAGGGTGCTCAGGTGAATTTATGAGGGCGAGGCTATTGGGGGCTAGGGAACAGGGCGGTCCCTACTGAGCGGAGCCGCCGCGGAACCCAGTGAGGCTGCGACCTGCGTTTGGGCAGTTCCCGCCCTGCGGCTGGCTAGGAGGAGCTCCTCGCCGCCCCCATTCCAGCCGCGCCGGGCGCTGGGCCCGACCCCCAGCACCTTTGGCACTGATGTGCCTGGTGCGCGCTGAGACGCGAACGCTCTGCAAGATGAGCCCTTATTCATTCGTTCCTTCTTTCCTTCATTTGTTCATCTTACAAACTGAGTGCCTGGCCACTTTGGTTCAGGCAAGAGGCTGGATCTGGGAACCCTTTGGACCTGGGAGCCCCAGGATGAAAGGGAGACGGCGGTGCCCTGCAGGACAAGCGGGCACTGAACGCTGCCCAGGGGAAAGCCGGGCGCGCATTGCGTTGCAGCGCGGCGAACGCTGCTAGGAGCCCGCGGGCAGGGCGTGGGGAGGACACAGCGCCCCCTCCCGGCCGGCCGAGCCCTCTGGGCAGCGGTGGGCCTCCCCGCCAGACCCCGGGGCCGTCTTCTGAATTGGCTTCGGAGCTCCCCATCCCAGGAAGCAACTCCCAGCCCTTCCAGATGAACAGAACTTTTGACTTCCTCTTCACTCTTCCTCTCTCCTACCAGAGCTGAAAAGGGAGAAACTGGGAGGTAGAGAAATCTTCACTCCACCCGCAGAGCCTAGGCCGCCTGGCCAATGCAGCCCCTATTGGGTACACCAGAGCACCTGGGGCGGCGGGCAGTCGGCTTTGAAATCAAACTGAACCCACCTGCCCTGCACCCTGTGCCCTGCCGTGCCCACCCTACTCCTCCCTCCTGCCCTCTTCTCAGCACACTGGGCAAGAGCCAGCGTGTTCATGGGTCCACTGGCCTTCATTTGGAGCTGGAGTTATTTTAGAAGATCGTAAGATCCAACACACACAGTTTACTGGTGAGAAAATGGAGGCACACAGAGGGTAAGCCTAGTCCTCCTTCACCTCATTCCCAGCTCACAGTGCCTGGAGGGCTGGGCCCTAAAGGGGCCTGGGACACTGAAGTGGGGAGGGGCATTGCCCAGGAAGCCAGCTGCTCACATGGCTTATCCACACACCTGGCACTTTCCAGGTGAAGCACACAGTCCCGAGTCTTGCAAAACCCCCATTAGGTTAGTGCTCCGGAGCTGGCTGTGCCGAGTTGGGCCCTGACTTGCCCCAGCCAACCCCAGAAGGGATGGACATGCTAAGCAGATGGACAACTAACTGTTACCAACAACAGTTAAGTGCGGGGCAGTCTGATGTGCAGGTTCTGGAGTCAGATGGCCTGAGTTTGAATCTTGGCTTTTCCACTTACAAGCTGTATAAACTTGGAGAGTTATTTAACAATGCCTCAATTTTCTCATCTATAAAATCGGGGTAGAAACGCTACTTCTGAGGGTGGTTGGGGAGTTTGAAGGAGTTGGTATTTGTAAAGAGCTTGGAACGGAGCCTGGCACATAGTGAGAGCTTAATGAGGGTTAGCTGTAGTCACCAATACTATGATCATCATCATCATCACGATGGAGTGGACTGGATGCTCAAGTGTGAGGGGTGGCTTGGTCCCACCCTCTAGGCAGTTCTTTGTGGGGAGCAGAATTCTTGATCAGAAATTCACCAGCAGCAGTAGGCTGTGGAATCAGAGGAGAGGAAGCCGGTTGGTCCTCTGGTAGCTTTGCCCAGGCCCAGCCAAGGCCTTGCTCCCTCCCTGGTCCCACCTTGGAGCACACTCTCTAAGGACTAGACGGCTCCAGCTTCTGTGTTTCTCTCTGCTTAATAAACACCATCAAATTTTGCCTCTCTGAGCCCCATTATCCTCCCCTTGACATGATCTTTAAATATGCTAATGCCATTGATTGGACTGCAATCAAGTCTTGCTCTTCCTGACTTTTTTGCCCAGGAGTCAGACCTTCTCGCTTTCTGAAGTGGCGTCTACAGATAGCTCATTTCATCCTGTCTGTGTTGATTTCACTGACTTAACCTCCACCCCACCACATCCCGCTGACGGACAGGTCAGGGGAGGAGGCTTCTGCCTAATTCCTCGACCTACTTATTTATAGTTTTGGCCTTGGCAGCCTCAGGGGGGTTATGAAAGTTTGGCGTTTAACATTCCTTCTGTAAAAAGGTTCAATATCCCCTTTCATTTGTCCTGAAACTACTTCCTTTCACCTTCAAGGGCCTGGCTCTCATCTGCTGGGCTTGGTGAAGGTGCTAGTGTCTGCCCTGTCCCTCCCTCCTACACCCTTCCTTCCCTCAGCCCCAGCCAGAGCAGCCTCTGCACACCCTCCTCAGGATAGGCTCCTACTCCATTCCAGCATTCTTTTCCCAGGATGGCCTTTTCCAAACTCTCTTCTCATCCCATCCCTCCCTTGCCTTCTCACCCCTTCCTGTCCAGCCAGCAGCAGAATCAGCTTTCATTCATTTAATCTGCCAGATTTGGAAGACAGGAGAAATGTGAGGATTCCAAACAGGAATAAAAGACAATCACATGTCCTTCCCAACAGTAGGAGAGACAGATTTGATGTAATGATGGGTGAGACCCAGGGAGGCAGGGCTGAATAGGCACTTCCTACCTGTGGGGTTCCACTGGCTTAACCATCCCCGGGAGGTTGCTGGTCTGGAACCATACTTCTCAGACAACTGTGGCAAAGAACTGGTTCTGTATTTTAAAATTTCTAATCTGTCACAGGCCAATGCGATTGCAAAACACTGCGGGAATGAATTATTAGAAAAATGCAATAAAAGGCCAGATGTGGTGGCTCATTGCCTGTAATCCCAGTACTTTGGGAGGCCAAGGCAGGTGGATCACTTGAGGTCAGGAGTTTGAGACTAGCCTGGCCAACATGGTGAAACCCTATCCCTACTAAAAGTACAAAAATTAGCCGGGCATAGTGGCACGAGCCTGTAATCCCAGCTACTTGGGAGGCTGAGGCAGGAGAATCGCTGGAACCTGGGAGGAGGAGGTTGCAGTGAACCCAGATCCTGCCACAGCACTCCAGCCTGGGCAACAGAGTGAGACTCAGTCAAAAAAAAAAAGAAAAAAAGAAAGAAAGAAAGAAAGAAAAAAAGACAAAATGAAAGCCCTGTTTTAAACACTAGCACATCAAATGGACATAAAACTATTCTGTCTAATGGCTTAAAAATGTCAAAATGTAGCTAGGTGCAGTGGCTCACACCTGTAATCCCAGCACTTTGGGAGGCTGAGAAGGGTGGATCACCTGAAGTCAGGAGTTTGAAACCAGCCACCGCACCCGGCCCAACCTCACCAGACTCCCCTCACGCGGTTGCCTCCTGTGTGCCTCTGCCTTGGAATGCCCCTCCCCATTATGCCTTCTTCAAGGCTCAGAACAAACATCACCTCCTGCATAGAGCTTTCCAGAACCCGAGAAGTTAGCATGAATGTTTCTGTTGAGTCCCTTGACTCTCTGCCAGTGATGTGGCTGAGGCGTGAGCTGTGGATCAAAGTGCTTGGGTCACCACCTCTGCCCTACCACTGCTCTCTAGGACCTTGGGGAGTTGCTTAACTTCAATAAGCCTCAGTTCCCCCTGAAAAATAGGATGATAGCAATAGTTGTGGAGATTAAATATGAGCCATGGGTCGGGTGCCATGGCTCACGCCTATAATCCCAGCACTTTGGGAGGCCCAGGCAGGCAGATCACCTGAGGTTGGGAGTTCGAGACCAGCCTGACCAACATGGAGAAACCCCATCTCTACTAAAAATATAAAATTAGCTGGGCATGGTGGCGCATGCCTGTAATCCCAGCTACTTGGGAGGCTGAGGCAGGAGAATCGCTTGAACCCAGGAGGCGTAGGTTGTAGTGCGCTGAGATCACGCCATTGCACACCAGCCTGGGTGACAAGAGCAAAACTCTCACTCCAAAAAAAAAAAAAAAAAAAAAAAAGTCTAAATGCTTATGCTCAATTTCTGCACTTACCAGGTCATAAACTGGCAACACAGTTTGCAGACAGGTGCCGGTCTGTAGATCATGCTTGGAGTAGCACTGGTCTGGAATGTTTGTGAAGCATGAGGCTAGGAAAGTGGCCTCTTTAAAATCCCATGAACATTGGGGGATATTGTATTAATTACTCCATTCATCTGTGCATTCATTCAACAAACATTTAATGAGGAGCAACTAGGTACCAGTCACTGTTGGACACTGAGGCTAATAAAGATAAATATAACAGGGTCCTGGCCCTCAAGATGTTCACAGGCTGGAATGGGAAGCAGCCACTTTGATAAATAATTAAGAGCTAGTGAAATTAGGTCAACAATAGACCAGGCACTGCGGGTGTGGAGGCAGGAATATTAATTCTGCCTGAGACCAATGGGGAAGACTCTACCAAGGAGGTGATGCTTGTGCTGGGGTTTGGAGGCAGAGGCAGGTGTTTAATCCCATGTGGCCAACCGGCATTTGATAGAGGAATTAAAATACGTAAAGTGCTTAGCGCAGTGCCTAGCACATAGTAAATGCTTCAAATGTTTGCTATTTTTATTATTCAATATTATGAATGATCGTCATTGTCATTGTTACTATTCACCTAGATCTGCCTGGCAGTGTGCTTAGTTTGGCATGGGGTTGTGGAGGTCACAATAGGTAATTCAGTTGGGGAAAGAGGTGATCTGGCTTTGAGCTCACCCCCTTTGTCAGAGGAAAGATTTTTCTGGAAGAGGTGGGTTGGGAGCTGGGTATTGAAGGAAGTGGGTATGGACATGTGAGAGAGGGAGACTTTCAAGGCGGGAGGGTCGCTTAGAGACAGAGCCCAAGGAACAAGTATAGGGCAGGGGAGGGGGCTGGTCTGATGGGAACAGGAGATGGGATGACGCTGGGGGGCTGCAGGGGAGGGGGCTGGTCGGCTGGGAACAGGAGATGGGATGAGGCTGGGGGGTTGCAGGGGAGGGGCTGTGGGTTTTCCAGGCCTTTGGATAAGGGGTGTGATGTTCTTCATTCTCTCACTTAGAACAACAGATAATAATAATAATTAAGATTTGTCTTGCAATTTGCACTATGTAGTTCCTTCACAAACATTTTCCCATTTAATTCTTTTAATAACTCCATGAAGGAGGTATTAACAGCCTCACTTTACCGATGAGAAGGCTGAGTTCAGAGGTCAGTACCTCTGAGCCCAAGGTCACACAGCTGGCTTCCGCACAGACAGGATCGGAACCTCACGTCCCCAACTCCCACTCCAGATATTTTCCAGTGTACCATGGAGAGGTGACCTGAGCCTAGCCCTCTGGTGAGCTGGGGTATCACCTATAGGAGGCTCCAGCTCCAGGAAAATGATGCTCTGGGGTTAGTCTTCCCTTTTTGCTTTCCCCAGTGGATGGGCTAAAGGGGGGAGTGGAGACAAGCCATGGGACAGAGGTTGGCAGTGACAACAGGTGAGGGCCACAGAGGGCTCCTCCTCCTCCCTCCAAGTCTGACTCTGTACCACTCAAGGGCAAGAGAACTTACCCTGGGCACAATTACCATATTTTGCATTTATTAAGTGTGGCCAAGAGGGCCATTGAAGTTTGTTGCTTTTTTTTTTTTTTTTTAAGAACACTTTTTGGCTGGGTGTAGTGACTTATACCTGTAATCCCAGCACTTTGGGCGGCCAAGGCGGGCGGATCATGAGGTCAAGAGATTGAGACCATCCTGGCTAACATGGTGAAACCCCGTCTCTACTAAAAATACAAAAAATTAGCTGGGTGTGGTGGCGGGCGCCTGTAGTCCCAGCTACTTGGGAGGTTGAGGCAGGAGAATGGCGTGAACCCAGGAGGCGGAGGCTGCAGTGAGCTGAGATTGTGCCACTGCACTCCAGCCTGGGTGACAGAGCAAGACTCTGTCTCAAAAAACAAACAAACGAGAAAACAAAAAAACACTTTTTAAAGGTGAGGTTTGAAATAAGAAGAGTTGGGCGAATGAGAAGGCGTCTTGGAAGTGAAAACACATCATAGATGTCAGCCAGAAGATCAGCGTGGACAGGACCTGCACACATCCACTTATCTTTACAGAGAAGTTGCGTCCCTCCAGCCCAGACCAGTGGCTCTCTCCCGGGGGGACGTTTCACAATATCCAAAGACATTTTGGGTTGTCATAGCTGAAGGAGTGCTACTGGCATTTGGTGGGTAGAGGCTGTGGTCCAGCTAAACATCCTGCAGTGCACAAGACAGCCCTCACAACACAGAATTATCTGGCCCAAAATACCCATGTGCTGAGGTTGAGGAATCCTGGCCTTGTCAACAGTGTGGCACCATGGACAGCAGAAATGCGGCTCCTCCGTGAGGTTGTGATCCAGACCCATCCTGTCTGAAGAGGCTAGGGTCCACCACTCTGCATTTCCTGAACTCCATCATTTCTGGAGCACTGGGGCCATGGGAAGGCACTGGGGTGATAGCCATGGTGGAGCATCAGCTGGTAGTCAGGCAAGCCAGGACTTGAGACTCTGGGCTTTCAGTGTGGATGTTCCTCACCCTGCCCTCCCCTCATCTCTACTATAGGTATAGGTTGTCCCTTTTTTCCCTCTTCATAAAATCCCACTTTAGAGCTAGAAAGCGCTTTGGTAGAAACCAGCTGCTCTAATAGATGAGGTACTATTTTTCCATTTTACAGATAGGTATATTGAAATCTAGAGGTTAAATACACAAGGTATGTGCTTAGCTGATTCCAAGTGCGTCAAGCTCCCAGAGGGCAGAGACTGCTTTCCAGTCGTCACTGCAGTCCCAGCCTCTGGCAAAGTCATATCTCAGCAGATGCCAAACGAAATGTTTTTGGTTAATGGTCATTTTTACCAGCGGCTTAGGCCCCAGGCTCCTGCCTCCAGGGCAGCGCACTCTCTGAGCACCATCCTCTTCTGAGTCCTGCTCACTATAGTGAGGCACCCCCCTTTTCTGGGGTTCAAGGCCACCCAGTCCTGGATGGGAACAGCCCCACACCCAACCCCGGTCAGGCAGCTACAGCCTCCTGGTGGGAAGACGCAGCGGCAGCCTCACCCAGCCCTTCACTCCTTCCCTCCTCTCCTTTTCCCTCTGGCCTTACAAAGGGGTCAGGGCAGGACAAATCTCCCCTCCAGGCTCTTGGGAGTGTCTTCACTGCCCCCGAGGAAGCCCATGCAAATGGCCACCCTGACCTTCAGTGGCCACTTCTAACTCCCAGAGCAAGACAAAGAGAGACCAAAGAGACATATCAACCAGCCGCAATATGTTATGTGGACATTTGGACTCTGACTCTTTTAACAGATTTTAAAAAACAACCAAAAACCTATAAACAGACAATTGGAAATATGAACCCTGCTTAGATATTTGATGATTTCAGGAATGGTTGTTAATTTTTAAAGGTGTAATGATGACATTGTGGTTATATATTTAAAATGAGTCATTATCTTTTAGAGATACAGACTGAAATATTTATAGATGAAATGACATGATGTCCAGAATTTGCTGAATACTATGGGAAAGGAGGAAGCAGGTGAGGATATTGATGAAATAAGATTGGCTGTGAGTTGTTAATTGTGGAATCCAAGTGATGGGTACATGGGGAGTTTATAACATTTTGCCTATTTTTATATGCATTTAAAAATCTTACAGCCTGTGGGAGCTGCCTGGGACCACTCAGGGAGCACGCAGACCATGGTGTCCAAACCGTTTTCTGTGGAACCCAAGATTCCAAAAAGATGCCTTAGGACTGGTGCTGAAGGTTGGGTGCAGGGAGGGGGTGGTGAAGGGGAGCCCAGGGAGGGGGCTGTGGGGTGCACTTCTGTTTCAACCAGTTTTATATAGTGGGGTTCTATAGGAGATCTCAATTTGGGAGAAAGGTTCTGCTCAGAAGAGGAAGCAATTTTCCAAAGACCATGTGTGTGGGGGCAGCGCAGAGCCGAGCCCGGGCTCCCAGCTCTCAGCCTCCCTGGCTCTGTACCACATTGCCTTCCCAGGGCATGGCTGCTGCCCCAGGGCCCCTGCCAGACTCAGTGGACCTGAAGTCTAAGTCTGGTGAGCCACAGCAGGATGGGGCTGGGCCACCTGGGGCTCTGCCCTAGGTGGCTGAGGGCATCTGCCTCCCTTGGGCCACCCGTTGCTCAATTTTCACAGCCAGGCCTGTGGCTCAGAGCCAGCTTTGGCATTGCTGCCTGCCATCTGGCCAGGCCCCAGTGGCTCAGCTGGATGGGGGCCAGCACCTTCCAGGCATGCCTGAGCCAGGGAAGTGCTGACCAGGGATCAGCCCACTGGCTACACAGCAGCAGCTCATTCCAGAAGAGGAAGGCCTCATGCCCACCCCTTCCCGAGTCCCTCCTTCATGAGAGGACTGGTCTGAGCCTGGCTAGATGGTTCTGTTCCCCTGGGGTTGGGGCAAGGGGGTGATAATGGCTTAGGTTATGGTTCCCACCTGCAGACCAGCTGCAGGAGGAGCACAGAGGGCTCCTAAGTCATGTGGCGAGGAGGGGAGGGAAAGGAGGTGTTACCTGGGAGACGAGGATTCATCAGCTGCATACAGCCTGGTAGAACTCGTGAGGACAGGAGGGAGGATGGGCGTCAGTCCATGGTGAAGGAAGTAGGTGGCTATGCTGGGGATCTCCCATTCCCCTCCACATCCACCCTTCACCCTCCCTGTCTGCTCTGTGCTCAGGGCTGTCTAAGGTCTCCGTCACCTTCCCACTCTGGCTGGGCTCAGCCAATAGGAAGCCCAGGCTGGAGCAAGGAGGGTGAGGTTGGGTACTTATCCCTCCAACTCTCTCCCTGTGGGTTGGCCATGGGCTGGCTGTGTCCCTTGACTGAGGTCCTTGCGGCTCCCGTGGCAGCCTCTCTCCATGGCTCTTCTACCGGGTGTGGTAACCCCTCCCTCCCCTTTTTCTTTTGGACCTAACAATGGTCACAGCTGAGTTCCCACTGGCCTCAAGATGTTGCATGTCCCCTTGAGGTCTCCCCACCTTGTGCACATATTTGTAAATAGTCCCCGTAACAAGACCTTCTCAAATTATCCAGATACTAGTGGGCTTGGGCCATCGCTTCCCGCTAAGACCTTGGCGACTGCAGGCTGCTTGGGAGCTGAGTTTGCAAATGCTAGTGCATGATGAGGCTTTCCTTGCCTGTGATTCCAGCAAACTGGAGGGATGGGGAGGCCACCCCAGGGGGCCTGATGGGACAGTCCCAAGGCAAGGGGGTGAAGGTAGGATGGGAGTCACCCCAAATAAATTAGCAGAGATCCCCGTGGAGGAAATGCAGGTGGAGGACTTATTGATAGGGGTGTCACAGAGGAGACCTGGGAGTCTCCCCTCACGGGAAGGATGCTGTTATGGGGTGAAAGAGGCAGGAGGCAGAGAGGCTCAAGGAAGAAAAGCAGTGAAGGTGAAGCTCTGGCCATGCCTCTCCAGCTGTGCCAACTATACAGAGGGGGAGTGGTGTGGTGCAGACTCCAGAGGTGCGTCCATGCAGGCTGCAGAAGGAACATGTTCTCTGGAGTTTAACAGCACTGGGGGCCCTGAGCCTCTGGCTGCTGTATTCCTACGGTGACTCTCCCTGGCTGGAACAGAACCTCTGTCCACCCCTCCTTCCCAGCCTTGCTCCGGGTCCTCCTGCTGGGAGTCAGAGTGAATCCTGTGCACTCCCAAGCCCCCTGCTCTGGGGCTTTTCCTCAAGCTCTGCCTGGAGTACCCTTCCTTCCTTCTCTTCTGGATTGTCACACACTCCAGGCCCCCCACTCTCATGCATCAGCTCCCACCTTTTTTAGGGTTGTATCCCCAAATCTGCCTGCCAGACCTGACCCAGCCATCCCCTTGCTGTGTGGCCTTGGGCACATCATGTCTTCTGGATCTCGGTTTCCTGGTCTGTGAAATAGCAGTGGTGCTGAGAGGTAATTAGGGGACCTCTCCTGTCCCTTTCAGACTTGGATGAATCCACGGACCTAAGTCCTTTGTCCTACTAATAAAAGATGAAAGACGCATGCTTCTCTCATTCATCTTTGTGTTCTCCACAGCACCCTGTAGAGGGCCCCACCAGAAGGACTGGTGGATGGTAAATCTTTCTAGAGTGACCAGGGGCCATTCATTCCTTGGCCCTAATGTGTCCAGAGTTTTTTCCTTCCAGTGGGTTTGTGGTGCCGCTGACTTCAAGAATGAAGCTGTGGACCTTCGCGGTGAGTGTTACAGCTCTTAACGGTGGCACAGACCCAAAAATAGTGAGCAGCAGCAAGATTTATCATGAAGAGCGGAAGAGTGAAAGAAGGAAGCTTCCACAGCGTGGAAGGAGACCTGAGCTGGTTGCCACTACTGGCTGGTTGGGTGGGGGGGATGGGGGGCAGGGGGGAGGTGACCAGCTTTTATTCCCTTATTTGTCCCCACCCATGTCCTGCTGATTGGTCCATTTTACAGAATGCTGATTGGTCCATTTTACAAACCTCTAGCTAGCTACATAGCACTGATTGGTGCATTTTTACAGAGCACGGATTGGTGCATTTTACAAACCTCTAGCTAGCTACAGAGCACCGATTGGTGCATTTTTACAGAGCACTGATTGGTGCATTTTACAAACCTCTTATAAGACAGAAAAGTTCTCCAAGTCCTCACTAGAATTGGGAAGTCCAGCTGGCTTCACCTCTCACTAAGTTGATAAAAATATCCCCTGGGAACCTGACATCATTTCTTCCCATTTCCTGGCAAATCCAGCATGTTCTCATTTATAACCTGGTCTCCTGAGTAGGCTGCCCCTGAGAGGTACATCCAGGACTAGCAATAATAGTTATCCTTTAAACGAGAGACTGCCCCACAGTTACCTCTGGGGTGGGAGCCTGGAAGGAATAAAAGGTGTTCATTTTATTCCCTTTGGATTTTTTTTATACCACACGTTATTATTGTAATATGAAAGAGTCTTTTTAGAAAAAAAGTTATACACAAAGACTGATAATTTGGGTTGCTTCCAAAGAGGGGAACTGGGTAGCTAATGATTGAGGCAGGGTGAGGACCAGGGAGGAGACTCACTGGTCAACTTATGTCCTTTGGTACCTTTGGAATTTGTACCATGCACATTCATCATCTACCAAGAAAATAAATGTAGGCTGGGCGTGGTGGCTCATGCCTGTAGTCCCAGCACTTTGGGAAGCTGAGGCGGGCAGATCACTTGAACACAGGAGTTTCAGACCAGCCTGGGCAATATGGTAAGACTCTGTCTTAAAAAAAAAAAAAGTATCCAGTCATGGGGGTGCACATCTGTGGTCCCAGCTACTTGGGAGGCTGAGGTCAGAGGATTGCTTGAGCCTGAGAGATCAAGGCTGCAGTGAGCCAAGATCATGCCACTGCACTCCAGCCTGGGTGACGGAGTGAGACTCTGTCTCAAAATGGTAAATAAATAAAAATAAATAAATAAATAAATGCAAATTTATGAACTCACCAGCTTGTGTATAGTCCTTCTATAGAGATGAAGCACTTTGACACATAATAGCTCACTTTATCCTCCTCATGCCCCTAGGTAAGTCCTATGATTAACCCTATTTTCAGATGAGGAAACTGAAGCTCATAGAAGATGAAAGGTTTGCCCAGAGTTTCCTAGTTGGTGTGATGTGGCATGGAGGCTCACACTCTGGATTTCTGATCCTGAAGCAGGCTGCTGATAAGGTTTAGCTTGTCAAATATATTTCCATTAAAAAAAAATGAATTGACATTTTGATGTACGACTCAGTCTTTGGAAGGTGTGTTTATTGTGAGTCGAATTCCCATTAAAGGCGACTGAAACAACAGAGCTCCCCATGCTGCAAAGCTGAGGCCCAGACACGGGGCTGAGGAGGCCCCACCAAACCACATATATGAGAGGCCTCCTCAGCCACCCGTCCCATCTCAACTCCTCACCTGGACTCCAGACTCCTCAACTTCTTTGGAAATTTTGCCTTAAACCTCACCCCCTCTAGGAAGCCTTCACCAGTGCCTCCTGTGGGCCTCTCCCTTGCTCAAAGCAAGGTCTAAAGCCCGTTTTCTCTGCTACATTCTCAACAGTCTTGTTCACAGCTACACTCCTGCACACCTCACACTGGGCCCGGCACACAGCAGGAGCTTAATGGATACTCACCAAATGAATGAGTAAACCAATGGCCAGGACTCTGCTCCTGCCAGGCTACCCTGCTTGTCTCCTTTCTCTGTGATCTGTGCCAATCACACCCCTCATTGGGAAGCAGAGGGGCGGCCACAGGGGATGGCTTAGCACCCCCAGCCCCTGAGGAGTCCGTGCCTGCCAGCTCCATCCGAGGATGGGTGTGGGGAACCAGCTGCCCGTCTCATTAACAGATGAGTGTCCTGAGCTCTGATGGGTGGAAGGGGGGAGTGTCGCAGGAAGGAGGGGGCTGTAGAGGCCTCAAGTGGCTCCTTGGCCATCTCTGAGCAGCGCAGACTCTGATATTAAGCAGAGCTGTGTGGAAATTACTCATTTCTGCATCTCCGCCGCCCCTCATTTCTCTGTGCTCATCAGCACATTGCCTCGCCAACCTCCCCTGCCACTTCTCAGAGGAAGACAGGAGGAGCTGGGGGGAGACTGAGTTCCATCCTCTTTGGAGCTTGTTCAGATTTTCAATGAGCTGCAGACCCCCTCATATCCCGTCATATCCTGCCACCCGCTGTCACCATCACAGCCACCCTGACCACCTTCCTTCCCCAAAACGTCCCCTCCCTGCTGATCGATCTCCACCTCTCTTCCAGCCTCCCTTCCTCCCTGTCTCTGCCCCTCCCCCTCAGCTCAGCCGCAGGATTTCTGCTCCACTGTGAATTGCAGAATCCCTAAGCCCTGGGAAAGCCCAGCCCCACTAATGAGCTAAAGCTGACCTTGTCTCCAGGCCGCAGCAGCTGAATGTATTAACCCCTCACTCCAGCAGAGACCTCATTGACTTCCAAACCACTTTTGCATCATTGTGCAGTCAGTCCAATGGAGCCGTTTATTGGGCACCTACTATAGACAAGGCCCTTGGGGCAGGGTGGGGGGTGCTGGGGACAAGGTCCTTTCACTTGTGGAGCTGCAACCTTGCAGGAATAGCTATAGCATCAGCGGCTCTGTGACAGAGGAAAGGTCGCTGCTGTGAATCAAGGACACTGGACTGTGGTCCGAGTCTGGCCACCAACTGGCTGCATGACCTTGATCCAGTCCCTTCCTCCCTCTGGACCTTGGTACTTCTATCTGCAAATAAGGGGTCGAACTTGTTCAGTATTTTCCAAACTGCAGTTTGCAACCCATTACAGGATGGGGAGATAAATTTAGTGTCAGAACCAACATTCGAAGAAAGAAAAAAACTTTAAGCAACTGCATCAGAACACGGCACACAATAGAGGTAAGTATTACACAAAGAAACTTATTGGGCTGACACGGTGGCTCACACCTGCAACCCCAGAGCAGTTTGGAAGGTCGAGGTGGGCAGATCGCTTGAGCTCAGGAGTTCAAGACCAGCCTGGGTAATGTTGTGAAATCCCATCTCTGCAAAAATATAAAAATTAGCCAGTCATGATGGTGCATGCCTGTAGTCCGAGCTACTTGAGAGCTCAAGCAGGAGGATCGCTTGAGCTCAGGAGATTGAGGCTGCAGTGAGTTGAGATTGTGCCACTGCACTCCAGCCTGGGTGACAGAGTGAGGCCCTGTCTCAAAAACAAACAAACAAACAAACAAACAAACAAACAAAAAGAAACAAAAAAACTTCTTTTGGCTGCACATCTCTTGTACATGTTTCCACAGGTACCTGCATGTATGTGTACGTGTGTCTATTTGTGTCTATGGTTGAGTGTGGACTATATGTATATGCACATGTGTTTTATGCACTTGTGTGTCTCTGTGTGTGTGTGTGTGTGTGCTGGGTCACAACAGAGTGGATTTCTTACGATGAGTCACAGTCAAAATATCTTGGGAAACGCTGTTGTACATGGTCCCTAAGATTCTTCTGGTTCCAAAACTACATCGTTTCAAATGCTGTTAGAAGAGGGACACTGAGGGGCTCATTCTAGCCACGGGATAGGGAAAACTTCATCAAAGAGTTGGTGGCACTTGTACTTTCTTTTTTTTCTTTTTTCTTTTTTTTTTTTTTGAGACGGAGTCTCGCTCTGTCGCCCAGGCTGGAGGGCAGTGGCGCCATCTCGGCTCACTGCAAGCTCCACCTACCGGGTTCACGCCATTCTCCTGCCTCAGCCTCCGGAGTAGCTGGGACTACAGGCACCCGCCACCACACCTGGCTAATTTTTTGTATTTTTAGTAGAAATGGGGTTTCACCGTGTTAGCCAGGATGGTCTCAATCTCCTGACCTTGCGATCCGCCTGCCTCGGCCTCCCAGAGTGCTGAGATTACAGGTGTGAGCCACTGCACCCGGTCCATTTGTACTTTAAAAGATGAGCAGGATTTCTACCAACATAGAAATGTAGGGGACAGAGGGGAGAGAGACAGAGGGGAGAAGGGGCAACAGCATTCCAGGTGGAGGCACCATTGTGAGCAAAGGCCGGGAGGTGGGACTGTGCTCCGTCTGTTTGGGGAACAGCGAGGAGTCCTAGGACCCCAGGACAGGGGATGACGTTCTGAGATTGGAAAGCTGGGCTGGGGCCACGTCTTGTGGCGGCCCATGGCTTCCACTTGGGGGATTTCCACAGGGATGGTGGGAAGCCAGGTAAGGCTTTTGATATCCCAACAGCCCCAGGAGGAACCCCAGACTCCATGCTTCCCCCTGTCTCCCAGGAAAGGACTTCTAGACTAAGGTATGACTGATTGACAAGACTTCATGAACCACCTGTTTCATAGGGGTGGTGGGTGATTTATTATTGGCAAGTGGTTCTAAGGCAGAGGGTCTGACATAGGGCTGGGCTGCTTCTCTGTACGTGCTGACCACTGCTCTGCGAGGGGGGTTGCACACCCACGTGTCAGCATTTCAGAGACTTTGACGCATGTGAGCATACTTGGGACAGAGTACTTGCCATTGTGAGGCTCACCATGCCTGAGGATCTAGACAGAAACAGATCAACTTATTGAATCCTTCGTTTGCAGATGAGGCAGCCGAAATCCAGAGATGTGACTGGCCCAAGGAGTCACAGTGGGCGAGAACTTATTCCTCAGGCCATTAGATTCCCTAATGCTGCACCTTCGGGCCCCTTTGTGCTGCTGCTGGACGGGTGGGGATGCGAGAGGGTGCTGAAGAGGTGGTATTGGGAGGCCTCAGGAGGTGGCTGCCTACTCAAAAAGCCTTACTTGCTTTAAAACAGCTCAGGCCGGCTCCCGTCCCCCACAGAAGACCCCCACTCCCTACCCTGCGGGCAATTCCTTGACAGTCACATTAGTGAAGGCTGGGTTAACCCTTGATGCTCTGCCCTCCAGCACCAGGGCAGGACCTGGACACCAGGGTCATTCCCTCCCTGGCACCTATGGAGACTGGATGCTGAGGAGGGAAAGGTGAAGCCACAGCCAACTATTTTTAGTTCAAGAATTGGTTGCCAGGAACACTGAGCCGACTCCCTGCTGTATATTAGGGATGCGACAGCAGCGGTGTTGTTTGCAGGGTCTAATTGTGGGGATTTATTGTAACATGCAACTTGTCAGCCACTGCTCTGCCTAGGGCCCAGTCTCCTTGTCATCGGAATCTGAGCTATTTCCCAACTCCCTGGGTGCAGGGGAAGGAAATGGGGCAGAGAAGGAGCAGGAGTGTGCCCAGGGACCCTGGACAGCTCACAGCTGACCTTGCACCAAGAGTCGCTCTGCCCAGGAGGGGGCAGAGAGGAGAAAAGTGATGAGACTGGATTGGAAGCAAAGAGAGAGGGCCTGGGGCTGCCCATTGTTGGGCCCACAGGACTCAACCTTGACTTTCCTTGGGGCTTCAGATCTGGAAGAGGCTCAGTGGGAACAAGCTGAGAGCTTTTTCTCTTGTGCATGACAGTAGCATAGGAGGGCACCGGCCTGGGTAACAGCGGAGAGTTTTCAGTTAGATGGAAGGAGGACCTCCTTGACTTGAGGGTGGTCCTCCTTCCACCCTCAAGTCAAGGGTGGCAAGGAGGGGACAGTGTCTGGTCTCAGCAGTGGCAGTGGTCATCCTTCTGCCAAGGGAGGGGGAGAGATATGCAGACACCTAGCAAAGCCTACTATGTGCTGGGCACACTGTGCAGCACCCCGATGCAACCTTATTTAATCCTTTGCAAAGGGGGCCTCTGTCTCCATTGCGTAGATGAGGAAACTGAGGCTCGGGTAGATATTCACCTAAGGTCTCATAGCAGTAAGGAGGCTACAGCTGGGATTTTTACCCGAAAGTGTCCAACTTCAGAGCTCTGCTCACCAACCATTATTGACTAGGACCCCAGGAACTGGAAGGAGGGGTCATCTTTCCCCTTGTTCCTGCATGCCTGGAATTCTGGGACAAAAAGACATTCAGCCAGCCAGCCAACAAACGCGCCAGGTACTGCGCCAGGCCCCTGGAATATAGGTACCCACCCAGGAAGAGCTGATGTGAAAAGGTCATTTCTTCCAGCCTCCTGCCTCATCTCCTCCTCTCCAAAAACCGTGGTCTGCATTTCAAATCACTCGAGAAAGGAAGGGCTGCAACTGTCCTTCTTCCCTTAAATAGTCAGGACTATTTAAGAAGCTTCTGATGTCTCAGGTAGGGGATAGGGGAAGGACGGCTTGGACTCTCAGCATCTTGGGGGAAGGCTGGACTCAGGCCTACTTTAATTATTTAGAAACCCTGGAGTAATGATGCAGAACCACCTTATGGGAGTGGTAAATGAGAAAGAGAAGGTTGAAAGCTGCCAGCCATGGGTTCAACTTTCCCGAGACAAGCTAAAATTGGACTGATCATTATAGCAGGCACCCAGGTATATGATTATTCTTCATAATTTTTTTTAGTTGCATAGACTACATTTTAAATAGATAATGCAAACTTGCACATGATGCAAAAATCAAAAGGTGCATAGGAAATATCCTGAAAATCTCCCTCCCTTCCCCACTCCCAGCCACCTAATTCCTCTCTCCACAGGCTCCAAGGTTATCAGTTTCTTGGTAGATTTGCAGAGATCGTCGATCCAATAAGTAAGCAATTACGGCTATATATTCTTTTTGTTTTATACAAACGTGCTCTTCTATACCTTGCTTTTTTTCCCACTTAGCAATTTATCTTGGAGATTGTTCCAAATCAGTCCATAAAGAGTAGCCCCCTCCATTCCTTTTTAATGATTGCATAATATTCTGCCAGTTGAATGAACCCTGATCTGCCGAACTCATCCCCAGCGATGGGCATTTAGGTGTTTTCAATCTTTGGCTCTTAAAAGTAGTGCTGCCATAAATAACCTCATTCATAGATCATATGGCATATGAAAGGTTATATTTATGGCATAAATTCCCAGAAGTGGAGCTGCTGGCCCGTGAACACGTACATTTATAATTTTGATACTTATTGCTGAATCTTTCTCCAAATAGATTGCACCAATTTATACTGTCTTGAGTTTCCCCAGAAGCAGGACCTGTGAAAAAGATTCAAGGGCAGGTTGTTTATTTGGGAGGTAATCCCAGGAGGTCCCAGTAGGGAGGTGGGGAAGGCGGGCAGGGGAGGGAGGAAAGCCTGATGACTGGACCTTAATCCCATTGAGGAGCTCAGGGAGGCATGTGGGACCCCCAGCTCAGAGTCATCCCAGTGGAGGGCACGAGGGTAGGGCACTGGTGACATCTGCCATCCCCTCCTCTAGAAACATAGGGATCCCTGTTGCCCCACACCTTCACATTGGGAAAATCTGATCATCCTTCCCCCCACACCCCTCCCTGGGCCCCATCTCACCCCAGTGCATGGACAGCCTGTGAAGGGGGCTGCCCACCCCACAGCCCCGCCCCAGGCTGGCACCGATCACTCTGCCCCTGCAGGGTCCCTCCTAGCTGCTAAGCCCTGGGGAAGGTAGAGAGGCACATCTAGGGTCACAAGACCCTAAACGCCCTAAAAGGAAACTACCTGTGGCACAACCTTTGTGCCCGTCACCACCCACCCTCCAGGCATCACACAAAACATGCCCCCTCCAGAATTGTTTAACCGATCGAACATAAGATTCCGCCCTTGTCCCCCAGAAGCCACACCCTGCATGTGAACTCCATGTAGAGACAAGGCCACACTCACTGGGGGCACAGACATAGATGCTAGGAACCAACCCAGGCTGGGGCGAAGGCTCTGCAGGTGGGCAGAAGCAGGTCTAGGGGTGGTGTTGGCCCTCGGGGCCCCAGGACCCTCTTCCAGCTCCCTACATCTGCTTTCCCCACCCTGTCCCCACCAGGTTGGTTCAGAGCTCCAGGCTCCCCCTCCCCAAGGCCCATGAGGAAGACTTGGGAGAAGTGGGTCCTTTAGGGGTCAGCCCTGGCCTCCTTGCTGACTAGGTTCTCTGTGGCCTCCTCTCATCTTCAAGATGCTATCCCTCCACCTACCTTATTTAACTGAGGGCTACTGTCCTCACTAGGGAACTAGCAGTCAGCTTATTTAACTGAGGGCTACTGCCCTCACTAGGGCACTAGCAGTCCGCTTATTGAACTGAGGGCTACTGTCCTCACTAGGGCACTAGCAGTCAGAGACACAGAAGAATAAGAGAAAGCACAATCCTCTATGCAACTAGGCTCAGGGCAGGACCCTAGTTAGGGCCTATTAGCCCTTAAAGCAAACCTGCAGCTGCCAGTAACATAAATGTGGTGTTAATGTAGGAACAGAAATGGCCACCCTGACATCTGCTTAACCAAGGTGAGGTATTAGCTACAGTTTATCCCTACCTGAGTCCTTTCTTTACTCGACTGTTAACAGAAATGCTGAGAGAAAACCCAGCAATTGTGGCAGCCAGCTCAGGGTCAGGGAGCTGGAACCTAGGCTGGCACACACCACTGCCAAGCTTCGCTGGTGAACCCTGGGGCCAGGCCTGGTGGCTGCCTAGGTCTTAGTTTACTTCTTTATAAAATAAAGATCTTGGACTAATTCAGCTGATAAATGTGTTTTGAGGACCTATTACATGCCAGATGCTAGGGAAACAGTTGAGCAGCACATAATTCCTGCCCTCAAAGAGTTTTCTGTCTGGCAGGGATGGGCACAACCAGCCAACTCCATGTGAAGGAAACAGAATAAAGTGGTGTATAAGGGTCATGGAGGCACAGATAAAGATACTAGTTAATTCTCCCTGGGGGAAAAGTAGGGAAACACCACTCAGTGCCAAGGGCATTTGAAGTGGGCTTCAAAGGGTGAGTAGGAGTTTTCAAGAGAGACCTCAATGACCCCTTCAATCTTCCAGTGTGAATATTCTATTCTCTAGTCCACAGCAACATTTTTAAACTGCACTGTACAAAACTTTAGTATCTTCAGGATGCAAAGTAAGTGCTCTTAATTAAAAAAAGAAAAAGTTACATGATGGTAGAGGTTTGGGAAGCAGTGAGTCAAAATCAAATAGGTGTCCTTGCTGCAGGACTCCTCAGAGCGGCTCTTACCTGGAAGCCCCATCTCCCCTCAAGGCAGAGCAGAGCTGGACAGGAAGAGGAGCCCAGACCAGGAGAACACAGACTACCTCCACCTTTTCTCCCTCCCTCCCTCTTCCCTCTTCCTTCCTTTCCTCCCTGTCTTCTTTCCCTCCATTTAGCCATATACCCATCCATCCATCCATCCATCCATCCATCCATCCATCCATCCATCCATCATCTGTTACTACAAAGGGCCTTGAGTCCCTCCTCTGTACCAGTCACTGTATAATTAACAAGATGTCTGTTGCTAATGAAAGATTCCTTCCGGCCAGGCGTGGTGGCTCACGCCTGTAATCCTAACACTTTGGGAGGCCAAGGTGGGAGGATCACTTGAGCCCAGGAGTTGGAGACCAGCCTGGGCAACATAGTGAGACCTTGTCTCTTAAAAGAAAAAAAAAAAAAAGATTTTTTCCTTTCCTTCCTGCCCCCATGATTTCTTTCTTTCTTCTCCCTTTATTCATTCCTTCTCCCCCTCACCTTCTCTAACTTTCTGGTCCCTGTCTCTCATTGGCATGCTCTGAGTGCTCATTACATCCAAATTCCAGCTCTGTCCCTCCTAAGGGGACTCGGCACAAGGACTTTCATGGGGAGCTTGATGCCCACTGCACTTGGTACACCAAGGAGAGCAGACAGGGGTAGGCTGCTCTGTTCTGAGGATAAGCCTTCTGGCAATTCAGTGCTCAGAAAGATGGAATGAAGGAGCAGGGACACAGGTGGACCCCGAGAAGGAAGTTAAACACCACCATGTGCTTACTATGTGCCGAGCACAGATTAGGCCTGCTGCGTATACCAGGTAATTTCCTTGGTCCCAAAATGCAGGGAAAAGAGTGTTATTGTCTAGATTATTACCTATGAGGAACCTGAGGCTCAGAGAGGTTATGCAATGGGTCCAAGGCCACACAGGAATGAATGGAGACCAGAGGCTATTGACCCCAAAGTGCCTGCTTCTTGGAGGAGTGACACTGATGTAGTGATGGAGGGAGGCGGCAATGGGCTGGCCTGCTGGGGAGGCCCTTGACCTGAGGCCAAAGACGAGTGAGTCTACAGGCGGCTGGTCTGGCTGGGTCTGGGGCTAGCCGCCAGGATGGAGCACAGAGCCGAGACGGGAGGTGGGAAGGGGCTGCTGAACAAAGCTGCTGGTAAGAGGAGCAGGGAGGCTGGCTTCCCAGAAGTGGCTCATCAGATGCCCACGGACAAAGGCTTCTGGCTAAGGGAGTGGAAGGAACACCTGGGAAAAGGCACCGAGACTGTGCATTGAAAGCTTATCTGCTTTATCTGCTGCAGGTTATGTTGTGTGTATTGATTTTCTCTTAATAAAATCCATTCCGATTTTTTTAAAAAAAGAATAATGACAATGGATGCCTGTGGAGACAGGAACCTGGGCAGAAATTGTTTAGTATTGGGCACAGCCCCTGGGAGGAAGGGGCGGCCCCTCCCCCCGGGGGGAGGAGGGCACTGTGGGTGGGTGAGCAGGCATGAAAAAGACACAGGGGCCAGAAAGGCAGAGCGGAGGTCTTCAGACTTCAGTCTCTGCCACTTCTTCGCTCCCATGAGCCCCCCTGAGTGGGAGCAGAGGCTTCTTCCCTCGGCCATGCCTCTGCTGGGACGTCTGCATGGACTCCAGGCTTCCCTTGGGTTACCCACCTTCCCCTGCCTGGTGCTGGGGCCTTTCCTTCACTGCCTGGCAGCTATTAGACCTGGGGAAGCCACATCACCTGTCTGATGCTTACCTTTCTTTCAAACCGGGATAATAACACTTTGTGGATGCCTTTGCCTACTCCATAGGAAGTTGTGATAACAGTTTAATTTAAAAAAAAAAGAAAAAAGCATTTTGCAGAATCTAAGTCTCCCCCAGGGGCAAGGGAGGAGGATGAAAGGCCGTTGATACCCACCACTTTGCAGAACAGCCCTTCTCCCCAGTCAGATGCCCCCTCACTCACACGTGCCTCCTCCCTCTCCTTCGCACTGGTCCTCATCCTACCCATGTTCTGTTCTGGAAACAGGGGTGGAATTGGCAAGGTGGGACAGTGCCCTAGAGGGGCTGGCTAGTTTCTCTCTGGCCACCTGTCTGTAAATCAAGTAGCTACCACCACAGAGCCTGAGCCAGGGGAGAGTCGATTCTTCAGGAACAGGTAACTGAACTGTGACAATTTACCCACTGCTATTCTTAAACAGATTTTTTTTTCTCATAAAGCAGAGACTTGTTAAAATAATGATACAAACACTTATCTAACTCCTCTCTTTTGCCCATTAAATTTAAGACAAGATCTCATTGGAAGTGATATTTAATGTAACCCAGATCTCTGAGTACAGATGGGGACCTTCCATCCAATAAAAACTGTTATAAATCTCTGCTTAACTCAATTCTGGCTTTTCCCTCAGCCTCTCTGGAAATCCTTTAGTTGTCAAAATTCATGGTTCTGGACCTATCCATAAACATTTGCAAACCATTTGCAATTTTTCTTTTTTAAAGGCCTTTTTGCAGACCTCTCCCCTGCCATGCCGACGGAGCCATTGACTTCTAACGATCTAGGCAGGACCTCACCTGCCTCCTCTGCACCTTGCTGATTCTTTCTTCCCAGGAAGAATTTGGCCTTTAAAAAAAAAAATTAAATAATCATGTATCTGAAAGATCCATCATCCCAGGTATAGTCTCCTTTTAATCAAGAACACTCTCAGGTCCGTGTGATGGCTTCCTGTAAACAAGGCCCAAACCGCTTGTGCAGGGATGGACTGTTCTGCTTTGCCAGGTCTCTCGCACCACACTTTTTCTTTTTGAGACAGAGTCTCGCTCTGTCACCGAGGCTGAAGTGCAGTGGTGTAATCTCGGCTCACTGCAACGTCCGCCTCCTGGGTTCAAGTGATTCTCCTGCCTCAGCCTCCTGAGTAGGTGGGACTACAAGTGCATGCTACCATGCCTGGCTAATTTTTGTATTTTTAGTAGAGATGGGGTTTTGCCATGTTGTCCAGGCTGGTCTCGAACTCCCGGCCTCAGGTGATCCACCCGCCTTGGCCTCCCAAAGTGCTGAGATTATAGGCGTGAGCCACCACCGGCCCAGCCTCACCAGACTACCCTCACGCCGTTGCCTCTTGTGTGCCTCTGCCCTGGAATGCCCCTCCCCATCATGCCTTCTTCAAGGCTCAGAAAAACATCACTTCCTGCACAGAGCTTTCCAGAACTCGACAACTTAGCATGAATTTCCTGTTGCGTCCCTTGACACTCTGCCAGTGATGTGGCTGAGGCATGAGCTGGTGCGGTGGCTCACACTTGTAATCCCAGCACTTTGGGAGGCCCAGGCAGACGGATCACCTGAGGTCTGGAGTTCGAGACCAGCCTGACCAACATGGGGAAACCCCATCTCTACTAAAAATACAAAATTAGCTGGGTGTGGTGGCACATGCCTGAAATCCCAGCTACTTGGGAGGCTGAGGCAGGAGAATTGCTTGAATCCAGGAGACGGAGGTTGTAGTGAGCCAAGATTGCGCCATTGCACTCCAGCCTGGGCAACAAGAGTGAAACTCCGTCACAAAAAAATAAAAATAAAGGCTGGGCACAGTGGCTCACACCTGTAATCCCAGCACTTTGGGAGGCTGAGGTGGGCAGATCACGAGGTCAGGAGATCGAGACCATCTGGCTAACATGGTGAAGTCCCGTCTCTACTAAAAATATAAAGAAAATTAGCTGGGTGTGGTAGCGGGCTCCTGTAGTCCCAGCTACTCGCGAGGCTGAGGCAGGAGAACTGCTTGAACCTTGGAGGCGGAGCTTGCAGTGAGCAGAGATCGCGCCACTGTACTCCAGCCTGGGTGACAGAGTGAGACTCCATCTCAAAAAATAACATGACATAACATAACGTAACGTAACGTAACGTAACGTAACGTAACGTAACATAAAAATAAATATGAGCCATGTAATCAGCCTGGTGGATGCCAAGGGCTGCCCATATGTCAGCTAATTGCAATGGCCCTGGCTATAGATATTTGTCTACCTGTGTTTCTCCCACTAGACCCTGAGCCCCTCAAAGACATGGGCCATGCCTCATTCATCTTGCAGCACAGCATCCATCAGGACAGCTCAGGGCCAACCTTAGCCATACAGCCTTCTTTGAATGTTCCAACCCTCCTGGTCCTTTCTGTTTCTCGAAACCCCAGTAGCATTCATTCTACCCCTCTGTATTCATTAGGATTATGTTTAGGTACACATAATAGAAAATCAAAATAGTGTGGCTTGAAGGAGATCACAGTTTGTTTCTCTTTCATGCGTCCCAGCAGGTAATTAAGAGATAATAGGGTGTGTCAACTTTAGGATCTCACATGTTATTGCTCTGCCAAGTGTGACTCCAACTTCATGATCCAAAATGGCAGCACCCATGCTCCTGGCAGCCAATGGAGGAATAGACAGACACTGTCGCTTAAGGAAGGTTCTGGAGGCTTTCACAGGACCTTACCACTTATAGCCATTGGTCAGAACTTAGCCATATGGCCATACCTACCTGCAAAGGATGTTGGGAAATGTAGTGTCTAATCTGGGCAGCCATGTACTCAGCTAAAAGGGGAAAGCTGGGTACAGTGGCTCATGCCTGCAATCCCAGCTACTTCGGGGCTGAGGCAGGAGGATTGCTTGAGGCCAGGAGTTTGAGATCAGCCTGGGTAACATAGCAATCTCTAAAAATAAGTAAATAAAAAGGGGGGAGAATGAATACTGGGGAACTACCAATGTCTACCATCCCCACACAATTTAACACTTAGTTTTCCTCTTCCTTTTTAAACAATTTTTAAAAATTTATTAGGATAACACACAATTCACCATCTTAACCATTTTCAAGCGTATAGTTCAGTAGCATCAAGTACATTCGCATTGTTGTGCAACCACCTCCAGAACGCTTTGTATTTTTTTGAAATAGGGTCTTACTCCACTGCCCAGGCTGCAGCCTTGACCTCCTAGGCTCAAGCAATCCCTCCACCTCAGCCTCCCAAGTAGCTGGGACTATAGGCACAAGCCACCACCCCCAACCAATTTTTGTTGTTTTTGTTTGTTTGTTTTTTGAGACAGAGTCTTGCTCTGTCACCCAGGCTGGAGTGCAGTGGCGTGGTCTTGGCTCACCGTAACCTCCTCCTCCTGGGTTCAAGCGATTCTCCTGCCTCAGCCTCCCTAGTAGCTGGGATTACAGGCGGGTGCCACCACACCCAGCTATTTTTTTGTATTTTTAGTAGAGACGGGGTTTCACCGTGTTAGCCAGGATGGAAATCTTACTTTCCAAACAGTTCCCCTGCTGATTCCACTGCAGTCAGCCCGACACCGGGAACCACTAGAATACGGAGGAAGGAGTCTGTGGACCTGAACAGCCCTAGCTCTAACGTCAATTCCAGCACTTGTTTGCTGTGAAACCTTGGCCAAGTTACTTAACCTCTCCGAGCCTCATACCAATACCTGCCTTATAATGTGGTAGTGAGAATTACATAAAATGATGCATAGAAACTTTTTAGCACAGTGTCTGGCATGCCCAGACCCTAATAAATAGGGAGCTGATGTTGCAGTTATTATATCAATAATAATTATTATTACACCAACATTAATATCAGTAATTACATCAATAATTATTACATCAAAAATATCAATAATTATTACATCAATAATTATCATATCAATAATTTATGTAAATATTATATATAGATATTATAATTGTATATATTATTATAGCAATAATAATAATTATTATTATTACTCAAACGCCTGGAACAGCCCACTCTGAGGACTGTAGTTCTGATGGTCCTGGTGCTGCTATCAGGCAAGGCCCTTAGAGTGTCTCAAGTTGAAAGCCAGCTAGATAAAAGACAGCAATGAGGCTATTTGCTAGATGCTGGGCTCAGTGATAGTTAAAGGTCCAGGGAGACCAGGGAGATGAAAGAAAGGGACTCGCCGTGTTAGTGCCATTACCCCACCGCAGCAACATCTGCCACAAGCGCTTACCCTGAGTACTCCAGCCACCGCCAACCAGTAGCTGTCTGCAGCAGCAGCAGAGGTTGACAGAAACTTCAGCGCAGGGAAGTCGTATGGAGGAGTCCCTCTGGGCTGGAGCAGGGTCCAGCTGGCACTGCCCCAGAGCCCTGCTCCTGGCTGGGAGGGAGAGGAAGTCAGTCCCTGGAGCAATGTCCAAAGTGATGGCAAGAAGGAAAGCCATGCTGGGCCTAAGAGATATTCCACGCAGTCTTAGGTCTCAGCGCCAATGTTGCCTCCTCTGGGCTGAGTTCCGGGCTTCCCTGCACATTCCACTTCCACGGCAGCACTGGCCTTTCTGCTCTGATAGTTCCCTGGTCTGCCATCACCACTGGAGGACAGTGACTTAACCAACCTCCGCTAGCACCGCTTCACGCTCGATCTTATACACCTGCTTCACTGGCCTCCTTTCCATTCCTCAAACCTACGGAGCTGTTCCCGGCCCTGGGGCCTTTGCACTTGCTGTGCTCTCTCCTGGTTCCTGGCTCTTTCTCTTTACTCTTCAGGTCCTAGAGAGCCCTCCCTGCATTGCCCCTGTCCAAAGGAAGCTGCCCAACTGCTCTTCATCACAGCACCCTGTGTATTTCCTTCATAGCACCTTCACAATCCAGAACCATCTTGCTTATTTATCTATTTACCTGCTTATTGTCTGTCTCCCATGGAGAGGAACGTGTGAGCTCTATGGAGGTAGGAATATCTGTCCTGTTCATCTCAGTGCCTGGTGTGGAGCAGGAGCTCGATGCCTCCTATTGAACAATTTGATTTTCTAGTCATCTCAGTCCTTGGCCTGGCACGGTGCCAGGAACCTAAGAGCTGCCTAAGAAATGTTTATTAAATGAAGAAATGATACCATCAGCCATTCCTGCATTGGATCACTACCAGGAATCTTCTCTTTCTTTTCTTTTTTTTTTTTTTTTTGAGACTGAGTCTTGCTCTGTTGCCCAGGCTGGAGTACAGTGGCACAATCTCGGCTCACTGCAAGCTCCACCTCCTGGGTTCACGCCATTCACCTGCCTCAGCCTCCCAAGTAGCTGGGACTACAGGCACCTGCCACCACGCCTGGCTAATTTTTTGTATTTTTAGTAGAGACAGGTTTTACCGTTTTAGCCAGGATGGTCTCGATCTCCTGACCTCGTGATCTGCCCGCCTTGGCCTCCCAAAGTGCTGGGATTACAGGTGTGAGCCACTGCACCTGGCCCAGGAATCTTCTTAGAGTGATCCTAGAGCTAGAAATCCATCTGTTCAACAATATGTATGGAACTACTCTATGCCTGGCCCTGAGCTAGGCTCAGAGGATGCAGCAGATATCAGGACTGAAACAGAGTCCATTCATGGTCTACATTACAGAGGCGAGGAGGTCAGGTGGAGAGAGGGATTTTTGGGGAGGTGAGTGTAGACACTCTCAACACCTTCTTTTCCTCCCATCCTTTCCCTGAATTCAGAGATGCTCTCCATGCCATCATCCTCCCGGGTTGTGTTTGTGGGTTTGCTGGCAGGGGGTTGAATGTTGGACGAGAAGTCGGAGGAAATTGCTCTTCGCTGGCAGATCAAAGCCGTGAAGCTCAGAAACAAAGCCTCTCCCCTCTCCCCATCCCTGTCCCTCTGCTTCCACCCACCGACAGCCAAGACAGCCTGCAATCAGGCACCTTCATTATGAAGACTGATGTTACCAGACAGGGATCTGAGCAAGGTTTTGCTGTGTCTGATTTTGATGGTAGTAATTTAGAGCTCTTGGTAACTAGATCAACACAGCTCCGTTACTCCCCACCAATCACCAGGTTTGTGGCAAAAGGTTTCTGAGAGGGCCTGGAATTCATTGGTCCTGGGGACCTGGGATTGCCAGCTGAATGAGATGGCCAGAGCCCAGGAGTGGGCTCCCCAGCCAGTATGGGCACACGGAGAAGCAGACCCAGAAATGAGGCCAGGTCCAGGGTGGCAGGCAGGCTGGGGAGGCAGTGCGGGACAAGTCCACAAGTGGTGAATGCTTATTGGTATAAGAAGGCAGGGAGCCTGGGAACTGCCCAAACACGGATGCTGGCCATGGAGATGGAGAGGAACCAGAAAGAGCTTCCAGAGACCCTCCGGCCCTGGAGGGTGGGGGACTCTAAGACACAGCCTCCAAAATACGAATTTCAGAGTCTGCTGATTGGCCTGATCCCCCAAATCTCTGAGACATAACCAATCCCACAAACACCCACTTGAGCCAACTCAAATCTGCTCTCAAATTGGGGTTCTGGGAAGGAGGCACGAGGGAGCTTTTCCTCTAAATTCCAGGGCCACCCCATTCCTGTCAGTCGGGACCTCAGCCGTGGGAGTTAGTGATGCCCATGGTCCTGGGGTCCTCTTCGGTTCCCTTCTTGACCCCAAGCAGCCCCTGGAGTCTGGGAGGGGGCCTCTCTCTCTGCCTGGAAAATCAGCCCCAGGCCCTGAAGTGCCAGAGCTAGGAGGGGCCTTGAGCTCTGTGGTCCAACTCCCTCATTAACAGAGAGAAACTGAGGCCTGGAGAAGCCAGAGACCTGCCCAGGGGTGGGTGCTGGAATCTAATCTCATCCCATGGTTCTTTCTATTTGACACGCTGCCCAGCATGGAGGAGGCGCTCTGTATATACAGGTTGAAAAACTGTATGACCCAATGGATGAATGGATACATGGCTGGGTGGCTGGGCAGATGGTGGATGGATAGGCTGCCTCCTATCTTTAGAAGAGGAGCAAGTACCTCCTCCTGATTTCCTGTGGTGTGGTTAGCTCTGCAGACCATACCTTGGAAATTTATGAATAAACAAAATGATTAGATGCCACCCAGAAGTGTATAACACACTACACAGTGGCGACCAAATTGGCTTTAGGAACAGGAAACTCTGCCAGACCAATTTAATTTTCTCTCCCGTGATAGAATGATGGACCTCATCAGTAAGGGATGGGAAGGCAGCTGTCATCGATCTTGATTTCAGGGCGGCTGTGGGTTCTGTCCTACATGACATTCTCATCAACTTGCCAAGGAAACACTGTCTGTTCCAGCCTCCCCTGGGGATGAATGACTGGCCCCAAGGCTTTATGCCCGAGGCCCTGTCCCCATGTCAACTCCCCATGGGCACCCGGCTCCCATTCAGATGCTGCCTGTGCACACCTGGTCCAGCAAGGGCTGGCCCGAGTGTGCTCACACGCAGAGAACAGGATAATGTCTGGATGCAGATGTGTACACATGAGCATGTGGATAGAGACAGGCGTGCACATGACACACAAATACACACATGTATTTGCAAACATGTGTGTGTTATACCAAGGTCAGCACCCAGGTATCAGCCATACATGAGCCCAAGGCAGCTGCGATTGAGCCTGAGGAAGTGGCGGAGGTGGGAAAGGGTTAGCCAGGGACAGCACAGGGCTGAATTGTTGATCGAGTGCAGATCCACGCTCTAAAGAAGTGCTGTCCGATAGAAACAGAACTCCAGCCGTGTATATAATTTTAAATTTTCCAGTAGCCACATTGAAAAGTAAACAGAAAACAGATGAAATCAATTTTAAGATATATTTTTGCTTATTGTATTAGCTCAATAGATCCTAAATATGATCGTTTCAACATGTAATCAATAAAAATTATTAATGAGAATGTTATTCTTTTTTTTGCTTTCTTTTATACATATGGCAACTATGGGGGCGCTAATTCACACACAAGGATTTCACTGGATAAGCTAGATCTGCAGTTAGATTTTGTTAAATTTACAGTCGAAAAGGTAGGTTCACATACCCAAGTTGTTCCAAACATATTTAAAAGGGTTTTTGTTGTTGTTGTTTGAGACAGGTTCTTGCTCTATCACCCAGGCTAGAGTGCAGTGGCAAAATCATGGCTCACTGCAGACTCAAACTCCTGGTCTCAAGCGATCCTCCCACCTCAGCCTCCCAAGTAGCTGGGACTACATGCGTGCACCACCATGCCTGGCTCATTTTTTTATTTTTTGTAGGAATGAGATCATGCTATGTTGTCCAGGCTGGTCTCAAACTCCTGGCCTCAAGCAATCCTCCCACCTTTTAGGCTACCACACCCAGCCTAAAAGTTTTTCAATAACCGAATTGATTATCAGTTTTAAAATCTAGGTTAATGCAAATCAAATTAAAAGTGTAGTTCCCCAGTGGCACCAGCCCCCTTCCCAGTGTCCCCAGCCACAGGCGGCAGCTGGCTCCCACAGTGGGCAGCGGGTCGGCAGCCTTGAGGGGAAGGGGGGAAGAGAAAGGGTCAAATGGGTGTGGGGGTGGTAGGAGGCTGGGCTTAGGGGAGGTGGGGGCGGGCGATGGGTGGAGTGGAAGGGGAAGGAGGGGAATGAGGGCCCTGCAGAGCTGGAAGCTGCAGGGTTTCCCTATGGCTGCTCCAGGAGCAAAAGGGGGTGGCAAAGAGGCAGAGAGGATGCTGAGGCTGGATGAGCTATTGTTAGCCTCCTGTGGGTATCTCCAGCCCCCAGGACACAGCCCAAAGCCCCTTACCTCTCCGGGAGGAATCCTAGGGCTGCCTATGAGCTTGGCCAGGCTCTGCCCACCTCCTTCGCCACAACTCTTCCCACCTCAGTCCCTACCCACAGGTCCCCCTATCTCCACCTGCCATGTGGGCAAGGTATTGCTGCTCCAGCTCCACTAGAGGGTTGGCTGCCCACACCTGGACGGGCCCTGGTGACTTCAGCACCCTTGGCAGAAATAGGGAATGACAGGGAATTGCCTTGGGGGTGGGTTTAGAGCAGGTTCTGGTTTGAGATGTGCTGGATTTGGGGGGCCTGTGGGAGGTTCTGAGGAGAGTCCAGCAGGTGGCTGGAAACGCTGGACCTGAGTTCTGGAAGACAGGCACGAGGGAGCTCTTCCATGGAGGAAGGCACACAGCCACGAGCACACACGGCTCACTCCTTCCCCCATCCATGCGCACACGGCTCACTCCCTCCCCCATCCATGCGCACACGGCTCACTCCCTCCCCCATCCATGCGCACACGGCTCACTCCTTCCCCCATCCATGCGCACACGGCTCACTCCTTCCCCCATCCATGCGCACACGGCTCACTCCTTCCCCTGTGCAGCCACTTCCTTGCCCCGGCCAGTCTCCCCACACCTGCCCCAGAGGTGGTTACCCAGAATCTTTGTCCCGTCCCGGGGTTCCCCTAGTTCCCCCCCAACCTCAGCAGCAAATCTGCTCTCAAATTGGGGTTCAAAGGGGAAGTGCCCAGGCATTGGGATTGGTCCCAGGGATGGAAGTGCCCAGGCATTGGGATTGGTCCCAGGGATGGGAGTGTCAGCACTTAGGGAGGCCATGGTGGAGGAGTCTGGGGCCAGAGAGGGCAGGTGTGGTCTCAAGGAGAAAGGGTTGGGTCAACAGAGTCCCTGGCCCTGGCATATGTCCCCTCACCCAGTTCTGGTTATCTGTGGATGTACGTATGGCACACATAACCCCAATCTCAGTGCCTTAAAACAATACTTTGCTTTTATCATGTCTCACGATTCTGTGGATCAGGAACCTGGACAGGGCACAGAGGGAATGGCTCCTCTCTGCCCCTGGATGTTTATGGCTGAAGCTCGGATGGCTCAAATGGCTGGGAACAGGAATGGGGGGCCAGACAGGTCTCCACCCTCTTCCCCCTACAGTCTCTCCTCGTGGCCACCTTGGGCTTCCTCACTGCATGGAGGTCTCTGGGTGCCAAGAGTCTCTAGAGTTCCAGGCAGAAGCTGCAAGGTTCTTAGGACGTTGCCTTAGAAATCCTGAACATCACTTCCGCCACATTTTATAGGTTGCGCAAATCACTAGGGAGAAGCCCTGATTCAAGCAGAGGGGAGGCACAGATTCCACCCCTCAACGGGAGGAGTGACAAGTGACACTGAAAAGGAGAGAATGGAAGGCAGCCATGCTGGGATCATGCCACCCCCCGCCAGCTGCCACTCACCTGAGGGCAGCAGCTGTGTGTTTTACCCCCTCTCCCATGTTAGTCAACCTGACAACCTTCCTGTCACTGTCACTGCCTTCTGCATGGAGGCCGCAGCCTCAGTAACATGTCAGAATGCTTGTCTCACCTACTTAGCTGGAAATGTAAACCCTTCAAGGTCGAGACGGTCTCTTTTACGCCTTGCTGTCCTGGCTTTGACATTTTGGGTGTTTTGTTTCCTGAATCAGCGCTCCTCGACTGGACTCATTGGTCTTCTGCACCAGATACCCCCAGCTCCTCAACACATCCTTATTGAGTATCCTGGTCCCTGGCCCTCTGGAGTGGAAAGAGGTCCTAGCACCTCACCACCAGAGCCCAGGTGCTGGCCCAGATGGAGGTGGAGGATGGAGAGGAGCATACCCCAGGGGCTGTGGCCATGGCAGGCCTTGGAGCCCTCGGTGCTGGCGGCCACCTGGATTTATGCCTCTCTTGGGGATATGTGCCCTATGTGTCTACCTGGCCCCCACCGCTGCATTTCAGTGTTGTTGTCCTGGCCTTACAATGCAAACTGTGTTAGAGGATTACACTGTTTCTGGGAGAAAATTTAAAAGAAAAGATAAACAGCAAAAAACAGGGAGGGGACTCATAGTACCTTTAAATAAACTACTTTGTCAAAATATTTCTAAATAATGACGACTAGGATAAATCTACATTCAAGTCCTTGCACAGAAATCCAGGCAGCGGTGTGCTGAGAAGGCGAGGCATCCCAATGTGTTCTTGCCCCCGGCGGAATGCCACAGAACAATGAGGCTGGGCGGTGCAGAGCACAAACTGTTGATGGAAAAGACGATTTCTGCTCAGGAGGGCAGGGGCTTGCCTCTATCTGGGTCCTTTTCATTGCTCTACAAAGAATCCTTTCTTCCTCCCAGGCCGCACTAAGTAATAACAACTGGGGACTTTTCTCACGCCAACTTCTGAGCCGCTTCAAGTGTCATCTGGTTACCCATAAAATTCATACCTGGAATAGTGTCTTTGACCTTGGGCAAGTGTGCGTGTTGCCTGGCTCTTTCGCGGGATTCTGGGAGAGATCTCTCGGAGAGATGATGCTGAAATGTTGGCGGGTCGTGTGTATACTGTGGATTTTGTAGAGTACATAGTTTTTCCTTTTGGCCGCTGTTAGATTGGGGAAACCATGTGTTTCTCAGAAGGAGGAGCACAGGCCCTCTCCCTCCGCATTCCCGGGCACGCTGGCCCGGCTTCTCCAGCGTTTCCCTGCACTACAGGGAGCACCGTGTCCTGTGGGTGCTGCTGTACCTGGGTCTCCACCCACCAGTCTTCCGTCCCTGCAGGTCTTGGGTCCCTGGAATAATTTGCCTTGTCCCCCTCTGGGTTTCTGTGTTCATCTGAGCATGCTTTGCTGCCCTAGCTTTGATAATTTGAGGACTTTGCCTCCAGAATAGGTGCTCTTCACCTGGTACCGGTGGCCTTTGGCCACCCAGCCCCTGAGTGTCACTGTGTCTTACTGAGTGGGACAGTGGCAAGGGCCCAGCCGGCTTGGGAATGGGGGCTGGATCTGAATTCAGTCTCCACCACTCACTGGCTATGGGATCCAGGCAGGGTATTCAAGAAGCCTGGGCTTCTGTCTGCTCATCTCTAAAAAGGGGCTCATAAAATCCTCCTTACAGGGTTGGTGTGAGGATGATGATGCTTGCATGCCAATGGTCTGGCCCTCTGAAAGTGTCCAATAAATGACAGCTCTTGTTCCTCCCCTCGCCTTTACTGCTGAAGGCAGCAGTGGGCAGTCACTCCACACACCCTAACTATTAACTGTCTGGCCCAGGCCTCTGGAAACAAGCGCAACCCAAAGAGGCTAATTGAGAGGGGTGAGGGAGAAGTGATCTAGCCATCATGGAACCCCTATGTCTGGGTATTTTGCTGGGAGCTCCAGTTATCTCATTTAATCCTCAAAGATCCCTAAGAGAGAGGCACTACTACTATGATCATTTCAAAAAAAGAGGGACTTGGGGCTCACGGCAGAAGGTAGGTGTAGACGTAGACGGCTGTAGAGCTGGGATCCAAACCCAAGACTGGAACTGGGACCAAGGTGAAGGTTGGGTTTCAAAGAACTAAGAAGATAACAGGTGACTGGATACAGAATCTACCAACCCCCAGAAATACCCTCCATCTGGAAACAGGATTGAGGTAGGCGGATCCTACAGATGTAAGCAGATTGGCCCCCACTGTAGGGTGGGGCAGGGAGGCAGGCAGGCCTCTGGAGGCCTGTGGGGTCTATGGCACTGTGGCTGGCACAAATTCTACACATAAGGACTTGTTTACCCACCTGCTCTCTCTGCACAGTCTCTCAGAGCAGGGGCATCTGTGCCAGGAGGCAGGAGCAGCAGGCAGTATGGGGCCAATGGAGAGAGGTCCTTCAGCCTCTGGGACAGCACACCATGGCCTGTTCAGTCCTTGCCTGCTACCTGCTTCCCAGTTCCCTGTCCTTCTCCCTTCCATCCTGCAGATATCTCCCCAGCCTCTCTTCTCTCACCAACTCTCTGTACTTCTGACATTATTCCCTCCTTCCTCCCACTGGGATCTGAGGCCCAGAGAAGTGCCTCACTGGTCCGGGCACACAGCGAGTCTACTGCCTGGACCTGCTTTCGGACATGCTGAGATTCCGTCCCCTGCCCCGTGTCCTAGCGGGGCTGCTGCCTCATCCTCCCCCAGAGGCGAGATGGCACAGCCCCTTCAATGACAATGTCTCTCCTCCCATTACCGGGAACAGCCTCACTGACTGGCTGTCATAGAACTTTTGCAGCCTCAGGGGAACATGAGCTATCTCCCATCTCCCCAAGCTGTGAAACTGAAATACAGAAATAAAAGCCTTTCCTCAGGGGCCCTTCATCTCTTGGCAAATCGTGGTTAAGGAGCCCTCTTCCCTTGTCACAACTGCCCGGCTCAGGTTTAAAGCTGAGGGCACAGCAGACAAAGAGGGTAGGACGGGCACAGACCAAGCCACCATGGTGCCTGCTGAGTCCTGCAGTTCCGGCCTGACCCATGATAGGGGTAGGGAGGCAGACAGGCCTTTAGAGGCCTGCGGGGTCTACGACACTGTGGTTGGCACAAGTTCTATACATTAAGACTCGTTAACCCACCTGCCAGCTCAGCATAGGGCTCCTGGGCTAGGGGCACCCATGCTAAGAGGCTGGATTGAGAGATGGTGGCAGAGAGAACGAAACGTAACAGAGGAATAAACACTGGGCTTTAACATCAGGTGATACTCTCCCCGTCAATTATCCCGGTGGAGCTAGGGGATGGAGAGGACAGCTGCTGCAGCCTCGGCTCCCTTAGAGAGCAGACCCCAAGCCCTGGCTGTCCCACCCCACCGTCCCATGACTGGGCCAGCTGCTCTCAGGAGTCCCCTGGGAGTTCCCAAGCGAGCACCCAGGCCTCTTGCTTTGAGATTAGGCATTCCACTGTTTGCATTTGCTCTTAAGAAGGAAGTCACATCCAGAGACCTGTCTCTGGTGCTGAGTAACTCCCAGACTTGATGAGAGTCATTCGTCGCTCTCATTAACAGGGAGAGGCTGCCCAGACTTATGCAGCTGCATGTGATGAACAGGGCTGGGCACAACCACCCCAAACCGTGGACCGGGAGCTTCCCACAGGGCTGGAGGAGAAGCTCCAGGAGAAGTCTTGGAGTTTGAAGAAGCAAGACTTTCAGCTGGATGAGTCCCATCCAGTCCTGCTCTTAGCTAGCACCTGCTCTTAGAGGATATGTAAGGAGCCAATGTAACTGAAGAGTTAACACTGGGCTTTGGTATCCAGTGACTTTGGGTTCAAATCCTGGCTCTGCTACTTCCTATAGGTAACCTGACTTTTCTGAGCTGCTTCATCCTTATCGGTATGGAGGTGAGAGTAAGAGCAGTTTCACAGTTTCCATGCAGATCAAGTGAGGTCAAGCTGTAAAGCCTCCGGTGCACAGGCCATCAGTGCACAAAACTGGGCATTTATTACTGAGATGTTGCACAGGGCAGAGCACAGCGTGTGTTGGACAAATTTGCCTCATGAGGGTGAGAAAATTCTGGGCTGAGGCTTCTCAACAACCAGGGCAGCTTCTCCCTCCTTCATCGTCCTAGGGAAGACCCCCAGGGCATCTTTGGAATTTGGAGACACCTCATCTCCCAGCAGATAAAACGCAGGACTTGCACTTGGGAACTTAGGCCCCCAACAGACTCCCCCAGCAGTAGCAGAGGCAGGCCCCTCACATGCCCAGGGCAGGACCCAGAGACACAGACAGACGCTCCTTGGAGGAGCTGGAAACTGTCGGGTTCCTCTCACACAGACTCTGCAATGACGTCTGGAGCAGATGGCAGGGGCGGATGTTCCTGGCTGGGTTGACAGAGCCTCATGTGCCTGGAAATTCCCCCAGTTCCGGGGGATCCCTTCCAGATGTTCCCACCCACAGCCTGGCTGAGGAGGAACAGTGGGGAGCTAAGAAGCCAGGGCTGGAAAGCTGAGCCAGCCTTCTGCACAGAAAGGCAGGCAGCCACCCAGGAGACCAGTCCAGAGTCCCCAGTGTCCTCAATACCCAGCCACCTCCACCAACACCTCCCTAGGGTTCCATATTAGAGAGCCATTCCTTCGAACATGTCATTGCTATCTCAGGAGGGATAACACATAAAACCCCTTGCCACTCAAACTATGGCCTAGCAACATTAGGCATCATTTGTTGGAATCTCAGGCCCATCCCTGATCTCCTGAATGAGAATGTGCATTTTAACAAGATGCCCAAGTGATCCCATATGCACCTCTAGGTTGGAGAAGTGCTGCGTTAAGCTGCTATTGTCCACTCACTTTCTGAAATGCAAGCTCCACAAGGATATGGATTCTTTGTTTTGTTTACTATATCACACCCAAAGAGTCCCTTAAACAGAACTCATTAAATGCTTTTTGAGGCCAGGTGTGGTGGCTCATGCCTATAATCCCAGCACTTTGGAAAACCAAGGTGGGAGGAGTGGTTGAGGCCAAAAGTTTGAGACCAGCCTGGTCAACAGTTCCTACAAAAAATTTTTAAAAATTAGCTGGGCATGGCAACACTTGCCTGTAGTTTCAGCTACTTGGGAGGCCGAGGCAGGAGGATTGGTTGAGCTTAGGAGTTGGAGGCTGCAATGACCTATGATCATGCCACTTCACTCCAGCCTGGGTGACTAAGACCCTGTCTCTAAGGAAAAAAAAAAAAGCTTTTTGAATAAAATGAATTATTTAGATTATTTAGGGCTTAGTTTCCCATAGCACAGAGAGGCAGGTACACAGCATAGGTAAGTTTTTTTTTTTTTTTTTTTTTTTTTGGTTGTTGTTGTTTCGGTTTTGGATTTTTTTGGAGACGGAGTCTCACTCTGTCACCCAGGCTGGAGTGCAGTGGCACAATCTTGGCTCAGTGCAACCTCCACCTCCCAGGTTTAAGCAGTTCTCCTGCCTCAGCCTCACAAATAGCTGAGATTACAGGTACCTGCCACCACACCAGGCTAATTTTTGTATTTTTAGTAGTGACGGGGTTTTGCCATGTTGGCCAGGCTGGTCTTGAACTCCTGATCTCAGGTGATCTGCCCACCTCAGCCTCCCAAAGTGCTGGGATTACAGGTGTGAGCCACCGTACCCGGCCAGCACAGGTAAGTGGAAGGAGAAGAAATTAGAATGGGTCATCCCAGGGTCCAAGGCACTCCCAGGGTGAGGGGTAGGAAAGGAGGAGAAGGGCAAGGAAAGAAGAAGTGTGGTGGCCCCAGCCATCTGTATAATGAATGACTGTATAATCATCTGTATAATGAATGACTCCCAGCACTAGAAGTGCAAGTGGCACTTGGGAGGAAATAGGACAAACCCCTTCTCCTAGATATCCTCTTCCTCTGTCTCCACCTTCATCAGGCCTCTCTGGAGCCCTGTCCCTAGCGGCCCCTCTTACGACCCCTCAGAACCCCGATGCCTGCCAAGATCCTGAGTACACTTCAAGCTTCTCCTGGGAAGGCACGTTCAGCGGCTGTACCCTCTGCCTCCCCATGAGGAGCTCTGGTTGATGTGGGAGGGTCCTTGGGGGCGACAGGCCCCAGCACTGACCCTGGCCCATTTCCGAGCACATGGGCTTCTTCCCACCCCACTCCCAGCAGAGCCTCCGGGCCAGGCAGGCTAGCTTTCTCTGAGGCTCAGGTCACCTGGGGCTACAGATGCTCCCTCCACAGTTGTGCCCCAGCCTCAGCCCAGGAGCTCAGCAGGAGAATCACCCAGTGATTGGCAAGCTGAGCCCTCTATTTGCAGTGGGGAAAGCTGAGGCCCAGGGCGATGAAACCACATGGCCAAGTTCACACAGCTGGAATGGCAGGAATGCATGCCCAGGGCCCTGCCTCTTGGATGGGTGCACTCTCTGGCTCACATTTGGATAGCTTAGGTGTTCCTCCTCTGGGTACCCTAGCATCTAGAGCCTGACAATGAGTAGGTGCTCAGTTATTGTGGAATGAATGAAAGAGAAGCAAAGAACCCCACTGGGAGCTAAGAGAATGACAATGGCAGTAAAGGCCACTGTTTATCTGTGCTCAGCACTTTACACAGGCTGTTTCTTTGAAGACTTACAACAACCCTCTGGGAGAAGCACTGTTATCATTCCCGACTACATATAAAGAAACCAAAGCTCTCAGGGATTAAGACATGAACCTCAATCATGCCTGAGCTGGGATTTCAACACGTTTCTGCCCAGAACTCTAAAGCCCCAGTCCTCATCAGGATGCCGTGCCGCTTTCTTGTTGGCGAACTCTTTTCTTTGAAAGAGGCCACTGCAGCCCAGATGGCTCTGGCAGAGGCTCTGAGCTGGATGAGTTTGTAATTCACTTTGATGACAAGCAGAATGTGTCCCCACTGGCTCACCAAGGAGCCTGGGATGTCAAGGAATTCTTCTTTCTGAATCCCACTCCTCACCTGGGATGCCCCAAATCCCCCCTATTCGTTCTCAGTGGTGGCTTCCATTTAAATTGAAGCTCTTCTGCAGGACCTCGCTGACCCTTCAATCTGAAATAGCACCCCACCCACCCCACTCTCTCCATCCCCCCTACCGCTTCATCCTTCTCAGCACAAAGCATCACCTGACAATATCGTGCAGCTGTGTTTGCATTTTAACTGTCTCCTCACTTGGATGGGACCTCCATGCAGGCAAGGACATCGGCTCCTTTACTGCTCTGTCCTCAGGGCCTGGCATGTAGCGAGTGCTCATTACACACTGCCTGCATGAATGAACCCTCAGAGCATAACACATAAAATAGCACTTTTCTAAATCAGCACCCCTGTGTAGTAATCCCGTGAAAGATGGGCCTCCAGGAATTTGCTAATAAAGTAAAGGGCCAGTATCTGCCAGATGCTGACTTTCTTCTTCTTCTTCCTCTTTTTTTTTTTGAGAGAGTCTCACTTTGTTGCCCAGGCTGGAGTGCAATGATGCAATCTCAGCTCACTGCAACCTCCGCCTCCCGGGCTCAAGTGATTCTCCAGCTTCAGCCTCCCTAGTAGCTTAGATTCCAGGTGTGCACCACCACACCCAGCTAATTTTTGTATTTTTTGTGGTGACAGGGTTTCACCATGTTGGCCAGGCTGGTTTCAAACTCCTGACCTCAGGTTATCCACCCACCTCGGCCTCCCAAAGTGCTAGGATTACAGTCATGAGCCACCATGCCTGGGCCAGAGGTTGACTTTCAATAAATCACAGTGGGGCCAGGCATGGTGGCTCACACCTGTAATCCCAACACTTTGGGAAGCCAAGGCAGAAGAAGCACTTGAGCCCAAGAGTTCAAGACCAGCCTAGGCTCCGTCTCTACAAAAAGTCAAAAATTAGCTGGGCGTGGTGGCACATACCTGTGGTCTCAGCTACCTTGGGAGGCTGAGGTGGGAGGATCTCTTGAGCCCAGGAGGTTGAGGCTGCAGTGAGCCATGATTGTGCCACTGCACTTCTGCCTGGGTGGCAGAGTGAGACCCTGTCTCAAAATACAAATAAATAAATAAAGTTTAAAAAATAAATAAATCACAGCAGATCCATGTGCTCACACATTGAATGTGTACTGAGCACCTCCTTGTGCCAGGAAGTGTGTTAGACTCTGGGCATATTTCCGTGAACAAGTCATGCCCCCGCCCCAACACACCACCCAAAGAGGTTATTTTAGTGGAGGAGATGGACATTCAATAATCCCCCCAAATAGATATTGATTCTGCATTGTGCTAGTGCTGGAGCTGATCAGGGGCCTGGTAGGAAGGGGACAGGTTTGAGGCTTGCCCCCTGACAAGGACACTGGCACTGAATGGCACTCACGTGTGTCTTCCTGAGTGGCAGTAAAGGGGCCAGGGCAGCAGCTGGCATGCCCAGAGCTGTGTTCACCCCAGAGTGTGGGTTTGGCAGAGGAGCAACATCCCTCATGCCAGCTGCAGGGAGAGAGGCTTGGTAAGTGCTGGGAGAAAGCTTTTCTCCAGGAAAGGCTGACCCCCACAGGGTCGCAGGGTCTGGGGCTCTGCCTCACAGCATTAGGGGGTCTCACAAGTTACCTACAGGAACCTCACTCCACCCTCAGTCTGGGCTCCAGGAGCCCGCTTCTCTAGCTGGAAAACAAGATATGTAACAAGATCTGCTTCCCTACAGGCACTGAGAATATTAGACAGATCTGAGGGGCCGAGCCCTGTGCCTGGCTGGCAGGAGTGACCTGTGTGGGTCTCTAAATGCAGGAGTGGTGGACATTCCTGGGATGTGCAGTGGGCAGAGGTCACAGTGCAGTGAAGGGCCAATGCAAGGGCATATTAAAGGGACTGGGGTTGTTCCACCTGGAGAGCAGATGGTTCTCAATGTGCCTCAGTTTCTGAGTCTGTAAAATGGGTCACCAACCAGTTGTTTTCACACAAAGGGCAGGAAAAGAAGTGGACTTTAACTAATGAGAAAGATTTGCAGTCAGATAAGCGGAGAAATTTCTTAAACCTCAGAGAAAATAAATGTCGGGTGATATGGTTTGGCTGTGTCCCCACCCAAATCTCATCTTGAATTGTAACTCCCACAATTCCCACGTGTCATGGGAGGAACCCGGTGGGAGGTGATTGAATTATGGGGGCGGGTCTTTCCTGTGCTGTTCTCATGATAGTGAATGACTCTCATGAGATCTGATGGTTTTAAAACATGGGAGTTTGCCTGCATAAGCTCACTCTGTTTGTCTGCCACCATCCACGTAAGATGTGACTTGCTCCTCCTTGCCTTCCACAATGATTGTGAGGCTTCCCCAGCCACATAGAACTGTAAGTCCAATTAAACCTCTTTCTTTTGTAAATTGCCCGGTCTCGGGTATTTCTTTATCAGCAGCATGAAAGCAGACTAATACACTGGGTACACTGGGATAAACCAATGAGAGGAACAGGTGGAATTCCTTGGAAACAGAATTATAAAGCTGGAAGGAAAGTCATACCTCACCCCCTCCCTTAAATTTTAGAAGTGAGACTCTTAAGGGGACAGTGACCTGCCTTGGTAAGCAGGTGGTTAGTAGCAGAGAACCCAGAACTCCTGACTCTAGATCCATCTTTACCTTCTACCTTTCCCCATTATATTATCCTAGGAAAGAAACCAAAGCTCACAGAAAGGATATCTAACATCAGCCCAGATTATCGAACATTATATGCCAGGAAATGTCCTCAGCTTCTCCATAGTTTTAGGGTTAATCTTCCAAGCAATCCTATGAAGAGGGCACCTTATCTTAATAAGGAAACTGAGGCACAGAGAAGCTAAGCAACAAACTCATGGTCATTCAGCTCCTCAGGGACAGAGGGAGGATTTGTACCCTGGCCTTCTGAGTTATCTGCTGGCTCTGCAGCCTCTCCAGTCCTTAGTTCCCACCCTAGAGGGGACAAATCAGAGCTTTTCAACCTGTCTGGAACTGTTAGTCATCATGACCTCCATGGTTCAGCTTGACTGCACTAAAAGATCCTGATGGCTTCCAAAATGACAGCTATTTCCCTTTGCAGAGCTTTGCGCACTTTCTCCCACACCTTAACAGGACTCCCTTAGAGGATAGTTTCAGGCAGGACCAGCTTCATGGGAATGCCACCTGTGCAGTCAGGCAGAGCCACATGCTTAGAAGGAGTCTGCCTTTGGCCTAATGCATTCTTAATATTTCTTGAAGAAGTGCCCTGCATTTTTATGTGCACTGGGCTCTGCAAATTATGTAGCCCATCCTGATTTCAAAGTTAGCAACCTTCACCTGAAGGGGGGTGGCGGTGGTGGTGCTACTGCACTAGAAGGATGGACACCCAAGGTCTTGTTGGCAGCAGGGCACCTTGGGATGATGGGGATGCCACCTGCTTCTTCCCATTCCACTTTCCCCAGACAGAGGTGCGAGGTGAGCTTGGAGCAGGGCAGCGTTCTCATATTCACATTCTCTCTCTCTCTCTCTCTCCCTCCTTCTCCCATCTCCCCGTCTCCCCGCCTCTCCTTCCTGCAGGCTGTAAATGAACCAGACAAGGCCAGGTGGAGGTGATGCTCCTTCCGGGCCCAGAGTTGAAGACCTACCCTTAGGTTTCCTTGACAGCCTTAGTTTCTTTCTGACTCTGCTGGGCTTGCAACCAAAGGCAGCCCATCTGGCTGTGCCAGGGGTAAGAAAAGACATGATTTAGCGCCATAACAATTTTAACATCAGGCAAAACAGATGCCATGTGAGAGAGACTCAAGGTAGAACAGTACATGGCAGATAAAAGAAATGACCTAATTAGATCTCAAACATACAACCTTGAGTTTAAAAAAGGCATTTTGCTGTGTGATATGTAACTGCGCCACCCTCTGTGTAAAACAAGCCACACATACACACACACGTGCTGACACACAATATATATTTCCCATGAGCCCACGCATATATGTGAAAAAAAATTTTTAAGTGTGAAAGGATCACACCAAATTCATATAGTACTTGTTGCCTCTGAAACTGAGGTGGGTTGTCAGAGGGAAGATTATCTGTGACCATCTAACAATTTATAAAAGATAATCACTCGAGTGGTTTTCTTTTAAGCACAGATGCTCCAACTGTGGGACAAGGGAGGGTTGTCCATCCATCCCTTCCTCCCTGGGGTTCTGGTAGTGCCTAGCCCCAATGGATTGCACAGCATGCTGCAGTTGATGGAGCACCCTCGCCTCCCTTGTCTTAGGTGATGCCCAGAGCAATGCCTTGTGGGGGTAGGGCAGGTATAATTATTATTCCCATTTTACAGAGGAGGCAACAGAGTCAGAAAGGTTGAGTGACTTGCTCACACACGCAAAGCCAGTAAGCAGCAGATGGGGACTCTTTTGTCCTCCAAGCTGAGTCAGACACAGAGGGGGTGGAATGGCCGGGGCCCAAGTGCTATTTATTCCCCATGGCTATTTAGGGTTTGCAGGATATGTTTTCCCTCTAGGCAGATATAGTTTCTCCTAGACCCACTTTGAGCCTCCAAACAGACAAGGGATGTGCTAACCCTTCTCCTGAACCACAAAGGTGATGCCCTCTCTACCTGCCTTATGGTGCTGGGAGACACACTCAAACAGAAGCAGCCAAAGTAGAGACTTCTTTTCCTCTGATACCAGTCCAGCTCGCTGCCTGCCCAGACTAAAGCTTCAGGTTCCCTTGCAAGAAGAATCCCAGCCTGCCGCATCCTCTTTTCCTGATTGGTTCTCCCTCTCTGGCTCCTCTTCCTCCTTTCAGGCCACTGAGTGGCTCCTCCTCTCACCTTCCTGGCCACTGATTGGCTCCCTTTCTCAGGTTCCTCCCCCCATCTTTCTGACCCCTGATTGGCTCCCCTTCTCTGGCTCCTCCCTCCTTCCTGGACCTGCCTTTCTGTCTTCCACCAGAGGTTGCCCTAGGCTGCTGGACTTGGTGAACTTTTAGGTAAGTGGGTCTGGAGATATCAGTGACACACTGGCCATATAAAAACCGGCTGGAGCCCGTTACACAGCCAGAAGCCAGGACCCCAGGCCCACAGATGCTGATTCAATAGGTTTGTGGTGGAGCCCAGGGATCTGTAGTTTATAAAAACAAGTCCCAGGTAATGCTGACATTCAATGCAATTGAGAAATCACCCATCTAGTCCAAACCTTTAAGTCAAAAACAGGCAAACCCAGGCCTAAAAAGGCTAAATTACTTGTCCAAGGCCACACAGCTAATCAACTGAAACTGAATATTGGGCAGCTCCTGGTCCCCACATGACACCTCTCCCCACCCCGCAGATACACACACACACCTCACGCACCTCCTCCAGATTTGACTGGCTCGGCTTCTGTCCTGAGGCCTGACTAAGATCTGGTCCCTTTACTTCTAGGCCACAGGACCCAAAGTCCAGGCCAGAGCAGTCCCTGTGGAACAGGAGCGGGACAGCAATTTCTTGGTGAAAGGTGTTACACCGCAGGGGCTAAGGCCTGGCATTATTCTGCTGCCTGGGTGGAGCCCAGGTCACACACCAAGCAGTGAGGAAACCTGAGCTGCCCCTCCCTGTTCCCAACTGTCCCAGGAGGCCCCAGGGGCCTGGTCCCACAGCCACTCTCCCCAAGATTCAGGTGTCACATAACTGGGCCCCAAGCCAGGCCTCTGGTTCTCAGGCAACTCTCCCCCTCCCTGGGGCCTGCAGGAATCTCAAGAGATTGCAGTTTCCTCTGTTAGAAATGGCTGGAAACCTTAGGAGGGCAGAGGGAGGGTGCTGAGGCAGCAGGACCCCCTCCTGGGCCCCAAGTGATCCTTTCCCACTACCAACAAGCCCTGAGCAGACGAAGTGTTCCAGGTCCTGCCACTGTGGACTGCTGCCACTTGGACCCTTCACTGCCAACCCTGTGCCCCCACTACTCCTTCTGCCTTGGCCCTTGTCCTGATTCTGCTCAACACACTTGTCACACCTTCCCAAAAACTGCAGTTCTGAAGTTCGTAGTGTGCAGGGGAATTATGAGAGCCAGCCCTTCTGCTTCTGGAAAATTGCTATTGTGACTATACCCACTCTTCTCTGGCACTCAGGAAGGGGAGACAGCAGAGATAGAAAGAAGGGCTCTGAAAGTCTGAGGTACAATATCAAGTACCAGCTGAACAAAGCTGGAACTCGCACACATTGCTTGGTAATGCAAAATGACGCACAGTTTTGAAAACAATTTGGCAGTTTCTTATAAAGTTGAACATGTACTCACCATACAAATTAGCAATGCCAGTCATAGGTATTTGAGTAGCATTTCGTTTCCCAAGGGAAACGAAAACCATTTACATACAAAGACCTGTTTGTGAATGTTTATACAGACTTCATTTATAATCACCAAAAACAGGGAACTCCCCAAATGTCCTTCAGCTGGTAAATGGATAAATAAACTGGTACATCCATACAATGTATAAATGGCTGCTCAGTTTGTTTATCCATTTACCAGTTGTCCACCACATTAACATGATTATATCAATTGATGCTGAAAAGTCAACACCCATTAAACAACAATTCAATACTCATCCATTATAAAATTCAAAGAAAAATTGGAATAGAACTTTCTCAACTTGATGAAAAGCATCAACGAGAACCCTACAGCTAACATTATACTTAATGGTGAAAGACTGAATGCTTTTGCCTTAGATGAAAACAAAGCAAAAATGTCTGCTGTCACCACTTTTATATGACATAGTGCTGTGAAAGTTTTAGCCAGTGCAATAAGGCAAGAAATTAAAAGGCATACAGATTAAAAAGGAAGAAATAAAAACTGTTCCTATTTGAAAAGAACATGATTGCTTTTGTAGAAGTTCCCAAGGGATATACAAAATATTAGTACTAGTAAGTGAATTCAGCAAGGTCACAGAATACGAGATAAACATACAAAAATCTGTTGTATTCCTATGTACTAGAAATGAACACCTGGATATCAAAATTAAAAATACAATACCATGTGCAACTACAAAAAGAAAAAGAAGAGATACTTAAGTGTAAATCTACAGGATTTGTATGCTGAAAACTACAAAAAGAAGATTAAACAAGTCAAAGAACAGCTAAATAAATGGAGAGATGTATTATGTTCATGGATTGAAAGATTCAACATAGTAAAGATGTTGACTTACTCCGCAAAAGGATATATGAGTTTAATGCAATTCCTTTTAAAATCTTGCAAAAGTTTTTGTAGCTATACACAATATTACTCTAAAATTTATGTGGAAAGACAAAGGAACTAGAATAGCTATCTTAGTCTGTTTTGTGTTGCTATAAAGAAATACTAGAGGCTGGGTAATTTTTAAAGAAAAATGGTTTATTTGGCTCATGATTCTCATGGCTACAAGTTCAAGATTAGGCATCTGCATCCGACGAGGGCCTCAGGCTACTTCTGCTCATAGCAGAAGGCAAAAGGGAGCCAGAGTGTGCAGAGATGGCATTGTGAGAGAGAGGAGGAAAAGGAGGGTGTGCTAGGCTCTTTTAACAACCAGCTCTCACAGGAATTAATTGAATGAGAACTCACTCACTCCAGAGAAGGCCATTAATCTATTCATGAGAGATCCACCTCTATGACCAAAACACCCATTAGGCCCCACCTCCAACATTGAGAATTAAATTTCAACATGAGATTTAGATGAGACAAACATCCAAACCATAGGAATAGCAATTTTGGAAAAAAAAAAGAATAAATTGGGAGGAATCAGTCCATCTCATATCAAGCTACAGTAATCACTGTATAGCTACAGTAAGACTGAATGTTATTGGCATACAAGATACAAGATAACTTACAAGACTGTATGTTATTGGCAGAGAGATATACATCAATGGAACAGAATGGAGAAACCAGAAATAGACCCACACAAATATGCCCAACTAATTTTTGACAAACGTACAAAACTAATTCAATGGAGGAAAATAGCCTTTTCAACAAATGGTGCTAAAAAAAAAAAAAGCCTCTAAGTCTTACGTACGCCTTATACTAAAATTAACTCAAAATGGATCATTAACTTAAATGTAGAACATAAAACTATAAAACTTCTGAAAAAACAGGAGGAAGTCTTCAGGATGTAGGTCTATGCAAAGAGTTCTTAGGTTCAACACCCAAAGCATCACCCATAAAAGGAAAAATTAATAAATTGGACTTCATCACAAAAGCTTCTGTTTTGTGAAAGGCCCATTAAAAAGCATTAAAAAGATGAAAAAAAGCTACATACTGGGAAAAATATTTGCAAACCATATATCCAACAAAGAACTAGTATGTAGAATATATAAAGAACACTCAAAACTCAGCAGTCAGAAAACGAACAATCCAATTAGAAAATAGGTAAGAGACATAAAGACATATTTCACCAAAGAAGACATCATATGGCAAATAGCACATAAAAAGATGCTCATTGTTCATCATTAAGGGAATGCAAGTTACAATCACAATGAGAATCACTATGTACCTATCAGGATGGCTAACATAAAACAGTAATAATACTAAATGCTGACAAGGATTCAGAGAAACTGAGTCACTCATACATTGCTGGTGGGAATGTAAAATGGTACAGGCACCGTGGAAAACAGTTTGGCAGTTTCTTTCAAAAACTAAACATACAACTACTGTACAACCCAGCAATTGTACTTCTGGGCATTTATCCCAGAGAAATGAAGACTTGTATATAAATGTTTATAGATGCTTTATTTATTTGTATTAGCCCCAGACTGAAAATGATCCACTTGTCCTTCAACACAGAAATGATTAAATAAACTGGGGTATATCCTACCATGATCTAATACTCAGTGACACTGTTAGGCTTTGTGTCCCCATCCAAATTTCATCTTAAATTGTAATCCCGAGGTATTGAGGAAGAGAACTGGTAGGAGGTGATTGGATCACAGGGACAGTTTCCCCTATGCTTCTCTCATGATAGTGAGTTCTCACGAGATCTAATGGTTTTATAAGACAGTTTTCCCTGCACTTGCTCACTGTCTCTCACCTGCTGCCGTGTAATATGTGCCTGCTCCCCCTTCTGCCAAGATTGTAAGTTTCCTGAGGCCTCCCCAGCCATGTGGAACTGTGAGTCAATTAAACCTCATTTGTTTATAAATTACCCAGTCTCGGGTAGTAGCTTTATAGCAGTGTGAGAATGGATTAATACAGTCAGAAAGAACTACTGATACACAAAACAACCTGGATGAATCTCCAGAGAATTATGCTGAGTGAGAAAAGCCAATCCCCCAAAGTTACATATGATTCCATTTATATAACATTCTGGAAATGACAACATTATGGAAATGGATAACAGATCAGTGGTTGCCATCAGTTAAGGAGAAGATAGGGATGGGAGGGAAGTAGATATGGCTATAAAAGGGCAACATGAAGATCCTCATGGTGATAGAAACGTTCTGTATCCTGACTGTGTTAACATCAATATCTTGGTTGTAATATTATAGTTTTGCAAGTTGCTATCATGGGAAACTGAGTAGAGGATTCCCCAATTACCTCAAAATTTAAAATTTTAGGTAAGAAAATTTAAACTTTGAAGACAGAAAAAAGATAAAACGCTGCTGCTTCTCCAAGATAAAATAAGAATGGCCATGGCTTCCCGACAATCACCTGGACTTACCTGAAACAGACTCATTGAATCAGGAGAATTGGCTTCCAGGTTCTACAGCCTCTCTTCCTCCCTCCAACACGAGTAAGCCCTCTGTAGTCTCTCCTCCTTTCCCCCACCAAAATGTAAAAAAGCTGATAAAGCACTAATACTAATCATAAATAATTGTTCAGACAGTGAGTGCATACTCACAAAGGGATGTGCATTTTAATGGGAACAAGTCATAGTAAGCTAAAAAATGAACCACCAATAGTGAAATTGCTGATACAGCAGGCAGAGGTAGGAAGACATTTAAGATGGCTGGAAAAGGAAGAACTTCCTTGAACTCTGAAAATCCATCAGGCCTGCAGGCTGGGTTGATTCATCAGGCCAGCTGTGCCCAATAGGTAGAGTGGAGAGATTTAAACACCAGGGTAGGGGACAGGAAATGGCAGAATGAAGATATCAGTAGTGTAGTGCTCCAGGATTGGATGGGAATGATTAGAAAGAAAGAGAATTGAGATTTGAAAGGTAAAAGATATTTATTCATTTGCCTAGGACGTTTCACCACTTTAAAAATTAATTAAATTTGTTAGAGATGACATCTCACTATGTTGCTGTATTAGTCTGTTTTCATACTGCTATAAAGAACTGCCCAAGACTGGGTAATTTATAAAGGAAAGAGGTTTAATTGACTCACGGTTCTGCACAGCTGGGGAAGCCTTGGCAAACTTACAATCATGGTGGAAGGTGAAGGAGAAGCAAGGCACCTTCTTCACAAGGCAGCAGGAAGGAGAAGTGCCAAGCGAAGTGGGAAGAGGCCCTTATAAAACCATCAGATCTTGTGAGAGCTCACTCACTATCACGAGAACAGCATGGGGGAATTGCCCCCATGATTCAATTATCTCCACCTGGTCTCTCCCTCGACATGTGGGGATTATGGAGATTATAATTCAAGATGAGATTTGGGTGGGGACACAAAGCCTAACCATATCAGTTGCCCGGGCCAGTCATGAACTTTCACCACTGTTTTCTGCAAAGCACTGTGCATTCCCATTCTAGTTAGGCGATCTAAATGTAAAGTGGCCATTTTGGAACAATTATTGGCCTGGGTGTGATCACCTGATCCAGCCCTGACCAATCATAGTACCTTTCTACCTCTGAGTTTCAATAATTGGTTGAGAAGGTGATGGGTAATTCAAGCCTAGCCAATTGGAGTCTTCTCCTATTGGTTGGTTGGTTGGTTGTAACTGGAATTGGAGTTTTGTCTACTGTGATGAAACTGAGAGTATTAGGCCTTGGACCAGCAGCACGGGAGAAGCTATCTAACTAAGCAGGGAGCTGACACCTAGAGAACCAGGCAGTAGGAGGGATGCCTGGTGGCCCCAGAGTCCCTGGTTTAAGTCATTCCTGAGGCTGGCTGCATTCTTGTCCAGCCAGTGGTTTGGATACTGGAGTCAATAAGTAATCCCCATACTCCCCTTTCCCAGAAGCCCGAGCAAAGCTGGCTCTGTACGCAGGATGAGGGGAGGCTTGTGTGTGTGTGTGCGCTGTGGGTTCCTGATCAGAAAGTTCTACCCCATCTGATGAGCCCTGGCAAAAAAGTCATCAGAGATGGTACTGAGGCTCTGAAAGCCTACGTGCTGGGGAGGAAGATCCCAAGGAAGCAATAAGGTAGGAACCATCTTTTCACTTATGGAGCACCTGAGCTGCACTGGATAGCACACTCCAGTGTAAATGTTATTAGTCCATTTTTCAGAGGAGAAAACTGAGGCTCACACAAGTAAAGTCAGTTGTTCGAGGTAACATGGTAATAAGAGGCAGGCTTGGTATGGGACCCAGTCATTTCTTACTTCCAAGCTAGTTTCTTTCTAGTTGGCCACCCTATTCTCCAGGAGCCTCCCATTCTCTTAGCAAGGCACAGCTGCTTATTTAAAGATTACCCAAAGCTTTTGACCAGCTCAGACATCTCAGGACTCTGAATCTCATAACCACAGGGGTCCTGGGAGGCAAGTGCCAATCCAATGAGCCTTAGAGGCTACTATTTAGAGCCAGATATGAGACGGTGTCCAGGCTGAATATGAGACCCTGGGAAATTACTTAACCTCCCTGAACCTCAGTTTCCCTATTTCTATCTGAGTTAATAATAGTAACTGCCTCCTATGGTTGTTGGTGAGACAATGAATGAAAGGTGCTTAGCATATATGAGCAGCCTTTGGTCCTTATGAAAGAGAAACCCAGAGTCCCCTGTTTCCAAGTCAGCACTCAGATGTCCCTAATCCCCCAGCCTCTGACCTTCTCCCTCCTCCCAATTTCAGCCCCGGCCAGGCCATTCCTGTCTAAACTTTTCCAAATGTCACTCTTTTTTTTTCTTTTTTCTTTTTTATGCTTTTTGTCTTTATCTAGGTGACATTTTTCTTTTCTTCCGCAGGGATTGTTATAAGAACAGGTGTGAAAATAACAACAGAGTCTCTGGCCAGGCCCCTCCTGAACAGTGGGAGGATATTTTGGCCTAGAGACAGCCACAGAGAGTCCCAAGGGCGTGGGGGTCAGGGGAGGGATTGAGCTAAGGGAATGCTGGGGCAATTCTACAGCTAGGTCAAAGGGCAGGCCTCCCTCTCCAGAAAGGACTCCACTGACATAATCTCAAGTATGATGAGTCAATAAAATCCAGCTCTGGAATTCTTGGCAAAGCTGAAGCCTTCCCTGTCCACAAGAGACTGTGTTGGGTGGCTCAGTTTGGTCAGTCCTGATCATCTCCCGTCTGGGTGGAGAGACCAAGAGGCAGAGCTGGCAGCGACAGACCCCCCCACAGCCAGGCTCTCCCAGGGCTCCAGGCCCCTCAACCTTGCGTGGCTGTGCTTGGTGAACTCACTCGTCTTCACAGGGGTGTGAGGACTGTCTTCATCTCAGAATCCTCCACAGAGGCCGGTACCTGTGAGACATCAATTACAGCCTCAGTAAGGGTTGAATCAAGTGACAGAAAACCCTGCTGTCTGGAAAAAGGAAGAGGAGGACCTTCTGAGAGGAGATATGAGTCACTGGCAGAAGACTCCATTCACAAACATGACTCCCCATTGTCTGCCTCACACACAGTGCCCTCTCCCATTCTCCAGGAACTGGCCATCCTCAACCATGGGTCCCAGCTAAAACCCCGGGGCTTAGCTCACTGGACCAAAGAGCATCTGACTGAAGCTTGCCAGTCAGATTCTTTTCTCCTAGGAATGTGAACTTTTAACCTGAGAGACATAGCAGGTGAGAGGCATAAATGGTGACCCCTGGAAGGAAGGTCCATGGGCACAGGGTGAAACCACCTTTACAAAAAGTGCATCAGTGAGAGAAATCTAAGCTAACTGACTCCAACTTCACAAGCTAACTGCCTTTGTTAACTTTAAAACAGAGATGATAACAATCCCTTCCCAAAACTAACCCCCTTCTTGCTTGATGACCAAAACTGCCTCTGTAAGGCTGTGTATGGCGGCTCACGCCTGTAATCCCAGCACTTTGGGAGGCCGAGGCAGATGGATTACTTGAGGTCAGGAGTTCCAGACTAGCCTGGCCAACATGGTGAAACCTTGTCTCTGCTAAAAATACAAAAATTAGCTGGACATGGTGGTGCATGCCTGTAATTCTAGCTACTCCAGAGGCTGAGGCAGAAGAATCACTTGAACCCAGGAGGCAGAAGTTGTAGTGAGCCGAGATAGTGCCACTGCACTCTAGCCTGGGCAACAGAGCAAAACGTCGTCTCAAAAAACAAAAAAAAACAAAACTGCCTTTGTAAGACTAATGAAAGTCCACAAGATTAGGATCATAGGAGAGGCCTGAATTCTGCTAAGATGCAGGTGTAGTTAAATGATAACCAGCCATTGTTCCCTAGCTTGAATTTCTGTAATCATTTACTGCTCCAGAGATCACAATATTTGTAAATTCCCCAATTGCTCTGATAGATGACATCACTATTGTAAAAATGAAAGATTGGTCTTTGAGATATTTTTTGGACTTTTGCATTCTAGTAACAGACTGACTTCACCTGGGCCCATAACTCATACCAAGGAACTAATTCAACTGCTTCTGTGACTTCCACCCAGGAACTGACTCAACACAAGAAGACAGCTTCAACCCTCTGTAATTTCATCCCTGGCCCAACCAATCAGCATCCCCCATTCCCTAGCCCCTTGACTGCCAAACTATCTTTGAAAAACCCTAACCTTTGAGCTTTTGGGGAGGGTGATTTGAGTAATAAACTCCCATCCTTCCACTTAACTAGCCCTGTGATTATTAAACTCTTTCTCTACTGCGGTACTGCTGTCTCAGTGGATTGGTTTTATCTGTACAGTGAGCAAACAAGAGCACCATGGTTTCCAGAGCTGCTTCTGTTGCTCTTCCTCCCAAGGCCTATGTTGTTAGCTAAAAGCCATAGTCTCTCCCTGATATAGTTTGAATATATGGCCCTGCCAAATCTCATGTTGAATTGTAATTCCCAATGTTGAAGGTGGGGTCTGGTGAGAGGTATTTGGGTCATGGGGGCAGATTGCTCATGGCCTGGTATTGTCCTTGTGATAGTGAGTGAGTGCTCATTAGATCTGGTTGTTTGAATGTGTGGCACACCCTACAATCCACTCTCCCTCTTGCTCCTGCTTTTGCCCTATGATGTGCCTACTTCTGCTTTGCTTTCTGCCATGAATGAAAGTTCCCTGAGGCCTCCCCAGAAGCTGAACAGATGCTGGGGCTATGTTTGTACAGCCAGAAGAACCACAAGTCAACCAAACCTCTTTTCTTTATAAATTACTCAGCCTCAGGTATTTATTTATAGCAACACAAAGAATGGCCTAATACACTCTCCAGTTCATCCCCTCTTGTGGCTTGAGCTGGCTAAAGTTTATCTGTGTTGCTTTCAAGCAAAAGAACCTTAACTTTCATTCCCATGGACCCTTCAGAGGCCAGCCTGTAGCCCAGTGTGATACAGATGTGCCTCTGTCATCCAGATGTGAGAACAAGGTGGCAGCTAGAGGTAATTAGGGTCCCATGAACCATGGGCTGTGTGCTTCTTTCTACAATCCCAGGGAGCTTGAAAGAAGGGACATTCCAGCCATGGGCCTTCTGGAGGAAGTGAGCTCAGAGGAAAGAGCGCTAGATTGGAAGTTGGGAAGCCCAAGTCCTAGGCTTAATTCAACCCCTGACTTGCTGTGTGACCTGGGATTCTTCTCACTGTATATCTGGGCCTCTTGTTCTTTTATCCTTTCTAAGTCTCCTCTCCAGTGGGTTCTTGGGCACCTCTTTTCCTGTCCCAGTCTTCCCTTCAAACTTGTCCCTCTCTTCCCTTCCATTCTGCCCCAGTGTGCACACACACATGCACACTCACAAATGTTCTCTGTCTCTTCTGTCTCCTTCCTTCCTTCCTTCCTTCCTTCCTTCCTTCCTTCCTTCCTTCCTTCCTTCCTTTCCCTTCTTCCTTCCTTCCTTCCTTCTCATAAGATGCCTTAAATTAGATGCATCATTTTGGTGTTTGGTGAGAAGCCAGGGGCTGTATCAGTCAGGGTGGGTGAGGTTGGGCTGTAGTAACAAGCAGCCCCCAAATTTCAATGGGTTTCTGACTCATGCCACCTGCCCATGATAAGTCCACCAGCTTTTACTCATCCTTACCCCAAGGCCTGGAATGACAGAGTAGCCACCCCCAGGGAAATTGCCAGTTGGTTGGCCAACGGACTGTCATGACAGCAGGAAAGAGGAACATGGCTGATCCAGAAACAACAGTGTGAGCGCAATCGTTTATTTGGGAGGTGCAGGAAACACTGGTATCAAGTAGAAAAGTGCAACTGGGAAGGGAAAGCAGCTAATACAAGATGCATATGAAGCCAGGTACCTCTGTGGGTGAATGAACTTAATCCCGTGGGATACCCCAGGGAAAGAGTGAGGAGCACATACTGCAGAGTGATCCCACCTGCAGCATGGAGCGAGGGAGCCTGGGTATTTGTGTCTCAATTCCCCAGAGTCACTGACTGAGAGCTGATGAAGGTGATAATGTGTAATTCCCCTGCACTTCTGGCTGGTAGTGCATGTAGGCTGAGCTGTCTTTTTTGGGCCTGGAGAAATCCCTCAGGCACAGAGATGCAGACACTGGCAGGTAGAATTCAGCAGGGAGGGTCCAAGGGACACTGACAGAATCAGCCTCAAAGGTGAATCAGGCACAAGCTTTTCAACCTTCCACCCGGAAGTGACATGTACCACTTCCACTCACATCATTTGTTAAAGCAAGTCACGTGGGCAGGCAGAACTTCAAAAGCATGGAGGATGCAATCCTACCGTGTACCTAGATGGAGATGCAACCAGAATGTTTGTGCTTGGTCCACGGACAAGCACAAGGACCCAATCCACTTGCACACTGCAGGCATAGAAAGCAACTGGACTGCACCTGCCAGGAAACATCAACACTCCTGCCACTGCCCACATTTGGTCTCCTGCTGGAACTGCTTCCAGCTCCTCCCTTCCCCCACCTCTCCACGTTGGCTTTCCTCCTGCTGTTTTCTCCCACTCTCTTCTCAGCAACAGTCACTTCCAGTTGGCCCTTGGCCCTCCCAACACACAAGTCCTAGGGGAATTCCTCAGCTCCTCCTGGCCACCTCTCAGTCATAATAACTGAAAACATTGTGAGGAGAAAATTGCATAGGCATCCACTTTTTATTCTTCTTCTCCTCACCCCCATGTGAGGGGAACTATCATCAGTTTGACAGATGAGGTAACTGAGGCACAGAGAAAGTGACTATGCAACTGTGTATCACTTTCTCTGTGCCTCAGTTTCCTCATCTGTGTGTCATGCAGTGAAACACCTGAGCAGGATCATGGATACACTTGAGCTCAAGGATACATGGATCGTGGTAGACCTGGGAGTGGAAAGTCAGGTCTCCTGGCTCCTAGCCCAGCGCTCACCCTTTCCCCACATGTGGCTTTTCTGGGGTCAAGTCCTGATTCCACCTACATCCTAGGGCCACCAGCACTACCTCACTTCACCATTCTAACTGCCAAGCACTCATTTCACAACTCCATGCCTTCGCATGTGCCGTCCCCTCCTCCTTCAATGCCCTCCATCTCCAACAACCAGAGGGCACCCCAGAAGTTGTCCATCTCCCTCCAGGCCACAAGTGCAGGCGCCCCTGGGTCCTCTCCCTGCAGGCTGGATGTGCCAGCAGATGAATTCCTTCCACTTGTGACTACAGCCACTCCAATGCCAATTCCATGGCTCATCACCCCAATGCTGGGAACGCTCCCCTCCTCTTGGTCAGCCCACTCCACTAGTTCAATTACCTGCCCCGGTGAAGTTCCATGTGGCTGTCAACCTCAGCAGCTGGCAGCCAGCCCCAAGCTCCACAGCTGGCTCAGCCCCACTCCCTCTCTTGGGAGGGCAGCAACAAGAACCTTCCTGCTTAAACCACCCTCCTGGGCTCTGGTGCAGGCAACCCATGGACACTAGCCTGGGCTTTCTTGTGGAGCTATCCCTACATAGGACAGAATCTGCAGTTCCCAGACATCTGTTGTGCCAGGATGTTCCACACTAACCTGCATTATCCCCTTTTGTCTTCAGCATACAACACTCAACTTACAGAGGAGAAAAAGGAAAGAGAAATGGATAAAGATGCAGAGAAAACAGTGATCATTGATCCACTCAGAGAATATTTATTGAGGACTTACTATGTGCCAGTCACTCTTCTAGACACCAGGATAGACAGACACAGGGAGGAGCTATATAATAAATATTTTAACAAAGACATATTTCTGATAGACTGGTAAGTCATTGATAACTTCTCTGGAGAAAAATAGCACAGGGAAGGTGATGCCTGGTGAGGGTGGGCCTGCCTAAAAGGGGAGTCGGGGCTTCTCCCTCTGAGGAGATAAAATTTGACCAGAAATCTGGCAAAACTGAGAAAAAACATCATGTAAAGCTTTGTGGAAGAGCATTCCAGGAGGAGGGAACACGGCCTGGCCAAGGCACTAGATGGGAATGAGCTTGGAGTCTGAGGAGCTACGAGAAGGTGGTGTGGTGGGGCACAGTGAGGGAGAGGGTGAGCAGGCATGGGTTTGGACTGAGGTCGACTGATGTAGGGCCTCGTGTTAGGATAAGCCAGCTGCTGTAAAAAAAAAAAAAAAAAACCCAAGTTTCAGTGACGTGACACAATAAAGAATCAATTTTTGCTTGTGTAGTAGTTCAGTTAGTGTTGTCACAAGACAGGTACAGGAGTTCTGATTCGCATACTTGGGGATCCAGGCATCTTCCACTGTGTGACTCTGCCATTTCCTCAGGGTCCTCACTGGATGTCCATCCAGCTGGCATGTGGGGAAAGTGTGGAGAAGGCACACTGCTCTCAACCACTTCGACCTGGGTTAACACATGTCACCTCCACTCACACTCCATTGACAAGAATAAGGCATAAGTCTCCGCATCCACCATCACCCCACCCACGCAAAGAAGCAGAGAAATGTGGCACAGCAGGGAGCCTGGGACAAAGAGGAGAATGTAGAGTTTGGTGAGCACTGGCTGCCTCTGCTGTAGGCCTGGAAGGCTTTGAGGAGGCACTTGGATTTTATTCTAGAAGTGATGAGAAGCTGTTGGAAAGTTGAGACCAGAGGAGTGAAATGATTTGGTTGGTGTTTTAGTCTCCACGGGCTGCCGGGGAGGAAAGGCTAGGAGTGGTGGTTGGAGTAAAGCATCGCCCAATGTTGCTCAGCTAGTTCAGTGGTACAGTTGGAATTTGAACTTGGCCTGTCTGGCTCTAGAGCCCTTGGGCTTCACCCCTGTGTCTGCTGCCTCTTGGAGTGTGATGTACAGATGTCAGCTCTTTCCTGGACAATTGCAGTAATCGGCCTTCCAACCCATCTTGTGGCATCCTGGAGAGGACTGGGCATGGTAGGTAGAGGACAGATGTATTAGTCCATTTTCACATGGCTATAAAGAAATATCCAAGACTAGGTAATTTACAAAGGAAAGAGGTTTAATTGACTCACAGTTCCACATGGCTGGGGAGACCTCAGGAAACTTACAATCATGGCAAAAGGGGAAGGGGAAGCAAAGACCTTCACACGGTGGCAAGAGAGAGAAGAAAGCACATGTAGGAGGGACTGTCAAACACTTATAAAACCATATGATCTCCTGAGAACTCACTATTGTGAGAATAGCATGGGGGAAACCCCCCCATGATCCAATCACCTCCCTCCCTTGACATGTGGGGATTACAAGTCCCTCCCTCCACATGCGGGGATTACAATTCAAGATGAGATTTGAGTGCGCACAGAAAGCCTGACCATATCAACAGGTTTTCTCAAAGTCCGGCTTGGAGTCTAAATGAGGCTCAGCACTTAGCCAATACAGGACCTCTGTTGCCTTGCTCAGCCTGTTTCCCACAAAACATGAGCTACATGATGTCAACAGGGTGGTCATGAGCATCAGATGAGACACTGCAGAGGAAGTGGGCGGGGGTCACAGTGCCTCTACACTGGAGTATCCAGAGGCAGCCTTCTAGTAGCCTTGGGAAGGAGGCCCCCGATCCCCAATGTTTGATTTCCTTTTCCTTGTCCTTTTGGTTTAAGGTTTTGCCTCCTCTTACCAGGCAAAGTCTCTAAAAGAGGCAGCACATTTCAAAGTCCCTGTCAATCCTCTAGGGAAATCACTTCAGTGAATCCTTCTTAGAAGCCTGCTTGAATGGTCTTGGGGCCCAATCCAGGGGGAAGAGAAGTGCCAGCAAGAAGAAAAATGACCCTCAAATTAGAGCCAAAGAGCCTCATTCCCTCTTGGGTAATTTTGCCTGCTCTCTCATTCAGAATTCTCTCATATTCCTTGAGTCCATTTGGGGAATGAGAAGTTGGCCAAATTCTGGCCTCTCTGAGCACCTAATTGTGCCTCCCAGTCTGAGGCTCAAAATCTGGAGTTTTTCTGATGCATAATATTCACAATGATTCAAAAGAGGAAAGCTCTGAAGAGATTATTAAAATCTCTGACCTAAACTTGTTCCTGGCTGAGCACATTTTGACAAGTTGAATAGTGATGGAATGAAGAGCTCTGGATGAATAAAAAGGGATGCTGACAAGTTTGCACGGAAGATAAAGCCCAACGGCACAGATCTGGGGCAGTGGGGTGCCTGCTGGGGGTGTTTAGTGGCCATGTTAGGGGTCTGGAGCTAGAGAACCAAAGGGAGAAGCTGGGGAGGGTCAGCCAGGAGCCTTGAAAAACACCTGACAGAGTATCCCCTGAGAACACACAGTGCCAGCAGCTGAGATCCGGCAGATAAATGTGGAGAGAAGGAGCAAGAGACAGGAAGGACAAGAGAGGAAAAGGGAAAAATTAGAAAAAGGAATTAAAGAACGCATGAAAGACAGTGAGATTTCAGAGTCCATTGGCCATCCTGAGAAGCCCTCCCACTGCACAACACCTAGAAATGCTGGACAAAATACAACAAACACCCTTCTTGTGAGCGCTAAACTCACAGGAAAATGATGGCAATCTTCAGGGGTCCCAAATGAGAAGAGAACAGGAAGTAAGAATGCTAAGATGACACTGAGGGTGAAAGCTCCCCTTGAGGCATTAGCTCAGTTACTTCACAGAGTCTTGAATTTTAAAGTCCACATGGGGACTCAAGCAATGTGAGAAGGTGGAAGTGAGACCACAGCATAAAATCTAGATCCTTGAAAGGTTACATTTGGAGGGAAAAGTAGACTCATCAGCAAAGAGGGACTGAAGGAAATATGTCTGTCTTGATCTGGGCTCTGAGTTGAAAAAAACCAGCCTTCACTGAGAATTTGGAATCATAGAGTCATAGGCTCTTCTCCTCTGAGGGTTGGGGTTTTAAGGTAGACTGCATATGTGATTTGGAAAACTCCAAACTGAGAAATTTACTTACAAAGTGGGATCAGGTTGGTAGCACTCAGGAGTGTTAATGTTAATCCTCTTTGAAGCTGACACTTTTTTTTTTTTTTTAAGACAGAGTGGCTCTGTAGCCCAGGCTGGAATGCACTGGCATGATCTCAGCTCACTGCAACCTCCTTCTCCCAGGCTCAAGCAATCCTTCTGCCTCAGCCTCCCAAGTAGCTGGGACTACAGGCATGTGCCACCACTCCTGGCTAATTTTTTTTGTATGTTTGGTAGAGATGGGGTTTCACCATATTACCCAGGCTGGTCTCAAACTCCTGACCTCAAGTGATCTGCCCATCTCAGCCTCCCAAAGTGCTGGGATTACAGGCATGAGCCACTACGCCCAGCCCTGAAGCTGACGCTTTTAAGTCATACTTAACAGGATTCTCACAGAGAGAGGTTGTGAATATGAGCTCACAACCTACAATTACAAGGTACACGATAAAATAAACCACCTTGAGTGAAAAATCAGCAGATAAAACAAACAGCAGAATTAGACCTTCAGAAGACCTCAGCTATTGAAATTATAAAATTCAGACTATAAAATAAATATGCTTAAATTAAAGAAAAATACTTGAAAATATAAAAAGCTCTTGCCAAACATTATCCTGCTTCAGCCTCATAAAAACTCTGGGGTTTGCAGGTGAAATTGCATTTGCTCCATTTTTTCAATGAAGAGATACTCAGAGCAGAAGTGAGGAGACCTACTCAGGACCACACAATTAGTAACTGGCAGGACATGAAATCTAGGTCTTCCACCTGCAAAACCAATGCATGCTTCTTGTTTTATCTTCCACCTGTTTTTCAAATGCATGCTCAAGGGCCATTTGGGCCGAAGATGGCTTAGCATGGGTGAAGTGCTCATGGGCTAGTGTAGGCAAAGAAGGCAGGAATGTATACCATTGTCCTTATCCATAACCCAGTCTGGTGTGTCCTGACCCATGGAACTTGGAAACTCCATCCTGTTTATCCTAGGGATTCTGTACTCAGTGAGGGAAGAGGTAAAACAGTGAGAGTGAGGGGTGTGTTGAGGGAAAGAAAGAAGGAGGGGAAAGAAGAGTGAGGGAGAGATGGTAAATAGTGGAGAAATGCTGCTAAAAAGACATTGTCACAAGAAGGGACTGGCAGAGGAAAAATACAAACTTTTGGGTTGACATAGTTTTGAAAGCTACAGAGACTGCTGGTAATTTATGAAATTATATATTCTCTTTCTTCCTCAGTAATACAGTTGGATTTGAGCATGTGCGAACCTGGCTAAGAACCACATTAGTCAGCCTCCGTGGCAGTTAGATGTGACCACAGCCCTAAGTTCTCATCAACAGAATGTGAGCAAAAAGGGTGCTCACTTCCAGGCTGGAACCCTGGCCTGAATGTTCATGTTTCCCCAGAATTGTGTTGATACCTGATCCCCAATACAATAGTATTAAGAGTTGGGGACTGTGGAAGACGATTAGGTGATGAGGGCTCCACCTTTTTTAAGGAATTAATGCCCTTATAAAAGAGGCCCAAGGGAGCTTGTTCCCTTCTTCCACCATTCCACCATGCAAAGCCAGCGAGAAGGTGCCATCTATGAGGCGGAGAGTGAGACCTTACCAGGCACCGAATCTGCTGCCACCTTGATCTTGAACTTCCCAGCTTCTAGAACTGTGAGCAATAAATTTCTGTTGTTTATAAGCTACCCAGTCTAAGGTATTTTTGTACAGCAGCATGAATGGACTAAGATAAGCCCTAAGACAGCGGGTATGCCTCCATGGACACCTAAACTAGGGGTCAACAGAGCCACACCACAGAAGGAATCTGGATCCCTGTTCTTCTGTGTGAGTGAAGTCACCCACTGACTTGAAATATCCACCTGATTAGAGGAAAGAGAATTCAACTTCTATCTTCTGAGTTTTTGTTAGGTGGTTTGTGACAACAGCCTGGCTTATACTAACTAATACACCAAGGAAAATCCCCAGCTGATTACTGAGAGGGAGTCAGATGCAAAACTCTACAACACACTGGCATGAACCAAAATCCATGAAGGATAAGGGGTCTGTCACAGGTGATGTAATAGAAGTGTCATTGTCACCTGTTTTACGCTGCTGCAGGGTTACAGTTTTTCCTAATTTGGTTTTTTCCTTTTTATTTTTTCATGAGACAGTTTTCACTCTGTCACCCAGGCTGGAGTGCAGTGGCACAATCATGGCTTACTGCAGCCTGGAACTCCCAGGCTCAAGCAATTCTCCCACTTCAACCTCCTGAACAGCTGGGACCACATGTGCACGCCACCACGCCTGGCTGATTTTTAAATTGTGTTGTAGAGATGGGGTCTCACATGCTGCCCAGGCTGGTCTTGAACTCCTGGGTTCAAGCGATCCTCCTGCCTCTGCCTCCCAAAGGGCTGGGATTACAGGTGTGAGCCACCACGCCTGGCTGGTTTTTTCTTTTTTAAATACTATTTCAACACATATAGAACTTGGACTTTTATTTCACGACTTACATCACGGCTTTCATGTACTTGTGACCATTCTCACGTTTCTAATGTCGTGAAGTGTTGTATTTTTCCCTCTGAGGCACTTTGAAAGCAAGTGCTTTTACTGGGGGCTCCACCGCTACACGGACGATGGAGGGCAGCGCTGGGCCAGGAAGAGCCCAGCTGGGCCAGCCTGGTGGTGAGGAGTGTTTTGCTCTCCCGGCTGCTTCCATCTCTGGGCTGTCTCTCCCCCTGCTGGACAGTGGCCTCAGGCTGGGTCCCAGGGAGACTGTCTAAAGCCACTGTCCTTCTAAAGATGAGCTGTGTGTGAAGTGCCAGGAGAGTAGACTGTCAGCCCCACCCCATGAAGACCTGCTGAGCAGAAGGCACAGGAGTGGCCCCCCTGGGGAGGCCTGAGAGTGCTTCATACAAATCATGCCAACTCCATCTGTGGGAAAAGACTTTGGAGGGTCTCACCCCGTCTCCACTGTGGTGCTGGGGACGGTGACAAGGGCCTTATAGCCCTTTCACAAAAGCAAAGCAAGTCAGAGCCAGAAGGGCCTTCAGACACTCCTCAATCCAACCTTCTCCATCTACAGAATGGAAATTGAGGCCAAGAGCAGGGAAGGAACTTCCAGATAGAGCTTAAGTCTCGGGTCCCCGGCAAGAACATTTTCTGCTAAAGCCGGCCAGCTCCCTACAGAGTTGTATAGGCAGCTTCATTTCCACAGCCCATTTTGTATTAAAAAAGCAAACCACAAACAACATTCCATCCGCTCTAACTGAAAATAAACGCAGGCCCTCAAGATGCTGGCCCCTGAGCTCATTAAAAGCAAGGTTTCCTGACTCTCTGGAAGGAAGACGACTTCCACACCCTGGTGGGATACTGAATGTGCCCTGTGGTACACAGGAGGAGACCTAGACTAGGTGACAGACCAGTGGCTAGAAGCCAATGACCTGGATTCTGGTGTTAAATAAAATGTATGGGAGGGCATTGATTTGGACTAAGCTCCTGCACTAGGCTCTAATAGCTCAACCCAAAATGGAGTCACTCATGCTAAGGTTACATGACCAAACCGAAACCTAAGTTGTTTACTTATGAGATCTGACCTTCCAAGAAATCAGGAGAGAGATGGTAGCCAAATCCCCAAACAGGCCAGTTTTAGTTGGCTGAAGAAGAAAGTCTCTGCATTAACCCTTACGAGGAAAGTAACCTGAAGTAACCTAATGTTAACCAATCTTCTTTTTTGTACTATGCTGTTTTCTTGTTCCTGCTCAAGTTACCATACAAAAACCAACTGTCCTTGGCCAGGTGCAGTGGCTCATGCCTGTAATCCCAGCACGTTGAGAAGCCAAGGCAGGAAGATTGCTTGAAGCCAGGAGTTTTGAGACTAGCCTAGGTAATGTAGTGAGACCCTGGCTCTATAAAAGAAAAAAATTTAAAATTGGCTGGGCATGGTGATGTGCGCCTATAGTCTCAGCTACTCAGGAGGCTGAGGTGGGAGGATCACTTGAGCCCAGGAGTTCGAGGCTGCTGTAGTGAGGCATAATTGTGCCACTGCACTTCATCCTGGGTGACAGAGTGAGGCCCTGTCTCAAAACAAAGCAAAATAACAACAACAAATCTCAAACAACTGTTCTGCCAATGGGGTGGAGCACCTTTCTAGACATTTCCTAGATGGAATACTGCCTGATTCATAAATCCCTAATAAAAGTCAATTAGATGACAGTGTCATTGGGCCTTATTATTAAACTTACTAAACTCAACTTGTTGAAATTTGGTTCTTTGACGCAGGTCACACCTAGAACTTCGTGTGGCTGTGGGACCCTCGGGTGCCCTTTCTGAGCTTTGAAATTTCAGGGAGAAATTTCAGAGGGAATTGGATCCGGTGATATTCCATGATTCTAATTGCAGAGGAAGGAAACGTTTTTAGGCCAATAGGGCAGGCAAAGCAGTATCCTGTTTCCCGGTCAGCCCAGCCCAGAAGACAGCAGAGAGAAGAGCCAGCTTGAGCGGGGGCACAGGGAAGAGGTCTTCCCAGCCACCCTGTACGGGGGCTCTGAAGCCGGGCACTGCAGCAGAGAAAAACTGTGGCACAGGGTCCGTTTGCGGAGCACGTGGGCCTGCTGGGTCTGGGAGTGTCTTCCCACAGGGGTGTCTTCCTGGTGTGAGAAGTCATTTGCCAGGGGCTCTAGCTGGAAGCGAGTGAAGCTCTTGACAGAGAACCCGCAGGCCCATTTTTGCCCGTGCACTCATCATCCACCCTTTCTTGCAACCCTGACAAGGCTGAATGTGGCCCAAACTCGGGCTCCTGCAGGCCTAGCTTCCTTCCGCAGTGCCAGCATCGCCCCTATCCTGGGCATCCCCTGACTCTGTGCCCACTGTTCCCAGGGCTGAGCTCCCTGCCACTTTCTTTGGTCTGGAGAATTACAGCTCCTAATGAAACACAGCCACAACACCCCTGTGCCAGGATATGCTTCTGTTGTAGCCCAGGATGTAAAACTACTTCATACACTCTCAAAATTAGCTTCCGACTCCTCTCCATGAGTAAATGCACAGCAGTCTATTCAAAACCCCACACTGTGGTTTCCTGGGAGGTAGGGATCATTTGTAACCAGAAGGAACATGAGACTGCACCTCTGGTGGCCAGCCTGAGAAGACAGTTGGAGTTTCTGGCTTTCATTCCATTTCTGTCTGTCTTCCACTCAGCCAGGGCAGCTTGCTGACTGAAGTCCTATGCGCATGACTCAGAGGCAGACTGACTCCCTCTAACCACATCTTCCATCAGTTCCAGGCCACCCCCAACCTGCCTTAGGCTCAAGCCTTCCAGCTGGCCTCCACCTCCTCTCCCACCCACCATTTTCCAATCTCCGCAAGGAACCCTCCCTGCAGCCTTGATTTCTGATGCTTCATCTCTCTCTGTCTCTTCTCCCCCAGAGTGTCTTCAGTCCTTTCTGCCAGGAAGCCTCTTCTTCCTTGCTTCAAAATTCTCTTCCACCTCTCCTTTTTCTCTTGCTTCTTCTTCCCCTCTCTGCCTTTTCCACTGAAGCCCTCCTTGATTAAGCAGGAGAGAAAGGAGAACATTCCTGAGCCACCTGTAACTGTGCAGCATGACATCATTCTTTCTGCTGGACTCTGCATACCAGGACCAGAGGAGGCAGGTGGCATCCCCTGCTCACCCACACCAGCTGTACCGGTTCTTCCTTTTTGGAATTAGTAAAGCCCATTCTAAAGTTTATAGAGAAAAATAACCAAGCAAGAATAGGCATATTCTAAAAAAGAATAGTGAGGGGGCCCAGACCTACCAGATATTTAAAACAGTATAAAGAAATGGCAATTAAAACAACACGAGTAGATAGATCAATGGAACAGAAAAAAAAAGTATAGAATGAAACCAGAAAGAAACACCAATCTGGTATGTGGTAAAGAATGTGTTTCAAATCACTGGGGATACGATGGATTACGTATTTTAAAAATTGAACAACTCAGTAGTTATCTGGAAAACAAAGTTGCTCTAAAAAAAGCCTCTCTTTACCCAAAAACTAGAGCAAATGCAATCTCATTTGCATGCCCCAAAGAATTTTTATGGGGCTGAATTTCGTAACTAATTGGCATTAAAGAAAAAATACTTGAAAACATACGAAGCACTTGCCCAAACATTGTACCTTATCTAAATCTCAGATGCTTTAAAGTCTTAAATATATAAATGAGTCATAAAAATACTACCGAGAGATTTTAAAAATTAAATGGAGATGGAAAGACCTTTAAAAAATAGGGTACAAAACCTAGAAAGCATAAAGAAAAAGTTGACAAATTTGACTATATAAAAGTCATATTTCCTCCAGGGGAAAAATATCATAAGCAAACAACAAACTGGCATCTCTTTGAACAGGGAAAGGGTTTAGTTTTATATATATATATATGAAGATTCCTCCAGAGCCATAAGAACAGTTCACAGTGTGGTATGGTGGCTCATGCCTATAATCCTAGCACTTTGGGAGGCCAAGGTGGGTGGATTGCTTGAGCCTAGGAGTCTGAGACCAGCCTGGGCAACATGGCAAAACCCTGTCTCTACAAAAAATACAAAAATTAGCCAGGTTTGGTGGCACTGTCTGTAGTCCCAGCTACTCAGGAGGCTGAGGTGGGAGGATTGCTTGAGCCTGGGAGGCAGAGGTTGCAGTGAGCTGAGATCATGCCACTGCACTCCAGCCTGGGCAATAGAGTGAGACCCTGTCTTAAAAAAAAAAAAAAAAAAGGAAAAACCTCACAAGAAGCAAAAAAGAAGAAGAAGAAGGAGGCAGAGGAGGAGGAGGAGAAGGAAGAGGAGAATGAGGAGGAGGAGAAGGAGGAGAAGGAGAAGAAGAGTTCACAAAGAAGAACTAGTGGTTTTTAAACAGGTGAAAAAACGTTCAACCTCACTCATAAAAGAAATGCAAATTATGCTACAAGGGGATAGTGTTTTTTCACCTGTCAAATCAGCAAAGTAACATATCCTCATACATTGCTGGTGAGAGTGTAAATTAGTACAATCTCTGAAGAAGGTAAGTTGGCTCTATCAGAATTAAACATGTATATGCCCTCTGACCCAGAAATTCTCCTCCTAGTTATTTATCCCACAGATTAAATGTAAAAGGGTGTATATGCAGGGCTGTTGTATTGAAGCATCTCTTGAAAAACAAGATAAATGGCTAAGGGAGGAATTGACTAAATGAATTATCTGTAAAATAGAATACAAGCAACTGTTTAAAAACTGTGGCTACTAGGCTAGGTGCAATGGCTCACGCCTGTAATCCCAGCACTTTGGGAGGCCGAGATGGACAGATCGCTTGAGCTCAGGAGTTTGAGACCAACCTGAGCAACATGGCAAAACCCCATCTCTACAAAAAAAAAAAAAAAATATATATATATATATATATATACATATATACATATATATATATACATATATACATATATATATATATACACATATATACATATATATATACACACATATATATGTATATGTATATATATATGTATATGTGTATATATATATATGTATATATATATATACAAAAATTAGCTGGGTGTGGTGGCTCATGCCTGTAGTCCCAGCTACTCAGGAAACTGAAGCAGGAGGATCGTGTGAGCCCAGGAGGCAGAGATTGCAGTGAGCCGAGATCGCGCCATTGCACTCCAGCCTGGGCAACAGGGTGAGACCCTGTCTCTAAATAAATAAATAAATAAAAACTGTTGCAACTCTCTCTGTGTGCTGAAAGATCTTCAGGATAAGTGAAAAAATCAAGGAGCCAAAAAAAAAAAACCCACAAAGTATATGCATGGTGTGTAACTGTGTTACCTGTTCCAGGAAAATAAAAGTAATTTTCACACATATGCATTTATCGACACAGGCTGTCTCTGAAAGGATCTGTGAGAAAGTGGAACGGTGGCTAATGTGGGGTGGGGCTGTGTGTCTGGAAAGAAAAGGACACTTTCCACAGGATACCCTTTTGTAGGTTTTAGATTTTGTTCTAACAAATGAAATCATTTAAAAGCAACAAAACCCAGTTCTTCCTGCAGTCTCCCTGAGCTTTCCTGGCACGGTGGATCCTCATTTCTTGTTGATTCTTTGCTGCTGGCCTCATTTCAAAGCCCACTCTGATGATCCATCCCCACCACTCTCGAAAAAAAACCGGCCAGGCGCAGTGGCCTATAATTTCAGCACTTCGGGAGGCCGAGGCGGGCGGATCACTTGAGGTCAGGAGTTCGAGACCAGCCTCGCCAACATGGTAAAACCCCATCTCTACTAAAAATACAAAAATTAGCCGGGTGTGATGGCTCTTGCCTGTAGTCTCAGCTACTTGGGAGGCTGAGGCAGGAGAATCGCTTGAACCTGGGAAGCTGAGGTTGCAGTGAGCCGAGATCACGCCACTGCTCTCCAGCCTGTGCGACAGAGTGAGACTCCTTCTAAAAACAAACAAACAAAACAAACAAACAAACAAAGCATGCATTTCCCATGGAGGGAGTTCCTGGAACCCTCCTGGGCTTCACCACTACCCTCTGGAAGAGACCCCCTCCAACATCCGCTGGCGGGTAGATGAAGCCACAGCCACTGAAACAAATGAGACAGTTAAGCTGCCCCCTCCTCCCACCCCACCCCCCAGCAACTTCCATACATCCGGCTGTTTCAAAGAGCAGACAAGGCCAAGGCCAGGACAATCCCTCAGATCAGATTCCTTGGTGTGTGTGTGAATGTTAGTGTGTGTGTGTATGCTCACACCCGTGTGTGTGGAGGCAGGTCTGGGGGCAAAAGGAGAAGGAAATCCACCCACATCAGCGTGCATTTTCCCAGCTGAGAAGTGCCACATCACTAGTAGAAAATGGGAACAGGTCCCATGGAGCTTATGATTGTCCCGAGGCATCTGGCAAGATTCCTGTTGGGCTTGGAAAGTCATTCCTCCTTCCCATCGGCATTCCCTAATCCCTTGCTGGGACCACCTAGCTCAGGCTGGGGTGCAGCATGCCACTCAAGGGAGGGGAGCACACAAAGGCAAGCCGCATGGTCCTCACTTGGAAGAGCAGCCTACAGGAACTGCGGGGGAGCTGAGAGACCAGGCTGATGGTTCCCAAACATTAAAAATACAGGTTCCCAGGGCCCATCCCATCCACTGAAGCAGAGCCTCCAGAAAGTGGGGTCAAGGATTCAGCATTTTAAATATTTTTCCAGATGATGCTGATGTAGCCTATCCAAGAGGTGCTGTCTGGGGTCTTGAACCAGGGCAAGCCACTTATGGGCAGGTAGGGAAACTGAGTCCCATAGAAAAGAAGTGATTCACCAAGGTCACCCAGAGAACTAGAAAAGAGCTGGCAGAGTGTCACCCACAGTCAAGCCTGTGCTGCAGGATGGCTGAACACAGACCAAAGGCCCCACAGAAGTGCCCAGGATTGATGGGCTGGCATTTCAGAAGAGTAGGAGGCAGCCTGGGTGGTGTTGGGGTGACTGAGGGACCCCCCAACTTCAAAACCTTAAGGGGAGAAGAAAGAGGAGTTCACATTTCTTGAGCATCTACTATGTGCCACATATACATTGCTAAACAATGGTGCTGTGTTGCTTTGCACCCAGCGTTCACATAATCCTTACCACAGGTAGGCATCATTCATACCCACTGTGCAGACAAGGGAACTCAGGCTGCAAAGTCCTAAAGTCAGTGAAGCTCAGAGCAGGTCGCCAACCCTGAGGGGTGTGGCTCTGATCCCAGTCTTTTCACTGCTTTCCCCAAGGCCTCAGTCCACTCTCTGCCACTCACTTAAGGCAGTAGGCACGAGACGGTGCTATAGGTTGAATGTTTGTTCTCTCCAAATCTCATATTGAAATGCAATCCCCAGTGTTGGAGGTGGGGCCTGCTGAGAGGTGTTTGGGTCATGGGAGTGGATCCCTCATGAATGTCTTGGTGCTGTCCTTGTGATGGTGACTGAGTTCTCTCAAGATCTGGTTAAAAGTGTGTGGCATCTCCCCTGCCCCTTGCCCCTGCTCTGGCTATGTAATATGCCAGCTGCCCCTTTGCCTTCTACCATGATTGGAAGCTTCCTGAGGCGTCCCAGAAGCTGAGCAGATGCCGGCACCATCCTTTCTGTACAGCCCGTGGAACCATGAGCCAATTAGGCCTCTTTTCTCTATAGATTAACCAGCCCCAGGTATTTCATTTTTTACTTTTTTCCCTATTTCTTTTTCTTTTGTTAAACTTTGTTGTTTGGGGTTTTTTGTTTGTTTTTTCTTTTTCAGGTATTTCTTTATGGAAATGCAAGAATGTCCTAACACAGATAGGGCTCCGTGGTGGACATCCAGGCAGGCATTTATCTCTTCATTTGCAGAGTGTCTTCCTATGGTCATGAGCACGCAAAGCTGGGCTCGGTGCCTCTTATTTGCCGTGTGACCTTGGGCAAGTTACTTAACTTCCCCAGTCTGTGTTTCCTCACTTGTAACAGGGGATAAGATCAGCTATTCCACAGGGTCACTGGCAGAAGTCATCTTATCAAAATATAATGATGTCTAATATTTACTGGGTTCTTCATATGCGCCAGTCACTGCACCGATCACTCTACAAGCATTTCTTCCTTTAGTCCCCATGACAGCCCTGCCAGCTGGTGCTGTGACAGCCCTGGTTTACTGATGAGTTTCCTAACTGAGACTTAGAGAGATTAGGTCATGTGTTCAGGGTCACACAGCCAGAGACCAGACCCAAAATCAGAACTGGTATGCTTTTTCTTTTTTTTTTCTTAATTTATATTTCTAATAGATAAAGAGTGTACGCATTTACTTCATAAAATATGTTGTTCGAAATATGTATACAATGTGGAATGGCTAAATTAAGCTAATCAACATATGCATTACTTTACATACTTACCCTTTTTTGTGGTAAGAACACTCAAAATCTACTTTCAGCAATTTTCAAGAATGCAATACATGGTTATTAACTATAATCACCGAGTGGTACAATACATCTCTTGAATTTATTCCTCATATCTACAGAAATTTTGTATTCTTTGACGAATATCTCCCCAACCTCTCTGCACCTGGCCCCCGCCCCTGGCCAGTCCCTGGTAACAACTATTCGACTCTCTACTTCTATGAGTTTAGCGTTTTATGATTCCACATATAAGTGTGATCATGCAGCATTTTCTTTCCGTGCCTGGTTTATTTCACTTAACATAACGTTTATCCATGTTGTTGCCAATGACACGATTTCCTTCTTTTAAAAGGCTGTATAATGTTCCAGTGTGTCTATAAGGCACATTTTCTTTATCCATTCATTCATGGATAGATGCTTGGGTTGATTCCATATCTTGGCTATTGTGAACAGTGCTGCAATAAATATGGTAGTGTAAATACCTCTGCCATACTAATTTGATTTCCTTTGGATATACCCAGTAGTGGGGTTGCTGGGTAATATGAGAGTTCTATTTTTAATTTTTTGAGGAACTTCCATACTGTTTTACATAATGGCTGTACTAATTTACATTCCCACCAACAGTTTACCTGGGTTCACTTTTCTCCACACCCTCTCCAGCACTTGTTATCTTTCATCTTTTTGATAATAGCCATTCTAACAGGTGTGAGGTGATATCTCACAGCAGTTTTCATTTGCATTTCCCTGATGATTAGTGATGTTGAGAGCATTTTTGCATGTACTTTTTGGCCATTTGTACATCTTCTCTCTTTTTTTTTTTTTTAACTGGGTCTCTCTCTGTCACCCAGGCTGGAGTACAGTGTTGCTAACAGAGCTCACTGCAGCCTTGATCTCCCGGGTTCAAGCAATCTTCCCACCTCAGACTTCCAAGGAGCTGGGACCACAGTCGAATACCACCATGCCTGGCTACTTTTTTTTTTTTCAGAGATGGGGGTCTCATCATGTTGCCCAGACTGGTCTCAAACTCCTGAGCTCAAGCAATCCTCCAGCCTTGGCCTCCCAAAATGCTGGGATTACAAGCACGAGCTGCCATGCCTTGCCCAACTTCTTTTCAGAACTGGTGCTCTTCACCACTACACGTAGAACTGCCTTTAAGTGCCTCACTGAGTGCTCAGCCGGTCCTAACTATTACTCATATTACTATCCTGCCACTGTCCTCAGAGCAGAGAGCAAAGTCTGAGGCAAGAGGATACAGTCAAGGGCTCAGAGGTGAGGAGTACCTGTCCTGGCCCCAGGAGACTGAAGCAGGAGGTCACTGTGGCCTAGTTATTGGCAAGAAAAATACAAGATTGGTGCTTGGAAAAAAAATTTAAAAAAAGGTGTGGTCCCTGCTTTCACCAAATACTCTTCCTGCCTTGTTTTGCCCTGATTTGGTGGGATTCTATTTCTAATTCCACTGTGAAGACTAATCAAGTGGCTTAGGTGAGAGCCTGGCCACACTTTAAACCACCAGGTGTGGACAGGCTGGCTCGGCCTGTCCCGGGTAATGCAAGCAAGTGTGAAACTGGCAGAAGTTTGAGAAGTCCAGCCTGTCCCTAACTGCTGCACACTCTTCAATTAAGGTGCAGGGCTGTAGGTTGAAGGAGCACATGACACGGTGGAGGCAGGCGAGTAAACAGGATCTTTAATTAATCTGCGATTCGGTCCTCTGTTACTGATATCAGCTGTTGGGTGTTTAGCTTGTGACGAATGCACTTCTGGAGAGGAGCTTTGTCCTAAAGGAGACTCCTGAGTGGAGTGGGGGCCTTGGGAAGGCTGTTTGGAGAAGCTGTGCCTTGCATGTGGCCATGGAAGACAGGAGGGGCTGGCAGAGAAGAAAGGACGGAGAAAATTATTTCAGCACTGACTGTGCTCCAGGTGCATTCTCGTTCAGGACTCTGTGTCTCCCCTGAGATAGGTATGATGCTCCTCATTTTGCAGAGGAAGGAACTAAGGCTGAGAGTCATCTCCAAATCTGGCCCAAGGTCACAGGGCGGAATAAACAGCAGAGACAAAATTAAAAAGATGTGATTGTTGAGTATATCCCATGTCTGCCATGTATATTACCATTCCTGTGCTCGCCTTAATACTTCAGAAAACCCTGCAGCAGAGATGTGCTTATTTTACAGAAGAAGAAACTGAGATCTGAGATCCAGGCAGTTGAAGTGGCTGGGAAGTAATCGATCTCACAACAAAATTCACTCTCTTTCCGCAGTCCCTATGAGTCTCAGATTGCAAGGAGTCCATGAATCTGAGGGGTAAGCAGCAGTGAGGGAATAAACACTACCCCTTTTATGTTCATATACTGCTTTTCAAATATTTGTAAACTGTTGTTCTGTTGGATAAAATATACATTAAAGCATAATCAATTTTAAAGGGTAACTGATTCATAGTTGCCTATTCTCACTGTGCTCCTCCCCACACCTAGTCCCAATCAATGGCTACAAAAATATAGCCACTGAACCTTAGGGGGCAGAGACAACATTTGATGCTATAAATGGGCTTTCACAATGGAAGAAGTTGGAGAGCTTGTTCTGCTCTCCTTGCGGGGAGCATGTCTGGCAGGGAAGCAGGTACCCTTCAAAGGGCATGAATTTGACAACAAAGTGCCTGGATAAGCGGCCAGGAGATGCTTTTCCAACAGGGCATGGAGGTGGTGGGGAGGGGAGGGTGTGCTGACTTTTCTGTGACGATGCCTTATGACAAACAACTCTACATCTCAGTGTCTTACACCAATGAGCTCATAAGCCTGCAGGTTGGCTGTGGTGACTGCTCCTGGCTTGGCCCCATGGGTGTCTCATCCCAGATCCAGGTGTGAGGAACAGTGACTTCCTTGGGGCACAGCCTCTTCTCAGAGTGCAGGACTGGAGCCCAAGAGCCCCAGCTTTCCACATGAACTCACTCAAGGCCTCTGCTTGGAGGAGCCCTTAGTCATATGCCTGCCCTCCACATTCCATCAGCCCAAGCCAAGGTCTGTAGGATCATCAGGCAGTCCACTCAAGCTGCCCAGTGAGGAGGGGACAGTAAATATTTGCTGAACAATAACATAGTTGAGCACAGAGGGTGATCCTGCCTGCAGCCCCCTGGGCAGAAAGGCCTGGAGGACCAGCTGCTCTAAAGGGGCAGGTCCCAATAGGCAGAATTTAAAGACCACAATAGTCTTAGACTTCGACACCCCTGGCCATTGCCCAGCAGGCATCTAGCATAAACGCCCTTTGGGACCCTTTGCGGAATGCGATTCTGCACCCACTCTGCCCAGGGCACATCCCTTTTGAGTTATGGTGGCTTCTGGCTTAAAGCCTCAGGACAGTTGACCCAGCCCCAGTCCAATGCTCTCCCACCTCCCCGGCCATCCCCCTGCCCATCTCAGGGGATGGCTCCCCTGCTGGCTTGTAAAACATTCATTTCCCCTAATTCAAATATTTTCACCCTTTAGAAAACTTGTTAATATTGGATTTTAAGAAGCATTATAATATATCACTCTCTGCTCTGGCTAAAGCAGTATTTCATAAATTATTGATTTCTGCTGGTGGGAGATGAGGGTTCTCTTTCTTGAACAGTAGGCATTGCCCTGGCTGGGATCTTAGAAGGGATGACAAGTTGTGCAGTGGTGCAGAAAGAGCATCGTCACCCACCCCGGGCAAAGGAAGGAAGAAACAGGGCCACCAACCAATGGGGTTCCAATTCCTGGCTTTCTTTACTGTGGTTTAGGCCCCTGATATGGTGAAGTGGGAAGAGCAATAGGCCTGGCAGAATCCCTGCTCTGCCTCTGGCCGGCTGTGTGACCCTGGGCCAACTGCTTGGCCTCCCCAAGTTGCAGTCTCTGTGCCTGTAAATAGAATAGTACTGCCTGCAGCACAGTGCCGTTGGGAGGTAAGGAATGAATGAGATGATCCCTGAAGAGGTCACTGTCCTCCTCAGGTACTAATCAGTGGTCATTTTCTTCCTTCTTCCTCTGACTTTAGGTTCCATCAGAACGGTGGGCCCTGCACTGCAGCCACCACATTCAGACTGAAATCAGTGCTGGTTTGGGCCTAGGGCAAGAAGAATTCCCAGCCTGAGCTCAGCAGGGAGGCCCTTTGTGCTGCCTAGAGGCCCCCACAGGGCAATCCAGCAGTGCCCCTGAGCCTGGCTTGTCCACCTAGAGGTAGAAATGGCCTTGATCAGGGGTCTCAGTGGTGCCAGAGCTGCAGTGCTCCGTGCTCTGGTGGGAGCTGGCGCAGTCTGTCTTCCCCATGCCAGGTTCCACTCCAGCCTGCCATTCCCAGGGGATCTATTAGCATCTCAAGACTCAAGTAAGGCTTGGTAAAGCAGGCTCCCTGTGTGGCAGTATTCACCGGAGACGCAGAGAAAGGGAGGTGGAGATTTGGAGAAAGCCAGCTCAGAGATCCAGGGAAAAGGGCTGGGGAGCACTCAGAGCATGATCTGCCCAAGTCCACCGGAGGAAACAGGCATTTGACTTGCTTTCCCAGCTACCATCTGCTGGGAAAGGTGCGGCAGGTAGAGTGAGGGGCCACAGTGACCCCTGATCAGTGAGGGGCATGGAGGCTGGACACCCAGGCTTGCCCAGCTCTGCCTCCTGCCTCAGTGGATGAGACCAGACCTCAGGGTACACTCAGATGCCCAGGATCCTGGCATCTTAGCACCTCAGTGAGGAACCCAGGAAAGCTAAAGATTCTCAAGACAGTGACCCAGGTGCCCTGTAGGTCATTCATTCCCAAACACTGAGTGCAAAGGCTTTGGAATTTGTTATATAAATTAGAACAGAGGCAAGGGTATCCCTGCAATGCAATTCTCAGGGTTCTCTGTTCTGATGATCTTTCTGGAAAAGGAATAAGGGTTTGCATTACAGCCCCTATAGGGGTACTGGAAGTGGCCCGGGCCCATGGAAAGGGCTAACATGTGCCCATTGTGGTTAGGAAAAGTGATCTGGAAGTCACTGATCTGGTCCAAAGTTCACACTCGAGTGAAGAAACCCAGAAAAGATAAAAGGTTTGGACAAAATCACACAGCAGGTTAGGGTGGAGCCTGGACCAGAAGCCCAGACCCCAATCCAATTCCTTTTCTGCTTCCTCATTCTCTCTGTACTCACTTAGTCACTGTGGGTCTCACTCTTCCCTTCTGTACAATGGGGATGATCACACATTCCTTCCCACTCTCAAGGCGGGAGCTCTCCACAGGAAGCAGACAAAGCAGGGTGAGATCAAGCAGGATCGCAGCTGTGCCCTTGCCTTGAGGCTGGGATGATCACCAGGCCCTGCAGCTCAATCCTGAGTCCTCCCTGGAGACTGGGAAAAGCCCAGCCGCACTCAGCCTGCTATTTGTCCAGCTTAACCTGCACATCTTCCTTGTAGAGCAGCAGAACCCTGATAAAAAACATTTCATTGAGATTTATTCTCCCCAGATCCCTGGGCTGGCTTTTATTTGGTCCACCTGCCAATCAGGAAATGCGCACTTTGGCAGTGGACACGGTGAAGTTGTAAGGCTCCTCTGCCACCACTCCCCCTCTCCTTCCAAGGGGGACCCAGCCAGAGTTCCCTGCCAGCCTGTGCCCTTGAGCCCATCTCTTAGGAGTTTGCATTTTAAAAGAGGAAACTGAGTGGGGGAAATGGCAGTTTCCAAAGGAACAGATGGCTCCTGGCAGAATATGAGGCTCTGGGACCCTGCAAGGAGGCAGGGGATGCATCCACCCAGGTGGGCAGCCACTCACTCTCTGATGCATGAGACCTCCCCAACTGCCACTGGCCACCTTGGCTCTGGTGTACTTTGCAACACTATGGTACCAACTTCACAGCCAAAGCTGCTTCTCATAGTTCTTGCCTGGGTAAAGAGCCAAGAGACCTGAATTCCACGCTGACCTTGACTATGTGATTTGGGGCAAAATACTCCTCTTCTCTAGACTTCTGTTTCCTCATCTCTCAGATTTGACCTGATGGTGGTTAAAGCCTTCTTGCCCCAAAGGCAAATGGCTGTGCATGTCTACAAGGATCTTTATGTGCCCAGGAAAGACCTGAGGGGGTGTGTGATGTTTGTCCTGTTGACCAATTGGAAAGCAAGGCATGAAAAATTACCAGAAATAAGTGGCAATACAAGACGACCCTACAAAGGCCATCTATCACCAGACAGTTTACATGAAGGGTCAGGGAAGCTGAAAATAACCAGGAAGAGACATAAGAATGAGAGGAAGAGAGGAGGGGAGATGGAAGGGCTGGAGTGATCAAGGCAGTACCCCGGCAGGAGATGGGGCAGAGCTGAGCTTGGAAGGATGGATAGGATTTGAATCAATGGAAATGAGTTGGCCAGGGAGAGGACATGAGCAGAAGTAGGCACTGGTGAGTGGGTGAGTCGGGCTGGAGTGAAGAGACCACAAAGATAAAGCTTATAAGATGACAGCAAGAATGAGGGGGGAAAAGAGAAAAAGAAATTTAAAAAAATAAGATACAGCCTAAAGTTCAGGCAGGGTCACTGTGGAAACAGCCCTTTTATTTTTCTCCCTGAATCCACACTGGGAGCCCTGGTCTGCAGGATGGTCTTAGGACTTGTGCCTGAGTCCTAGCCATTTGGCCTTCCCTGCCCAACTGCCTTCCTAGATCCATACTCCTTTCTGCTGGCACTGAAGAGGGAAGCCCTCCCGTCATGTACCATGCGACTTTGTCCCCTCTAGGCTACAGGAGATGGATGAGAGGTGAGCAAGTGACTCTCCCATCCATAGGCTGATTCAAGGGCATTAGAAATGCTTTCTCTTTTGAGAACATTGAGACACACAGAAATCCATAGTCAGGAATGGAGACTGAAACCAAACAGGGGGAAAAGACAGTGGCCGCTAAGTTGGACCTTATGAAAAGTGAGTAGGCTGACGGGGCCCAGGAGAAGGGCTCCCTGCTCATCCAGCTCCAGCCTCCAAAAGCCCATTCCACAGCCTTGAGGCTGCCTGTTTGTCATCTTTGACAATCAGCAACACCCCTTCACTCAAGGCAGCGCAGTGGGTCGCAGTTCCCTGTAACAAGCACGGCTTGAGCAGACTATAGCTCACACCCGGGCAACTAGCCTGAGAATTGTGGCCACGAAAGGCAGAAGCTTCCCTAGTCCCTGGTGCCTCTGAATTAGCATCAGAACAATCTCCACAGAGGCCCTGCCTGTCTCCCACCCCAAACTCCTTGTTCCTCTGGGCCTTTGCCAGTGCGGTTCCCTGCATATCTAGAGCCCATCCCAAGACGCACTTCCTCCACAAAACCTTCTCTACTAACCCCAACCCCATCTGATCACACTGCAACTCAGGGTCAGCCCATACACCACAGTGGAGTCAGGATGAGAGCCATACAGGCCACTCTTTATAATTTACAAAGTGATGATACTTCCATTACCCAGAGGATGCAGAGTGGGCTGGCTTATCTCCACTTTGCTGCTGGAGAGGGCCAGGGCTGGGGCTTGCACCCAGCTCCCCTGAATCCCAGTCTGAGCCTTTCTTTGTCCACTCCATCCTCTGCAGTGGGTAACCCCTGCCTGGGCATATAACCTTTCCTACTAGCACTCAGAATATTCTTGGTCAATTCACTAAATCTTCAACTAAGATTAATGGGAACCTTCTTTGTGCCAGGCACTGTTCTAGGGATTGGAGATACTGCAATGAACAAAACAGACTGAATGCCTATCCTCATGAAGCCTGCATTCTAATAGGAGGAGGTATAAAATAAACATAGTAAATGAGTAACAGTATATTAGTTGGTGAGAAGGCATATGGGGAAAAAATAAGGCAGGAAAGGAAGACGGAAAATGCTGTGGGTAGGGTGGCATTTTAAATACTGTGGTCAGGGAAGCCTCACCAAAAATGTGACATCTGAACAAAGATCTAAAGGAGGTGAGGACACTGGCCATGCAGGTGTATGGGGAGGAGCCTTCCATGTGAAGGGAAGGGGGAGAGCATGTGCAAAGGCCCTGAGGCAGGTGGCTGCCAGTGTCATGAGGCTTGTGGCAGCGTTCCCCTGCTCTTCTTCCTTGTATAGCTTGGACGACTTTACTCTCCTGCTCCCAACAAGCTGCTGGCCAAAGAAGGAAGGCAGCAGCCCTTAGCATCTAGGATACTGTCCCTCTTCCCATATTCCAAAAAGAGAGACCTATGCAGAGCATCACAATGTTCAGTGACTAAGTCAGATGCTTAAGAGCCTTTCCCTATGGCAGACTCTGTTCTGAAACTCAGATCAAGACACTGGTCCCAGCTCCATGCTCCTCTGATGGATGTGGACCCAGTAGCTGGGACACTGGCTGAGGATTCCTTGAGGCCTCTGTTCACCACCCTCCCTGGCAAAGAAGGACTAAAGGGGTCAAGATACAAGGAGTCACCAAAGAATGCAGAAGAGACAAGTTCAGGAAGACTACCACATACGTATTGGTTACCCAGAGAGAACCTGAAAACAGCAGCACCATTGGGCCAACATGGCATCAGTAAGCACCAGCTGGGCCTGCTCCAAGTCCCCTGAGTTTCCACATTCCCTTGGGCAGGTAAAAATTTGCAAACCCCTTGTGTTCACCCACATTGTATTCCCTTCACTGAGTCATACTCTCCCTGTCATCTGCTCCCACTCACAGTGACTCACTTATGTCAACAGGCCCAACATACTTTCCCCACCCTTCCTGCAGGTCCCAAGACTGGCCCCTGATGCAGATGGGGCAGCAGTGGTAAATCCCAGGTTTGGCTCCTGTGTTGCTGCAGGTGGAGGGGGAGCCAGTGGGAGACTGGAAGGGGAGCTCTTGGAGGCCCTGAAGGCAAATGCTTGTGGATTTCTACTAAAAGCAACTATCACATTTGGAAAGTAGGGCAGAAAATGGGACTGGAAGCAAGAGTGAGAGATGACTGGCCCTGAGTGGCTGGGGCAGTCCTGCTGCACATTCAAACGTGGCTGAACCTCCAAGAAGCATTCCAGACTCTTCTCCAGATACCCCTCCCAGCATTTCCGCTCCTGTCCCAAGTCGTGCCAGATGTGAGAGAATATTCAGGGATGTGTGGAGCATGTGGGTCCACTGGGACAGCAATTGAGAATAACAAAATCGATGGACTGAAAAGAAAAAACATCCATTTCTCTTCCCCACCCCAATATTTACCAAGCATGTAAGCTTCATTCTCCTTTGTCCTTGCAGGGAAGCAATCACGCAGCCTGACAGTCACTGGAGCCTCGGCTTGAGTTACCAATGACTAGTAATGTGGATTTCATACTCTTGACCAAATTAAAATAAATTTGGACCAAGCCAGAATGGCTCAAATGAAACTCTGTATCCATTGCATTTCCCATGCATGTTCACACACTTACACAAACTTATGTCTGAGCCCTACATTCTCCCCAAGTTTGGGAGTCCCAGGACAAACACCCAACCCACAGAGACCCGGCATCAGGATCAACGTCCTTCTTGTTCCTATTGCAGAAAATAGACTCCAGCATGCAAGGCCCTCATCATTTGCCCGCCCCACAATCCTGCATCTCGCCAAATGCATCTCACTCTCTTCCCGCAGCCCGCTGGAGCCCACTGGAACTCTCCCGCTCCCCAAATACAAGTGACTTGCCAATTACTGCTTCTGTCTTTACAAGGTATGCCTCTGTCTTCTCCCTATATCTCTACAGATCCTCATTCAATGCCTGTTCTGATAGCTTCTCTGAGAAACCTTCTTGGGTAATCTTTACCACCCACTGAATTGAGGTTTATGTCTTTTTCCCACACCCTTCCCTGTGTGCCAGCCTCCTCCTGGGATCACCCAGTTTTTTCCTGAAGGTTTTGAAATGAGGGATTTGTCTGGAAGAGTGGAAATCGACTCTTTCTTCTCTTTTTTTATCTTCCCAAGGTGGTGAGGCTGTGGAGCAGGACATGCCCTCTGCCCTTCCTCTTGGTAGTTAGAAGAAATTAAAGCAGAGCTCAAAAGAGAGGCTGGCTCTAGTGAAGGTCTCAGGAGAGATAAGTGAAGGGTTCCTATAGGATCCATGTTTTCTACCCCAGTTCCATAGGTAGGAAATCAAATGGAATAGAGAGCAACAGTCCCAGATGAGAGGAAAAAAAGAAGTGTTCTCATGGACACAGAATTCCCTGAGTATTGGCTCTCAGGGAGGTAAGACTTCAGGGAGTGGGGTAGATGGATAGGGTACATATTTATCTAAGGTAAAGAAGGACTCATCCCACTCCTTCTGATTCAGAGACTGTTAGGATGAATCAGCAGAAACCTGTTTGATCATCCAGTCAGCTCCTCTTGTTTTAAAGGAGAAACTGAGGTCAATAGATGTGTGATCTGCCCCTCAGACATCAGGTTGGTCAGGGATCAGGGTATTTGTCTTATGAATATTAATTTTTCCAATTCCGAAGATAGACCTAAAGCAGTTCCTTTTGTCTGTGAATGAGAAGACCTCCACAAAGATACAGAGGCTGGATGAAGATGTACGCAAGCTCTTTCCTCCTGAGACCCAGTGAGGGAGGCAAGGGAGGCTCCCTAGCTAAAGAGGGAGCTCAAAGTTGCAGCCTTTCCTCATGCAAGGCAAGGGAGGGCACCTGCTGGGAGCAGAGCAGGGAGGCCATGCGTTGTCTCTGCATACTAAGATCCTCACAATGCTGAGGACAGAGCAGCGCCTGGGGAGGGAGCGCACTCCCATCAGCAGTGGGTGTGGCAGACACGCTGCTGTGTACATGTCCCAGGGCCTCAGGCTGCCCTGGAAAGTGAGGCTCTGGAGCCTCTTGCTTATAGGGTCAGCTCTGTGTGACTATGACAAGCAAGGGTTGAGAGACCGTGGCCATATGGCCTGGAGCTGGGGCACCCAGACAAAAATGACTCACCAATCCTTTTTTAAAGACATAACTAAAAGCCAATGGTATGCTTACATTTCAAACATAGCATTAGCACCTAAATTTAAACTGCTGCACTGCTGCATTTAGATAAACTAGTTTTATATCCAAGACCTTTAGGTTTTAAATACTGCAGGGAATGGTATGGTGACTAAAGAAAGAGCATTTCATTACAAAGTGGTTTTTTCTTCAAAGGGCCTAGAGCCTAAAATGGGGTTTGCCTCAAGGTCCCCTTTATCAAGGCAGCCAGAACTCTCCTATGTGCAGTTTTCTGAGACCCATCATTATTTGGACTGCTCAGAATTATTCCTGTGTGTTCTCATGTAGGTGTTTTATTGTGTCCAACTTGCCTAAAGGACCTTTTATGGCAGGAACTGGGATCCCATGTCCTTTGGGCTCCTCACAATGTACAGCTGAGCGCTGAGCCTCAGGTGGAAGGTCAGCAAGTAATCACAGTATTCCTGGGATTGTTTTTTCAGAACCATGGACAGAACCCCTTCTTCCCAGGCTGTTTTCTATTTTGTGTCTCTCCTTCCTGATTTCCTTTAAGACAAAGTCTCCAGTGCCTCACTGAGGATTCAGCTCTGCTCAAGTCTGCCTGTTTCCTGGGGATACTGGACTGGAAGCCAGAAGCCAAACTATGCCAGGTGGGAGTAAAGATGCAGAACCCTGGAAAGGAGGTGACCTAACAGCATTTCCTGCTGTTATTAGAATAAGAGGACCATCTCAGTCATGTGCCCCAGTCATAGTCACAATCCCCAACTCCTTTTAGAGCTCCAGATCCCCCTCTAAACACTACACAGTCAGTCTGAGGTCACAGGGCTTATAGGCCAGCAGAGCACCTGACCATCTGGGGCAGTGCTGAGGTAAAGCCTGGGACAGGCTGGGCTGGGGAGACCCCTGGCATGGCAGAAGACAGATGTGATGAAGAATGTGTCTGGATTATAAATGAGTGGGGAGTCAAAGGCTGAGGGTTGGGAGGGAAACATCAGTCATCAGGGTCAAGGAGAGCCTGCAAGGCCCTGGTCAGGGGGTAGGGCAAGAGGCTGGCAGCTGAGGCCTCAGGAACAATTCAGAGAAGATTCCAAGAGGGTGAAGCGATTGATAGGTTCAGAACAAAGGCTGCAAATAATACCATGGAGGTAGGAGCTTTCCCTTGTTGATGTTGGCTGTGAGATGGAGACAGATCACCTCTTTAAAGGTAGGGTGTGAGGACAGGTTGCCATTGGGACATAACACATGGCAGAAGCAAGACAGAATTTTCCACAGGCAATAATCCTGCACCCACTAAAGGTCAGATAGGGACACTCCAGAGCTGGAATTAGTAATTCGGCACTCCAGGATAATTTCAGACATCTAGTTGGTCACTCCACGTGTGCACTCCAAAACACACAATGATTCCACTAAATTCATTGCCTCTCCTCCTCCTTCCACACTCTGCCCACTCTTTGAGGCCCACTTGGAATCTTTCCTCACCCAGGACGTCTTCTAGGGCTAGAGTTAACATAGGTGCCAAACACTCGTTTGCTGAATGGATGAACGGCTCCTGCCGATCATTGGATCTGGTGAGTCTCAATTTTTTGTGTGTGCTGCCTTGGGTTGGGTTTCCTGGGAAACAGACTCTGAAATGGATATTTTCATGCAGGAAATTTATTGAGGTTGCTTTTGGCATCAACAACTTGGGGTGGGGAGGAGAGGGAAGGGGGTGTGGAGGAGAGGGAAGGAAATGGGATTAGGCAGAGAGAGAAACTGAGCTGGGATGAAGGGTCCCAGCCAAGCCTACCGGGAGTTCTGGAGCTAGGATGGCCTTCTAAGTTGTCCTGTCCTGAAGCAAAAGGAATGGGTATTTACACCCCCACATCCACAGTTTGATGCAGGCTGCCCCAAGGAAGTGAACTTGGCTCTCCTTGGCTGAGGCAATTCCTAGAGAGGGACCTAGCTGAGAGACATCATCTGTCAATACTCCTAGCTGCAACTGGAGAAGTGAGGACCTCAATCCTGAAGGAGGGACCAGGTTGACATTCTACAGCATCCACTACATGTACCAAGAGACTTGGATGAAATTGGGAGAAGGGCAACTATCAGAATTCCTGTAGGGAGTATATTTTTAAAAGTTGTCCAGAATGGTTCTATTGCATCTCCTTTTCCCCAATCCGCAGACTATTATGACTAGGAATTGCAGATCTACTCTAACCTCCTCCAAGACAGAGAGTTATTTGCCCAAGGGACACACAGTAGGCAAGTAGCTAGTTTGACTGGAGCCCCCACATTTGTGGGCTGATCTCCATTGCAGAGGGAGCCATATATCCCAAGCAAGTACCCATACCTCACCGGCTATCATATCCCCTGTAACAAACAAAGAGGCTAGCACACACCTAACCCCGAGAGGTTGTAAGTGTGTTGGGGGTGGGGGAGGTGAGTGTGTCAACAAATGCATGCTGAATTGAATTGGTTTCTTTAAAAGCAGTTATCATGTATAGACATGCCCTTTGTGCTGTGTATACATGACTTAACCTGATGAGCAAATCCTCTGATTCTTAATTAACCTTTTCATTTGAACCTCTTGACCAAACAGCAAATGGAGGCTGGTGAATTGGAAATGACAGCTTCACCTCCCCCCATGTCCCGACCTGGCCCAGCCACCTAGGCTGGTAATTACCTTTGCCAAAGCTGGGAACTTTTTACAGGCTGATGAACAAATAATCTCCTACTAATAGCTGAGATAACCACAGAGCCCAGTTCTCTTCTCGTCTCTTTCCTGATGATTACCTTCTGTGAAGCCGGGGAGCAGGTTGTGACAATATTTCTAATATTTCCCTCCCTCTCTCTCAGCCTCTCTCCCAGTCTCCTTTAATAAAAAAGAGACCATGCAGACTGGGAAGCAGGATAAGGGGCAGTGAGGAGGGAGAGGCGTTTGCCTGCAGAAGCCTCTCCCCACAGGAAAAGCCAGGTGCTCTGACCATGCCCTTTAGCAGACCGGCTGAACAGCTGATATTCCTGGAACATGCTCCTCAGTGGATGTCAAAGCAATTTGGAAGGCTGGTTCTTGGCCCATAGTCACATGGGGGTGGTGGGGAAGTGTTAGCACAGTCTTCAGCCTCCAGGGCTCAACAGAACTGAGCAAGGATCAGCAGGGAAGAAAGGGGAAATGGATGGAACAAAGAAAGGGAGAGGAAGAGGATGATGGGCAAGGATACAGGAGAGGAAGCAAAAGACTAGGTCCAGGGCATCTAGGGGGTCTGGGCCCAGAAAGGAGGTCCTGACAGTGGCCTGGGTCCCTGCACTTCCCCTTGAGATGGCTCATTGCTTCTGCCTGGACCACCTCCCTGTACCCACCCACCTCAAAATGTAATGGTAATGGCAGAATCCCTTTCAGAGTGCTTACTTTGGGCCAGGCCTGAACTATAGCTTATGTGAGCCTCATGCAACCCTAGGAGGTGGGCACCATTCTTCACATGTTACAGGTGAAGGGGCTAAAGCATAGAGAGTTAAGAAACTCATCTACGGTTCACACACAGCGAGATGGAGACAGGCTTTGGAGCCAGACAGTCGGACTCCGGAATCCAGCCCTTAATCACTCTGCCAAATTCTACCTTCCCCTTGAGCTCTGGGTACCTTTCCTGTGTGTACTTGATGTAGCAGAAACAGCACTGGATTTGAATCCCAGCTCCGCCTTCTCCCAGCTGTAGAACCCTGAGTAAGTTAACCAGTGCTGAGTTCTCTCATTTATGAAATGAGCATAAGCATGTCTGTCCTGCTTATTTTACAGAACGGGTGCAGGGATGGAGGGAGATAGTATTTGTCAAGGCCATTTGTCAGCTCCAGAGGACCCTGTACACATCAATTGGCATCCTCTTCCCTCTTCCCTTCCTCGTTATGAGCTCTCACAAGGACCATGATGGTCCACCTTGTTTGTCCAAGCCCCTCTCACATGTGGTGGGTGCTCACAAATTGTATGTTTCTGTTGAGCAAATGAAATAGAAGGACCAGGCTGGGCGCAGTGGCTTATGCCTGTAATCTTAGCACTTTGGGAGGCCAAGGTGGGCGGATCACCTGAGGTCAGGAGTTCAAGACCAGCCTGGCCAAAATGGTGAAACCCTGTCTCTATGAAAAATCCAAAAAAAAAAAAAAAAAAAAAAAAGCTGGGTATGGTAGTGCATGCCTGTAGTCCCAGCTACTCAGGAGGCTGAGGCAGGAGAATTGCTTGAACCCAGGAGGCAGAGGTTGCAGTGAGCTGAGATCACACCATTGCTTTCCAGCCTGGGCGATAGAGTGAAACTCTGTCTCAAAAAAAAAAAGGAGAAGAAAAGAAAAAAAGAGGAGAGGAGAGGACAGGAAAGAGAGGAAGAGAGGAATCAAATCTCCTCGCTTTCTTCCTCCCCCTTCTTCTTCCCCTTTCCTTCTCTTGTCCCCTCTCCTTCCTCTCTTCCCCTATATCTTCCTTCCTCTTCCTCCTCATTCTTTTCCCCATACCCAGTCCCTCTCCACTGCTTCCCAGGACTCACGCTCTAATGGAAAGACATTTGGCCCTCTCTTTCCAATCCTTCCCACACTCTACTTGGAGATAGTTTCCAAAACCACAACTGAGACCACGTCACATATGCTTAGAATCCTTCGATGGTTCCCTGCACTTACAGGAGAAGGTCAGAGCTTCTCAGTCCCGCACTAAAGCCTCTGCCATCTGCCTCCACCTCTCTTTCCTGGCCTCATTTCTCATGACTTCTTTCTGGAATCGTCCAGTCCTCACCTGCCTTTCCACCATCATCAGTCTCTTTACCTGTAAAGACTTCATTGGTAGTGGGTTAGTTGTGCCTGACACATAGTTAGAAGTCAATAAATGGAATATATTTAAGAGGACATTCACCAGGGGCTTGCCCTGTTGTTTTAGAATCTCCTCTGAGGTCCCAAGGCTGAGAACTTCAGGTGTGAATTGCCCACACACTGTGAAGGGAGATGCCAGACCATCCAGTTGGGACTTGCTGAGAATGGTCCCTCACTGGTTCTGCATCCCCTGCCCCATTACACCTTAGCCCATGCCAAAGAGAAGGCTAGAGGTTCATCGAGGTGATTAGAGGGAGGTGGGGATTTTTAGACTTCTCAGCTAGTAGTGAGGCCTGGGATGACCCAGGGCCTCCCCATCTCCATCTCCCCAAGCTAACTGTGGGTGTTCCACTGGCTGGATGCCGTCATGGAGCTGGAATGAGAGATATAGGGAAGAACCTGACCTGCAACCCGCAGAGCTGGAAGAACACAGAAACTAGGGCCCAACCAGTCACCTCCCAAAGAGTCTCAAGTCAAGAGAACTGGAGCAGCCTGTGTCTACAGCTGAGAGAAAGAGAGTACTGAGCAGGAAACAATCCTCACTTGTAGAGTTTAGTGCAGCAAAGATACAAGTCTCTCCAAGGACTGGGAGATGCAGGGGAAGGTGGATGGGCTTGAGCTGCATTGAGGGACCCACTCAGGAAGACCTGAGGACCACCTCCTGGGAAGTGGCAGCCCTAGCAGAAGAAGGCTGTGTGGGTGACATATTGAAGGAAGGGGAAGAGGAGGGGGAGGAGGGGAGGAGCTTCTGAGGAGTCACAAAGTCATCAAGGGGTGGTGCATCACCCAAGGTGGTAGGGTACCCAACTGGTTATAGTATTATTTTAATTAGTATCTTTTCCAGCATTAAAACCTGAAACCTCCTCTACAAGAGTAGTCTAGACTAGACTAGTTTGCCCACTATCTCCCTCCAGACCTCCAACTCATTTCCTCAAGCCATGCTATCTCACTCTCTTAATAAAGCCTTCCCTGACTTTGTCTTTCTATGAACTTGTTACCTATGATAGCCATAGCTAGTTGCTTATCCCAGGGTTGATTATCCTCCTCTTTAAAAACAGAACCTTGTAGTTTTACCTGGGCACATGGCCACCCACAATAAAGACTGGTTTTCACAGTCTCTTTTGTTGCTAAGTATAGCAAATTAGATATAAGGAGCAGTATTTGGAGCCAGCTTCCAGTACATTTTTGTGAAAGGCTCCTAGCATATGTCCTTTAGCCCTTTCTTCTTTGTTCCTTCCTCCTTTCACATGCCTGGAATGCAGATGTAATGGCTGGAGGTCAAGCAGCCATTTTGGCCTATGAGATGTCTTTGTTGAATGGGAGTTACATGCAAGGATAATGGAGCAAAGGAGAAGGACCCTGGGTTCCTGACACTGTGGGGATGCTCTCCACGTTCTGGACTGCATACCTCCACTTCAAATGACAGCATCCCTTTCCCTCCCCTCCCCTCCCCCCCTCCCCTCCCTCCCTCTCTCTCTCCCTCTCTCTCTTTCTTTTTTGAGACAGAGTCTCACTCTGTCACCCAGGCTGGAGTGCAGTGGCACAATTATAAGCTCACTGTGGCCTTGAACTCCTGGATTCAGGCCATCTTCCTGCCTCAGCCTACTGAGTAGCTGGGACCACAGGTGTGCACTACCATGCCTGGCTATTTTTAAAATTTTTAAAAATAGTGACAAGGTCTCACTTTATTGCCCAGGCTAAGAGTTATATTTTTGTCTTGGTTAGACCATTTTTACTTTGGGCTTCCTGTAGGAAGCAGCCAAACCCAATTCTAATGGGTACACTGCCTAAATCACTCACAGGCTAACACAGGTGAGAGTACCTGGCATAGGGAGTCCTATATGACAGTGTGTCAATCTCTTTTCTCTCTTAACACCTCTGACATCATAGCTTTATACAGTCTTTATATTGTGAGTCAACTATTCATAGGCATGTGTAACCTCAACTCTCTAAATATAGTTCCTATTATGTAGTGCTTTTCAAAATGACTTTACTCCTGAGCTTATTTAATCAGGCAAAGGATGCTTTATTTTCCCCATTTACAGATGTGGCTCTGCAGGCTCTTCAGGGACTGAAGTAGGCTTGGTATCCAAGTCTTCTGGCTCTAGGTCTGCTGCTGTTTCCCCTACATTACACCCACAGCAGCTACAGCAAAGCTTCTTCATTCATTTATCTTTGTGTTCTTTCTATTGCAACTGGTATGAAGCTATGTGTACAGTAGGTGTTCAATAGATACATTATATAATGCTCCAGAAAGTTAAGCAATTCATCCAAGTTAGTTTCCAAAAGATATCTAGACCAGGGGTTGGCCAATTATGGCCATCAGGCAAATCTGACCCATAGTCTGTTTTCTGTATAGCCCTCCAGCTAAGAATTTAATTTTTTTTTGCATTTTTAAATGCTTCTGGAAGAAGAGGAAAGAGAAGGAAATGAGGAAGGGGAAGGAGGAAGACACAAATGTGTGATGGGGACCATAGGTGTCCTGCAAAGCCTACAATTATCTGGCTCTTTATAGAAAAATGTGCTGCCCTGGTCTAGACCATCATCATGCAGCTGAATGTTTGATGTACCAGCAGAATCTTGACCAGTTGCTATCCCCTGAGAGACGCAATGACCTAGAGCGCTTGGTGATCCTGCTGCAGACAGCCTGTGGGTTTAATTTCCACTCCTTTTGTCCCAGAACCCCCAGGAGGGGCCTCCCTCACTCTACCTTCTTGAAGAGAGATGGGTATACATTTTCCATCTTCACTTCCACCTCCTTCCTAAGACTTGGAAGACTTTCTGATTCACTGGTCAAATAGTCAAGCTCAATTTGATCAAAAATTCATTGGGGTTTTTTTTTTTCCTGTAAAAAGGAATAAATGAGTACACACCAGTGGCTCAGACTGTAAACTGAAGCGTGAAAACCCCAAACAGGCTGAAACCATTACAGGAAAAACCATTAGCTCCAAAGCATTTCTATTTCCAAAAATACCAGCCTTCCAGAGGGAAAGCTGAGCCTGGTTCCTATTTCCAGCACCCCTGACGGCACGTTCCCTCATAAGCATCCCTTGGTTACTCACTCAGTAGACGTTCGAGTGGTTAAGAGAATAGGATTTAAAGTCTGATTGAATGTTACCAACTGTATTCCTTGGCGAAAGCACTTAATATCTCTGAGCCTCAGTTTCCTGTCTATAAAATAAGAATATTAACAATGTACCTTGCAGGGTATGCAAAGCGCTCAGCACAGATCCTGCCCCTCAGAGAGGCCTGCTAAATGGAAGCTGTATATTTGTATAATTACACAGATTAGCCCTTGTTCTTTCTCCCCTCCTCCTTCTGACTCCTTTATTTTTCCCTCTTAATTGCTCCTCAGTTTCTTGCTAAACCCCATCCCTGAAAGCAGTTCCAACCTACCTCTCTAACGTGGTCCTCTTCTTCCTGGCCATGGCCCTCAGCATTGGCACCAAATCTTTCTGAAACTGGCTCAGGCCATCGCCCTTCAACTCTCCAGCCGGGGGTCCCTTGCCATTCTTCTTTTTCACTTCTCCTCCCAGGTCAGCTTTCTGCACTTTTCTGGCACCGTGTAAATCTAGAGTCTAAAATTTCATCTTTCATTTGATGAGACACATTAAAAGCAATCAGTCCATTTTTGAGAGTGGGCTCTGTGCCGTCCTTAATCTACTTACAGCTCCTGAGCTCGGCACACAGTAGGCGTTCAATGGACTTTGGCCGGCAGACTGGCTGGGAGAGTGAACAGTGACCAGGTGGTCAGCTTCAGGTGGGCAGACCATGGCCCGGTCCTGTAACCGATGTGAATCCTAAAAACCACTTTGGACTCAGGGACTGGGCCAGGCACAGACAAAAATCATTCAGCTGGAGGGCTGCCTGATGTAAGAGGAAAACAAGAAAATGGATGTTGAAGTGAGATGTGTCTGGTTTGAATTCTGGCTTTGCCCCTGGCTATCTGAGTGTACTTGGCCAAGTTGCTTTGCCTCTTGAGCCTTAATTTCCTCATCTATAAGGAGTGAACCTACAATGACATACCAATTCACACCCAATAGGACGGCTGTAATCAAAAGGACAGATACAGGTTGAGTACCCCTTACATGAAATGTTGGGACCAAAAATTTTCAGATTTTGGAAAATTTGCATATATATAAAGAGATATCTTGGGGATGGGACCCAAGTTTAAACATGAAATTTATTTATGTTTCATACACACCTAATACAAATAGTCTGAAGGTGATTTTCCACAGTATTTTAAATAATCTTGTGCATAAAACAAGGTTTTGATGGTGTTTTGACTGCAGGCGGTCACATGGGAGTTTCCCACTGATGGCATCATGTCAACACTCAAAAAGTTTCAGATTTTAGAGCATTTGGGATTTGGGATTTTTGGATTAGGGGTGCTCAACCTGTAATAAGTACTGGCAAGAACATGGAAAAAACAGGAATGCTTATGCCCTTTTTTTGAGATTATAAATGGTGCAGCCACCATGGAAATCAATCTGGTGATTCCTCAAAAGTTTAAACATAGAGTTACCTTATGACTCAGCAATTCCACTCCTAGGTTTATACCCAAGACAAATGAAAATGTACATCCATATAAAAACTTGTATGTGAATGTTCATAGCAGCATTATCCATAATAGCCAAAAAGTTTAAAGAACCCAAATGTCCATCAACAGATGCATGGATAAACAAAATGTCATATGTCCATACAACAGAATATTACTTAACCATAAAAAGGAATAAAGTACTAAAAAGAAAAGGAACAAAAATACCGACACATGGTACGACATGTATGAACCTTGAAAACACTGTGCTGAGTGAAGGAATCCAGACACAAATGTCCACATATTGCATGAATCCATTTGTATATGAAATGTCCAGAGTGGGCAAATCCATAGAGACAGAGAAGACATTCGTGGTTGTCAAGGGCTGGAAGGAGGGGGAAATGGGAGTGATTAAAATGTTCTTTTTAGGGGGTGATGAAATGTTCTAAAATTGGCTAGAGGAGACGGCTGCACAACTCCGTGAATATACTATAAGCCATTGAATTGTATACTTCAAAAGGATGAATTTTATGGTATGTAAATTTTATCTCCAAAAAGCTGTTATTTTTGTAAATGGGTGGGCAAGGCCTCCCCACCCACTTCCTGGGGTCATTGTAAGACTCTAAGGAAGGCATGTGTGCCAGGTTTTGAACGCCACATTATACTCTTAGAAGGCTGGGATATGGGCCGGGTGTGGTGGCTCATGCCTGTAATCCCAGCACTTTGGGAGGCCGAGGCGGGTGGGTCACTTGAGGTCAGGAGTTTGAGACTAGCCTGGACAACATGGTGAAATCCTATCTGTACTAAAAATACAAAAATTAGCCAGGCATGGTGGTGCACGTCTGTAGTCCCAGCTACTCAAGAGGCTGAGGTGAGAGAATCACTTGAACCTGGGAGGCAGAAGTTGCAGTGAGCCGAGTTCATGCCACTGCACTCCAGCCTGGGAGACAGAGTGAGTCCCTGTCTCAAAAAAAAAATAAATAAATATATAAAAACAAAACAAAAAACCAGAAGACTGGGGTATGGCATCTGCCACAGACGGAGCTGTTTTCTGCTCTTCCCTCTTTTCTGCCCTGGCTCAGGCCTCCCTCTGGGAGAGACTTGCTGAGGAGTGGCACGGCCATCTGGTAGTGGCAAAAGGATGTTCTGGGCCTCCAATATGTCCATCCCAGGGCTGGGGAGGCAAGAAGTGTTTCCTCTCCGAGCCAAAGACTGGGAGGGGCCTGACACTGCCAGGGACACTCCCTTGTTCGTCCCAACACTGCTCCTCCACTCAGAGCACCTCAGGGTCCATCTTCCTCCTGGAGAAGGGCTCAGGCAATTAAACTTCAGGTTTTGGAGGAACTAGAGGCAAGCTGAGGGGAGCAGAGGAGGGCCATGGATGACAGACCACATTTTTAATAAAGGAGACTTCAGCTTTGTCAAACTCTTTGCAAGCCTCAAATGCTAAAATAATGATGATGGTGATGACTTATATTTATGAGTGAGTGTTTACTATCTGCCAGGCTCCATGCTAAGCATTTATATGTTTGACTTAATTTAATTTTCCCAAATATCTTGTGAGGTAGGGACTTGTTAACCCCATATTATGGATGAAAAGTTTGAGGCACAGAGATTTCAAGTGACTGGCCCAAGGTTGCACAGCTAGAAATGACAGGACCAAGATTTGCACCCTGGCAGCCTGGCACTACAACCTGTGTACTTAACTGCTCTGCTGGACCAAGTCAACCCTACAGGCTACACACAATGGAAGGCCAAGTTTATTACCAGGACTGTTCAATCACTCCCCACCAACCACAAGGAAATGGGTCTCAAACTTCACAGAGCATCAGAATCAGCTGGGTGGCGGGGCATGTGAAAAAAACAGAATAGGGTCCTGGGCCCACCCCAGGGATAGCAAGTCACTAAGCCTGGGGGGTTCAGGAATCTGCATTTATGACCAGCAACCCCAGGCGACCCTGCTGCAGGCTGTTCAGGACATATTTGAAGAGACTTGGCCTCCTAGCATCAAGACCCAACTTATGGGCCTGGCTGGATCTGCCCCTTGGAGTAAACACTTTCTGCTGTAAGCCACACCACACTCACCCCGCAACCTCAAGTCCATCCCATCTTTAAAGGCCCTGGTCAAGTTCCATGGAGCCCCCTAGGCCCTCCACAGGAAAAGTAGCCCACCCTGGCTTCCCCTTTTCTAAATACCTAAACCCATGTAGAGGAACCTGCACTGCTTCAGAACTCATTACAAACTGCCCGTTATTCTTACATCAGCGTCCCGTGGCTACAGGCCTTTTCTGATGAACTAGATCACAAAAGCCTTAAACAGAGATGCTTTCTTTCTTATTCCTTGTGTCTCCCACACATCATTCAATAGACTGGTGGATTTGCTTTTGGACCTAATGCACCAACACTCCTGTTTCAACGATCAACATGGCTCGTGTGCAACTGGCCAGTTCATTATCTACCCACCCACGGGCAGAGTCCAAGCATCCGGATTCTTCTTCTACAGAATCCAGGTGCTTCCTCTATGCCATCCACTGTTCTAACACTGAGACTCCAGAGGCCACACTGTCTCTGAGGCTGACACCCCCAACAACTGCTCTCACTTGGTGTCTTTGGGTGTGATTTGAGGGATATCTGGCAACGGCTGGAGATTGTTTTGGTAGTTGCGACCAGGGGAGTGGGGCTGCTGGCATCCAGTGGGCAGAGGAGAGGGATGCTGCTAAAGCTGCAGTGCACAGGACAGCCCCTCCCTGCCCTCCAACAAAGCAGTATCTGGCCCAAAATAACAGGGCAAGGTTGAGAAATCTTGCTCTAATGAAATATGCTAAGACCTACGGCAGAGGTAGCAAGACAGGAAGCCAAATGAAGGAACGATTAACCCCCAGGGAGGAGGAGGGTTGGGAAAAAATTCCCAGAGGAGATGCTTAATACAATGAATTGATTGATGAACGATGGGTGGGAAGGGTTTCCCACAGCAGAGGCAGGGGAGGAAAGAGGAGTTTCTGGCAGCGAGGTGCGAGAGCGCTTGGCAGGTTTGGGAAGCTTTTACTGGGTATGATGCGGCTGGAGGGCCTGGCACTCCTTCTTTTCATTCATTCTACACATCCGCTGTCATCTTATTTTCATTACTTATTTGCTGAGCAAACCTTGTCACCAAGCAGCATGGAATGGTCAGCTCTGGCCCTGGCTGGATCATCCTCGATTCTGAATCTGTGGTCTCTGCAAAGGCGGGATGGGGTTGAGCAAAAGGCACCCATAGAGCTGCACAGAGAGGTGTGACCACGTGAAAACACAACAGCACTGTGAAAACACAACAGTACTTTAAGGTTTTCAGCGGCATCATCTGAAAAGGTTACAGCACGAGGTGTGAGATCTCCTTGCCGGGAACTGTTAACGAGGAGTTCTCTGGGTGGCAAATGAGGAGAATGGATTTTTAAGAATGCCTGAGCTTCTCAAAGTTGGACAGGAATGCAAACACATTAAAAAGTAATGCTGGGAAAACATAATTCTGATAATGTTTGCTTCTTTAAAAACAAAAACAAGCCTCGATTGTGGTGTTGGTTGTTTTTAAATAGCTGTATTGCTTGCTGAGCCCATCTTCGCCTGTCTCCCTCCCATGTCCCTCTCTGTGTCTGCTTCTCTTCCTCTAGCCTCCCCATCTCCGTCTCTCTCCTATCAAGTGGCTGGGCTGTGATGTGTGCATGCTTCTCTTTGTCTGTATTTTTGTGTTGCTTTGCCTGCGACTGTCATTCATGCCCTCTCTTTTACGGAGTTTTGATTTTTTTTTCCTTCTTTCTAGTCACCTGTTTCTGGCTGCTTCTCTCCCCCTGTCCTACTTCTTGAGCCCCTTCCTCCTCCTTCCCCTTCAGCCTCTCTCCAAGAACCGGCCACAGCATACAACTAAAGAGCATTTGTATTACTAGTTGTATTTACTGGAGAGAGTTACATGCTCCCCATTCTTGATTTTTAAAAGCAAATGACAGAGGCATTTTCTATTTTTCTCTCCCAAAAGCTCCCTGAATGAAGCTGCATTTTACTTTCATCTTCCTCCATTGAATTATTTTTTCATTCTGTAGGTCATTCTCTTGATAGGAAAAAAGATAAGTTCTCTACTAGAATTTTACAGTAATTTACAGAATAGGTGGCCCATGTGATGTGCGATGTGCCACGGAGCGGGGATCAGGGGGAGGCTGCAGCGTGGCTCTGGGCTGGGGGTGCCCCAGGGCTCCACATTGAGGGCTTTTCATGTTGAATTTGATTTCAGTGGAGCCAAGACCTGCTTTGGGTTTAACAGATGCAGCTCTGGAGAAATATCTACAGATGCCTAATTCATCACCGTGGATTCCCTCGCCTTCAATGCAGGCTGTAGTGGCTGAAGAGAGACAGAAAATGATTGAAGATGAGTGTCAGGGAGCAAATCTTTTATATCTTAAAAGGAGAGAGATTTTCAGCCTGGCAGGAACATTAAAGTGGCTCCAGGAAACCTGGTACTTTACTGTCTTTTCTATGCAGGATACATTTTAGCTTGGTTAGCAGCTCCAGCTTTCTGACTTCTGGCTGGAGTTGACTCTCCGTCTTTTTGCCCTGGTCCCTATCAGAGGTCCTGAACTGGGAGCTCACAGAGGAAAGGTCCAATGGAACATTAGTCCAGTTATTTCTAAGATCTCCTCTTCCAGAAAGCTTTCCTGGACTAACCCCCAAAACTGATTTGGGAGGGAGGATTGGTTCTCTGCCACTCCTGGCCCCTGCCTGGGGACATTATAAAGTCATAGGACATGGATCATCAGGGCTGGAAGGGTCCAATCAAATTGCCTTCATCTGATAGAGGAGCAAATGAGTCTCAGAGGGTGGGCATGATTTACTAAAAGCACAGGTGGCAGATGTCCCCAGTCCCCTGCCAGGCCTGGCCACACATCTATTAAAGGTGATGCTACCTGGCCGGGGTCTGTGGGCTAGATCTCCAGCCCTTCTGACAGCTCCAGGATCCGGGGCACATGGCCAGCCTGGCACATAGATCGGTCCATATGGCAGCCCTTGGGGACCATCCCAAAGCACATGTGACATCCACCCCGAGAGAGCTCTCAGATGACCTCCTGAGGGAAGGAAAAGTGAGGCGCTGAAGCAATTACACCGGCGTCCACATTTGATCTCATTCAATTCAATACCACTTACTGATCAACTAGTATAAGCCAGACCCTTTGCTAGAACCTGGAGTATAGCATGAAGTATTGCGCCCTAGGGTATAATGCTGTGGTGTGTGGGGGTTGATAAAAGGTCAGAGATCCAGCCCTCCCTCCCAACTCAGCCTGGGGCGATAGCCCAGGAAAGGTTCCTGGAGGAGGTGATGTCACTAGAAATAACTGGACTAATATTCCTTCAGGCCTTTCCGCTATGAGTTCCCAGTCCAGGGCCTCTGACGAATACTGTGAGAACAAAAGCCATTCTGCTACATTGGGAATTCAGACCAAAGCACTTCTCGTTTCCATCACAGCCTCAACACTCACCAGCTGTGTGACTATATGCATGTCACGTGACCCCGGAGTCTCTGGAGCCTGGGTTGAGTATTCAGCGAGATGTGATCTGCAAACGCGTTTTGCACATTTCAAAGTGCTCCAACATTGTGGGCTGTTACAGCCCCCAGAACTCCGTTTAAATCCCCTGACCTTGGAGTGCAGTGAAATCAAAGCCGTCCCCACTCCTTTGAGGCTACAACAAAGAAGCAAACAAGGGGCCTGAAAATCTCTGTGCTCAGGCTTGACCTGGAGCCTGTCTGGGCCTCAGTTTCCTCACCTGTGGAATGAGAGTGTTGGCTTCTTTCTCTGAGCTCTGCCCCTCTCTGCAGCCCTGTAAGTTTAGGACAGCAGCCAAGAGTCTGAGGCTAGGTCCTTGAAGGTCCACACTGTAGTGCATGGGTGCCACCTTTGCCTGGCTGAGCTCACCCCAGGCAGGGACTTGGCCTTAGAGGCCAAGCCCAGGCCCTTGTGCAACCTCTCACCCAGCCTCCCACCTCAAGCTAACCCCTGACTCTGACACTCTGGAGTGGCCATCAGCAGGGGAGAGGACCCAGCTCTATACAAGAACCAAGATGCTGGAAATGAGCTCCATCCCCAAAAAGAGGGAGTTAAGGAAAAAAAAAAAAATCTGCCATTTTCCTCAAAATAAAAACAGAGGCAGATGGCTGGGAGGGTTTCCATGGTTAATTAAATATGCTTTAGTCTCTAAGTTAATTATGAAATGAGTCCTGCAGGGGGATGCTCTGCTTTGTACGGAGCAGGTTCAGGTGAGTAGTTGGGATCTGTCTGGGGAGGCTCAGGGGCCCCTTTTCCATCTCTCCCCAGCAGGAATAAAAATTGTGTGGTCTAGGCCTTTAGGAGGCCTTAGCGGCAGGAAATGCTACCCACTCAGGGTAACAGGAGCCACTCCGCCTTTCTGAGCATCCATAGGAGACAGGTAACACCCAGCAGAATTGAGACTCCACAATTTCCCTTCTTGGAATCTCTTCTAAGGAAATTATCAGAAACCCAGATAAAGATTTCCTGGACAAGAATATTCACTGCAGCATCATTTATAATCATGAAAAATAAGAAACCTCCTAGAAGCCTGCAAATAGAGAACTGGCTAAATAAATCCTGGTACAACCAGACAATGAAATATTATGTAGTCATTAAAACGGTGTTTTTGAAGAGTAGACGATGACATGGAAGAATGTTCTGGTTGTTTAAGGTGAAAAAAGCAAGATGAAAAATTGTAGATAAAGTACCATGTAATTTTATAAATTGCTGTGCACAGAAAAAGGAGTGGCATATTAAATGCTAATAATGGTTATTTCTGAGAGGTAACATCTTGGGAGATTTTATTTCTATGTACCTTTTTGTATTTTCTTAATTATTTGCAATGAGCATGTATTACTCTCGCAATCAGCAAAATGATTTTTCAAAATGCCAGCACCTCTTACAATGGATTTCCAAGTGGGCTTGAACAATTTTATTGCACCTTCTTTGAAATAAATAAATTTTACTAAGGTCTGAGCTTCCAAGATTGATGAAAGTGGGCAAGTTTTTTTCTCTCTTTTTTTTTTTTTTTTTTTTTTTTGAGATGGAGTCTTGCTGTCACCCAGACTGGAGTGCAGTGGTATGATCTCAGCTCACTGCAACTTTCGCCTCCCGGGTTCTAGCAATTCTCCGGCCTCAGCCTCCTGAGTAGCTGGGATTTCAGGTGTGTGCCGCCATGCCCAGCTAATTTTTGTATTCTTAGTAGAGACAGGGTTTCACCATGTTGGTCAGGCTGGTCTCAAACTCCTGACCTCGTGAGCCTCTCACCTCGGCAGCCTCTCACCTCGGCCTCCCAAAGTGCTGGGATTATAGGCATGAGCCATCATGCCCAGCCTGGTTTATTTTCTAGAATTCTCCACTTAAGGTGCTTTCAAAGGGAAGTGTTGCATATGTTAACTGGCCATTCCCACTGTGGAACATGATCTGCTGTCATCTCTGACAATGGCACAGGAGAAAGGAGATAGGTGTGAGTTCCTGGAACCACCTAATCTGAAAACTGCATGAGAACTTGAGGCTCACGAGAGCTGCAAGGATAGAGCTGAGGCCCCCGGAAGCAGGAGGAACCCTTGTGGTTTGGAGAAGCACACAGCACGATGACAAAGTCAATGGTGAAATTTCAGTTCTGGCCAGGACCACAAGACTGGACTCTCCTTGGTCTCTGGGACTTCCTTAGAGTCGCCAAAATCATGCAGGGACAGTGGCAGCCAGGCTGACTGTAGAAGCTTAGAAGGCCATGTTGGCCTCACATGCCTAGTGGCATGAAAAGATTAGGGGATAGAAATAGAAGAAACATTCAGAAATGTTTCTATGGTTCAATGCCACTCGGACATAACCACTGGCACCATTCCCTATCAATTCAGCAAACCCCCATCACCAAAAGAACTCACATCCCAGGATTAAATAGGGCGGACCATTACTAAGAGAGGGGAAGGAAGGAATTTGATGTTTTGTCTTATGAAGTTCTATCTGG